>NC_000015.10:57026874-57651874 GCF_000001405.40 Homo sapiens | reverse complement strand
GGTACCTAAACATGACTTGGCTGTACAAATGTCAGGGAAGGACGGTTAAACTGCTTCCCAATCTGAGCACATTCTCTGAGAAGGAAGAAAGGAGGAGCATGCAAGCTACCAGGAACTTTGCTGGCTTAGCTCACGATTCTCAGAAACAACCCTATGTGGTTATCCCCACCAGACCATGAAACTGAGGTGCCAAGACTTTCATCATTCATTCACTCCCTTCACAATCATCTGGATGCTGATAGGGCTGATATTACGACCCAAGTAAGCATCTGTGAGGGCAAGGCCCAGGCTGTCCTATTCACACCACACCCTGTTCAGAGGTTTGCTTGCTTCCATCCTCCCAGTGATGACAACCTATGGCTGCAAAGCTGGCCTGGAGAGTTGGCAGGGCTGGGAGGAAGGTTGACATGTGATATCTTCTGTCACAAAGGATCTGCTGGGGCCCTAATTCTTTAGGCTGTCCTTTTTTTCCCTCTATGATTCAAGAGGAGGCAGATGGAATGGAGATGGGGATGAAGCTTATTTACCCCTGTGCTTTTCTCGATGAATTCAGTTTCAGAGACAAAACACCAAATCCTGAACAGGAGTGTCCAAGGGAGTGAACTGCTTCAAATTCATGTAATACATATATATGGAAGCCCCTAGCTCCACATCTGGCACAAAGCTGATGCTAAAAAATTGCATTTTGGAAGCGCTTCCTAAAGTTCAAGTGCATGGAAAGTAAACACTCTCTAGCACTAGCCAGGGCTCTCCTTGGAGCCTTCTTGCTGTCCTCCGTGCTCCTCTCCCCTCCTATTCACCCAGCACCCACTGGCCAGAGCCACCACTCTGGAGCTCATATCTGATCAGGCAATGGGGAGCCATTGAGGAATTATGAGCAGAGTGATGAAGGACATCCTTCTTGGCTTGGTGCTAATAAACCATCACAATTGGTGTCAACCTATATTTCTAGCCTCTTCATTTCTCACTCCCTCGTACCATCCAAACTAGATGAATGCTCTGTGAACTCACCCTATACTTTCTGGTCTGCATGTTTTTGCTTTTATTTATTCTATATCTTGTCTGACATGTCCACCCATTCAATCCCTGCCTAGAAAAATCCAACCCATCCTACAAGGCCTGGTCAAACACTACCTCCTCCCTAAAGACTCTCCACCCACATCAGAATTAGTTTGTCCTGGCAGGAACTATGCTAAGCATTTAGCACACATCACATCAGTCAATCCTCATAACTACCACTTGAGGAGGTAATGTTATGACCATTCCCATATTATTGATAAGGAAACTGAATCTTGGATAATTTGCTCAAGATACAAAGCCTAGTCAGTAGCAGAGGCAGGATGCAAAAGCAGACTGAATTTACTCAAAGCCTATGAACTTAACCACTAAGTTTCCCAGCTTCTGTGTTTCCAGCACCTATGACATTCTGCCTCAAGTTCAAATGAGTTTAAATGTCAGCCAGAAGGTCCTCTGAGAGCAGGAACTCATGTCCATTTTTGCACTCATGCTCATAAGAGGCTCTTCTTAAACGTGTACCAACTGTCCCATAAGCTCCCCATAAATTGTACCTGGCTCCTCCTCATCCTTATTCCCACTCTTAAGCCCAAGGAATGAGTTTCCTTCAGTCTTCAGCAGAGGGGCAGGAAAACAGGATTGTTCAAAGACAATGGCACAGGGGAAACAACTCCAGCTTGACGAAAGCGACGTGAAAAAAATCAGTACGGCAATGCTATTAGAGAAACAAGCTTTCCGTGAGCCAAAAATAAAAGGAGTCCTATTCATATGATACACAAAAATAAATTCTACATGGATCATTATTTGTCCAACAAATATTTATTGAGCAACTATCATTTGCCAGTGACTATCCCAGGTGTTAGAGATACAACCACAAACAAAATAGATGCAAGTCCCTGCCCTCATGGGACTTACATTCTAGTGGAAGGAAACAGGTAACAGACAAAATATATATGCAAAACAGATAAATAAAGTGCATGACATATTATTGGATGATAAGTGCTATGGAGAAAAACAGAGTAAGAAAGAGGATAGAGGGGATGGATGTGCAGGTTGTAATTGAAGACCTAAAGATGAACAATCAAACTGCAAAACTATTACAGAAACTATCTTTACATCAAACAAGACACACAACACAGCCAAAAAGATTAACTTTACTTCTGCCAACATTAAAAACTTATATATTATAAAAGATATCACAAACAAAAAACATTGACTAGGAGAAGATAATGGCACCCAAATAGTTTTCGATAAATGATTAATATTGATAAGATGTAGAGTTCCTACAAGTCAGCTGGAAAAAAGAAAAACAATCTAATATAAAAATGAGCAAATGACATGAACAACCATTTCATAAAGGAGGAAACTTGAATGGCCAATAAGCTTAAGAAAAGTTTCTCAACCTCACAAGTTTCAATGAGTAATCAGGCTGACGCAAATTAAGATGAAAACAATGAGATGCCATTTCCTAACTGGCCAAAATTATAGTCCACACAGTGCCAAGTGGTGATGAGCATTTGGAAAATCTGCCCTCTCACATGTGACTGGTGGAAAGGTATGTGCACTGTGGGCAGCGATTGGGCAATATCTAGAAAAGGTGAAATTATGCCAATCCCATGCCCTAGCAATTCCTCCTTTACGTATACTTCCTAGTTAGAGAAGCCTGGAGACATGTTGGTATTGTTTGTAAAAGAATAAAAATGTCTATCAATAGGATAAATAAGTTACAATATATTCAAATAAAAGGATATTAGCCATTGAAATGAATAATCCAGATCTATGTGGAATAACAGCAGAAACAAAACTGAGAAATAAGTTGCAAAATATGTACAATACAATTTATTTTTAATATTATAAATTAAAATTTACGTAAAATTTAAAACACAAACTAAGCCACATACTAATTTTATATATATATATACACAGTAAAATCATCAAGGCATGGCCTAGAGACCAAACTGCCTCTGAGAAGAAGAGAGGGTGAAAGAAGGAAAAGGAACAGAATCAGGGACAGGTAAAAAGAGAACCTCTTCTTTATCTGTGATGTGTTCTTTTCTTTAAAAAAAAAAAAAAAAACAGAAACAAGTGTGCCAAAATGGCAACATTTGTTAATCCTAGAAGAGCATTCGTGGATTTTTGTTTTTATCACTCTACAACTTTTTGCAATTTAAATTTTTTTCCAATTAAAAGTAACAAGAAGAAAAGAACAAAGGCTGACTTTGGAGTCACAGATCTGGGTCTGTAGTGCAGCACCATCATTATTTGCTGAGAGACTGCCAGCTACTTATTTTTTAAGACTCTAAGCCTCAGTTTCCCATGCTTAAAAAACTGGGCGAATAATACCTTCCAGAGATGATTGACATGGGAATGTGACATCCATATGCATAGCCTTGGAATGAGAGAAGCATTCGTGACTGGTAGTGACCCAAAACATGAATTACTCAGCCTCACATAGTTTCTATGGCCAGAAACTGGGCACCAGGTGTCTGAGAAACAGTTCAAAGTCAATTAGAACAATTTCAATAAAGAGAACATAGATTCAATGACATTTCCAAAGAAAATATCCTTTCCCTTGAAAAGACAATTTATATTGTGAATACCGAAACCAATACCTGTCATAGAATGAACCTGCTTTTTTAAATAATACATATAACACATACAGAAAAAAGGCTGCCACAATTGTGCTGATACCTTCTAAAAATTGACATTTTAGATAAATTGTCTAAGATTTTAAAATAAATAAGGAATAATACCATGCTAAACACTAGAATTAGAAACTATAACATTGTCATTCACAATAAATCACTCCTGCCTCAAACTTTTGAGTAGCACCTCCTTTGGGTGGGGCTTGAGTGGCCACGAGACAGAGCTGTAGCCTTGGAGTCCAAGGCTAAGGATCCAGTTAAGGGAGGAAAGCGGTGGCGGGGCAGGATTTCAGCACATGACTCAGGTTTCACAAGCAGTATAAGTCAAGTTCACACCATATCACAGTACAGGCAGGAAAGAGGTGAATTGAGGGGCATCAGCAAAGGCAGACAAGAGCAGGCTGAGGTAGGTCCTGCAATGCAAGGAACCCAGATCTAAGAAGATCAACAATGAGCCTAGGACCCAGGGCCAGGGCCAAGTGCAGGAGGTGTGGAGGGCATCCACTTAGGAGGCACTCTCAGGCTATGCAGTACTCTAGGAACCTCACTCACTATCTGCTCCAGAATAAGGCCTGCCTGGCCTCCAGGTACGGTTCATAGCCCAAAAGAGAAAAGAAACTCTAAAAGCAGAAGAAAGCACACCACCCTGAAAGCAGGACTTACATGGGTGACCTGTTTTCTCTAAAGGTCATTGCATTCTCTTAATTATTTCCTTTTTTAAAACTTGGCAATGAATCAATGCTGCTAGAACAAATGCCAGTGACTTTTCCACCAGAGACTTAGAAAAACATTACAGCAATAAAGGCGTCCCTAAAAAACAGTGTAGGTAACAACACTAAGCTAACATCCAGATGAGATTCTCAAATCTGCCTCTGTCTCCCTAGTGGAAGTCTGAATACCCAGCATCGTATCTGGGGATCTGTGTCTAAACACAGCACCGTGCACAGGTGAACAATATTAATGGTTAATAACTAATGCGGAAAAGTATTCATCTGCTTCTTTCCCATCCCCTCCCTCCTTGCTTAAGCTGGGTAGAAGCATCTAAATGAAAGCAAAGGCAAATATTAGCAAGAAAGCAGCTTCATGCCTGCTTTGCCATGAAGGAGTGATAGGAGTGGAGAACTAGCCAACGTCTGAGGGACACTGGGCCTCTGAACGCACTCACTCCACGAGCCCCATCTCCCAGCTTATGTAGACTCATGCCACCCATTGCTATGACTGCAGCTACTACTGCTAGTTCTCAGCAAAACTGCCATGTTCTGATAAAACACCAATGCCTGCAGCAATCTCAAGAAAGACCTCTATAAAAATAAAACATACATGAAGGATGTTTCAGTTCAACATATTTCAGCCAGATAGATTTCTCTTTATCAGATACACTCCTTTTCGTGAAGTTGGTTGAACCAATTCAGGCAAAATGCTGATGGTGATAGAAGCAAGCTAAACTCCTCTTAGAAGAGTCCTAAGATGAGTATTGATATCCATTCAGGAAGGACACCTTCAGGGCCACCTCCCATATACAAATAGAACCAAACCACATGGATACCTGGCTGCTCCTGTACTTTCTTGGGGGTGATCTGGTGGGAGCACCTCCTTCCCAGAGCACTAACATTCTTCAAGCTCTCTTCCCATCTCCTTAGCAGATGTCTTTGGCAGCTTTTCCATAAGTAAGGATTCATCTTCCAAGCCTCCACCTGGATCTTTCTGAATGGTTTTTCAGTAGCCTTTTTCATTGCAGTTCCTTCTTCAATGTCTACTCAAGTTCCTAAAAATACTCTGTGGATCTGTGAGTTCTCTTGACTCTGCAGTTTGAGGCTGTACAAGTCAGGGTGACAGTATGTGGGTGTTTTCACAAACAAGAGCCCCACATGGTCAAATTTTCCTTTAAATAATATGTCCTTCCTGTTTTGTTCATTGGCTCATCATAGATAAATACCACCTCTTCCCAGCAGAGAGTGTACAAGTGTTCTTCTAATCACGAACAATAAAGGAATCGCTTCCAACCCAGAGCAGGCTACCAACTTATCATCTTCCAAAGAGCCGGAGACTAAATCTGGAGAAGAGCTCGTGCGACATGATCTGGAGACAGTTCAATTGAGTGGATTAGGTTTGTGGGCTTGGTGCTATGGCTCCTTTCCCCTACCCCCATTTGGCTAATTACCAATTATGAGAAGTACTTGAAATCCTCTAAACACAGGGCATTTAGTAAAATGTACTTTCGTGTGTTGCACATTTCAGCACACCACACAACAGTTTTGAATTAAATTGTGTGCCAGCAAATGACTGAACCATGTAAAAATGGCAGATACTTGCGATGAAGCAAATTTAAATCTTAAAAATCGCTTTTTGTATAAATATTCTTGTGAAGAGATTGATGGCTAAGCTAGAAAACAGCACAGAGCACAAAAGAGAAGAGAGAAGTATACCCAAAGATTGAATGTGGCCAACAAGACTCCCAAAGGGAAAGATAAAGGGCAGCCCCGTGCATTGCTCAGGAAATCAACAATAGCTACTTTTGCTTTTAGTTCACTTAACTTTAGGTATACACAGCCGAACCCATTTACAGGTGGTAATAATAACAGCCACTAATATTTATTATTTCTTATGATCCAATTAACATGCTGTGCATTTTATACATGTCATCTCATTTAACTCTTACAAAAAATTGGGTAGATACTATTATTAACCCTATTTTATAGACAAGGAAACTAATAACTTTTCAAAGGCAGGTTTGTCTGATGCTAAAGTCCATACTTGTTGCTATTTTTCTAGGCCATCTTTTGTTGTAGACACATAAAGGTCTCTAACTGCAGATGCATGTGGATTTAGGGACTAGTAATGTAAAGCCTTGTTTGGCCAACTGGCTAGAGAGCCAGATACTCAAAGTCTCAACTCTCTGAAGAGTTCTTACTCATCTGTTATTCTCCCTGATCCAGTTTGTTTCCCCCAAGGAACTGCTGCATTATGACTACAGCATCACTCTTTAAAAAAAATCTAAGAGATGACCGTTAAATACTTTCAAAATCATTCCTTAGGAATCACAAATAATATTCTGCTTTGCCTTGAATTTGAGAAGTGGTCATTGCTAATATAATTATTTAACCAAGATGTTTTTGCCTTCTCTTTCTAAAGGGGTACCATGTGGCCAAGTGTAACGTCTTCTGTACAGACAGAAGTGAATAATTTAAAGCAGGGCGAGGCAGACACGTGCATACATGCACAGTTGGAAGAGGATCCATGAGAATCACCCTTAGTCTCTCTTAGTGGTAGTCCAGCTTTCAAGGACTTAGGTGGATTGGATTCTGTCCCTTTAAGTTTCTATTATCTATTTAACAAGCGTACCTCTTCCCACCTTAGTAACATCTCTCTAGATGGGTCTAAATAGCCTTTGGGAAGTTTGTATTATCTGGATACCACCAGGCCAGTACAGCTATTAAGATTAGGCTGTCAGGCCAGGTGTAGTGGCTCACGCCTGTAATCCCAACACTCTGAGAGGCCAAGATGGGAAGATTGCTAGAGGCCAGGAGTTGGAAGACCAGCTGAACAACATAGTGAAACCCTGTCTCTATAAAAAATAATAATAATAATAACAGTAATACAAAAATTAGCTGGGCATGGGTGCACGTGCCTATAGTCGATCTACTTGGGAGGTTGAGTGGGGAGGATCACTTGAGCCCAGGAGTTGGAGGCTGCAGGAAGGTATGATTGCACCACTGCACTCCAGCCTGAGCAACAGGGCAAGACTTTGTCTCTAAAACAAAATAAAAAATAAAAAAAGAGTGAGCTGTCACAGAATCCTCCCAGGACCAGGGGCTGGCAAGAAGTGAAGGTCCCCTGACAGTGCCCAGAGAGTCACAGACTTGGACCAGCTTTCTCACTTCTGTGCTCCTGGTCCCTGGTGACTGTCTCCCTGGCTTGCTTTCTGTTGAGCCCTTCCTATTGAGTTCACCAGCAGCTTCCCACCTCAGGCATAGGAGCTTCTGAGGGATGCTGGCCAAATGCATGAACATGAAACCCAGCAAGGAGAGTCAGGCCACCGCTCTGAGAATCCGGGACAGCGATTCTCAATCCTGGCTGTATATTAGAATCACTTGCAGAGTTTTTAAAACGAAACAAAACCCAATGCTCAGTCTGCCTCCATCCCATCTGCCAGGTTCAGGCATGTCTTAAAGCTCCCCAGGTGATTCCAATGTGTAGCTTGGGTGGAGAAGCACTAATGAGAAAATCAATTCCTTGCACCTTTGCACTTATTAAACATCTCAATTATAGCAAAGTGGGGTAGAGTGTAATTGCTTTCAGCAAAAGAAGTCTAAAGAAAATGCCTCCTCTGCAAATGAAAAGAAACTCCCTTCAGACCCTGTTGGAAGAAACATTTCCTATATCACAAATGGCAAAGGGAAATCAAAAGAAAGACATGACAAAATGAAAGGATGCCTAATGGCTGCACTGGGATATAGCTTAAAAAAAAAAAAAACAAAAAAAAAACCTCTTAAGAAATTACTGTTTATTCAGCTAAACAATATCCCTGCCCATTGGCAAAAATGTAAACCCACCCTCTTGGAAGGCAAATAGTTGATTTTTTCCTTAAGATCACTTTCCCCTTGGCAGGAGAGCTGCTTTGGTTGGCAGCAGGAGAGCCATGGTGAGAGCAGGTAAAGAGGGTGTGAATGACTCTGTGGACTGAAGAAGTCACACTCAAAGATGTGTGAGCAGAGGGGCACTGTGGGGGCCTCAGGATGCTCTCTTACTTTTTACACTCCTCCCAGCTCTCCCAGTGCCTTTCCTGGCAATCTAAAGAATGCAGCTTGATTCAGGACCAAAGACCAATCCCAACAAAGCTTTTCAACAGGATAATAAAACCCAAAGGCAAGACTACCCTGGAACTCGGGTGACACCAGTGGGTAAGATCCGTGCCAGCACGGCCCATGTCTGCTTGACTCCCCACTGTGTACCCAGCCCCAGCACGGAGCGGGTGCTGGTGGGTATCTGCTGAATGGATGAATGAATTAATTTCCCCTTGAGGGCTTTTTCTTTCCAATCCCTCGGCATTTTTCTATATTTTCCGGCTATAAGAGGCACACGTGGGGCTTTTTTGGCTTTGTTCTCTCATTTTTATCAAAGCCAGAATCAGCTGGAAGAACTAGTGATGGGGGAGATACCCAACCCCCTGACATCCATGACAGGAGACTTAATTCAGTAGAAAGCCCTAGCCTAGTGAGAGGGACTTGGTTCCACATTTCACAGAAAACGTTTTGCATTATCTTTTCTCAATGACCTTGACACCGTAAGATATATACTAATCCTTCATTTCAAAAGGGCTCACCCCCACCATGAGCCCTTCCTACATAGTACAAGTCCTACTGTCTCCCACCATGGAAATCAAGTCATTAATGAGCTAAGGATGACAAAACCTGGGCCAGTTACTTTTTATTATTTATTATTACTATGATAAAATGATACTCCACTAAGGTGAGAAGAAACATGTTGCTTAACATTTAAGGATTCCCAAGGATCGCAGTAGTGACACCTGGACATTTTGAGCTAAACAAAAGAAGCCCATCATTTAAAAAAACTAAGTTTCCTCATGGACATTATGGCCAAAATGATACCAACAATGGATGGAGACGAGACTTCCATCCATGGTGAAAGTGAGGCTATGATGAAGACGAGCTTCCAGACCCATGTGAGGGAAGAAAAAGGGTCCTTAACATCCGCTACACTTAAAGGCTGCCTATATGCCTGGGGAGCCGGAGTTCACAGATGAAAACATACTTCTCTTCTAGAGTCAGAGTTCAAGATTCATTTCACAAGTGACCAATTCAGTACTCCGGATTTTTCAAAATTTGCTCCAAGTGATCTGAAGTGATTTAGTTACGACTTTGCTGATTTTGCTCATTATGCAACATAATGATAAGGCTGAGCTCACAAAAACAGGCACAGCATAGTAAACAATAGAGAATTCTTTATATGATGAACACTTAACTGAAGTTACCAGACTTCCTCCACACAGTCTTTAAGGTTACAGAACACAGAATTTGTGGAGGAACACTAGAGAACTTCTAAATCAACTTCTTACTTTGTAAAGAACGTAACCATGATGAAGAGCTAAATGCCTTACCAGTGCAGCCAGTATTAGAAATGTTTTCTTTGTTGTGAATGAAGAGCTGCAATTTGCCTCTTTGAAAGTGTCACCCAGTGGTTCTGGCCTGGCCTTGCTTCACAATACAAAACAAAGACATATTCCCTCATGTTTTCTAAGATGTGAATTCAGCTCCCATCTCTCCTTGGGCATGTCTTCCCCAGTTCCCTGAATTACTCAGGTTCTCAACTCCTTTCCAACCTGGTCTTGCTCTTCTGAAGGTGCTCACCTGTCCATGCCCCTTGACCATGTTTCTAACTTTTAAAAAAAATATTCACATAAATGGCTATAGCAAATGAGATTCTAGGCTATCCTTTTTTTCTTATGTAAGTTAATGTAGTATGCTGGGCAAACACAAACTTTCTAAATCAGGCAGTAAAAATTATTAGGAATAAAAAGTGTCTCTCTCTCTTTTTGTTGCTGGTGGTGGTGGTGGTCTACATTCACTGTGGAAACCCAGCCAGCCCCTAGGGGGTGCTAACTCTGATGGCATCCTAAATTTTAGCTGGTGATTTCTTTCCAACGACTGGGCCTTCCAGACCACAGACCACATCAAAGCTTAGAGAAGCTTATCTGGAAGATATGAAATCACAGGTAGAAAAAAGCAAAGCATGGACAGTGATCTTTATATGCATCCCTACACACACACATATACATATGTATACACATGTATAAATACACATATACATATGCACATATGTATATGTGTGTACGTATGTGTACTCCTTCACTCTCTTCAAATTGGTAGGTTTGTTATATTCTGGAAGTAAGTTAGGAAACAGAGAATTCTAAACTTCTTTGAAAATGTCTTTTAAAAAAACAATGTCTCTGATTCTGGTACAGCCTTAACCTCTTACAGGTAAGGGTTTAAGTGAATCAGAAGCCAACCAGTATGAGGTTTTGTTCAATAGTTCTCTAACGATTAGATACAAGAATGACACAGACACCCCCCTGTGGTGAGGTGGGAGAAATGTAGTGCTCACAGTTAGAGACTCGCATAGGGGAAAATAAGGGATGCCCTTGCCCCAGACTTCGTGCGTGTGAAATTCAAAAGCAGAAAAACTATGCCCCGACGGCCAAGGCTCACTGAGATGCTAACTGTGGCAAAGTGATGCTTTTCCTTGGAAAATACACTCCTGACATCTACCTAGTGTTGACGATAGGGCAGGATCTCCCTCCGCATTACTGTTATGGGCAGTGCTCCTGCCTGGATGCACAAAACGATTGCAAAGATGCGTGCGTGGCCTCCTCTGCTATTCCACTGCTCCCCAGAAACTTGTGTGTGAACCAATATAAGATGTACATGATTCAACACAGTATAACTGCACTTCTCATTTGCGGACAAACTTTTATCTAATGTGTATGTTTATCCTACACACAATAAAAAAAGATGTCCCTTCCCATACTCACAATTCTCTGACCTTAACTCCCCAACATTAATATCCCCAATATCTTAGAGATTAATAAAATAGATATATTTTAATCTTCCATTTGTCTGTCATGTACATGAATTATTTCTTAGAAGTAGATATGCTTTTAATTTTAATAATTCATTAATAAAACATAACTTTTTAAAGTAGTACTTAATATAAGGAAAATGTGTTTTCATTTTTCCACTGCCAACCAAATGTTTGATTAAATTGAAACCTTTTTTTTTCTTTGCAGGTTAGAGAATTAGACTCAAGGGAATTCTTATAACCCTGTTAGTACTAACTGCTCTTTTTCTATCAGATTTTTCAATCGGATTTTTTAATTGAGCAAGAAGAAAACTACAATAATATGTGATTAGCTTTACAGAGCACGGACTTTCTTCTTTGGAACATCACCACAAGAGAGGCGGATTATATTGACACAAGTTAAAACAAATTTTGTTCCTCTTAGAGAAATAGAAATGTTCAACTTACCCGTTTTCTCATTTAGAAAAAAGAGAATAGTAAACTATGCCCAAACAGTAAATGTATAGCTTGGTTTCCTGTTACAGAGACAGTTAGGAGAGAAAGGATGGTGGCAAAGGAAAAGGAAGAAGAAGCAGGAGTGGGAGAAGAGAACGAGGAAGGAGGGAGAAAAAAGAGAGAAACAGACAAGGAAAGGGAATGAAAGACACACCCAGAAAACGATAAAGGACAAGAATGGTAGCTGAGAGAGAGAGAGAGAGACAGACAGACGGCTGTGGAGGCAGTGCAGGGACCTGGGCTAAATTCACCCTGCCCATCACCCCCTTGGGTCCCCTGAGCTGTGGGTACCCACTCAGGCTATCACTGTCCTTTCACAGTGGGTGAGCTTATGAACTGCACTTTCCAGCTTTCTTAACTGTAACCCTTTGACCTGAGGAAACCCCTCTTTTAGGGGCATCATCGTCATCAGTCCATGGGGGACATGTGGGGAAATCCCACTCTGGGCCTAGATGGCAGTGGCCTGAGCACCTCGGCTTGTGAGCCACAGGAAATGGAGGGGCAAGGCAGACTTGTTCTGGGGATGCTTCCCCACCACAGGAAGCAATCCCAGGCCTGTGACCTTTTGCAGATGCTTACCTCCTCGACCATCTGCTTGACTTTCTTCTGCTGGCAATGCACCATGTCATCTAGGTGTCTGATCCGCTCACGGAGGCTGGCTGATGCCTCCTCCAACTGCTGATACCTAACACAAATAGGAGAAAAAAGCAAATGAGTCCTAAACCAAAGCAGCAACAGCAGTAGCAACAGTCACAGCTTTAAAGAATATTGCCAAGAGCGCCAAGCATGGCGGCTCATGCCTGTAATCCCAACACTTCAAGAGGCCAAGGCAGGAGGACTGCTTGAGGCCAGGAGTTTGAGACCAGCCTGGGCAATATGCTGAGACCCTCATCTCCACAAAAAAAAAAAATAAATAAATAAAAATAGAAAACATGTATCTTTTGGGGAAGGTTTGGTAAAAAAATAAACGTAAATTTAAAAACATTTAAAAATGCTTCCAAGAACAAGAAATCAAACTCTAAGATCCATTCTTCTTACTTTATGTGATGACCACACAAAGTAGTGTGATTACTAACAAACTACCACAACAGAGGAGCACAGGACTATTTTTCAAGTTCCCATTTGCAAGTTTTATCCCATATAAGGATGATTATTTTCCAGGGGCTGAGAGATAATTTTTTTGCACCATTTACAGATCTGAGAAGCTCTCTGTTTTGGGGTTATTAACATATTGGAACATCCAGTAAATTACTTGGAGGGGAGGACGGGGAAGAAGGGGTCCAGCAACACAATAAAATATCTGAAATCAACGGCAGAATACCAAAAGGTCTGGAATCACAGTTGCTCTACATATCCTTTATTTTTGGCAAATGTGGGACAAGTTGAAAGACCTTCTCTACATCCAAACAGAGCAAGCCACATCACAAAACATTTCATACTTTTGTTTTACAACAGCACAATTTATTCTCCAACATTGCTTGGACTCTTCAGTTCTCTGGGGCCGCTGGGGCTGGGCACTGGAGGAAAGGTCTGGTGGTCTAGTTCCCGTGCCCCATCTCTGCCTCAGCACTATGTTAATGACTAGCAAGCCTCCTGTAACTTTGAAAACTCTGAAATTGCAAATGAGGAAGGAAAAATGGGTATTTTTTCAGCACGTACTATTTGGCAGGCAGCAAGCCCAATAGTTCTCTTAACAACAGTAACCTAGTGAGATGGGCACTGTTATCACCGTCATACCCGTCTCCCCCGTTTAAAGATGAATTTCCATGTGGCACAAGCAAGACTCAGGGAGGTTAAGTCACTTGCCCAAAACACTCAAATCATCTCAACCTTGTTTTCCTTCACTAGAGACCCCTGAATGGCCTCTCTGCATTTTGATTTCTAGAACAGACAGCGTACTATTCCGTGTTTTTCATGTAGGGCTTTATATACTCACTGCCAGAGGATAATGCAAGGTTTTACTAAGCAAAGTTTGGAAACAAAGAAAGATGTTTTAAATTGGTTTCCAAAGCAAGTGGTATTAGTCACAGCTGATGAGTTTTCTCATCAACAAGGTGTATCCTGTGGAGTTCAAGGCCATGGAGAACATTAATAGACCAAACTTTTGCACTTGTGAAAGTATTTGATGTGTTCCACTACACTAACAACCAGCCATGATCTGCAGGATGTGGCTGGAGGCTTCCAAAGAAACTTGTTCCATATTGGAAACTCTCAGCCCAATGTTATGTATGCTTAAGTCTGTAATAAGGTACAACCACACAAATGAAAATGTAAGGGTCAAATGAGGTCATAAAAACACAGCGTGTCCACAACCTAAATCCATTACAAGACGAAAGGCATTACGTCTTACCTTTCCTTGTCAGAATCAGTTAACTCCCCAGACATTTCTGTTTCATGTTCTAGGAGTTGAAGTTGCAGTTGATGACGTTCCTAAAACAAACAGAAACTGATATTTTAATCAATGGATCCCAAGTTTGACAGAGAATGTCTATTTAGCAATTCTAGCACTAGGGAGTCCAAGTCTATATGACACCCCCTGGGTTTTACACACCTGCTCAGCAAAGCCCAAACAAGGCTCAAAACTGCCAAGTCTGTTGTTGTGTATTTATAGATATATTTATGGGTCAGAGACAAAACATCCTAAATAAAACCATTCAAGATTCATTTTCCAAAGTATTCCATCAGCCCAGGATCAGTGAAAATTTATAGCCCCAAATACTGATTATCAATACTTTAAACTGGTGGCTTGTGATACTGCAAAATTCTTTATTATTTTCTGAATCATCAAGAAAAGAGGCTCTGGGATTCTGGCAATATCCTATATTCTAACTTGTGGTGTTTACACAGGTGTATTCACTTGTAAAAATATGTTGTGGTCAGATTCATGGCCCTCCAAAGATGTCCATGTCCTGATTCCTGAATCCTATGTGTTATCTTACATGGAGAAAGGAATTCTGCAGATGTGATTAAGTTAAAGATCTTAAAATGGGGAGATCCTGGGTTATCCAGTTGGGCCCTTCTAAGGAGGAGGAGGCAGCAGGGTTAGAATCAGAGAGAAGGAGCCTGGAAGATGCTCTGCTACTGCCTCTGAAGCTGCAGGAGGGGGCCACAAGTTGAGGAGTACAGGTGGCCTCCAGAAGTTAGAGAAGGCAGGGAAATGCATTCCCTTCTAGAGCTTCCAAAAGGAATCCAGCTCTGCCAACACCTGGATTTTAGCACTTCTGACCTCTAGGAATGGAACATAATACATTTGTGTTGTTTTAAGCCACTAACCTTGTGGAAATTTGCTATGGTAGCAATAGGAAACATACGCGCACTAAGCCGTGCACTTTGTACACTTTGCTATATATATGTATATTTAGAAGTTTGCCCAAAAAAGAGTCTGGAATCATTTCTTTGGACAAAGCTGAAAAATGTTCATAAAAACATGGTGCCTGTCATAACCGAAATTGTGCTAAAAATACATTACAGATGTTAGTGTAACAAATTTCCTTAAAATGCAAGTTTATCAAATAACGCTCACTAATTGGGAGATTATTTTACTTTAGGTCCTTCTCTAAGAACTAATGTTCCTCATCTTTATGTTCGGAAATTCCACCCAGCAAACTCTTACTAGCTACATAGATTCCAAACCTCTTTTCTACCAAATTATTAAAAGCAAATCTTTGAAAATTTAACTGCCACAACTTCTGAAGCTATAAGCAGTGGTATACCAAGAGGTAGGCCAAAGGGGTGGGGAAGCAGTCCACCTTAAGCAGGAAGAATATATTATCTCTGAAATATTTAAAATAACAAAGGTAGATCAACTTTGACTGGGGTTTTGTTACTGTTTTTAAATCTCTACAGCAAATGCACATTCTTATGGCCTGGCCTGAGCAGAACATTCCTCCTGCCCCTATGTGGTTGGAAGTTTTACATTAGCCCCGAAATAACAGTGATAAAAGCTTTCACAAGTGAATGCCTCCCTCCAAAAAGAAAAAAAAAACAAAAAACAAGAAAGAAAAAGGCTGTCATAAAGTAGAGCAAGGTCTAACTTACAGCACACTTTTAAAATTTGTTTTAAATTGAGGTACAATAAATCTTAAGTGTACACTGCACAATTATTTCTTACATTTGTAAACACCTGTGAAACCACTGCCCAGATTATGGCATAGACTATTATCTGTTCCCCAGAAGGGTCCCTGGTAGAGAACACTCCTTAAAAGATTTTTACTGATCAGAAAAAAAGGTGTTTGAAATACAGTGCTCAGCAAGAGAAACAGTAAACTAAGGCATATGGCAGAGAAGCCATTCAAAAGCACATGGTTTGTCCTTGAGCAAAATCCAAAACTGAGAGCAGGATACGTACACTGCCACAGCCCTGCCTAGGACATGCCGTTCACGTAGTGTGAGACAGCGATTTGGCCAGATTCCTGCTCTCACAGATTTATCCCTGAAAAGGAAACAGTGTAAATTGGCCTACCTAATGTTAGTTCAATAAATAGAGCATTTCTCTAGCCTAAATGGAAAGGAAGATTTAGAGAAAGGACAATACATTTCCAATCACTAAAGAAGAAGCCAACACCACTTGGGGAAGGTTTTGTGTTTCCTAAATGCTGGCAGGGAGGGCTGGCCTTACCAGCTTCCTGGCTCTACCCATTCATCCCACATGAGGGCTCCATGTGAAAATCAGTGGGGAAAGACAAGAAACTTTCAGAACCTCAAGACAGCAATGAAGATAAGCATAAAATGGGTCGTGCTAAAGACAACCTGACTCTGAGGGTAGACATTTAGGCAACCTCGTAACAGAGTAAAAATCATAGCCACAAATGATCGAACCCTTACTATATACGAGGAACCATGCTTAGCACTTGGCGTGGATTTTTCTCATTTATTGCTCACAAAAGCCCTAAGAATAAGAAGTACCATTATCAGCATTTTACAGAAGTGGAGACTGAGTTAGGAAAAACCAAGTAAGTGCAAACAACTACAAAGAGACACAAGATTCAAATCCCCAGACTGTCTGATTCTAAAGCCTATGTTCATGACCACTACCTGTGGTTTCTCTGTATGACGGCATCTCCCCCAGACCACCCTGCTATGCTGCCGGCTCACCTTGCTTCTTTACGCTGCAGAAAAACCTGCTGCCCAGAGAGAGAGCATCTGAGTTAACTGGGATCTTCTGCTGTTGTAGGAGGACAATAATGTGGGAGGAAGCTCACTCAAGCTCTAGAAAGCTCCCTTGTTGCCCAATCTTCACCACCACCCCCTCTGGTCAATACTAATGTTAGTCCTGACTAAGCCAATCACCTACTCTTCAATAAAAGATGGGATTCTGTTTTCCCAGGGGGTAGAAGGGAGATTGTAATTGACTCTTTAGTTTGCCCAAGTCTCTCCCAAGTAAAAAGCTAAAGAGCTAAAACGAAGCACCCAGTGAGCTCTGAAGCTCCACAGAACTGAATTTCATGCAGTTCCCATAGTGGCGACACCTCGCCTTATGAGGGGACAGTACAGGGGCTTATGCTGCAAACACCATTAGCTAAGGCGACCTCTTCTCAGCATCACATGAAGCCTGACAGTGACCTTGCTCTTGCTGCCCCACCTCTGCCTCCATCATCAGATTGGAGATTCTTGGCATCCCGAATGAGTCACAGGGTGCTAATAATGTCAGGGTCTTGGCAGGTCACTGCTCTCTGCAAACTCATATGCAGCCAGGGAGCCATTCCCAGAAACCAGCCACAGACTTGGCCCTGAACTCCTGGGTCCAGAAGTCAGCCGTCACCTGCTAAAGGTCACCCATCCTTTCTCTTCCTTCTCTTCCTTCTTTTCCTCTTTCCTTTCTCCCACCACTTCCTCCCCTTCCTCCACTTCCTACTTAATTCCTGGCCTCTTCCCTTTCACTAGACAGGCTTCATTATCCCAGCTGAGCTCCCGCCTTCCTCAGGTTCCCCCACCACACTCACCAGCCTGCTTACAACACCTAGAGAAATGGGGCCTCCCTACTCTCTCAAGTCCCCAGCGTGTCAAGGAAAAGCCAACCCTTGAGACACATGCCCCAGAAACAACAGGGCTGCTGTGTTGATGTAACACCTAAATAGGGCTTGATAATTCAATGGATAAACTAAGTTCACACCTGGGGCACCAGCAAAGCAAGGCTGCTAAAATATTAATTTTTCTAAAGAATTTCACAAGTAATATTTTTTAAAAGCATCAAAATAGTTATCATGGGAAAAATGAGAACGTTGTTGGACTTCCTTATACTTTATTTTATAGCTTTGTCTTTTTTTTTTTAATTGCAAATTTTGGAGGTGAGAGGAATCCATATCCAGGGCCTCTCGTATCTCAGATGGACCTACAGGGAAAAGTTTGGGCAAGTGGGCAATAGGCCCAACGCTGTGTCCTACCTTTTCCATGCGCTCAATCAGCCTGTCCAGCTCCCCGATCCTCTGGTCTTTCTCCTCTAGGCTGATCTCTGCTGCTTGCATCTTTTTATTGGCTTCTTCAATCGCTTTCAGAAAACTATTGGTTTCTTCCTGCAAAAGAAATATACCCTCCTAAGTACAGGCATGGAGTACCGAGGCTACTCACCGGGATCCAATCAGCTCAGGCCTTGCTAGATCACGATTTCTCTTTAAAACATGACCTTGGAACCTGAAAGTGTCTCACAGATCATGAACTCAACCTCACGGTTCTGGTTCTCACCTATGAATAAAGATACATCATGTGGCTGGTTAATGGGCCTCACTACATTTTTTTCCCTTTTTTCCCTTAAGTCTTTATATCCAAAAGGTGTAAAAGAGGCCTACAAATGTTTAATAACATTGAGTAGATGCTCAGAATGTCACTGTATTTGCCAGAAGTGTAAGGGAATTAGAACCAGATCTGGAATTGAATGCAGAATTCCCAGATCCTTCTCCCATAATGCAATACATCAGCTCATTACTAACAAGAAAACCCAGTCAATCATCAGAACATGTATTAAGCCTCTACGGACACAGATGAGCCAGACATGGAGTCCCCGCCTTCAGGAACTTATAATCTCCTGGAAAAGCCAAGATGTGAGACGCACAGCCCCACTCTAATGGCAGGTATAAAAGAATTCCAAAGTAAAAGCAGAGAGAGAGTGAGTGAGCTTCCTAAGGACAGATAATGGTTCTGGCTCCATGACTGGAAGAGACTCCAGGCATGGAGAGAGTGGCATTTAAGGCTTTTAGGGAGCTTAGGCAAGATCAAAGATAGGGAAGGAGGAAATTTCAGGTAGAGAGAACCAAATGGAGGGAGGGAGGGCACAGCTGCGGGCAAGCCCAGGGTTTGCTTAGATGCTGGCAAATTGTCAGATGAGCTAGAAAAAGGTGTGTATTTAGAGACAGAGACAAGGGGCTATTCTGAGTAGAGACGGGGATGAATAAAGGCAGAGGGGAAGAGGGGAGGGGAGTGAATGAGCAGATGAATAATTCCTTGATCCCTTACCCATGGCTGAGTCTACTGACCCACCTCTAAGAATAAACACTACTACGTATACATCACCAACAATAATGAACCAACAATTCCCGGTAAGTTTACATCGGCAGCTACAACACACACACCAAAAGAGCCTCCTTCTCAGCACTGTGCTTCCTCTGTTCTTCCTGCAGCTTCTCCTCATACTGGCTGTACAGCTTCTTGGTCATCTCTCGCATCACCTCAGCATTGGCTTCTTGGGACGATTCCACCTACAACGAGACTCATTTCAGAACGACAGCTTTTGCAGGGCCCAGAGGAATTGGCAGCTTCCACTGCACATTTCATGTGGGGACTCACAGAGGTAGTGAGCCCATCCACTGGGTTCTGCAGCAGAGAGACACAGCAAGACCTAACAGGGAAAGGGAGGAAGAGGGGTGAGCAGAGCCACAGAAAAATAAAAGTGGCATTTCACACGAATTTTGGGGGCATTCTCAGGACAAAGGTATGCTCCACATGAGTGACTTTTTCAAAAGGTAGAAACTTATTTCTCTACGCAATCTCATCAGTTGCATTGGCCAAGCCAGTTTCTAGGTAAGACCAGCTAAGCTCAAAGGAGAAATCTGGACTCACCCTTTCCATACCCTTGTGCTTTCCTAAATGTTGCTTTTGGAAACATTCCAACCTAGCATGGGGAACACTAAGCTGGCACCCCTAGTACTGAAGCAGGCCTGGCTTAGGAGGTGAGAAAAAGTCAGTGGAGTTGCAGGTGGGCAGGGCTTAGGTTGGTGGTGGCTGGTGCCTCCTGTTTGCCAGGCCACGTTCTCACACACAGACTTCCCGCCATTGATTTTATGCTGCAGAAGGTTTGCTCTCATCCCCTCCTTCCAGGTTATCGCCTATTGCAGAGAGCTGAGTTTGCTGCATACCTAAACTCTGGAAAAGGGAAGCATTCTTCAAACTCAATAGGTTACATGATGTTATTTCCAAGATGTGACAAGTCTCTCTTGACGCCCTTGACTTCTCCCTTCTCATCACTGGGTAAGTGTTGGCACCAAGAAGTTCCAAAGTGGAAAGTCCTGAGCAGAGCTTATGACCAGCTGAGAGAGACCCTGTGTGCTGTGTGCTCCATTTGCAGTGCACGCACAGCTTGCTGGAAGGGCTCTGTCCCTGGAGGCCCATTCACTCTGCATCCAGGTCATGTAACATACCCTGAGTTCCTGAAGCTTTTTTTTTTTTTCCCAATTTGGGGAGTAAAATAGGAGGAGTAGGAGAAACCTTTTTAACTCCACTGTCAGGATGAAAACAAGCATCAGTCTCTAAAACAGGCAACTGTGGGCTGGAGTTAAAGGCCTGGACTCCAGGGAAGCAGCCAGATTGCCAAGCAGCCTAATGATGTCCCCAGATGCCTGGTGACAGGCCACCTCTGGAACCAACAGGACTGAACAGGACACACACATAGAGTAGACACTCAATAAATATTTGTGGACTGAATGATTGAATAAATCCCCTAAGCTGAAAAAAATTACTTAAATCAGTAATTTCAGGCTTTTTTAGCAACATAAACTTTTTTCACCCCCCAAGTAACTCTTACTGAGAAAGTAACTCTTACACGGAAAAGAAGAGCTGCCCTATTAGAAGTGAACATACAGAGGAGATGATCTGTCCCATGGCTGTGGCAGGCCAAGTGAACTGGCAGCAGATCCCCAGGGCGGCAATACAGAGACCGGGCGGTGGACCGGCAGCCCCTCTTCCCCACCCAGCCTACCCCTGTGAAGGGGCCCACACTTCCCAGTTTGTCTCCCTAACTAAATTACCAATAGTACCACCTTTCACTCCCTCACATATTCTGCTTTGAGCAATAAACTATGTGGATACGCTACTCATAAGATAGCCTAAGTCTGTGCTGAGCAAAATTTTCAAACCACAGACTTACATAAAAAGGAATTCATCCAAGATATAATTTATTAAGTGCCCTCCAGGAGCCATTCATGGATCTGCTCCTGTCACCGGGTAGGAAGTCTATCCACAGTTTAAATTTGGGAGGGGCACTAATGCCTCTAGGGCATTAGAAGTTCAGCTAAGGAATGCTCCCAGCCTAGGGGGCCAAATGGGACATTCCCCAGTGTCCCTAGTCACCCACCAATTTTCTTCTTGAGAATATTGTACTTGGGGTACAGCCCAAGTACCAGCTATTTGTGTGCCCCTCAGCTCTTTATTGTCAAGCCAAACAGAAAGGCCTTGGGACCTCAAAGAAAATCTAAACAGTGAAGGAAGAGATCTCCAAGGCTTCTGACGTCCCAGATCTGTGGGCATCCCAAGCGTCTTCTCAGTTACATAACAACAGCACCATGGTGAGTGTCTAAAGAGCCCTTGAAGGGACTGGAGGCCAAGAAAGGCATGCCCAATGGGGGCATTTATGGAGAAGCCCCAAACTGGGCCAAGCACGGTGGCTCACGCCTGTCATCCCAGCACTTTGGGAGGCCAAGGCAGGCGGATCACCTGAGGTCAGGAGTTCGAGACCAGCCTGGCCAACATGGTGAAACCCCTTCTCTACTAAAAATACAAAAATTACTGGGCAAGGTGGCACGTGCCTGTAATTCCAGCTACTCAGGAGGCTGAGGCACGAGAATTGCTTGAACCCAGGAGGCGGAGGTTGCAGTGAGCCATGATTGTACCACTGCACTCCAGCCTGGGTGACAGAGTGAGACTCTGTCTCAAAAAAAAAAAAAAATCCAATGAAGAAGAGAATGGAGAAAAGGAAATGGAAAGGTTGAAGATGGGAAGAGAAAAGGGAGAAGTAAAGAGGAGAAAAGTTCATAGAAAATAAATCTAGGCTTTTATACTCCACCTTCATTTTTAGCAGCTGGTTTTCAACTTGCGCTACCTCCAACTGCCTCTGCTTTTCCCTCAGCTTGTCCATGGATGCTTCATACGTCTGCTGCAGATTTCTGATTTGATCCTTAATGTTGCTGTTTTCCAAAGTCACATCCACGAGGGTTTTCTGTGAGGATGAAAATAAAAACAAAACCAGATCCGGTGGCGTGAAAACACATGGGCTGCACCACATGCTGGGGCATCCCCTTATCATTAAGCACTGGGGTAGCTGTCCTAGGCTACAGCAACTGCCAGTCTGGGACCCTGTGCTGTGAGGGACTGTGGGTCTCCCATGGTGGCCAAGAGGTCTGCCCCTGTAGCTTGGAGGGACTGAAAACCTCTCCCATACCATCCCATAGCTGCTGCCAACACCACTTGCCACTGCTTAGGATGGATGGAAATGGATTAAAATGGAGTCCTTCCAAGGAAAAGTATTATAATACATCATTTCACATGGGAAAAAAAACAGCTTTTGAAAATAGTAAGTATAGTATAATCCCATTTTGAAAAATATGTATAAGCATTGGTTCAAATATATGTTTATGCACTGGGGGGAAAAAGACCAGGAGGAAATCTGAATGATAGTTTTCACTATGTGATAGGGCTATGGGTATCTATTTTCTTATTTATTTTTTCTGTATTTCCCAAATTGCCACAATGAAATCAGAAAACAAAATACGAGCTTTATAGAATAGAGATATTCCTCTTTTTATTCTTTTTCTTTTTTTTTTTTTTTTTTTGTTTTTGAGACAGAGCCTTACTCTGTCGCCCAGACTGGAGTGCAGTGGCACGATCTCGGCTCACTGCAACCTCTGCCTCCCAGGTTCAAGCGATTCTCCTGCCTCAGCCTCCCGAGTAGCTGGGACTACAGGCGCCTGCCACCACGCCTGGCTAATTTTTGTATTTTTAGTGGAGATGGGGTTTCACCGTATTGGCCAGGCTGGTCTCGAACTCCTGACCTCGTGATCCACCTGACTCGGCCTCCCAAAGTGCTGGGATTACAGGCGTGAGCCACCACGCCCGGCCTCCCTTTTTTCTTAAAAGAGCTATCCCTTCTGCGCTTCTAGACTGCCTGCCAGGATAGTGACAATGTGACTGAGAATACTCACATACCTGCAAACATTTCACCTTCCTCCCTTAGGCAGAGAAGGGTAGTAATAAAGAAGTACTAAGGAACAGAATTTGGTAATGCAGACAAGTGATTTTTGCTCCAAGCCGCACAAGTAATTTTTGCTCCAGGCCGCACTGAAGCAAGGATGTTTAAATCAATAGTGTTGGCCATGCGTGATGGCTCATGACTGTAATCCCAGCACTTTGGGAGGCTGAGGTGGGAGGAGCACCTGAGCCTGGAGTTCAAGACTAGCCTGGGCAACTACAAAAAAAATTTAAAAACCAGCTAGACATGGTTGTGTGTACCTGTAGCCCCAGCTACCCAGGAGGCTGAGGCATGAGGATCACTTGAGCCTAGGAGGTCAAGGCTGCAGTGAACTATATCACACTGCTGCACTCCAGCCTGCGCAACAGAGCAAGACCCCATCTCTAAAAAAATAATAAAAAAGAAAAAGAAAAAAATGGTGGTGCTATTTACTGCTTTGGTTTCTACTTGGTTAACTCTCCTTAGAGATAAATGGCCTCCACAGAATCTGTGCCGTTGGAAAGTCATCTTCTACTGTGTCCCCAGTCATCTACAATTTCACATTAGAAGATGTGAAAACCCTGGTGTTGGGCACTGTTTCTAACACCTCTGTGCTCTTGTCTAGATGATCAGTCTCTGAAGCTTCCTCAATTCCTCAGCCTCTACTTTGGACAATATAAGCCTTTCACTCCTAAACCTACTTGAATCAAGAAAAAGAATTTCTGAAGGAGGTGATTAGATACTAAAGAAAATACTGAAGCTATTTGGAAGCATGGAGTCACAGAACATTTGAGCTTCAAGGGGCTTTAGAAACCACCTAGACCAGCCACCCACTCCCCCAGCCCCACTGGCTTCACAGATTCTACTCGTGTATCCACACAAAAACCTACACTCTGGTCCAAGAGACCAGGATTTTTCTAATCCTGGCTCTGTCACTAGGTAGGCATCTTGCTCATGTCATTTCTCTCTGTCGGCCTCAGTTTGTCTATTCATAAAACTGAGATCCTCTCAGTTCTTTCTAGCTCTGACATTCTATGGAATCAAACCAAGGGTCTGGTCTCCCTGTCAATAATAATGAAAGTGGACAGAGTGGGCCAGTGGAAGAGGCTGGGGTCTTGCATAAGGAAGAAGCCAGCTCTCTTCAGACTCGGTCCACCAGGTACTCGAGTGGTCCTCAGCATCAGTGCCTAACACCGTGCATCAGCCCTCTTCCTCTACCAGGTTGAGTTTCCTGCTGTGAGATGGCTTCTCCTTCTCCTTCTCCTCCTCCTCCTCCTCCCCCTTCCCCTCCCCTCCCCCTCCCCCTCCCCCTCCCTCTCCCTCTCTCTTTGTCTCTCTCTTTCTGTTTCTCTCAGCGGTTTTAGCTATAAGGCTCCTTTGGCTGTCCAGGACTAAGAGCCTGCATGATAACTAGGAATCAGTCAAGGTGCCTGGGTCAGAGCTGGCCCAGCTCAAACAGCTGACCTCTGCAGTAAATGCCAGAGTGTTGGCCAGATGGCAAAGCACAAGAATTGCCAGAAAATACTGGCAAATATATTTTTCTTTCTGGGAAGAAAAACCAGAGATGTAGTACAAATACCGACTAAGTCTGAACTCAGGTGAGATAAAGCCCTTGCTGGTGGGCTGGGAATGAGACAGCGTCCGAAAGGGGAGGAAAGGGAGCCTTGGCAAGCCCCCCCGACCACAGGAGGAAGGGAAAACAAAGGCTGCTGAGCAAACCAGACCCAGTGGGGCTTGGCCTGAGGCCAGGGGAAAGCTGGCATACACTCAAGAGAGCCAGGAAAAGGGTGGGACTCAGAAGCCCCACCAGAAATGGGCATCGCAGATGACCCCAAACACGAGGCCACCCAGACCCACTCCAGGACAGTGGCCGAGCCCTGCTGTTGTCACTGCTGCCATACCAACTGTTATCAGAGAATTAGGGGAAGTGGAGAATCCCAACATGAAAATTTATTTATCTAAAATTACTTATATAGAACCAGAAAGGATTTGAAATAGGTTTTGGAACTTTTGAGAGGAGGATAAAAAGATAAGAGCCAAATAAATTTGGAGGAGAGGTAAAAACTGTTGTTCATACATTTGGAAATGAAGACCAAGGGAAGCTATTTCAAATACATACAATGCTTTGCTTTGAACATTTTCAAATTAATTTGCATGTTAGGGGACTTGTAAGAGTAAGAATGGGAAGCACTTGAAGGGTTAGCTCCTGTAAACCAAATCAACCAAGAAAACAATGCCTCAAAGTGAGATAACAACATGCATTTTCACAAATATAAGATACCGGGTCTTTCTGTTTCCCTGTCTGCTACTACAAGACGTGGAATATCCATGATTCTTTCTGATACAAAATAATTTCTAATTATAAAAAAGTGTTTACAGGCCTTTTTTATATTGCTTGCCATGAAGGAGTACAGATTGTCCTTAGTGAAGTCTGTGTTATTCTGTGATTAGGTGGCACTTCCTGTGGCACTGGGACTGGAGGAAGAGGGCTGACGTGTGGGGTTAGGCACTGATGCTGAGGACCACTCGGGTATCTGGTGAAGCAAGCAACATCTCTCACACTAAACTCGGGGTCTAAATTTCCTTTTCAGAGAGCAAAAACAAAGCCTTAGAGTCTCAGCTTGGAAATGCTTCCTTCAGTTTCCTACACTGTCTTCTGGGCACAGTCTTCACAGTGGTTCTGCTTAAAGAATTCTGAATCATGAGCTAAGGATGTTCTGTGACTTATTTTTCTGCAAAGGCACAGTCCCCACTCTTGATTAAGCTGGGTTGCCCTGTCATAGCAGTAAGCAGATGAGTACCTGCAGGCCAATGGAATCTGATGCCAAGGCTGAGTTCATGGCATTAAAACGATCCAGGGCAGACGACTGGGTTTGGATGTGATTCTCCAGATACTCCTGCTGAGCATGGGAAACCTGGACAGATCGAGGAGACAGTCACACAAAATCAATCCCTACACGTTCACGACAATCTTCAGTTAGGCTGGAACTTTCTTCTGTTAGAAGCCACATCTACTTCAACAATATCTAAAGTAAAGCTTTAAATTAAAAGTCAACATCTGCATGATCCAGAGAGAAGGGCAAGAATCACCTTCCTTTGGATAGTGTTTACTCACAGACCCTCATTTAGCCCTCTCAACAACACTGTGCAGGAGTCAGAATGTTGTCCTTTGTAAGGAAGAAAACAATCAGAGAAGTTATGTGATTTGCTCACTGTCAAACAGCTCAGAAGTGGCGCTCCTAGAACTAGAACCCAGTTGAAATAACTTCTGCAGCCACCTTGTTCTTTGTAGTCACCATGGAGAGAATATGCTTTGGTCTCACTCAATTCTCAAGAGTGTTTTTGTAATCCCAGCACTGTGGGAGGCCGAGGCGGTCGGATCACCTGAGGTCAAGAGTTCGAGACCAGCCTGGCCAACGTGGTGAAACTCCATCTCTACTAAAAATACAAAAATTAGCCAGGCATGGTGACGCACGCTTGTAATCCCAGCTTCGTGGAAGGCTGAGGCAGGCGAATCGCTTGAACCCCGGAGGCTGAGGTTGCAGTGAGCCAAGGTTGCAGTGAGCTGAGATGGCGCCATTGCACTCCAGCCTGGGTGACAACAGCGAAACTCCGTCTCATTTAAAAAAAAAAAAAAAGAGTTGTTTTGTTGCTGCTGTTGTTGCTGCTGTCTTTGTTGGGTGTGTGTGTTTAACATGTCTGAGTCAGAAGCCATTCTTGACCTAGATATTGGTAAGAGGCTAGATACAGTTAGGACTGAGGGTGGAAGGCCCCCCATGTGGCCTCTGGGAGCAGCAGAAAGCAGCCCCGGCACAGCAGAGCAGGAGGTGCACTCTGGGGAGTGGAGACAGAATTGAAGCAGCAAGCCAGGCCCAGGAGCATGTGGCAGCTTTGTGTTCAGCAGTGTGTTTCAATAGCAATAATTTAGCAATCTTAATCTGGCTGCAGTAGGTAGGATGACTTGGAGAAGGAGGAGACCAGTAGGCAGAGAGACAGGGTTTCTGGGACAATTCTAGCATGAGAAAATGAGGGTGTGTAGGAGATGGTGATGGAAAGCGAGGAGCAGAGTCTTGTTTATGCATCTATTGCAAATCCAATTCTTTGGCTTTGATGACAGTCATTGGTGTCTGACAGTCATGGCAGAATGACTTTCCATAAGCAGGTGAGAATTTCACAAATGTCCTCCCACATGCCAGTGGGAATGGGCTGGGTAGATATGTTTATACAGCCCCATTCCTATAATCAAGGAAGGGGCTAGGTAGATAAATTTACATAGCCCCACTCCTATAATCAAGAAATGGGGTAGGGAGATATATTTACGTAGCCCCACTCCTATAATCAAGGTACTAGGTGTTACTTAAGCACTTAATCTCACAGCCCAGCCATAAATTGAACTCTGATGCATGACTGTTGTAACTGCCCTTCTTTCCCACAGATATTAACTCTTATGGAAGGTACGTCACATAGACAGGGACTTTTATCTTTGGGAATATTAATAATAAATTTTTTTAAATGTCTACAAGCATTAGCTTGGCTAAACTAGAAGAAGGTTATTTTTCTTAAATTTTTCAGTAGGTAATACACTCACATGGTGCAAACATTTCAAAAGTATAAAGTTACTTTTATATTTTTATAAAAAATTACCACCCTGCTCAGTTACCACCCTGCCTCCCAATTAGAAACAGTTGTTAGTTACTTTCTGGATTAACCTTTTAGTAACTTTTTGTGCACACACAGAACAATCCTGATATGTTTATCTTCTCTTCCTGTTCTATACAAATGGTAGCAATTTTTTCCTACATATTTTCTTGCATCTTGCTTTTTTTCACCGTCTACATCTTTCTGTATCTCCCCTTCAAGGGATTACTTGCTTTTTCTTTTTTTTTTTTTTAATTTACAACTGCATATATTCTATTGTAGAGATACATCGTTTATCTTACTTTCCCTTATTTTTTTTTTTTGAAACAGGGTCTCACTCTGTCACCCAGACTGGAGTGCAGTGGCACAGTCTTGGCTCACTGCAACCTCCACCTCCCAGGCTCAAGTGATTCTCCTGCCTCAGCCAACGGAGTAGCTAGGATTACAGGCCTGCACCACCATGCCCGGCTAATTTTTGTATTTTTAGTAGAGACAGGGTTTCACCACATTGGCCAGGCTGGTCTCGAACTCCTGACCTCAAATGATCCACCTGCCTCGGCCTCCCAAAATGCTGTGATCATAAGCGTGAGCCACCGTGCCTGTCCACTTTCCTCTACTTGATAGACATTTAGGTTTCCAATTGTTTTACTATTACAAACAATGCTACAATAAATAAATCTATCCTTATGTCTTTCCTCATATGTGAGAGTCTACCTGTAGAATAAATGCTAGGAATAGAATTGCTGGGTCAAAGGATCTAAACATCTGTAATTTTGATCGATAATGCTGAATTGTTCTCTGTAAGAGTAATAGCAAATTGCATTTTCATCAGCAACCCTCTTCTTTGCCCACAGGCCTGTGAACAATGTCCTGACCCACTCTTGCACTTTGGCGGGTCTAATAGATAAAAATTATATCATGGGATGGTTTTAACCCGCATTTATCTTACGATGAGGTGAGGCAGAGCATCCTGTCATACACAAAAGAGCTCTCTCCATCTTTCCTTTAGTATACATTACCTGTTACAAATCTTTCACCTATTTTTATGAGTTGTAGCTTTTTTCTTCTTGATTCGTGGGGGATCTTTCAATATTCAGAAAATGAGCCTATTATGTGTGATACGAAGGACAAATAATTTTTCCCGGTCATTTGACTTTGACATTTTTACCAGCAGGAGTTTCTCATTTCAAAGTTGTCAAAGTTATCAGCCTTTCTTTTCATGGTTTTGGGATTTTATATCATAATAAGAAAAGGCATTCCCTTACCTCAAGGGTATAAATGAATTCACACATATTTTTCTTCTGGCACTTTTGGGTTTTATTTTTCACATTTAAATCTTTGATACTTTAGGAATTTAGCCAGGTATAAGACTTCCAACAGCACATAAGTTTTCCCAATAGCACATATTGACTAGTCCATTTTCCTTCCTTTTTTGAGATGCTACATTTATCATATACAGGGGTACATTTCTGGAGTACTTTTTATTGATGTTTGTCTATTTATGTGCCACTATGATACTGTTTCAATCTCTGAGGCTTTTTCACTTTCTTTTAACATTTAATAAGGCTACTCCCTCTCGTTGCTCTTTTTTCCCATTATTTTCCCAATCTTTTTATTTATTTTCTATATAAACCTTAGAATCACCTACTCCACTTATAAAAAACAAAACCTGTTGGTCTTTTTATTGGGTCATATTAAAATGGTACAGTAATGTGGATCTTATGATGCTGAATCTTCCTTTCTAAGCACATGGTGTTTCTTTCCACTTATTATAGTTGACTCCTAGGTATGTAGTATTTTTCTGTTGATGATATTTTGGGAATTTTTTGTATATTGAAACCTCTTTGTATATTATATATTAATTTTATATCCTCTGTGTGTGTGTGTATAAAATTTTATACCCTGCTACAAATAACAAATTCTTTACTTGTTTGTAGTAGTTTTTCTTTCATCATTTCATGTTCACTTGAGCTTTCCAGGTATACAATCATATAGTTTGTAAACAGTGATAGTTTTACATCTACCTATGCCATGTTTAAACCTATATGTTTATTTCTCTTGTTTGGCCAGTATGTGAAGAACAATGTTAAATAATAATAGTGATAGCTGGCTTCCTTGTTTTGCTCCTGACTTTGGTGAGAATGCTTTGAATATGAATACGATTATTCTTACCATAAAAATTTCCCTTTAGGTAATAAATTTCATTCTGTGATAAAATTTTCTCAGTTTATTTAAAATGTAATTCTATTGATAAAGAACACTAGATACTCTAATATCTTTAGGCACTAGCCACTGAGGGACCACTCTGAGCCTGCCATGCCTCCCTATCTCCAAGCAACTGAGATAATGACTTACTGATAGTTCCTGGGTGAGCTGTCGAATCTTCTGTCTCATCTCATCATAGTCTCCATACATTCGCTTTCTCACCTTTTCCAAAGTGGCTCTCACCTGTAGCCCACAAAGATACTAGTTAGAGATCAAGCCATAACATTTTCATACAAGATTTCTAAAACTTTTAAGAAACTCTAAAGAAAGAAGGACCCCGGCCAGGTGCGGTGGCTCAAGCCTGTAATCCCAGCACTTTGGGAGGCCGAGGCAGGCGGATCACAAGGTCAGGAGATCGAGACCACCCTGGCTGACATGGTGAAACCCCGTCTCTACTAAAAATACAAAAATTAGTTGGGGGGTGTGGTGGTGGGCACCTGTAGTCCCAGCTACTCGGGAGGCTGAGGCAGAAGAATTACGTGAATCCGGCAGGCGGAGCTTGCAGTGAGCCGAGATCATGCCACTGCACTCCAGCCTGGGTGACAGAGCAAGACTCCATCTCAAAAAACAAAAAAAAAAAAAAAAGAAAAAGAAAGAAGGACCCCACATAAAAATAAACTTAAGAACAAGACAGGAAATTAAGGGAGAAGGTCACCCCCAACAACTAGTTAGAAACTAGTTAGGAATTATCCAAATAATTTATATATATATAATTTTATTATGTATATATTTTATATACATAATAAAATATATAGGCATATATTAATATAGAATATATCAAATATATGCTAATATATATTAATTACATAAAATTATATATAATTACATGTAACTATCATAATAAATATTAATTAGCCAAATAAACTCTGAAGAAAAAATGGTTTGTTGAAATTCACCTATCACCCTCAAATGACAGTTGGGCAAAGTTTTGCCCTTTTCCCATCACATGTTTTTACAAGTAGAATGTGTTTTAACAGACTCATGGCTAAGAGGACCAAAGAAACCAAAAAGCAACCTCTAATTTTCCCTCTATCGGCCCTGACTGCCAAAGAGCAATCAAATATCTGGAATGGAAGGAAGTAAAATATGAACCCTGGGGAGCCCATAAATTTGAAAGTCAGTTCCTCAGTAATCACCAATAACACGCAAGGCAGTAAATATAACAAAAGTTCAAGTGATCCCAAAAACACTTGTTTACACAAACGCTGTTCAAGTTTCTCTACAGTACTACTTTCAGAGGGCTAGCAGGACCTTAAAAACTTTCAAAACACAACAAAAGACCTTACAAACAGTCCCTGTCTCCTCCCTTCTTCTGGTATCCCTAGGATGGGGAAAGTACTCAGGAACCCTCAAATAGGGCAGGAAGTCTCAAGGGAGTTTTCTCCAGCACACTCCAGAATTTCTGTTTTAGGAAGGGCCTAAAGATAGCAGTTTGGTTAGAATGTAAGTGTTTAGGACATAGTATTGGAAGGCTTAATTTTGAAGCACATTGTTTTAAAATAGACAGCATGTTTATTAGGGGTTACTGGATATTGGTGGAGATTTGGGGGAAGGGAGAGTCAAGACCCCCAGACTTCCCCACATGAATTCTAAAAATAGAGTCTACTTTCTTGCCATGAAGTACAAACATTTTGGGAAAATGAGGTTAAAGGTACAACTTTTCATTCTAGGCAGGCAGAACGGCTTTCATGTGTGGCCCTGAGCTGGCTCTTGTGCTGCTCCCAGTGGTGAGTGGGTGGAATCTTGAGCTGCATGTCCCTCCCAAAGGCAAATACTGCAATGACCAGGCCAGGGATGGAACTGAAGCCACCTATGGCAGGAGGGACCTGAAAGTTAGTTTTAAGTTGCGGATCACAGTGGAGGGTGGTAATTCCAGGTCTTTGGCACATGTCTTTGGTACATGTCATCCACAGCTCAGGATTAGCCAACATCTCCTCCTGCCTTTGTCTTGGGCAATGTGGGACTCTGGACTCTGTTTAGAAGGTTACTAAGGGAGGAGCCATACCTCCGGAGCATTTAAGTGAGGAAGGTCTATGTATTTCCTTGAGAAAAAAATACAAGAAAATTAAAATGTCTGAGCTATTCTTAACAGGAAATTCAGGAATTGAATATTCTGAATGGTTAAAAATTATGTCTGGAGGCCGGGCACAGTGATTTACACCTGTAATCCCAGAACTTTGGGAAACTGAGGTGGGAGGTTCACTTAAGTCCAGGAGTTTGAGACCAGTCTGGGTCTCTACAAAAAATTATCTGGGTGTAGCGGTGCGCACCTGCAGTCCCAGCTGCTTGGGAAGCTGAGGCAGGAGGATCACTTGAGGGTGGGGAAGTAGAAGCTGCAATAAGCTGTGATTGTGTCGCCACAGTGAGCTGTGATTGTGCCACTGCACTCCAGCCTGGATGACAGAGTGAGACGCTGTCTCGAAAATATACAATAAAATAAATTTTTAAAATTATGTTTGAAAGGTGGGATAACTAGGAGTTTAAGGTTGGTGGCTGTCATATACATTATGTATATGCGTGCTAATTTTGCTGGCTTTTCCTCATATTTTCTGCTAAGCATTTATTATTTTTTAAATTCAACAAGAAATGTTCCTTTTAAAAACTCACACAAAAGCGAAGACATCATGAGTTTGCATCTTATCTGAAAACCCACAAAATAAAATGGGGCTCACAAAGCTGTGTTTTTAACCTTAGGTATCAAAGCCCAGCCAACCCCCACAATCTCAACATGAGGACTGAAGCCTGCACAGAGCAAAAGTGACTTGCTGGGCCAGACACAGAGCTGGAGCTCGAAGCAAGGTCTGTGAGCTCACAGGCCTAGGTTGACTCCCTGCCCCTACACTGCCTCTTACAAGCACTTTCTAAGCCACTGGTCTGTAATGTGAGCCCATCAGTGTCAGAGCAGGCCATCTCCTCTTCCATATAAGCTGGGTGGTTTGGTCAAGAGGGGAATCAGTCAATCTAGGGGAACACAGGATGGAATGAAAAGAAATGGAGAGAGAGAGAAGAAGAAAATACTCCAAAATGTTAACAATTGCTCTGGATGAATAGTGAGATTATGAGTGATTTTATTTTCTTCTTCATACATGTTTATATTTCCCAAATTTTCTCAAAAGAACATGTAACTTAAAAGATAGGAAATAAACTACTAAATACAAGGAAATGGCATTGATTGGCTTGGTTGGACAAAGTCTATTGTGGTTGACTTCCTAGCATTTGTTTCAACCCAACTGATTGATCTGAATCACCCACAGTCTTCCTATTCCTCTTGCCAGGGATGAATGTGGGACTGGTAAGTGCAATAAAGAAAAACCACTCAAGAGCCTCCAAACCCTACACGGAAGGAGGAAGCCATCTGCTCTCCTGAGTATACTTACCTAGTAACATCCATCCAGCAGAAGCTCAACCTTTCCTTCCTTGCAGATTTACATCTGTACTTTAACATTACCATGAAGATACACAGAAACATTTCCAGCCAAAATGATAACACTAAGAATTCTTTCAAAATGCCTTATTACATTCACTTCAATGCTTCCAACTCCATTCTCTTGCATGCTACAAAAAGAATACAGGTGGGGGGCAAAAACTCTTAAATGGCTCACATCTTTGATGTAGTTCATCTCTTCTTTCAGCTGACTGGTGGACCACCCATACACCACCATTTCTTTCTGCTGATTTTGATCTGATCTTCGCACCACACCATAAACAACACCCTGAGGAAGTTTCCTGGTAGGTTCTCCATTGCTCAGGTCAAGAAGCTAAAAGAAAGTAGGAAAAGAAAAAAAGAATAATGACTCTTTAGGCCTCATGCACAGTTGTAATAACGGGCCCACTGTGTATGATTATGCAAATTGTGCCCAGCACTCATTGCCTGGCAGTGGAGATGGAGGGAGCAAAAATCCCATCTAGTCTCTGTTCACCAAGGTGATTTGGCATAGGCTTGGGCTGCTTTTACCCCGGAGGAAGAGCACCGTTTGCTAATGTATATAAGGGCCTGTCCACTCACCTAAGAGTAATTCCCACAAAGATACCAGACGGACTTGCGTTGTCCTAGTAAGAAGAGCAAGCATTTGAAACCTCATGCTCTTAATAATGCTGTCTTTCCCCTTATCCCAGCTTCTCCATATGACTTCAACCTCATCACTAAATACAATGCACAAGGTTGAGGCTGGCAGTCATCTAGCAGCCAAACTGTCCTCTGAGGGTAGGGCTGGTCCTGGGGCCAAGTTCTAAGAAAAGGGGGTAGTGTTAGTACATAACCTGTTGTGACCATTCATGAAATATTTCTGAAAAGCCAGGAAGAGGTGGTGTGACTTCAGCCCAAAAGGATCCTCCCAGTCCTGTTGGCTGGTTCTTAATTCCTTCAGTTAAAGTTTTGGTCATTGTTGAAATGCAAATACCCTTGAGAAACAGTAACATGTCCAAGCCTTAACACGCCTTTATAGAATGAAGGCTTAACAAGCAGGAAAGGGGGAAATTAAGATTTGTTGAAAACCTACTATAGGCTAGAAATATTCCTAATCACATTTAATGTTCACAACCACTCTATGACACAGCAATTGTCCTTTCTGTCCTTTCCACTTCATAGCTGAGAAAACTGAAGTTCAGAGACGTTAGGCAACTTGCTTATGGACACACACCTACATTCAAGCCTGGCTCTGTGATTCTGTCTGACATTAAGCACCTCCCCATACTGCAGGCTATGTTTAGATGCAGGGGGACAGAGTAGGTGCCTCCACAACATGGAAGGGACAGAAGTAAGAAAAAATCCAAGATCAAGGACTGAGACTTCAGACAAACTGACCTTCTCTCAGTTTTCCCTAGGGCTGACCCAGGTACCTCGACAATCCCACAGCACAGAAACCCAAATTCCATAAAGGTAATTCTGCTGTCCTGCTAACTTTTCAACTGCCTTTACACAGAGATTCTTGCCATGTATTCACAAAAAAAAAAAAAAAAAAAAAAAAAGCACTTTTTTTTTTAGATGGAGTCTCACTCTGTCACCCAGGCTGCAGTGTAGTGGCGTGATCGTGGCTCACTGCAACCTCCACCTCCCTGGTTCAAGTGATTCTCCTGCCTCAGTCTTCCAAGTCAGCTGGAATTACAAGTGTATACCACCACATGGGCTCATTTTTGTATTTTGTTTGTTTGTTTTTGAGACAGAGTCTCACTCTCTCGCCAGGTTGGAGAGCAGCGGCGCAATCTTGGCTCACTGCAACCTCCGCCTCCTGGGTTCAACCAATTCTCCTACCTCAGCCTCCTGAGTAGCTGGGACTAGAAGCGCGCCACCACGCCCAACTAATTTTTGTATTTTCAGTAGAGACGGGGTTTCATCATGTTGGCCAGGATGGTCTCGAGCTCTTGACCTTGTGATCCGCCCACCTCGGCCCCCCAAAGTGCTGGGATCACAGGCGTGAGCCACTGCGCCCAGCCAATTTTTGTATTTTTAGTACAGACAAGGTTTCACCATCTGGTCTCAAATTCCTGACCTCAAGTGATCTGCCTGCTTTGGCCTCCCAAAGTGCTGGGATTACAAGCATGAGCCACCTTGCCTGGCCCACAAAGCATTTTTTAACACACAAAACTTTAATTTGCATTTGAAAATCATTCATTGTGGCAGAACAGTAAGTTCTTTATGTACTTTAAGTACTTTATGATCCCATTCATTCAAAGTTTGCAAAATCAAAGAAAGGTCTAGAAAACTATGTGATGATGATTAAACTTACAGGTCTCTAAGGAAGGAACCATGGATGGGGTAGGGGCGCTAGAGATCAGGGTGACTTTTGCCTTGTTCTTTATACCTTTCTATATTGCTTGTTTTTTGTTTTGTTTTGCTTCGTTTCAATGTAATCTTTTTAAAAAGTAAGAAAATACTACAACCATTGCTTCTTGCCCTTCTTCCCACACTTGGGAAGAGATGGGATGCAAGAAGCTGTGATTCCTTGTACTTGTTTCTGGTAAATGCTTCCCCCTGAGTCCCTTACAGCTGGGCCCCAAAGGCACTGATGCTATCCTTACATTTGTGCTTAAGTTTGGGTAACTGAGCTGTTAAATGGCTTGCAGCAGAGTCAAGAGCTGGCATTAACTTATCCCCAATTTACTGGACATATAACCAGGAAGAGGAAAAGCTCTAATGAAACTCCCCAAATACCAGGAAACAAAAGCAAGATCTTTCAGTCACAGACTCCACCCAGTTCCTAAAAAACAAGCCAATGACAACACAAGGCTTTGGTGAAATGCATTTCTGCAAAGCAAAGGCTTTCAGAGGTGGACTGGCTTGCAGGAAAACTCAGGTGGCCGGACACAGAGGATCCTGCCCCTGGCCCAAGCAGGGAGATGAAGCCGCCACGGAGCAGGGAAAACACAAGCAATGCCAGGAACAATGAAGTCTGTGGAACACTCCCGAGTGGCCCAGGTCTCAAAGTTGTACACACAGAAAGAGATCAAGATACACTGAGTGAAAAATCATAAATTTCAAATTTTCATTTTTTGTTTGAAGACTGTGTGTTTGTGTATGTAAAACATCTAGAAGGATGCAATCCAGCTCTCTAACGACAGTTTCCTCAGGAAAATGAGATTTCACTTTTTCCTTTATGTTCTTTTGTAGACTTTGAATGTTTTTTGGCAAAAAGAAAAAAGCATTATGTTTGAATTGAACATTTGTGTAAATGTCAGGGTCTAAATAAAACGCCCCCAGGAAGGGCACGGCCCCAGGACTCTACCCGCTGGGGAGCAGGGCCATCAGCACCAGCCACACCAGGGGAGAGGACTCCTGAGGCAGCCCAAGGAGCTGATGGTCCCTGACAGGAAAAGTGAAGAAGAAAGTTACTGAAGAAAGAGGAGGGGGAAGAAATTTGTTGTCAGGTGATTTTATTACATATAATATATAATAAAATATATATTTTCTTTAATCCTCACAATGACCCTACTGTGTAAATAGTATGACTTCTCTTCTTCCAGGGTAACAGCCTGCAAGTGCCTGCCTATGTCTTTCCAAATTGGAGTTCTTTTTTCACTACAATGCTACAGTCAGGAGAACAACTGGAACTCACGTCTCCATGTAGCATCCCAGGGTCTCCAGCCGTAGGAACCCAAGAGCCTGCTCTCAGGTCCCAGGGCCATTTGGAAGAGGCAGGCCCAGGATGGGGGGCTCTTTCCACTTCCCCTGCCCATCCCCAACCCCACACCTGCCTCACTGCCTCCCTTCTGTTCCTTTAGGAGCCAGCCTCCTTCTTGTTTCAAGGTAGTCACACATGCTGTTCCCTCGATCTGCACTGCTGGGCTGAAATGTCACTTCCTCAAGAATCAAGAACGCCTTTCCTGACCCTTCAGACCCCTGAGGTCTTCTCGGTTCACTCTCACAGCACTTCCCCACGACACTCACCACAGCTGCAGCCCAGCGACTGTTGGTGTATGTCAGTATCCTTGTGTGGGGAAGCCCTGCTTCCCTATCAACTGTAAATTGCAGCAAGTCCAGGGCCTACTTTGTCTTCTTTTCCACCGTAATTCCCAGATCTAACAGTGACTGACGTGCAATGAGTCTCTCAATAAATACTTGCTGAATGAATAGGGAACTTTAGAAGTTGGGAGAGGTCTGGGAATTACTCAGGGTACATAAATATGGTCCAAATGAAGTGAATACCTGTTATTCTTCTTAGATGGAGGAACAGACAGTTAATGTTTACCCCGGTCACAACATGTATACCCAGAAAAGCTGCTAGGAGCATAGATGGCTATCATTTTTATAAAATATCAGTATGCTTTTGGTCAAAAACTGAACACGGGGAAAAAAAGAAAAAAGCTGATATGTTGAGCAAGATGTTTGTGGCTAAATTTCTCTCCTCTTGTATCCTTTAAAATACCTCCCAATAAGAAAAGTATTGATTTTTAGGCAGAAGAGCATTATGATGATATTAAGAAACAGTCTCTTTTAGAGAAACATGCTGAGATACAGATGATGTATATTTATTTCCTTATACAGCGTGGATGTAGATGAGGCAGGATTGGCCATGTATTGAGGTTGCTGGTGCTGGAGAGAGGATCAATGACTCATTACATGATCCAGTCTCATTTTGTATGTTTGAAACTCTCCAAAATTAAGTTTTTTAAAACCTCCTTATGGCCAGGCACGGTGTCTCATGCTTATAATCCCAGCACTTTGGGAGGCCAAGGCAGGCAGATTGCTTGAGTCCAAGCATTTGAGACCAGCCTGGGCAACATGGTAAAAATCCATCTCTGCAAAAAATGCAAAAATTAGCTTGATGTGGTGGTGTGTGCCTGTAGTCCCAGCTTCTTGGGAGGCTAAGGTGGGAAGATTGCTTGAGCCCAGGAGGTTGAGGCTACAGTAAGCTGTGATCATACTACTATACTCCAGCCTGGGCGACAGAGAAAGACCCTATCTCAAGAAAATTAAATTAAATTAAATTTAAATTAAAAATCAAAAGCCTCTTTATAATGCTACTTGGTACTAAAAAAACAAATTTTAAAAAATGTACTCTATTAAAAGCCTCCTGGGCATGAAACAATACTAGACAGAATTTGCTTGAAAATAAAAGGCCTGGCCAGGAATGGTGGCTCATGCCTGTAATCCCAGCACTTTGGGAGGCCGAGGCAGGTGGATCACAAGGTCAGGAGATGGAGACCATCCTGGCTAACACGGTGAAACCCCATCTCTAATAAAAATACAAAAAAATTAGCCAGGCGTGGTGGCAGGCGCCTGTAGTCCCAGCTACTTGGGAGGCTGAGGCAGGAGAATGGTGTGAACCCGGGAGGTGGAGCTTGCAGTGAGCCGAGATCGCACCATTGCACTCCAGCCTGGGCGACAGAGCGAGACTCCGTCTCGGAAAAAAAAAGAAAATAAAAGGCTTAATTAAAGTGTAGAATAAAAAGAAAGTAGGAAAGAAGGAAAATTAACTGAAAGGGCATTCCATACTCCCAACACATACGCAGAATCTCTGGATTAAGCTGTTTCCTGTGAGTACTCACAGCATAAATTCTACCTACAGGCCCCATACTATGGCTGACCTCCCTAAAGATACATCTGGCAGCCAGTGCCTTAGAAAGAAAGAGCAGCTACAGAAAACTAACTCAGCCTAAATTCCTCTCCTAAGGGATTTACTGGCCATTGAAGAGTCTGCGTTAACAAGGCCAATGATATTGTCCAAATCTTAAATGAGAAGATAGGATCCTACAATGCAACAAGCTCCAAAAAGCCAGGGACAACATCTGCCTTATTCACTGCTCTATCTCTGGTACCCAGCATAAATAGATGCTCCATAAATACATTTTGAAGGGAAAAAGAAAGATGGAATATTTGGAGTATACAGTCATCCTTGACACTGAGGATTAATCTGTGCAAAAAAAGAAAATCCCTTGGTCAATCAGCATTCTTAGGGGAAATAAGAGCAGAAATGCAGCTCAACATGCATCAAACTGACAATAGCAGACTAACACAGCCAGTCCCCCGCCCCACCAGCCAGGAGGGGCAGCTGGTCACACATCCTGGCTGCCAATATGGTTGAGAAGGGCCATAATGTGACTCGTGTGACTTCCAGACTGGAAGCCAAGTTATTTCCAAAACTTCTTACTTCAGACCTCTTTTCTCCAGCCAGAGGGCAGCAGCTAACCTGGGACTGCTGAGCACAGAGCCACTGGGTTCCCTGCCCATCTTGCAGGCAGAGGCTGGCACTTCGGGAATGTGCTCTGGCTTGTACAACCTGTGTATCTATCTCAGCAAATTATTTGGCCCAGGTCATTACTCATACTTAACACTGTTTTGCTTTCTTGGACAAAAATGAACATTACCTCTGAGCCCAAAGGGCCTTTCCACAGCCTGGGAAATAAATATTCTCAGAAAAACTGAAACCTCTGGCTTATCAAAATACTTGGCCAGGCGCAGTGGTGTATGCCTGTAGTCCCAGCTACTTGAGAGGCTGAGACAGGAGGAATACTTGAGCCCAGGTGTTCAAGGCAATCGTGTGCTATGATTGCACCTGGGAATAGCCACTGCTTTCCAGCCTGGATGACATAGTGAGACCCTGTTTCTAAAAAATAAAACTAATTTAGTTATTTCTGACAGTCTCACAGACTGAATAGTGCCCATTTCCTAAGTAAACTCAGGAGAAAAGATCATTTTCAAAGCTTAAGATGAGAAGGAAAAGGAAAGCTTCTAGCCAAGCAGAAGTCCCAAAGAGAGTGGCATTTGTAATGATAGCAGCCTGATAGGAGTGCTAGCGTACCGCTAGTGCACAGCTTCCATGCAGACTAGTGTGCAGCTAGTACACAGCTTCAACGCAGACAATAGTTGCTTAGGCCTAATAACCCCCGCGGAAAAGGGAAGAATACACGGGAGAAAAAAAAATCAGGAACTGCTTTTCTGGAACCCAGGGGTATAGTACACACCTTCGGTAACCTTGACTGATAAAATGTAAATATCCTAAACAGAGTTTCTCTGATAGGAGAAGGCACGCAAGTCAATGTTCCCATGGCAACATGGCCCGTCACAGACCTGAGTTGGAATTGCAAATCCACTATCTACTAGCTGTGTGCCCCTAAGAAAGTTATTTTCTGTACTTTAAAGAGCTTCAGGGTCCTTAACACTAAAATGGGGATCATACCACCAATTTCAGTGGGCAGTCTAAAGAATACACAGAATAAAACACACAAAACACCTAGTGTGCTAATAGCATACTAGTAGATACTGGGAGTTTCTAGTATTGGTGGTGTGGTTTCTTTACATTTTTGAGTATATGGGTTCCTACTCAACTCTACATGTCTATCTGAATGAGTCTGTCTGTCCGTCCACCTTCTTCTTGGTCTTTTTGCTGTTCTCATTACAGTTGTCAAAGTGGCTCTGACAGCGAAATATTCACCCCCAAAGTGGCCTTGGTTTCTCTTCATGGGTAGTGAATCACAAAGTCTCAGAAGGTTAGAAAAATGGAAAAGAGTTGTATAGTCCAGTGGGTTTTCAGACACTATTCCCAGCTCCTCCTCCGTGTCTGACAAGGTTGTAGGGTGAAGAGTTGGGGGCCTGATGGAGGCAGCCAACATAGCCCTGATCTTATTTCAGCTCCACCCGCTGCACCTTGACTGCTTTACCAATAGAACTTCCACATTTATCAACGTGAATAAAGGAATGTTTGGAAAAACACTGGCTCTAGACTAACATTTCTATTTGCTAGAAGAAGCAGCAAAGACCCCTAGAGATGACCTGACTGGCCCAACCACCACAGGGGTTCATGAGGAAGCCGGGACTCAAACTCTAGGTCTCTCCCCATCCTCCAGGGGCTGTTATCTCTGAGGGGCACGCAGAGTCCCTGGTGTGCTGTCACAAAGGGCAGCCCGGCCCCCACCTGAAGCTCTGAATCATGGCAGCACACTCGCTCACTTGGCAACAGCCCGCGAGGTTGTATAAACAGTCACGCCAAGGACGAGAACTCAGCAGGCTTATTCATCCAAGGCTTTTAAAGGAAAGAGGACTATAAAACCTACTGGCAAGGACTTCCTCCTTTTCAACATTTTATTGGGTTATGAAAGTTCCCAACTCTACATCCATACCCACGCATCTGCTCTCTCTCTCACTCAGCATTCTCAAAGATCTAGAGAGAAAACAGCTTCTTTAAAAACAACAGGTCACTGAAGGACACCTCCAAAGCTGGGATGTTAATAGCTATTTAAAACGGTATCTGCCTCAAGCTATTTTATCTATTTGCAAAGGACTTTACCATCATAAAGACGCAGAATCAACTCAGATCAGATGCCCTAAAATTCAACTGTGCAGTGAGGCCCTGATTCAATATGCTAAGTCTGCAATAGCTGGTGTGGGTTCTGTCTGTGTGTGTGTGTCCCTGCATATACACATAGGAATCTGTTGCACATGACTATGGATAAGAATATGGATACATAAATTCAGAGAGTTCTTTGAAAACAACAGGTACTTAATTTCAAAACTATTACCAATTTTAATTTGAATGTTCAGCCTGTTTATAAACATTATATTCTACATTTATCAATTTCTCAACATGTAATTTGTGCCCACAAACTAATCAGCATCCTCCCTCCCATATTATTAATGATTTTTAATGTTCAATATTCAAATAAAAGCCCACAGCTAATTCATCTGAGTTGTTACTATAATTCAAGGTGATTTCCTCAAAGAACCTGTTATGGGTTGAAGAGTGTCCCCCAAAAAGATATGCTGGAGTCCTAACCTCCAGTACCTAGGAATTATATGGAGAGCAGGTCAAGTTAAGAGAAAGCCATCAGACTGGGCCCTATTGGTGTCCCTATAAAAAGGGGAAAATCTGGACACAGACACATGAAAATGCCATGTGAAAATCAGAGCGATGCTGCCACAAGGCAAGGATTACCAAGAGCTACCAGCAGCTGGAAGCGGCAAAGAAAAATTCTCCCCCTGGAGCCTTCAGAGGAGGCACCACCAGCACCTTGATCCCAGACATATGAACTCCAGAACCGTGACAGAATACTTTCGGTTATTGAAGCCATCTCGTTTTTCATGCTTTGCTGTGGCAGCCCTAGGAAGCTAATATAAAACTCAATCATCATAATCAATAAGCATTCATTAAGCACCTACTATGTGCAAGGCAGCCACCTAGGCTTTGGGAAGAGAGAATAAAAAGACTCAACCTCATTTCTCTGTGTGTGTGTATGTGCCTACATACATGTTATATACAAATTTTGCAAAAATATATATCTATACCTATGTGGAGTTCTTAGCAGCACGTGGCTAGGTGCCAAGTGAAAGGGGCAGCCTGGGTGTCCTGTAGGTTAAGGGAAGAGTGACCACCCCAGCACATAGAAGTCTGGGAAGTTATCAGAAAGGAAGTGGGCCTTTAGCTGAGCCTTCAAGGACAGGGAAGACTTAGATAAACTGAGACATGGCAGTGAAGGGACTCCAAGCATGGCTAGGGCCTCAGCAAGGGTTATGAGGAAGGAAGAGATGCTATGTGTTTGGAAAATAAAGACAGGCAGCTTCAGGCAGGAGAATAACTCCAGAAGGTCTAAGGGGGTAAAAACAAAGACCCAGGGCCACTGGCTTTGGCATTCAAAGGGAAGAGATTCAGTGTTTAGTCATTACCTCTTTAATCCATATTATAAACCGGACACTGTGGTGGGCATTTTGCATATATTAGCTTATTTACAATTTGAAACCAGGCATTGTTGTGTCTACTTTAAAGATGAGGAAGCTGTGCATTTGGGAGCTCATCTGTGGTCAGCATAAAGCAGTGTCGGGGCAGTTGATGTCTCCTGAAGGACTAAAAGGAACAGGCAGCCAGGGCATCTGCCTTAGGGATAGGAAACCTCCAAATACACCCCACAAACCCTTGACTCCATAAGAAGGTGCTGACTCTGTTGTAATTGCATCCAGCAGCCTCCAAACACACCTTTGTGGAAATGGGCAAAATACGCCATCCACAACACACCCACATTGGGAGCAATTCCTTTCTCCAATAACTGGAGAACAGCAAACGGAAGAATGGCCCAACTGGCAGCAGCCTCTATGCATGGCCAGCTGTCCCATGGCATCGTGGCATCCCCGCAATATTAAACACCTCCCAGAACAGTGTGAAAGACTAAGGAAGGCCCAGGCTGCCCTCATCATGTGCGGCTCTAACAGGGCCCTGGAAATCCTTGAGAAGTCTCACTGCAACAGAAGTCAATCGGGCCATTTACAACTTTCTACTCACATATCTGAGCCAGCTCCAATCCCCTGGCCTTTGCACACAGAAGAAGCCCCTTCAAAGGAACCAAAGTTACGTGACCAGGGAGGGTCATCCAGAGTTTTGGCCTCTTGCAATTCCATGGGTTCCAAGGAGGGGAAGCCATGTTGAAACCACATCCAAGGAAGTGGCCCCTACAGAGTCTCCCCGACAGTGCATGGCCCTGGCCCTCAGTGACTCATGCCAGGAACCTGGCCAGGACATGGTGACGAAATCACTCAGAGCAGCCTCCCAGTTACCCCTAGAAACTTCAAGGGCTGCCACCACCCAAGGACTTCATCCCTAGGGAAACAACAGCCCCACCCTCCTCCCCTCTACCCCAGTTCTTCTGCAGTGAGTCACCAATGTGCCACACATAGGCACTTAGACTGCACGCCTGGTCCACCTGGTGTAAGAAGTATCCTGGTGCATATGCTATCCCAGCAGTGCCTGTCCTGTGCTCCTCAGGGCCTTGGAGTTCTCAAGCAACCACAGGAGGGTGTCTGGGGGCTGAGGGGTAAAGGGAGACTGGGAGGACTTGGGCCCCCGTTAGTACCACTTTTGCTTGGTTTGCATATGAGGGCTCAGTAAAACATTCTGATTTTTTTTTAAAAAAGAGGGTCCTATTGACAAGTTTGAAAAGCACTATTCAAGCCAAATAGGCAAACTGACACACAATTTGTTGACTCCAGTTGACACAGCTAAACACACGAGGCTCCTTCCTTGGGATTACTTGATTCTTCTTCAGTGGTTACAGACCCTCCAGGGTCCTCCAGCCCCTACCACCCCAGTTTTGGCACTCAGAAACCTTTCACGAACATCTCCCAAGGCATGAAGCTTGGGTCTAACTCCAAAAGACTATATTCCCCAATTCCTCTACCGTCTGTACCAACAGGTACTGCCACCAGGCCCTTGTCCTGTCCCTCACTCCAGCTTAGGCCACTTCTTCAAAAAGTGTTCTAAGCAGCTCTGAGCACCTGGACACAGCCCAGACCCATGTCTTGGACCAAGCCATTAGCTCTAAAAGGGACAGGCAGGGAGAGGAGCAGTGAGGACAGAAGGGGACACTCCCTAGTGACAGATGGCCCCACTCAATCCTGCTCATCAGCAGGGGTGTAGCAGCTGAAGCCTGACCACTTCCACTCTCTGCTTAGGACTTTTACTCCCAAACTTTGTCTGTGGAGAATGTTCAAAGCTACACAGAAGCTGAAAGAGCCACTCAACTACATAACCATAGTACCATCATCACAAGAAAATTAACATTTATTCAATAATATGTAATATATAGTTCATATACAAAATTGTATAGTCATCCCAGTATATCTTTTATTTTATTTTATTATTATTATACTTTAAGTTTTAGGGTACATGTGCACAATGTGCAGGTTAGTTACATATGTATACATGTGCCATGCTGGTGCGCTGCACCCATTAATTCGTCATTTAGCATTAGGTATATCTCCTAATGCTATCCCTCCCCCCTCCCCCCATCCCACAATAGTCCCCCAGAGTGTGACGTTCCCCTTCCTGCGTCCATGTGCTCTATCTTTTATATAATTTTTTTTGCCACCATCTAATCCAGGTTCACTCATTACATTTAATGTTATGTCTCTTTAGTCTCTTATCTGCAACAAATTCTCATCTTTTTTAAAAATAACATTGAATTTATTGAAGGATTCAGGCCAATTGTTTTGCAGAATGTCCCACATTTTGGTTTTCTGTTTCCTTATTATTAGATTCAGTTAAACAAGTTTGGCATGAATATTACATATGTGATGTGCACCTCTTAGGTGAATCACCTCAGAAGTCATGTAACATCAGCTCGTTCCACTATTGGTGAAGTTAGGTTGGATCACTTGGTTGAAATGCTGGCTGCCTGCCTACTCCACTGTGAAGGTACTGTCCCTTTAGAATCAGTAATCCGCTGGGGTGATACTTTGAGAATATCCTACAATAATCTTTCACCAACTTATTTTTGCATCTATTGATGAGTATACCTGGAGGTTACAAAACAAAGATTTTCTAAACTTATTAGCTAGTGTTCTATAAAAAAAAGGGAGCCTTCCCTATTTTATCCTCTGATCTCGTGCCTCTACTCCCCTTCTCCAATTATCACTACAAACGTATGGATTTTTTTTAATATTCGATGTGTTATAAGCCATGACTGTCATTATTCTTTTTGATGCTCCAGCTGTTCCCATTTTGGCCAGTGAAAGCCCATTCAAACTGGCTGCTAGGTCCTTTACTAGGACCCCATTCATCTCTGAGTGAAACCTTATTTTCCAGAGGTCCCATATCCCCCTCATCTTTTCCCTTCTGCAACCCAGAACTAGCTGTTTTTCTGGATCTTTTTAGTGGAACTCATCCACTCTTTTTAGGCAGATCAGCAATTTTACTCCTCACCTTTCTCTAGTCAGAACTTCATTTGCTTTTCTCCCTACTTCCTTTCCCTGGCATTCATCATTTGCATCAGCACAGGCAGCTCTCTGTCCTTGGTAGAAAGTGGGGAGGAGAGGGCAAGGAGAGACAGAGACCTATGGTAAACTTAGGGACATTATCAAACACTTAGCCATCGATGAGAAGCTTTCTTTTTTATAGTTGACCACATTAGTGGTTAACTCTAAAGCAAGCTTGTATTTCAAGAGGTCACTATGTTATGACTCCATTTATGAAATTTATATCATTTTATTTTGTTTTACTTTATAATCATATAAAATACATGCTCAAGAAAAAGTACTGCCTACTTCCTGGCACCCCTACCCCTTCTTTTACTTTGTCTCCATCAGCACTTACCACCTCCTAACCTCTATAAAATGTACTTAATTATTTTGTTTACTTCCATTCTTGTCCCACTAGAATATAAGTTCCATGGATGACAGATTTGGTTTACTGCTTTGTTCCCTACTATATTCCCACTGTATACAACAGTGCCTGGAATACAGTAGGTGCCCCATAATTATGAATGAGTAAAATGGGTCGGCCAGGACCACAGGCCTAGAGGTCAGCAGGACCTCCTCTTTATCCTTCAAGCCTCCAACTTCACTGTCACCTCCCAAGCAGTCAGTTATTCCCTTCTCTGTGTTCCCAGATTCCGTCATATAGGGCTGGATCTTAACACCTGAAATATCACATCATCGTCTCACCCAGAAAACTGCAAATTCCCCCAAGGCAAGGACATACTTATCTTCACGGCCTCAGCACTTAGCACAGGAGCTGTCACAAAAATGTTTGCCGAATGCCTCCTACCCCCAGCCAAGAAAGTGCCCTTTCCCTGCACCAGCCTGCCTGCCAGCCTTTCCTCTCTTCTGCGGGAGCAGAGCCCCCGGCTGCTGCTCCAAGCTGCTGAGAAAGGTTCCAGCCCCGCCAGCTGCTCACAATAGGCCCTTTGAAGCAACTGGATTGGGCTGTTTCAGGAAAACCCACGTTCCCCGCCACAGCACCTGTCACTAAGACCAGTGTCCCTGCAGCTTCAAGGTAACACAAAGCCATAGTGTTCACCAAGAAACAAGAGCAGGGCACGTCGGTGGCAGAGCCGGCTAGGGAGAGCTCTCTGTCTTCTGGGAAGACGGGAGATGAGGTGGGAAGGTTGAGAGGGCCTTCTCCTCAACAGAGGTGCAGACACCCAGCCTCTGGGAATGGCCTGGTTAGGAGATGGGAGAGTGGGTTAAGGGTATAGAGGCTGGAACTTGTTGGGGCTTTGCCTCGGAGATACCTTACCTGCTCTTTTCTCTCAATCTTCTTTTCACATTGCTCAGGAACTGGACTCTCAGGAGGTACGGTCAGCCGTAGTCTGCAAACATTTGCCTAGAAGAGAGGGAAAGGAGAGGCCAGTTAGGAGTCAGCATTTGGGGCAGAAAGAGCCAGATGACCTTGGGCTTCTCACAGCCCATTTCCCCTACTTCCATTGGGGAACACTGTCCTGATCATACAGGAGCCATAGAGGAGATAAGGCCAGCCTTACCTTCACAGTACCAGGCCAGCCTGGTACAGCACAGGCACCCACCACCCTGGGGCTCAAGGAAGGAAACTACCAAATCACTTGATCTATTTCAAACATTTCTTTACCAATGGCTCAGTTTCCATAAGAATATGTATAGAATGATCTCATTTCACAAGTATAGGCAAAAATATAGTTACAGGGAAAGAAGCCAAAATATACACAGTGGATATCTCTATTGGGAAGGGAGGGTGCTTTCTACTTGCCTATATATTTAATTTTTCTACAATATACATGTACATGTTTAATCACAACTTTTTTTCAAAAAAGTCCATATACCCATGTTCATAGCAGCATTATCCACAATAGCCAAAAGGTGGAAGCAACCCAAATGTCCATTGACAGATGAATGGATAAACAAAATATTATTTATACATACAATGGAATATTACCCAATATTAAAAAGGAAGGAAATTCTGACACATGCTACAACATGGATAAACCTTGAAGACACTATGCTAAGTGAAATAAGCCAGTGGCAAAAAGACAAATACTGTATGATTCTACTTAGATGAGGTACCAGGAGTAATCAAAATCATAGAGACAGAAAGTGGAACTGTGGTGACCAGGGGGTAAGGATACAGGGAAAGTTAGTATTTAATGGGCATGGAATCCCAGCTTGGGAAGATGAAAAAAATCCTCGAGATAGATGGTGGTGCCAGTTGCACAACAGTGTGGATGCACTTAATGCCACTGAACTATACACTTAAAAAGGGTCAAAATGGTAAATCTCACAAGTACATTGCTACAATTTAAAAAAAAAAGCTGTCCCTGCTTGTTGGATACAGACTAAAAGTAAGACAGTTAGCTGGAAAGGCTTAGGAGAAGAAAATATAATGCTTATGAGTTTTGGTAAGACATCTGACTCCTTAATTAGCTATGTCACCATGAATATTTGTCACTAGTCACTGAGATTCTCACGTCAGTTTATTAAAGGCTGCCAAAAAATTTCACTGAAATATCGGATAAAGGTTCCTAAATGATTTTTTAAAGTCTAAATTGCACCATTTCTGTTAAAAATAAAAAAGCATTATACCACTCAGTGAGAGAAGCTACAATTTGTGTGATTTATCATATTCTGTTGACGAAGGGTGACTTAGGGGCAAAGTCATTTTCCTACTCAACAGAGGGAAAAATGGACTACTATAATCTGTAGTACGAGGGGACAATAACAGTAATAATAGTAATAGCTAACCATGTATAGGCATCTTCTAAGTGTTTTACAGGTATTTATTCATTTAAGCCTCACCACAAACCTATGGTAAGAGATTCTCTTACCTGCCCCATTTTTCAGATGAGGAAGCTAAGCCTCTGAAGGGTTACATGGCTGGGAAATGACAGAGCTGAGATTTGAACCCAGGCAGTCTCCGGGGCTTACTTTCTTAGCTCTTATACTCATGGTCCCCATCACATGCCTGAAATGCCATGTGGGCTCAGTTCGCGGGAGTGCTGTTGGCTCCCTAATATGGGTTGAATTGCATCCCTCTAAAATTCATCCATTGAAGTCCTGACCGCCTTCCTGGCATCTCAGAATGTGACCTTATTTGAAGAAAGGGTCTTTACAGAGGTAATCAAGTAAAAATGAGATCATAAGTGTGGCCCTAAATCAAAATGACTGGTGTCCTTATAAGAGTGGGAAATTTGGGGAGAGACACACATACAGGGCGATCATCATATAAACATTAAGACGACCCATCAACAGCCAAGGAGAAGGGCCTGGAACAGAGAGTTCCTTCACAGACCTCAGAAGAAACCAACCTTGCCAACACCTTAATTTTGGGCCACTAACCTCCAGAACTGTGAGACAAGAAATTTCTGTTGTTTAAGCCAATGGCGTTGTGGTAGTTTTCATGGCAGCCCTAGCAAACAAATCCTCTCCACCCCCGTCCCAGTCTGGTTGGCAGGTTCACAGATCTGCACTGGTCCACAGGGTGGCCTCTTAGCAAAACCACCCTGCAGCCTAGAAGCCCAGGGCTAGAGGGAATGTCAAAAATCTCTTGAGTTCAACCTGCCCACCTTTGAAGAAACCCAACACCCAAAAATGTACCTGACAGGTGGCACCAACCTGTTCATTTTCCATGAACAGGTTAGGGAGCCCAGGTTTGGGACCCATGTTAGCACTTCCACGTACACCATTGCCACCCTCCAAGGCATTGCATTTTGCTACCAGGCACCTCTAACTTGCTGATCTGAGCTTACACCAGAATTTCTACCTAATGGACCCAGGGTTGTCCTCGGACTGCAAACTAATTCCCCTTTTTCTAGGCAGTCCTCCTGTCCCTTGAACTTCCTTTCTTCTGGACGAAACAACCCCAGTTCTTTAAATCACATGACTTGGTTTCAAGATCCCTCTCCATCCTCATCCTCCTCTTGGCAAGCATCATCCCCCAGGGACCCCGGAATCAGATGTGGCCTGACCCCCAGGGCTATCATTGCCTCTTGTGGGGCCAACTTTACAAGCAACCTTCAAAGCTCACCGTCAGTCATGTTGGCCAAAAAGAAACCAAGCCATACTACCAGGTAGCTCTCTTTCCTGGTGGGCAACAACACTGATCTTGAGTAGGGAATCTTGAGTCCCTCCAGAGAAAGGCAACTCTCTGGCTCCAGGCCCCTCAGACTGGTTGAAACCAGTCTGACATTTGCACAAGCATCAAAGTGTAACTCAGACCACAGAGACAATCCAAACCTGTGGTGCTCAACAATCTCCTATTAGGCTGGGTCTAGTCCATGCATAATTCTGCAGGGAAAAGGAAGTCCTTTTCTCCTGCACCACATCACACACACACACACACACACACACAAGTGTGCACACACGTACATATATGCCTATCACACATACACACATACACAGGCTCCAACATCTACTAGCTGTGTGTCTACGGGAAAGTTACTTAATCTCTCTGAATCTCAAGGGTAAAATGGGATAAAGGGAGAGTGTCACATAGTAAGCCTCTATGAATATTAGATATTTTTATTTTTATTTGATTATTTATTTATTTTGAGACTGGGTCTTGCTCTGTCGCCCAGGCTGGAGTGCAGTGGTGTAATCATAGCACTGCAGCCTCAATCTCCTGGGCTCAAGTGATTCTCCGACCTCAGGCCCCTAAATAGCTGGGACCACAGGCATGCATCACCATGCCTGGCTAATTTTTTATTTTTTGTAGACACAGAGTCTTACTATGTTGCCCACATGGGTCTTAGACACCTGGGCTCAAGCAATCCTGTCTCAGCCTCCAAATGTGTTGGGATTTCAGGCATGAGCCACTGCACCCAGCCAGATATTTTTACTATTATCTAGATATTATCATCATCCTATATGCTTCAAAATGAAACAGACCTGCTTAGCCTCACAGTCCTGTTTCCATGAAAATAACAATTTGGTCAATGAATCAGAGACATTAACACTGTAAGTGATGACTTTCGGTTGGTTGATTATTTTAGAGGGGTAATCCTTAATGGTCATAATTTTCAGAAAGGGGGTCCCATGGGTCCAATCACTCAAAAGTTAGATGGTCCCTCCCCTGGCTTGAGCCCATTCTTCATCTGCCCATCTATATTCCTCAACACACTTCCTATGATGAGCTGGGCAACCCTTATATGAAGCTCTCACACTGAGCAATACCCTGAGGTATACAAAGCCACAAGGTAAACAGAATGCATAAAATAAAATGAACTTGTAAAATAAAACATATGACCTCAAAGACATTTGGCAGTTGCAGCAGGCGCTTGAGGCTACTGCAGCACCCTGTCTGAAGTTTACTCTTGTCAACAGAGGTGCTTTGATCAAAACATTAAGGAGCAAAGCTAGTTTTTCTTTAATAAACACTGACCCACTGATGGACTGGCTGTTCAGGAGCAATTTAAACCCAGCTTAGAACAGAATCACACATCTTCCTTACAAGATAGCCAAATGTATGGCCATGGGGAAGAAAGAAAGTTGCAGAACAAAACATTAAGAATAATCCCATTTTAATTTTTTAAATATACCCTGATAACTTGTGTAGATGTAGGCGGAAGATATTCTTAAGGAAACAGATTTCTGTGTTGGTGGCAACGATGTTAAGATATGTAAGGTTTTGATTAAAATAATAATAGTAGTTATAGTAATAACAAAGACTGGGAGAAAATATGTCGGGAAGAGACAGATCCAGAAAGAGACTAATCCTTCCACAGGACTGCTTCAGGAGCAGCAAGGGGGACATTCTAAAGGTCTAAAAGGTACTCTGAATCCCTAACAGAAGCACTAAGGACAGTAACCCCTGAACCACCCATAAAGTTGTCCGAGTACAGTCTACCTCCCTCCATTCATTCACCTTCCGCAATCTCCCCATGGGAAAATCTCCCCGAGTAACATCAAGGCAGCATTCCTTACCTCCGAGCATTTTACGAGGCTGATCTCCATGGTCTCCTGAAACTCGGATACACAATCTCCAGAGATGCCCCAGGCTTGGCAGTGCCTGAAAGGCAGGTAGGGCACTTTATTCCCAGGGGTTCCCAAAGCAGCTGGTTCAGGGCTTGTGTTATGCACAATGCGAAGAACTGCATCCTACCCTGAACACCACTGCTACCGAACCAGCTGTCCCTGGGGGCAAGGGTTCCTTCCAGGAGATCAAAGCAGGAAGCTGGACTCAGCATACTTTATTACTCAGTTACTGAGCACCTATTACTTGTGAAATATTTTTAGGGACTATGAGGGTACGACGATGGCAAAAAAAAAAAAAAATGCTGGCCTCCAAGGAGTACATAATCTAGAAATATACCCAAACAAGGCAATCAAGAACACTTGGAATAACCAATACAAGGTGTAGAGAGACAGGATAGCTTTGTGGTTAAATCATAGTGGAAATGTACTTCCTGGCTTCCAGTATTGGTTCTGACACCTACTAGCTTTGAGACCTTTGGAAAGCCACTTAGTCTTCAGTGCTTCCATTACCCTAGTTGTAAAAAGAACTAACAATACTATACCCTCTTAGGAATGTTGTGAGGATTAAATTAGCTAATGTGTGTAAAGAGCTTAGGACAATTTCTGGCACGCATTAAGCACTCTGTAAACATTCTTTATTATCATGGGAATATAGGAAGAAGAACACTAATCTTAATGGGAGGTGGGAATATATGGGAAAGTCCCTCAGGAAGGACCCTCGGGATACAATTTAAGCTGGGTATAGAAGGACAGAAAGGACTTTACAGGTCAGTGAGGTTTGGAGAACCCACCATCATAACAACAGCAGACAGCTATCAGGCAAGGCGTTCTAGTCTGTGCCAAACACACAGATGTCGGCAAGTTCCAAGAATAAGAACCTGCAGCCTAAGCCTGGGTAGGACAGGCAAATGGACAAACAGATAGGGGCTGAACTATCAATCTACAAATGCATGATAGAGAAGCACTGGCTCTAGTCAGAAGACAATGAGGAGTCATTCAAATCTTTGGAGGAAGAGACTAACATTCAAATCTGAGTTCATTTCAATAATCCAACTGGTCATTTTTCAGTGCCTCCAGTGTTCCATGCACCACACAATGGACGGAAGGGAAAACATAGGGGGAGTGATCAAGTAAGCTTTGTACCGTCACCACTTAATATAGCCCCTACGGTGCTTAGCATAGTATCAACACATGATGGGCGCTCGCTCAGTGTTGGGTTTTGTAGTTTTTTCTAGGTTGAACTAAAACAAAGTAAGAATATACCTGAAACTCCCTGGAGTGCCTTGCACTTTCTTGAAACCAACCCCCCTGGGAAGGATAGCAAGGGAGGGACAGGTAGCATTCAGGTTTCCTCCACAAGAAAAAGCACAACAAAACCCTTTTTGGCAACTCAGGGCCCCTGGGGAGCTACATGGGTCCCCTCAGGCCTTGTTTCTGACCCTTTTGTGGAGATGAGGGCCTGGGTCTCACCTACGGGGTACTCTGCGGATCCAGTAACATCATGCTCTCAACTTCAGGCACCTTGGCTCACCCAGGGGAAAAATATCTATCTCAAATAAAAAGGGAGTGGAGAAGATGATTCAGGGAGGTGACAGGGGTTTGCCAGTTTACAAAGATGGATTTCCCTAAGGAAATTAGCCAAGTGCATTTACATTTCTCTCAGGCCTGTTCCACTTTGTGACTGTGGGTCCCTGCCCAGCTCCCCTTAATGATAAAAGGTGGGGCCCTTGTAAGTGTGGCTAGGGGGAACAGACCCCACACTCTCTGCTCAGCACAAGGATCAAATCCCAGGAGCCTGCAGCAGGCTGCATGCGGAACAGTGTATGCCCCATCTAGATTAGACCTCTTGGCTCTGCTGTGGCCCTGAACTTGCAGCCCAATTATCTACATCAGGGTGGGGCGAACTTTTTCTGTAGAGAGCCAGACAGTAAATATTTAGGTTTTGCAGGCCCCTGTGAAAACCATTCTTAGCTCAGAGGCATACAAAACATTCCTGCTTTCTGTGGCTGTGTTCTGTACTAGGCACACAATGTGCCCCAAACGCCAAGATCCAGAGAGAAAACACAGGTGGATGAAGGCACACAAAGATGCCAGTGTGACTTGGAGTGCGAGGACTCCCCCTCCCTGCCCCATCACCACCCTGCCCTTCATCCCACAAGGCTCAAGGGACCTTTCTGCAACACTGTCCCAGGAGTGTCTGCATTTCCAAGAAAGCTATAGAAGGGAGTAATGCTTAAAGAAATATTGTTAGCCTTGCTGCACATTAGAATCGCCTGGGAAGCTTCCTAAAAAATACTCATGCTTTTCTGTACTTTAAGATGTTCCCATTTAATTGGTTTGGGATGAGGCCTCGACATGGCTATTTTAAGCCTCCCAGTGATTCTGTGTATAACTGGTTGAGAACCACTGACTGAACCAAAGGGATGAAGCTCCAACTGTGCAGCAGGATGAGGCAACTCGAATATTTGGAGGACTTCCCAGAACTGTCAACCTCCTCACCTGGGCCAGCATTCCCATGTATTTGTCACCCGTTTCCTGCCCAGGTGGGTCAGAAGTGATGGGATGGATTTAACCCAAGGCTTCTCTTCCTGTTTTTCCATTTGCCAATTCAATGTTAACTGTGGCTCCTCTACGTAGGACCTGGTGAGATTTCTGTTTTTAACTGCCTATTCCACCAGGCCTGGGGAGGGGTGGTTCCTAAGCCCTGTCTTCCAGTAGGTAATCACAGGTGACGCAAGTAATGGTGGCATGCACAGGCCTCTAGGGGAACACGAGAAGGAGGGTTGAGGTTTCAGGGCAGGCTTCCTAGAGGAGACAACACTCATCAGAGGAGAAACATGAAGAAAAGCAAAGAGGCAAGGAACGGCATCGAAAGCTCGGGGAAATGGCAAACGATTTGGAATATCTGAGAAGACCACATATAGGGAGGGGAAACAGCACAGGCACGGGCCAAACCAGAGGGCCTGGATGCTACACTAAGGAGTGTGAACTTTTTCCTGGCAGTACTGAGGAGGCTCTTGAAGCAGACGAGTCAGGAGACTAGATTTAGCATTTTAGAAAGATCACCCCGGCCTTTAAGAGTGAAAAAGAGCCAGGAGTGTGGTTGACACTTAGGAACTATCACTCACCAAAGAGGGAAAGAGGTAAACACCACTGTATTGCTCTTCTGTGTGCTGGAGAAGTACTGGAATTCCGTAAGACCATAAGGCATGATGAGTGCTGAGAAGTATCTTGGGTTGAAATATTTAACATGGTCTCTAGTTAGTCAGCCCTGGGCCCACAGCTCCTTGAACTCAATTAGACAAGAACATTTGAGGCTAATTGACTTCAAAGCCTTCCCCAGTGACCAGGGCTTAGTGACACCAGCCTCCAGGTCTCTTGTTCAGATATGGATGCACAGCATAGGTAAACTACAACAGGGACCTCATACGCAGCACTCCATCAGTGCCCCCAGAGACAAATGGGTCAAAATCACATTCCATATCCTTTGTAGAAAAGCCATGGGATCTCCATAAATGTCTAGGGGAAATCAAGTTTCCTTACGAGTCTCCAGAATTCAGGTCTGTTCATCCTCTATCAAACAAGGCAATGTGAAAGATCAAAAGCATAGAGCTGGGCACCTCTTTTTCTGAGCCTACAACCATCATTTTTGACCGGCACAGGTTTAAGCCCTGCCCTTAGCCCAGAGGACGCCTTGGTTCCAAACCCTCACAACTTAGCCCAGTCAGGCAGCAATGGGACATGGGAGAGGGACACATTAGCCAAGGAACAATGACTAGCAGGCCCATTCCAGTGTTTAACAGAGGAAGCCTTTGCCAAATAGAAAGAAATATCAGCAAGGGCAGGCTAGGAGATAGTCCTATCCTGTGACCTTGTTGGGTTTTGTTTTTTCTCTGTGCCAGTGACGGGTCACGATAGCAGCAACACCAGCCAACAGTCTTTTATTATCAAGAGAGCAAGGTGCTGGAGAAGATCCTTGACAGATCTATCATTCCACAGCCCAGGATCAGAACAGCTTAGCCAAAAATACTCGGCAGTAAGTATTGTGCCGAAAGGTCAGTTGTGTGACCCGGTTGTGTGCTTTGTGGGGAAGCCATAAAGCAACACATGCCTTCCCCGCAAAGCACACGACCCAGCCACACAACCAACCTTCCATTTCAAAGGCCCATTTAGCAAGACTAACTGGCATTTATAAAATTCCTTTCAAAAGCATGAAGCAAGGTCAATATTTTTAAAATCGTTTCCCCCCATTCCCCAAGGTCATCTTCTGGCTGTGGTTATTCTCCAGTCAATTTGTCTTCCTGCTGTTGCCATAGATAAAACTATTTTTAGTGCACAACTGGTTTGAAGGAAGTTTTTTTAATTTCACAACTTCTGCTGGTTGGCATCCATAAATGCCTTTCAGAGCTTTGTTTATCAGCTGACAGAAATTACTCTCTCCACCTGTTGGTTTTTTTTTCCTTGAGAGGTGATTTCAGATAAGAAGGAAATACAAATTGCAGGTGGCAGCCATTGAACAAAGGCTAACTGGTGGCAGTCCAGCCAGCCACATAACCCTTGGCAGCTGGCTCGCAGGAGTCCCTGCTCAGTGTCAGCTGTCACCACCACTTCTGGTTGGCTTGAATATCTGGACCCACATAGGCTGGTTTCCCCTGCAGTACCCAATTTGATGAGCTCTTTGGATGAACCAGAAATACAATTTTAATGGATAACATGTTCAAGACCATCACTTGTCCATCATCAGAGAGGAATAACAGAACAATACAGTATTTGCTGAACAACTTTCAATGAAAGGTACACTTCCAATGATTATTTGGTCTACAATTTTACTTTCAGGACATCCCGTTCCTGCTTTTCTAAACAATAGGTATTTTGTCCCAAAGCAGGTCCAATTTGCCATCATGATAAAGTAGTCATGTGTCACTTAACCGTGGAGATGCACTCTGAGAAATGCATCATTTGATGATTTTTGTCGTTGCGTAATCATCATAGAGTGCACTTACACAAACCTAGATGGTATAGCCTACCACACACCTAGGCGATATGAGATAGCCTACCATTCCAACCACCGTCATATATCCTGGCTACTGTTGACCAAAATGTGGTTATGCAGTACATGATTATATATGCCAAGTATTCCATTGAGATGGTTATTTCCTCCTTTCAGTATCCCAATAATGTCAATTCCCCTACAAATTCTACTCATCCTGCAAGATTAAACTCAAACATCACCAGTAGGCGGGGCTGGGTGGCTCATGCCTATAATCCCAGCACTTTGGGAGGCCGAGGCAGTTGTATCACTTGAGGTCAGGAGTTCAAGACCAGGCTGGCCAAGATGACAAAACCCTGTCTCCACTAAAAATACAAAAATTAGCCAAGCATGGTGGTGTGCGCCTGTAGTCCCAGCTACTCGGAAGGCTGAGGCAGGAGGACTGCTTGAACCTGGGAGGTGGAGGCTGCAGTGAGCCGAGATCGTGCCATGGCACTCCAGCCTGGATGACAAAGTGAGACTCCATCTCAAAAAAACATACCTTTAGTGAGAGGCCTTCCCCTGATGCCTCAGGAAGAACCTTTATTTTAGCTTCTACAGAACTTTGTAAACTCTTCACCCCACTATAACCATCACCACTTTGTTTGATGTTAGTTTGGGAAAATGTCTGCCTCTACAGGTAGGGCGGACCCCAATGCCAGCCCTTTACCACACAGAGAAAGGTTTATGAATGTTCAATAAATCAATTAATCAACATCTCACAGCTTCCCACCACACACACAATCCCCAGCACACACACAGATAGTACTTGTAACATCTGCAAATCATGAGCAGAGCTAGAAACCATAAAGATGGGCAGAACCCTAGACCCTTTAGATACCTTCCTTCCAGAAACAAGTACCAGTGTACCCAGGACAGCCCTGAATGGCCTGATCCCGAGCCCTGAGTTCTCCAGTCCAAAATACGTCTGCCATCTTATTCAAAAGGCAAAGTCTTTTCAAGAGTGTCACAATGTGTCCGACAGCAAAGCACCTATAATTAAATAAATATTCCAAAGGAAACGTTTGACCCAAAATCTTCAGAAATGTTATTTGTATACTAGTCACATTTGTATCAACCCACCGTATTAGGTTAGGTACCCCAACTAATCCCCACCTCTGGAAGGGAAGTTACAGAGAATTTCATGCAATTCATGCAGTCTGGTCACACATATGATCCTCTCAGGGCTCAGGGTTAGCTTTTCAGTGACTTCATTCTTTCTCAGTTGCAATTGTGTTCAAATTGAGAAAGATTTCCATAGAAAAATACAAACACCCAACTTAGAGTAAGGCCAGGACTGTGGTTGGAAACCCCCTTGGACCCAATGTAGATCTTACTCTATGATGCTAATGATTGGACAACTGGAGTTCTGTCAACCTTGGGCATGAGCCAACTGATGGATTCTGGGGTGTGTGTGTGTGTGTGTGTGTGTGTGCGCCTGTGTACACAACCTAAGTGTCTGGTGAGTGCACGCACACACACACCCCAGAATCCATCAGTTGGCCCATGCCCAAGAGTAACACACCTTTCTTCTAGAGCTAAGAAAGACAGCTTATAAGGTGACCACCATCACTCGCTTAAGGCATGTAAAAGCAAATAAGCAGGTCCAAGCCTGCACGCAGACAGAACCAGTGGGGGTTTTGCTTTGGACTTAACCACCTGTTTAAATCTTGAGGAAACACGATTACAGAAGTCTCAATCAGAGCAAAGAGGTACCAAATGATAAGTATTGAACATCATGATAAATGGAAGAACTAAAAAGCCACAAGCCAAGCCCCTGGCTGTGGCTCTAAGGTGCTGACCGTGTTAGAAAGATGGAGCATTTCTTTTACAGAGCATCTGGAGAGATGGGAAAAGATGCCACAAAGATCAAAAAGAAACAGCACTTCCAAAGGGAAACCTTCCCTGGAGATGCTGTCCCAAGCTTTCAGTGCTGCCATTGTTGTCACTGTGCTAATATTTAAATCAGACAGAAGAAAGTGGTTTACATAAACCGGAGTCCCACACAGTCGGGCTCCTGGGCGGCCGGCTGCTGTTCTGGTTTGCCCACCTTGGCTAACCCCACTCCAGAATTACCCTATCACTAGTGGATACCCTATCACTAGTGGACACAAGTGACCCCATCTTTCTTTTAATTAATGGAAGAAGGAAAGTTTGAGTTTTAAATACATTCATTACTTTTGAGTCTCAAGGTAGGGACACTGCACAAATGTCTTCCTTCATTTTTAAACTGGTGCCGCCAATAAACTCGGCTTGACAGAAAGGCAGGAAGGAGAGGAAATCTCTGGGAATTCCATAAAGTCCCCTAAGCCCTCTCCTACCAGCTGGTGGGCCCCCTGAAACCTCAAGCGGGAGGGTCACTGCCAGAGCCGGCACAGGACCGGGGAGTTGAGCCCAGGGTGGGGCGTCGGGGCCAGGTGCTGGCTCCCGAGCTTTCCCATCCCTAGTCCCCTCTAGAGGGGGCGGCCGGGATGGGGGAACGGGACGGCGGCGGCTCCCGCCCCCGCTACTCACCCTCCTGCTGGGCGCCCCGGGCGTCCTGGCGGCGCCGCCCGAGAGCAGGGTGACCGTGGACGTGGAGCGCAGCATCCCGCAGCGGCGGTCGGTAGCGGGCTGGACGCCGGCGTTCCTCCCGGGCAGAATAAGCGTGCGGGGCCCGCCCTGCGCGGGGGCGACGCGGGACGGCGCCGGCTACTTGCAGCCTCAGCTGCACCGCGAAGGCCCGGGGGTGGGGCCGGGGGCGGGGCCGGGCCGGGCCGGGGCGGGGCCGAGCGCGCTCACCCGACCCGTCAGGCTGCATTTTCTCCCGAGGGCGCCGACCCGGTTAAAGTTGAGCACCATCCTCTCCCAGGGCGCTGCGCCCTCCCAGGGTCAGTCCCAGGGCAAGAAGGAGCCCTGGACAGCCTGGACGCCCATGCTCTCTCTGTCCCCCGCAGAGTTGAGATCCACCTGCCCATTCAGTCTCACGACCTACCCCCACCCCGGACTGCCCCCTACAGCCTCTGCACGCCCTCGTATCACTGGGACCCTCACCCCATGTCATTCATTCAGTATTTCCTGAATGCCTATTATGCGTCCCCACCAGCAGCCAACCCAGTCGACTGGCTGTTGGCCTCGGAGAGTTTGCAGTGTGGTGGGGATGACAGGTGCCGGGCTGTGGTAGAAGAGGAGATACCATGTACTAAGGGAGCACACAGCCAACCTCAGAGGAGGTGATGACTAAGCTAAGACCTGAAATGCAAGTAGGAGTGGGCCACACTGCCCATATTTATTCAATGATTACTGTGGGCCTGCCTGGCGAGCACTTTGCGTGTGTTACCTCATTTAATCCTCACCATTGCCCTTTGAGGGAGTCACTGTTGTTACCTTGTATCCCCATTTTGCAGATGAAGACGCTGACTCACCTAGGGATTGAGCAACACAGCAGGCGACCCACTGGCCTCTCAGTGGCAAAGGTAGGATATGAATCCCCCAGTCCGACCCTAGTGCCTTGCTTGTCCCCTCTGCTGTCCCCTAACAGAGGGAGGAGGGAGTCCCAGGTCAAAAGAACTAGCATGCACAAAGATGGAAGGAAAGCAAGGGAAGGTATAAAATATGTTTCAAGAATTGGAAGTATCACAGTGCAGTGGGAAAACAGTGGAGAAGCAGCGGAAGGGAGCTGAGGACATCATGAGGAACCTGTGTGCTTAGCTGGAAATTTGGCCTTTATCTTGAGGACAAAGTGTTTTTCAGCAGGGAAAGACACAATCTCTGTCTTCAAAGCCCAGGTCAAGCACTGCCTCCCCACGGAGCTCTCCAGAAACCCCTTCCCCAAACACGCATGCTCAGGAACTTAGCAGCTCCGCGGGACCCTGTCTTCTGTTAGAGTTATCTATGTGTGTGCCTGTACCCTGTCCTTCTGGAGGGCAGAGGCCAGGCCTTGACCCTCTCTGAATGCCCAATGGCACCAACAGGGAAGATGCTGAAAAAAAAATGTTGCTAAACAGAATTACAGATGATCCTGTGGAACTCACTCCTTTTGTAGATGAGGAAACTGAGGCCGGTGTATACAAGTGACTTTCCCAAAGTTGCACAGCCTGTTCTTCACCATCCTCATCGTCATCCTCACAGTAGCTGTGCTTGTGTCCTAAGTGCTTTATATGCATTTTCTCAACCAATTCTCACAATGCCCCACAAGGTGGGCTACAGTTATCGCCCCTGTTTTGCAAATGAGGAAACTGAGGCCAGAGACATTAGGTTAATTGGTGAACAGCTGAGACTACACATCTAGTCTTCTAACCCAAGTCCTTCTGCTTTTCTGCTACACTCCTCTCTGCATCCTCCCATCCACCTATCCCTTCCAAAAAGAAAATTGTTCATGACAGGTTCCTTCCCATTCCACTTCCACGAAGCCCTCTAATCTACCCAAGTCTTTTTCATATTGTTAACATCCTATTCACACGGTGTTATATTTCTTTACAAAAGCAGCAGACAGCTCACTAGCTTGTGAGCTCTGTGTAGAAGCTGGATCTTGTTTACATCTCTGCCTGTCCAATATCTAGAGCAGGTAATTGACGTGTGGTAGTGCAAGTAAATGTGGAAAGAATGAAGAAATGTTATTACAGAGTAAGATTTCAACTCACTCATGGTCATGAAAAACAGAAACTAAGATCCTTGCCAACCCAGCTCCTAGGGTGGGCCAGGGACTCCAAGCAATTTGGCAGCTGAAGCAACAAGAGCCCCAGGGTTGTCCCAGCCAGGCCATTTCCCCAAAGCTGGCTGACAATCGCCAAGGGCTGTGGGTGGTGTGTCCAGGCAGATGCCAGGCCCTGGCTTATGCCACAGCTCCTCCCTAATAGGCCAGCACTAGGAATCTGAGGTCATAAGGAACTGCAAGAGAGAGGAGAGTGGGGAGCCCAGAAAGTGGGAAAGAAGGAAAATGGGAAGACAAGTAGGACTGAAATCAATGGAAAAGTGGATCTAGAGTGGAGAGGAAAAAGTAAAAAATGAAGTCACAGTCACTGGTTTCCATTAATATTTCTGAGAGAAGATGATTTTTAAAAAAAGATGGACTCTTTTCAAAAGAGGAATCAAAAGCTGAGAACTTCTGCCCAGTCAGCAGTCCTCTGGAGTCTACAGAACTGAGAGTGGGGAAGAGGGCCAATGGGAGGGGAACAGGGATAAGGGTCTGGTGTAGAAGTTCTCCACATTCCCTTGCAACATGACTCATCTACTCCAGACCCTCTGAGCATTGGTGATGAAGGGGTTGCTAGTGTTTGGGCTGGAGAGAACGGGAGCTATGACAAAACTGTCTTAGCTGTCATCCTTTTCTATCCACAGAAATAGCCACATAGGCCTAAGAGCAGTCCTGAATTTCTCTGCTAAAGCACAGGTGTGTAGAAAATTCCAGATGTCTGTATAAGCACCCTTCATTTTCTTGTAATCAGTTACTGAATTTTACCTCCTTCTCCCATCCCAGTTCCTAGAATTATCTTTCATATCCTCTAGGTCTCTGCTTCTGAATTGTCTTTGTTGCTTTCTGCTAAACTCTTTCCAAATTCCATTGGCATCTTTAGTTGAGAGGCTTATGATAGGACCCTTTTCTCCAGCAAAGTCCTGAGCAGCAATGACTCATTATTTCTTGCACAAATGATCAAGAGTTAAATCACTGGACAAGAGCACACAGTAGATGAACCCAAGCAATTCTGGCCCTCCTGATATTTCATGCCCTCTTCACTCTTATATCTCTGAAGCTTCTCTTTCTTTCTCTCCCATTCAGCTGCGACAGCATCCCGAAGTCCTGGCATATTCTCCCATTCTGCATGCCAAACAGACCAAACTTTCACAATAGAAAAAGGACACATTTCCAACCAAGGACAAGGGTAATACATTACAAAGCCCCTTTGGATAAAGTAGAACAAGAAACACCCCATATTCACAGGTTGTCCGAGAAACAGGGAATGGGGCCTAGAGATAAGAAAGGCAGGCTGAAAGGAACCCAAAACCCCAGCCAAGTCATCCAGATACACAGCAGTTATAGGCCTGTCTAGACACAAGGGCTGGAACCACTTGCTGATCCACCCTGGGGAATACAAGCTCATTGGAAATCATTCTGTTGTCTCGCCAGTTAACCCAGTGAACCAACAGGCAACTGGCAGAGTAATAATAAGCCAATTCATGGAACAAATATGTACCAAGCACCTACTGTGTACTGAGCACTGGGGACTGAGGTGAGTAAGACAGCCCCTGTCTTCTAGGAGTTCACAATCAAACCAGGAAGAGAGATGTGCACTTAGCAAATAAAATGACAGCTAACACTTTTATATGGCACTTACTGAGTTCACAAAGCTTAAAATGCATCAACACATTTAACTGTCGCAGCAACTCAGTGAGGAAAGTAGTATTATGTCCCTTACTTTGCAGATGAGAAAATGGAGCGGCAGGGAGGTTAAGTAACTTGCCCTTGGTTCCAGCACTAGTAAGTGGTTAAGCTAAGCTTCAACCCCAGGCAAGATGGCTCCAACATCTGCATACTTGACAATTCACCTCCTCTACTGGGATAGGGGCCAGATTTGAGGTGTGTCCAGAGCACTTATGGTAGGCAGGAGGGAAGCTGCTTGGGCAGAGAACAGTGAAGGCTTCCCTGGGAAGGTGGCATAGGAGTTGTTGGACACGAAGAATGAGGAGGAAAAGGTAAGCGCATTCCAGACAGAGGAGCTGGAAGAAATAGTGGGTCGGGGGATGTGGGAAATGCATGTTAGCCAGTTCTGCTTGAACTTCAGGGCAGGAGGGAATGGCCAGAGACAAGTAGGGTGGGGTTAGATTGCAAATGGACTTGAATAAAATTGAGACTTAATAGCAGATTATGAGCTCTTAAAGTTTTGCAATTAGTGCAGTGATATGATCAGATTTGTATGAAGAAAGATGGCAGGCAGCAAAGAAAGGAGTAAGGATGGCAGACAGAGCCTGGAAGGCAAGTACTTTGGAGTGCACTGGAAGTGTGGCCATGACGTAAAGAGGCTCTGCACTAGGGCAGTCGGTGGCAGTGGAATAGAAAGGAGGGGATGGATTCAAAAGGCAGAAAATCCACAGAACTTCATGACCAACCAAAAGCTGGAGGATTTTTGTAGGCCACCCCAGTGAATAGTCGACAAATACCTCTACAGATCCTGAGGGATGGGGAATCAGCTAAGAAAATGAATGAAATAAAGGATGAGTGATTTCTTTCTCAGCCTTGGGACTTCACCCAAGTCTGAGATTAAACACAGTGAGACAAACCTCAAAACCTAGAAGAAGGCAGCACTCTTACTTTTCCAAGTAGCTACTACTGTGAGCTTGGAGAAAACATGTTGATACAAAGGCAGAAACCTTACGTATTTCTTTTCTCAGGAAGATACTCTGATGACTGTCTTTAAGAGGAAGTAGACTCCACCCAATGTCAAAAAAACAGTAATAACAAAAAGGAAGGAATCAGTCAGATGAGACACGTGAAAAGAATTAGGGGCCTTCCTGAGAAGCACGGGGCAAGAAGCATCTCTTTTTGTAGCCCATGTACTTCCTTGAGTAATTTACCCCAAAAGTTAGTGACCGGTCAGTAATTGTCATTTGGACAAATTAAAATATGAGTAGTAACTGTATTTAAATCTATACCAAAAAAAAAATAGACAATCTATAAAAGGGAAATTCTTTTTTGCTCTTTTTTTTAAAAATAAAAAGTCCTGAAATGCTTTGTGTGCGTATTCAAGCAGAACATCTGATATGTCTATTTATGCAATGACTGTCATTTTAGGTCACCCTCTCCCGGAAGTAGATTCTGAGCCAAGGACTCCTATGTAGGTGATCATTAGGGAGGTGCTCCCAGGAGAAACCAGGAAGGGAGTGGGAGACCCAGGGAGGGGAAGAAACAAGCAAGGATGCAACCTTAGGTAAAGTTTCAAATTCAGCCTGATCCATGGGCAGCTCTGAAGTATAAATTGCACCTCACAGCTACTTCTGCCTCAAGACAAAAGAACTAGGGCATTTGTACTCTATACTAGTCAGTCACTGGCTAAAGGTTACCTGGGTATGGGGATGGAGGGTGGGGAATGTACATGAACTCTCCGGCATTTGCAGCACTCCACAGGGGCAAGGAACCTGAATATCCTTGGAAAATCCTCTGAAAGTCACAGGCACAGACCATTAGCATCCAAGGATGCAAAAGCTAGGGAATGGACACACAGAGCAGGTGAAATGTGGCTGAGGAGATATGCATGGGTATCAACTGTGTCCACTATAGCTATATATTATTTCTGTAAACAAATCAAGATATAAAGGTAGATACTGGCCAAGTGCAGTGGTTCACGTGTAATCCCAGCACTTTGAGGGGTTGAGGCTGGTTAATTACTTGAGCCCAGGAGTTCAAACCAGCCTGGGCAACATAGTGAGACCTCTGTTTCTACAAAAAATAAAAAAATTAGTCTTGCATGGTGACAGGCACCCGTGGTCCCAGCTACTCAGGAGGCTAAGGTGGGAGGATTGCTTGAGCCCAGGAGGTTGAGGCTGCAGTGAGCCATTATTATGACATGGCACTCCAGCCTGGGCAACAGAGTTAGGCCCTGTCTCAATAAATAAATAAATGTAGATACCAGTGGGTATGTAATATGTCACCGCTTAGAGTAAAATCTCTGGGACAATGATAACAATAAACCACTGAATGGCCCACAGAGTCTGGTACAAAACAATGTGGATACAGACAAAGAATCAGGGGAGAGAACACTCATCTACTGATGGAAGAGATAGGATCCAAAAAACAAATAGGCTGGAGCCAGGAGCAGAATCTGACAAGATGAAATCTGGCGGGAATAAATTTGTGATCCTAACCTTGAGTCCAAGGTCAAGAAGAGCACAAGACAGGACTTGGCAGACCCGGCTCAGCAGCAGCATGTGCTACAGATGCCTATGGAACTCAGCATGGCCAGTAGCTCCACAGAAGCCCACCCTTCTGTGCCCTAGAAAATCTCATCTGATTTCATATGGGATTCAGAGGAAGGCAGCTACTCTGTGGTGCTGGCCGAAGCATGCCAGAATGTGGCCTTCAGGTCTGGGTGCTGTGGTTTGAAGGAAAAGGGAACACCCAAATGATTTCAGAAGAACATGACCCAGAGAGTATAAGAATGATGGGAGATGCAAGTGATAGAACTGGGAATATTGTCCCTAGAGAAGAAAAGGCTGGCAGACATGTTAAATGACTTCCCTTCTTGAATGTCACTCACTGTGGCAGAGAGATTAGACCTTCTGTGTAACCCAAAGTGTAGGACAGGGGCCAGTAAGCAAAAGCTGCAGAGAGATGGAGTTCAACCACAATGTGAGGAACAACTTTAATAGCCAGAGCTAGCCAAGGGAAGGGATAAAGGAAAGAAATTGGGAAGGGTGGAAATGATGGGCAGGGATACCTCACACATAGGCAGGGAATTCCCTATCCCTGGAATGTGGCTCTGCCAGTGGTCACCAAGCCAGACTGCACACCAAAGCTGCCTGGGGACTCGCTAACACTGCACCCTGGGTCCCAACCCACAGTCATTCTGATTTCATGGATCTGGGATGACACCCAGGAAGCTATATTCTAATAAGCTCCCCAATTTTTTTATTATGCCATCATCCAGCATTTGTACTGGGCCCAGGTCTGAGACTGCTGGTGAAGACAACTCATCAAGGATGACTAGAAAGGACTCAAGCTCATGTGGGGAAAGGGGCATAGAGTAGATATATTTATTCCCTTCAAATTCCAGAGGTCTGGGGCCTTGGGATTGTGGGATTCTAGCTGTCAAATCAGAGGAGTCCGTCTGAAGAACACTGTTTAATAGACAGCATGGGCTTTGGAGCTAAACTAACACGCATTTACATTCAGGCTGAGGAGTCTTGGGCAAGTCATTTTCATTCTCCAAGTCTGAATCTTCTCACTTGTGAAATGGGGGATAACAGCAGCACCTCCTAGGGTTGTTGTGAGGCTTGAAGGAGATCATAAAATATAAACTATATGACTCTAGTAAGTCATAGCCCTCAACAAAACTGAAGACCCTTCTAAAGAAAACTAGGAATTGCCTGCTCATTTTTTTGGTAATGCTGAGTATGAAAGATGACAGAATACTTTTTTAAGTCTGGAACAATTTCTTCAAAGCAAAAATATTGAGTGTTCCATGCCAGTGTTAATATAAGACATTTAGAAAAGAATAAAGCCCTTCTTTTCCTCTATTTGATTTGCTTTAAGACAGATTAATATAGACAACCAATCTATTCTTAGCATGTAAGAAGAGAATCATAAAACTTTGAAACAGAACAGTATTTATTTTTTAATCCTAAGAAGAACGATAGTACTCCCTAACATTATTTTTCTGCCTTTAGGCCTCCAATGAACTCATGTAAACAGGTTTCCATTATAGCTCCTGTGACAAGTATAAACTTTACCATAAAACATAGAATATGAACCATTTTCCTCTAAGTTCAATTTACTCTGTCCTAAGTTGCTATCTGGCCCCACTCCAGCTGACAGGGGTCTTTCTGATATGCCAGTAGTGGCTTCAGGCAGGGTTTCTGCTTGTGGCTGTGAAGGTTGTTCACAACACAAAGACTTCTGGCTAAAAGAACTAATGTTCCACCTGACAAACTGTGCCACTGACACCGTCCCTAAAAACTCCATAAAACTAATCCGGGAAGAAGGGAGGGGAAGAAATGTAAATGAGCCAAGCTTGCAGCACACTCAGCATCCATCATAAGAGCAGCTCGCTGTCTGACCTGCTTCCTCATGGTTGTTTGGTGCCTATGGCCTCAAAGTCATGTAGATCCTGGTCCAAGATTATAGTTCCACCTCACTGCTCTCTAGATAACAACATGAGTATTATCAAACCTCAAGTTTTCCATTTGAGATATTCTTCAGGTCCTGCATACCAGTGAAACTATGGACATCAGCTGCTCTGAAGGACCCCATGAAAGTGGACTCACCAAAGAATGTAGTTTCCATGTCCTGATGATTTCATCTCCTTTACCCCAACCAATCAATGACCCCAATTTTCCAGCCACTCGCCCTCCATGATCCCCTTAAAAGCCCCAGCCCAGAACTCCTCAGAGAGGTGGATTTGAGGGTCTCTTCCTATCTCCTCACTCAGCATTGTGATGATTAAACTTTTTCTCTGTTGCAAACCCTGCTGTCTCAGCATATTTGTCTGTTACTCCACAGCAGGTATATGAACCTGCTGGTCCTGTAATACCCCCAGCTTGGGGCTATGCTCACTAGAGAAAGGGATGCCATTTCTAATTCACACAAAATCATAGGGGCTCGTGGATTTCCTGTCCTGGATATGTGGGGCTCTGTCATTTTTGTGCAAAATCCACCCCCACACACACAAAAAAACCTGTTCCTGCCCTTAGCCTTCCCCAGCTCAGTTGATGGGGACTCCTTTCTTCTAGTAGCTCAGCCCCAAATCCCTGGAATCACTCTTGCTTCCTCCTCTTACTCTCATACCCTACATGCTATCGATTGGTTTCACCTTCAGAATATATCCAGAATCTAAGCCCTTTCAATTAAAGGGGCTTAAGCCACCATCACCTCTCCCCTAGATCCTTGCAGTCCTAACTGGTTCAACTGCTTCTGCTCTTGACCCCCAAAGTCCATTCACAACACTGAGGTTAACCCACACTGCTCTGCCCAAAGCCTCCAGTGGCTTCACAGCTCTTCAGATAAAAGCCCAAATCCCGGGCATTTGTTTGTGTTTCCATCCTCTAAGTGAGACCCAAGTTTGATGAGGCAGGGGTTTAGTGTATTTTGTTGATTACTCTAATACCAACATCTGCAACAGTCAGTGCCTGGCACGGGACATGCAGTAATTCATTCCTGGATGAATGAGTGAGTGTTCTTTTGCCACATCCCCAGTACTGCAGCATGTTCAGATCAGTCCATCCAAGATCCCAACACCTCTGCATAGGGGGTGGTATGGGCTCCATTACTCACTGGACCTGAAAAATACATCTACTTCTGGTCCAAACTTCCCTCTAATCTGACTATTTATGCCTCCCTCACTCAACAGCAGGTCATCTCAGACTTTCCTCTTCAAGAATAAATGTCACTAATCTCTCAGTAAGTTGGGGTTCCTAAAAACAAAAGGAACTGCCTATTTGGACCTGCATAAAAGGCCCTGGAGCAAGGGAACAGAAAGACTTGGAGAAAGAGGGAGGAATGTGGAAAAATACCTACAGCAGTAAAAACAAGGGACGACTTAATCACTCCATCACTTGTGTAGTGACACACCTTAACACTTTATTGCAGTCATTCATTCTCATGTCCCCATCACCCTCCTCTAATGGGAGTGAGTGCTTGATGTCAGAGGCTACTCATTAATCAGAGCAGACACATGTACATCCAGAGACACACAGTCATCATGCTGGGTGCCAATCCCCAAACCCTGCTTCACTGCAACCTCAGAGCAGGAGTGGAAGGAGGGACTGGGATGCTGAGTGCTTCTGTCTCCTGGATACATGCTCTGTCTCTGCCTTCCCACAAAAACACCCCATCAGCACCCTCTCAGTCAGCATCACTTCACCGTGACCTCTTCTGATAGCCACTCAGCTCCCATTGTCCCTGTCAGGCAGGGAAGATACCCTGGTGTTATGATTACTCCCATCAGAGCAGATGGGACAGGACCAGGGTCTGCTCAGAGGGGCAGGAAGGGAACTTCAAGATCTACCCCAGCTGCGGGGGCTGATGGTGAAATTGAGTTTAGCTGAGAAACGGGAGGGAGCTATTTAAGCAACTCCCAGTCACAGTCCCAACCATCAATCAGGAACAGGGAGTTTAAGATTAAACAGCTGCAAATTCTGATAGGTGGGCTGAGACCTGCAACAGAGCCAGAAGAGACACCAGGGTGGGCTACCAGGGAGCTGCGGGACTTCAGGCACAGAGCAAAAGGTTCAGGATAGGATGACCAACACGGTCCAGTTTGCCTGGATTTTCGGTTTTAGCACTGAGTCCTCTATCTAAGGAAGCCCCATTGGTCCCAGGCAAACCAGAATGGTTGGTCACCCCAGATCAGAGCAGCCAGCAAAGATACAAAAGCAAGACCAGACCCTGATATGAAGAAGGGATGCTGGGGACACATGCGGAACAGTGACTCCAGAAGAGTGGCCCAGACAGAAAGCCCAGGTATGAGGACCAGGACAGAGAAGAGAAACTGGACTTAAAAAGAGGTGAGGTTAAGTCCCTTCAAGGAGGTTAAAAGACATTCCATTTATTTTTTTTTAAATCTGTAGTCAAATAAAATTGGTAAAATCTAGGTTAAACAAAAGCAGGCAGGTTTAAGACAGTACACACTGCCCTAGTGTGCATGGAGCGTCTTCAAAAGAAGAATAACTATTCAGGGTTTTTCCAACTTAACTGACCACAGGGCCCTCCCAACCCCATGGAATATCTGCCCTAATAGAGCCCATAGGAGGCCAGCAAAATGCAAGCCCAGGTGGGGACAGATACTGCTTAAAGCAGCCTTTCAGGAATATGCCTTATCTGGAAAGAAAAGTTCGTTCATACGGAGACTGATTAGCTGGGTTAATCATTGTCAGGCTAGAGAGCCAGATGGAAGGACAAAGTCTCCATTTTAGACCTCATGGCCAAAGGGGGGCGGTGCAGCCTCCATCGGAGGGATGGGTCTGGAGTCAGCCATTTATCAGAGATTAAAGTACTGAGGCTAAGGACTGTCATTTGTCATACCAAATGTCTCAAATGGACATCGGCTTACCTGGTGACCCTCTATTCAGAGAAAGGAGGGGCCCAACTAACCCAGGAGTGGGATTAGGAGAAGCAATTTTCCCCAGCCTATGGCCGCATTAACTCTGAACGGGTGCAGAAAGAGGGTGAGCTGCCCTGAGAGTGACTTCTGTGGCTTCCGCATTTATCTTCATCTCGATTGGAGGGAAGCAGCTGGATCTGATCTGGTGGGAAGAGAGAGGACACACAGAGGGTTCTGGAACAACACTGAACCTTGACATGCCTGGTGCTGGCAACGCAAGCTCACTGGGTGCTTGGCCTTGAGAAGAGTTGTTGGAGCATTTCTGGGAAGCTGAGTGGCAGCCTCCTTCAAGAGCAGATTTGTGTTCCTAGGGACAAGCCACTGCAGGAGAACAAAGGTGGATAAGACCATCGAGGGCTTAGGTTTACAGTTCTCGGCCTGTATGACATACAGCGTGGTGGAAAGAGCATCAAATGCAGGCCAGGGAGCCTGGGCTCTGGCATATCTGTGTTGACCTGAAGTTATCACCCCTCTGGGGCTTTACACTCCCCCATAATAACTGAGAGCTTTGGAGCAGATGCTCTCCAAAGCTACCTTTTAGCTTTGACATTCCCAAAGCATTGTTAAACAATGTGATTCCCAAACATTTCTTTGTTGTTCTTTATTCAAGTTATTGACTGTTATTTCCTCCAAATCTTAAGCAGTTTACTCTTATTATAGGTCAAGCCTCTGCCACTGGGCAGAGTTGCAGGTTAGGTTCCCAAGAAAACTAGATACAGCTCCCCTCTTGGATGTTTAGATCGAAAGACAGGAGAAGCCACCTGCACCCAACCTACATCCTACACTCTAGTAACTGGGACGATTTCGACTTTCCAGAATGTGCTATGTGTCTCCATGCCTGTCTTTGCTTGTGTTCCCTGGAACACAGACTCTGAGGTGGGGACTTGTGTGCAGTAGGGTTTTTGGGGAGTACTCTTAGGAGACTCCCTGTCCTGGAGTGAGGATGGCAGGACTGGTAGAGGGAGGAGCTGAACTGTGATGCAGCCACACCAGAGGCCTCAGCCAGTTCCATAGGGAGCTCTGGAGCAGGATGGCTCTTCAGATTTGTCCTCAGTGTGGAGAAGGGAGCTGAGCCTTTGTACCTACCTGTTAACCAGTCCCTGGATTCAGGCTTGCCCTGAGGAAGGGACCTAAGATTGGGGAGGCAGCTTACTCCAGTCGAGGGCAATTCCTGTGGGCCATCGGCATCCTCCATCACTCCCTGCAGCTGGGTGAGGAGGATGTGGGTGGCACGTCGCAGCATCCACTGCAGAGTCTTTGCTCATCTCCTCCCTCCGCCATGCCCAGACGCCTTCCCCTCCCATCACTGCTGTTGTGCCTCTCCCAGCATTTCACTACTTTTTGTGTAACCAAGAAGTCCTCAAGGATAAGACTGCCTTATGCATCTCTGTTGCACCAGACTTCTACATCTGAAAAGTAGCAAGAAGGAAATAGAATATACTGAATCGATGAGGTCTCTGCATCAGACTATGGGTTCAAATCCCACGGCTACTCATTATGAGAGTACTCAATTTCCTTCCCTGAGCCTCAGTTTCTCCATCTGTAAGATAGGGGAAATTGTCATTTTCACTGTCTTTTAAGGTGGTTAGAATTAAATGAATGATATAAGTTAGACATCTGGCACATGGTAAGTACTTAATTAAGAAGAGGAGCAGAGAGGCTGTCTCCTGTAGCCTTTTCTCACTGGCTTATTAGGGAAGATCTGGAAGGGGAGGAGGAGTCAGGGAGGAAGAAGCCGTGGGCAGCTGTGACCATGAGTGGGCATCCTGGGGGAGCCATGGGCCCTTAACAGTGTAGGGGCAGGGGGGAAGAAATGAGGCCAATCCCCCAGGGAGTGTAGGCTGGGGGTGTGATCCCCTGACTATGGACAGCTGGGAAGGTCCTGACATGGGAGGGAGGGAAGTTGAGGGGAAGACCTGAGGGCAGGCTCAACCCCAGCCTTGAGCTTGTGTCCTGTTTCAGAGCATCGTGTCTTAGCCCTTCATCAGACATTATCTTCACAAAGATCTCTGAAAACACTCACTCCATGGTGTTTATTATCCTCCCCAAACAATGTTCTCAGTGAATAAGCAGACAGACATATCATAAATGCCAGGCGTTTCCTCCCTCTCCCGTTTAGATTTCAGGACAATGCATTTATCACTGTTTTATCATATGGGCCACCACATATACTTCTGAAAACAGAAAGCAGCCTGCATTTGAGGGGGCTAGAGAGCCTGACCGCCTGTATCCTGTCTCCTATGGGGCCGGATACCCCACTGCAAGCCCACTTCCACTTCCTCCATTCCCTTCCTCAACAAAACTATCCAGAAGAGAAACATTTTCCCATCTGGAGTGGAGAGAGACCTTTGTCCTGCCTACATGAGGGTGAAAGGGGAAGGCACCCTGTGACTAGACACTTCTAACTCTCCAGCCTTCCTCGCAAATTTCAATGAAGCCTCCACAATCTTACTGTTTAACATGATTATATTCAGATTGTGGGCATTTTATATTAAATGTTATGATATTTTGCTTAAGATCCTACAGAGTACAAATAGATACACACATGTCTTGCGTTAAAACTTTACTTAGAGTAGTAGCATTTGTCATAAATACCTGGCTAAGATGAAACCTCCTCGGTTCAGCTGGCTCGGCATATCATTCTGTTTGGACAGTTTGAAATGAGGGTCAGAATAGACCCTAACTTCAGCCAACTAAAAAGTTGTAGCCTTTCTCGCTGGCCTATTAGGGAAGATCTGATTATTCTATTTCAGGAAGAGGAACAGGAGAAGGAGTCAGGGAAATAAATTGCACTACTTTGCAGAATTGCATAGCTTCCTTCCTTCCTTCCTTCATTTATTTACTTGGCCATCTCTTCGTTTACTAACTCAATGGACATCCAGTTATTGAGTACTTTCAATGTGCCCAGTATTGTCCCAGGGTTGTAGGAAATACAAGGATGCATAAGACTCACCATTGCCCTGGAGAAGCTTGCAGGTGGGAGCGGGGCAGTGGGGAAGAAAGGCAGGGTTGCATGAAAGAATTATGTGTTTGTGGACCTAAGAGGGTAGTAGAGAATGTGAGACAGACAGGATGGCATGGACGGGGTTGGGCTAGCCCCACACTCATAGTTCTTATGGTTGCCATGAATTTTGCCATTACATTTTATCCTGAAAGCGCTAGGAAGCCACTGAAACATTTTAAGCAGAAAAGTCCAATAAGACAAGACTGTAAGTGGCACCACCAACTATGAACGAATGAGGGGTGACGGTAAAGAACATGACCTATCCAGTTTATAACCCAGGCATGAAAATGTGCCATAAAGACTCCATAAATATTTGTTGAATAATCAATGAATTCATGAAGATGTTTCAGAATAGCAGGGGAGATGTAATTTCTGGAGATAAGAGGATAGGAGGGATTGGGACCTTCTGGAGTCTGGAAAAGGTTTGTAATAATCACAATAGGAATCCAAGAGATAATAAGAAAATGATGAATAAAATGATTGCCAAGCCGATCAACATTATTAGCCATCAGGGATATGCAAATCAAAATTACAATAAGACACTACTTCACATACATGAGTGGCTATAATTAGAAAGATAATAACAAGTGTTGGTGAGATATGGAGAAATCAGAACCCTCATTTGCGCTGGTGGGAATGGAAAACTGACTGATCACTTTGGAAAACAGTCTAGCAGTTCCTCAGATGGTTACATATAGACTTAACATAGGTCCAACAATTTTACTGTCAAGTATATATCCAAAAGATACATACCAAAGATATATATATATAAGTCCACTCAGAAATTTGTACACAAATTCTCATAGCAGCATTATTCACAACGGTCAAAAAGAGCAAACAACCCAAATGCCCATCAACTTATAAATGAAGAAGCAGTATGTAGTATGTTCACAAACAGCATGTTATTTAGTCATGAAAGGGAATTGAGTACTGATACATTCTACAAGATGGGTGAACCTTGAAAACATTATGCTAACTGAAGAAAAGCCAGTCACAAAGACTATATCTTGCATGGTTTCGTTTGTATGAAATGTCTGTAATAGGCACATCCAAAGAGGAAAAAAAAAGTATATTAGTGATTGCCCAGGTCTGGAAGGACTCCTAAAGAGTATGGAATTTCTTTTTAGAATCATGAATATGTTCTAAAATTGATTGTGGTAATGGTTGCACAATTCTGTAAATATTCTAAAAACCATTGGTTTGTACACTTTAAATGGGTGAATTGTATGGTACGTGAATTATAGCGATACACATATTTGTGGATAAAACTTTTACACACACACACACACACACACACACACAGTGATTGCCAGACCATGGGGAGTCCGGCAGGGGAGTAAGTATCATGACTTTGTAGCGGAGCCAATCAGTCTGATTTTCTTACTTTCTCTGAGCAGTCTCAATGGTTGAGGGGAAAACAGCACATGAAAAGAACAAGTCAGTAATAAGCAACAAGAGTTAACAGTTGCTGAGAGCATCTACAGACCAGACACTATAGAAAGCTTTGTCCACATTCTCTCATTTTATGTTACACATGTCTATGTACATATATACATATATATTCTATCACATCCTTCCAATAAGGTAGATGCTCTCATAAAGTCAATGTTGCCTCCCTGAGCGTGGGAGCTGGAGCCAGCGGCTTGAGTGGAGGGTGATATGTTAATGCACCAGGAGGGGCCCAGGCACCTGTAGTCTCAGGAAGGGTAAAGAACTGGTTCTGAGAGTGGAGCAATGGCTTGCAGAGCTGCACATAACCTGAGGAATTAGTGGTTGCCGCTCTGACTGTGAGTTCTCAGAGATGGGATAGTTTGAAGCATGGTGCCTTCCAAGCTGAGGAGGAAGTGGGGCTGAACAAAGGGCGAGGGGTTTGGTCACAGGGCTGTGACAGCCATGACAGGTTGCTCATCATCCCCAGTGGCGACATGATGGAAGTCTTCCAAATCTCAAAATTCTATGAATTTCAAGGGGATGGACATGTCGAGGACACATCCCTGGAGGAAAGTGAAGGGGAACTCCATCACCTACCAACCAAATGTGGAGACGGAACATGCAAGAACCAGGACCCTGACGAATACAATTGCTTCTGTCAGTGGTTCCCAAACTCTCCATTGCCAAGGACATCTTTCAGTCACACTCGCTATGAATAGCACATTTGGAAAGTTTTTGTCTATCCAATTACATTTTAATGAGTAATTAATTTGTTTTCAACATTTCTATTAATCAAGGAGATTAACAATTGCCAATTAGAGCTTCTAACGAGCTGAGACCACCAACCTTGCCTGGCTGGATTGCTGTTGGCCCCAAGCCAAGAAGCAATGATCCCATCAGCCAAGGCAGCAGTGCTTGGGAAGCTGTACATTTTCTTTCCGTCAAGCTTTTCAGAGTAGCGGAATGGCCTGCAGGTCCCCATGAGAACATCACCAGGCCCAAAGGGTGCATAGAGCCTTGTGTCAGGAATCATTGTCCTCATCTTGTCCCCCATGGCCTGGGCCGTCTTGCCAGCAGGCAGAGCAGAGGGAGGGGCAGCTATAGGTTGGGCCAGGATTTGCATCCCTGAAGGACAATGTGGTAATTAACATTAAACAGAGGCTAAGATATTGAGATTTCATACGCATCTTTCCCCAAATTTCTAAAGTTGTGCCAAGACTGTGTGATTTTGTTCTTTTCAATAAAGGCAATCTGTTAGGTTTAGAGTCTAGAGGGGAAAACCAAAAGAACGTGAGCCATTTTTGTAATTTTAATCTTTCTAATAGCCATATTTATTGACAATAAAAGGAAACAGGTAAACTTGATTTTACTCATATATTTTATTTAACCCAATATATTGAAATATTATCATTTAACATTAATATTATGTTACTAGTAAAATAGTAATGAGATATTTTACATTTTCTTGTACTAAATCTTCAAAATTCATCGTGTATTTTACACTCAGGTCATTTCAATGTGTACTGGCTACAATGTGAGCACTCAATAGCTGCAGGGTGGTAGTGGTTACAAAGCTAATAAGAAGAGGAACTGGAATTGGGACCCCCAAGGGGGAACTGGGACCCTGTTCCGACCTCCAAGTCAGTTCTGTCCCTGCTGCTATGCAAGAACTATTTTTGTTCCAACACAAGTAAATGACTTCTCTGAAGATATCCTTAAAGCTTACCCAGGCCAGCCCCCCACCCAAGGTGGAGGGGCCTATTGATGTGGCCTGGAGTTCACGGGAACATCATAGCACAAGATAAACTCGCTCAAAGAAGACATCAGGGCCAAGATGACAGACTTCAGGGCTACTCGCTCTGTTGCCCAGGATGGAGTTCAGTGGCTCAATCACGACTCACTGCAGCCTCAACCTCCCTGGGCTCAGGGGATTCTCTTGCCTCAGCCTCCCAAGTAGCTGGGACTACAGGCATATAGCATCACACCTAGCTAACTTTTGTATTTTTTTGCAGAGAAGGGGTTTCGCAAACTCCAACTCAATTAGATGAATTCTGGCTCCATAAGAAGCATGTGTTTCCCACTGGGGCCTCCCCTCCGACCTTCCAGAACTTGGCACTCAAACTAGGTATATCTTATCCCTTCCCCAAGTCCCTGTCTAGCTGCTCTATCCACGTACAAACTCAGAGGCTATTTTCTACCATGCAGACTGGGATTCAGAGGAAGAACCTGACACAGGCAGGGGAAGCAGAGGAAGCAATGGGGAGAAAGAACTTGCAGGGTTCCTGCAATGTCCCCATCCCTGATTCAAATTCCCTGTTCGTGGGCTCTGTGAGACATCCCTCCAACCATAGAACAAGTTCTTTCTGCCACTTGAGGTCATCTCAGTGAGTTTTGGATGATTGCAGCCAATTGACCCTAACAGCTGGGCCTCACTCAGAGGCCCAGGAGTGGGCTCCAGTTGAGCAGAAGCCTGCGGCCTTATTTCTGCTTCCTCTTCTAGATGGCAGTAGGGCCACCCCAGTTTGTCCCCACATCCCATCAGCATTTCTGAGGATTTTGTTCAGTCGTATTACAAGTTTACTGGGGTCCTGCCATGGAGGACCTAAGGCCTCTGTGGGCCTCTGTCCTGTCTACTCCACATTCAGAGCCCTGGCTCTCTTCCTGTGAGTCCCAAGCTGCCCATCAAGTCTTCTCTGATCCCCAGTTGGAACACATGCTCCTTCTGCATTCCCACCCCTGTTACTGCATCCCAGGCTTCACCGTTAAGCTCCTACTTCCTTCTGTCCTCGCTTTCATTGGAAAGCTGATTGGATAGCCAGCTTCCTCACTTAGTTGTGGGTAAGGACAATATTAATCACCTTTTATTTTCTCAGGTTTCTCCCCACACATCTCCTTCCCTGTGCCTACGAAGTAGTAGGTGCTCAAATGTGTTGACTGAAGGAAGGACAAGATGAAAGGAGAAAAGGAGTGAAGGAGGAAGCAAAGAAAGGACGCTTCAGCCACTTAGTTAAAGTATAAGATAACATCTAGTGTAATTCAATTCTAGACCAGACTGCCTGCAGGAGAACCTCACCAAGAGGAGCCAGCCAGCAAGGGAATTGCAGCCTGCATGGTGCAGACAAAACAGCCCCGGAATGGCATCTTTTTCAGGGAAATCAAAAGGTCTTAAGCAGCGAGCTCCCATCATTCAGATCCTGAATGCTCTAAGGGGATCATACAACTGCAATTCACTTCTGCATATGCATCTATTACGGTGTTCACATCTGAGTGCAGCACAGAAACAGTCTTTTTTTGTTGTGTTTTTGTTTGTTTGTTTTGAGATGGGGTCTCACTCTGTCGCCCAGGCAGGAGTGCAGTGGCTCAATCACGGCTCACTGCAGCCTCAACCACCTCAGGCTCAGATGATCCTTCTGCCTCAGACTCCCAAGTAGCTGGGACTACAGGCACACATCACCACACCTGACTAATTTTTGTATGCTTTGAAGAGATGGGGTTTCACCATGTTGCCCAGGCTGGTCTCAAACTCCTGAGCTCAAGCGATCTGCCTCCCTTGGCCTCCCAAAGTGCTGGGGTTACAGGTGTGAGCCGCCACACCTGGCCCAGAAACAGTCTTTAAGAGGGATGTGGATATTCAAGAATTGAAATTTAGAGACTCAGAAAATGGACCTAATGACAAACAAATGTTTTTTGAGAGCCTAACTGTTTCCAGATGCTCCACTGGACACTGGGAATCCAATGGTCAGCAAAATAAGCACGGACCATACACATGTGGAGTTTGTAGATTATTGAGTCAACAGCACACATCAGAAATTGACTCAAAAAAATTAAAATCTAAAGGCAAATAAATGTTAAGCAATTATTTTGAGAGGCAAAATTGAGATAATAGAATAAGGTTTGGATTCAGACCAGAATTGGGTTCAAATGCTGATTTTGCAACATTTAATGAAAAGAAGACAAAATTATACACACACATGGTTTTAAAAGTCCAGTGGTTCTACAAGTTTATAATGAAAATTAGCACCCTCTTGCCCCTTGATCCCCATTGCGTAGTCACAGCCACTTTTAACTCTTTAAGCTATTTCTTCTGGTATTTATCATCATATATTTCAATTACACACTTATATGGCCATATCTGGATTTTGTTTAAATTTTAGATCCCATCTAGTGACTCTCCATGTGGAAACTGAGGTTTTGGTCTCTTAAATCTTCCTCCCACATGCCCCCTCATTCTTCAAATACAGCTATATCGTAATTTTGTTTAAATCAATAATCACGGCTTATGCTCTATGACCGCGTGATCATCAGTCACAGGCCATGAAGTGCATTTTATAGTAATATTTTCTTTCGTATACAACTTTTTGTTTTTCCTGAAGCTAACAACTATCACCTTTTCTCCACTTATTTAGCTTTTTATGTATTAATACTTATCACTAAGTCATCACTAGCTTTCCTTCAAAAGTGACAGTGTGTCACATGACCAAACTCATCCGGTCATATGTCAACAGCATTTTTTTTCTGGAGACAGCCTCCACCTCCACTTCCCGGAAGAGCTCTCTAAACTCCTGCTCCAGCCTGGACTGGTGGGGCTCCAGGCAGCCCCATGGTGCCATCCTGGGGCTTCGCTTGCCATCATCCAGGGTGTCCTCTGGGCATTATCTCCTGGGATGCGTTACCTGCTTCCTTTATCTCATGCTGTCCTTTTTTTTGGATAATTCCCTCATTTTGGAGGAATATACCCAAGGGTAAATAGGAATTAAGGATTTCAAGACATTGTATTTCTGAAACTGTCTTGATTGATAGTTTGGACATGTACAGGATTCTAGGGATAGAGAAGTAATTCTCTCTTAGAATTTGGAAGGCATTGCTGCACGGGTTTTGGCATCTAATGTTGCTTTTCTTGAGAAGTCTGATGCCATCCTGATTCCTGATCTTGCCTTGCCTCCCCCTACAGATTTTAGGGCCTTATCTTTGTCTCTGATGGTCTGAAGCTTCATAATTACAGTAGTGCCCCCTTATCCACAGTTTCCACAGTTTCTGTTACCTGTGGTCAACCACGGCTCAAAAATATTAAGTGAAAAATTCCAGAAATAAACAACTCATAATTTTTAAATTGCATGCCATTCTCAGTAGCGTGATGAAATCTCAAGCTGTCCTACTTCATCCAGCCCAGGATATGAATCATGCCTTTGTCCAGCTCTATATGCTACCTGCTCGTTAGTCACCTAGTAGCCATCTCCATTATCAATTTAACTATTGCAACATCTCAGTGCTAGTGTTCAGGGAACCCTTATTTTACTTAGCAATGGTCCCAAAGCACAAGAGTAGTGATCCTGGCATATTGTTATAATTGTTCCATTTTATTATTGTTGTTGATCTCTTACTGTGTCTGATTTATAAATTAAACTTTATCACAGGTTTGTATGTATAGGAAAGAAAATGTTGTATATATAGGGTTTGGTACTCTCTTGGTTCATTTTGTGTTGCCATAATGTAATACCTCAGGTTGGTTAATTTATGAATAAAATAAGCCTGTTTGGCTCACGGTTCTGTAGGCTGTACAAGCATGGCACCAGCATCTGCTTCTGCTGAGGGCCTCAGGCTGCTTCCACTCATGACAGAAGGTGAAGGGGAGCCAGCATGTGCAGAGATCACACAGCGAAAGAGGAATCAAGAGAGAGGAGGGGAGGTGCCAGGCTGTTTTTCACAACCAGTTCAATTAGGAACTAATAGTGTAAGAACTCACTCACCCCCAAGAAAGGGCATTAATCTGTACATGGGTAATCTGTCCCCATGACCCAAACATCTCCCATAGGCTCCACCTCCAGCATTGGGGATCAAATTTCAACATGAGGTTTGGCATGGTCAAACCTCCAAACTACAGCAGGTACTATCCGAGGTTTCAGGCCACCACTGGGGGTCTTGGGACACATTTCCCAGGGATAAGTGGGGGCTGGGCACATGCATTGTTGTGGGTGTTTTTCATGCATTGTGCTTGGCACTCTGTGGACCTTTTACATATCTATAGATTCACGTCTTTCAGAAATGGAGAAATTTCTTGAATTGCGTCCTTCTCCCTTCCATATTCTCTGTTCCTAGTCTATGGAACTCCTTGGACTGATCCTCTAATTTTATTATGTTTTCTCTCCTGTTTTTCACCTCATTTATGTTATTACTCAACTTTCTGGATAATTACTTCAATTAACCTCATTTTCTAACCATTAAATTTAGTTTTTCTTTCTGCTCTCAACTTTGAAGTTCCAAGGATCATTTTGGTTCTCTGCTATGCTAACCTCTTGTGCTTGTCTATGTAATCTCTGAAGATGAATCAATCACAGGACTTTGTTGTTGTTGCTATGGTACAGGTTTCTTGCTGCTGCCCAGATTGCTTGTTTCATCCCTAGTTCCTTGTTTTGTTTTGTTTGTTTTTGTTTTTGTTTTTGTCTATGTCTTTGATATTAAGGACTTCTCTCAAATGCCTGATGACCCTTGACTGTTCGCTCATATTTCAGAGTGAGGCACCCAATAGTTGATGGGGTGACATTCATCAACTATAGAATTCACCAGAGGGTAAACCACTGAGCAGTTTCACCAAGGTACTCCCAACCCTCAACATCTTTTAAATTCTATGCCTGAGCTGCCAGACATCTTCCCTAGAAAGGAATCCTCGAGGCTCCTGCTTGGAAGAGATCAACCTGGCTGCCAGTGCTCTTGGAGCTGGGCCTGGGGAGGAGGCCAGTGGTGTCACCACTCAGCACATATACTCACTCAATCCCCCATGTGGCATGGTACCCTGTCCTCAGCTATGCTGCTGCCCAAAGCTGGCAGCTCCAGAGAAGAAATATCTAGTCTTCTAGCAGCAGGAGGGAGAGGATCTAGGGACATTGAAATATTTAATATACAAACTTTCAACAAATCCTATTTTTAGCTCCACCTGTGCCCATTTTCAGAGGACTCTGCCTACTTCAAACTTCACCCCCAACCACATAGGCTGTGCCATTTTCTGGTCTGTTAAATTGACACTTTGCCCTCTCCTTCCGGCTTCCCAGATGCCATTGCTCTTGCTTACTCTCCTATTCTCTTTTATCATTCTTGTATTATCAAGTTAAAAAATCCCTTCAGTGTCATTTTCATGGGGTTTCAGGAAGGAACAGTACTACCCAAGCATGTCAACCTGCCCTGTTTAACCAAAAGTCTAACTATGCCATCTCGCTGAGCTAGTTCATGTCTCAAGGCCTTTTCTTCCTCATCTGGAAAAGGCTGAAAAAAAAATACATACGTTATAGGGCTGTTTTGAGAATAAAATAAAGTAATGCTTGTAAAGCACTATGTATGGTTTCTGGCACATAATATGTGCTCAATACATAATGGCTATTATTCTCAGTTACCAGATCCACTCTAGCATGCAGAGTGGAATTTTTTTTTTCTGCATTGCATGCAAAATGACAGACAATGCAGCAAAAAAAATTCAGATTATACTGAAGTAGAACTTCCAAAATTCATAAAAAATAGACAGTGGAAGTAATTCTTAGTCAAAGATGTCATCTTTCTATAGCCATAAAATTTTAAGACTCTAATGAACAGTCACAGTTTGGGTTAGTTTAGACATAGTCCTCCCTGGGACTAGATGAGATGACCTCTGAAATCACAAAGAAGCAATTCATCTCTGATGAATAAATATCACAGGGAAATGGAGCAATGGTAATAAGCCCATCATTCCCAGGTATTTGAATTGCTTTATTTTCCAGGCTGGTTGCTCATTGGAATATTAGAATTTCCTATGAGTGATATAACACAGCACAGGAAACAGGCAGGTGGACTGTACCAGAAAGTGGTGTCGTATAGTATTGCAAGGATATATTTGCACTGGAGCTGGGAAATTAATTTGAATTTAAACAAGAAATAACCAGCCCTTAGACCACAAGCCTTCATGAACCAGGATTCTGAGCTGCTCAGGCTTAGAAAACACACAGCTCTCCTGGGAGTTGAGTTTTGAAGGGGGTTCACGCACAGAATCTAGTTATCTTTTTTTTTTTTTCAGGGTGAGGTGACACACAATAAAATGTTAACACAGAGAATGCTTGGGAATTTATAAACTTTGGTGAGGAAGAGAGGTAGAAACATGGTTTCTCTAAGGAGCAGTCATGCTTGACATTTTCAGAGGAAACTGGCATACACATTGATGCTAATGTTGGGGGAAACAGTTGTGTGTGATTTATAGATGATGAAAAACATTTGACAAGAATCTTTTGCAAAGGCTATCCTTTTTAAGGAGTCATGGCTGTAAGGAATGTTCTCTCAGGCATAGAGAACGGGTTTACAGATAAGAAAGAACACTCATAAACAGCAACTGCCCTGTGGAAGAACTGTAACCCCAGGGCCTTCTAACTGCTGGGCCTACCATCAATTTTTCGCTTCTTTTAAAAACTTAGCGATTGCATGTTCACTATTTAGGAACACAAACTAGCAAAAAAAAAAAAAAAAAAGGAAAATTTCCTGAAAACCTGCCACCAATCTTAGCTTTTTCACAAACGATCTTTGTATAAGAAGAAAGATGTAGAAAAATCTTCTGGTTTGGACCGGGGGTGGTGGCTCACGCCTGTAATCGCAGCACTTCGGGAGGCTGAGGTGGGCGGATCACGAGGTCAGGAAATCAAGAACATCCTGGCTAACGCGGTGAAACCCTGTCTCTACTAAAAATACAAAAAAAAAACTAGCTGGGCGTGGTGGCAGACGCCTGTAGTCTCAGCTACTCGTGGGGCTGAGGCAGGAGAATGGCGTGAACCCGGGAGGCGGAGCTTGCAGTGAGCTGAGATCGCGCCACTGCACTCCAGCCTGGGCGACAGTGCGAGACTCCGTCTCAAAAAGAAAAGTCTTCTGGCTTGGACACCGTACTAAGTTCCTACAACGATGCCAAGCTTATGGCCTGCACACAGAGGGGGAGTCTTCTAAGACTAGCTTTGAGGGAGCCTCAAAAGCCATTTTGCTCTATCATAGCACCTGACATCTTCATCATTACTGATACATTTATACTAGGGAAATATTAGGACTCAGTGAGTCTCTTTAGGAAAAGCCAGCATCTTATTGGCCATTACACACCTTAGCAGCGGTTACATTGCTATACTAAGGCCAACACCTTGGAAAGCAGAGCATAAGGCTCTGGAGAAAAGGGAAGTAACACGGTGCTTTGCAAATTGCAAAGACCTGTACAAAGGGAATGTTGTTATTATTGGTCCAAAGCAATGGGATTCTGGGTAAAACTGTGATAGAGGCTCTGCACCAAAGACATCAGACTCATAGGTCAGCAATGCCAATAAAACTCGGATATCAGTACGAAAACTGTGGGTCACCAAACAGAGACAATTGTCTAAACAACATGTGCAGTCACGAGACATGCAGGCCTGGTATCCCTGCCAAGAGGGTGAGAGTTGTATGGAAAACTTCCTCTGCACTCTGGAATTGTGCCCTGTGGCTGTGACTGCCTGGCTTTTACAGACTTCATGGTAACTGCAATTAAAAATGCAACAAACCCTCATACATGACAGGTGGGATTGTAAAGTTATATAGTCACTTTGAAAGACAATTTGACAGTTCCTCAAAAGGTTAAACATCAAGGTACGTTATCACCCAGCAATTCCATGCCTGCAATGTACCTAAGAGTATTGAAAACATATGTTCAAACAAAAACTTGTACACAAATGATCACAGCGGCATTCTTCATAATAGCTAAGATGTGGAAACAACACAAATATCCATCAATTGATGGATGAAGAAACAAAATTTATATTTTGTTTGTGTTCTATTTATACAATGGAATACTATTCAGCCTTAAAAAATAATGAAGAGCTGATCCATGCTACAATATAGATGAACCTTGAAAACATTATGCTAAGTGAAAGAAGTCAGACATAAAATGCCACATATGATTCCATTTATATGAAATGTCCATAATAGGCAAATTCATAGAGATAGAAAGTAGATTAGTGGTGGCCAGGAGCTGGGGGATTTGGGTGGGGAGAATGAGAAGCTACAGTGGGTATGGGATTTCTCTTTGGGGTAATGAAAATGTTCTGAAATTAAACAGTGGTGATTGTTACACAACTCTGTGAACGTATTCAAAGCCCATGTATTCTACACTTTAAAAGAGTGAATAATATGGTATGTAAATTATGTTAATAAAGGTTTTTTATTGTTGTTGAGATGGAGTCTTGCTGTCACCAGCCTGGAGTGCAGTGGCATGATCTCAGCTCACTGCAACCTCTGCCTCCCGGGTTCAAACAATTCTCCTGCCTCAGCCTCCTGAGTAGCTGGGATTACAGGTGCGTGCCACCATGCCTGGCTAATTTTTGTATTTTTAGAAGAAACAGGGTTTTGCCATGTTGGTCAGGCTGGTCTCAAACTCTGCCCTCAAGTGATCCACATGCCTAGACCTCCTAAAGTGCTCGGATTACAGGCGTGAGCCACTGTGCCTTGCTGGAAGCTACTACTAAAAGAAAATACCTGAAAACTCAAAGACTTTTTATTCTTTCCTACCCACTGGCCAGAGATCTCTTAGCCTTCCCTCAGTATACTAAAAGTACATGAGTAAATAGTCTGCCAGAAAGGGTGGAATAACCTGGGGACTATTACACCGTACAGTAGCCAATTCCATTTTTCTTTAATAACTGGCAATGAACACTCCCAGGCGTTTTCATTGTTCGTGAAAACTCTGCTTAGAACACAGAACAGAATCAGAGGTACAGGACCAGCCACCGAAGTTACACCTCTGGTTTGGTTGTCTGATTCAGGAAGGAAGAAGGTCAACTCCACAAGCCCCACCCTGGCAGGTGTGCGGAGCACGAGGGGGCCTTCCTGAGAGAGCAAGGAAGTGGGGCGGGAGATATCCCTGCTGACGAAAGAGACAAAACCACATCCAGCCAGGGGCTGCTGTTGCAGTATGGAGTTCCCCTCCGCGATGTGAGCAAACAGAAGAGAGAAAACGCCATCTCATGCCAGGATCCTTTCAAATAGGTCTCTTTCCCAGCCAAGCCTACTTTCTGCAACAGTTTTTCCCTTACATACGAAGCTTCTAGCAAAACACCCAGCATAGAGTGGGAGCTCAGTGAATATTTGTTTCATGAATTAATAGCAACATTTCTTATGATGGCAAACAAAAAATAAATAACTAAAATGTTCTACAATGACCTACTGGGTCATGCACATTTATGGTATGCCCATAACTAGGCAAGTCATTTAATATTTCTATGCATAATTTTTTTTGCTAAAATAGAGTAATAGTACCTATCTCACAGGGTTATTGTGATGATTAAATGAGCTTAGGTATATAAAACAAATAGAATATTGCATAGCATATAAAAATTACAAAACAAATGTTAACTATTAGTATTATTATTCCATGGAATACAGTGCAATTATTAAAACTGTGTTGAAAAAATATATTCTTTTGAAAAAAATTTTTGAGAAAATATCTTTTTATAGCTGAAAAAATTCACAATAATTTAAAAAAATAAGCTATGTAATAGCATAAACAGTAAGATTCCACATTTTGTGAAATAAACATCCATGTAAAGAAAAAAGTGTACACAAATATACATAAAAATATTTATAGTAGTTATTTCTAAATAGTGAAAGCAAGGGGGACTTTCTTTATTATTAATTGCTTATCTATTTTTCAACAGTCAGTATAAATTATTTGAGTAAGTATAAAAATTAAAAATCCAATTGAATCAGAAAAGCATTCATATTATTTGACACACTAATTCCAATTTGAGGATACTATTCTTTAAAAAAAGTCCCAAGTACCAAAGAAAATATTGCCTATAAGAATTAGGTAAAGTGCCAGGCGCGGTGGCTCACGCCTGTAATCCCAGCACTTTGGGAGGCCGAGGCAGGCGGATCAGGAGGTCAAGAGATCGAGACCATCCTGGCTAACACGGTGAAACCCCGTCTCTACGAAAAATACAAAAAAATTAGCTGGGCGTGGTGGCGGGCACCTGTATTCCCAGATACTCGGGAGGCTGAGGCAGGAGAATGGCATGAACCCCGGAGGCGGAGCTTGCAGTGATCCGAGATCGCGCCATTGCACTCCAGCCTGGGTGACAGAGCGAGACTCTGTCTCAAAACAAACAAACAAACAAACAAGAATTAGGTAAAGTGTGATGATTTTTCTATAAATTATAGAATAATATATAATGAGTTTAAAAGATTGATGTTCAAAATAGGCGTCAAAAAGCATTAGAGTAACGCTTGAAAATATTAGAAAATGCTATCTATATTAAGTTAACTGGGATACAAATGACTAGTATCTGATCTCAAGCATATAACAAAAGTAATCATTGGCAGAAACAATAGCTGACTCTCTGCCCTTTGTTGAAGTTAACTATATTTGTCACCTTTTGACCAGAACAAGGTGGATTCTTTCTCAACAATTTACAAATTAGCCAGAAACCCCTAAACTTAATAGAACTTCAGTTCTTCCAGGTGGAGGGTTGTCCTGTGACATAAAACTAAAATCATTAAATCTATCCAGTCTAGGAAGAGAAAAGCCCAAGAGGAAATATGCTGTCCATGTATGAAATCATAAACGTTCAGGTAAATATAGCCCTGTTCATTTATCAAAATGTGAGACAAACAAAAGTTATTTTAATTCTATCAGTATTTGTCAGGCACCTGCTACAAACAAAGATGAATAATGAGACAGACTTTGTCCCGGAGAAGCTCACCACCTAATGATGTAGGAAAAAATAACTATAATCAGCTAACCACAGTCCGGAAGCGCTGCAAGAGAACAAAAGACCACAGGAGCCCAGGGAAGGGGGAAGTTTGGATTTGAAGCATCACCTGGGACGTAACCTTGATGCTAAACCTTTACACTAAAGCATGAACATGGTTTTGGTAACCGGCAGACTGAATGGTCAAATTCTAAGCAGGGATGCCGTCCTTCACTGAACCACTGATGGGCACTGGGGGTAGCTGATCACTCTTAGGGCTGTGTCCCTGTGCACTTGCAGAATGTGTCAGCATCTCAAGTTGACAACTTCTTGAGAAGTTGAGGGAATGATGTGGAAGAAGGAAAAGAGCTCAACAGCCCAAATCCAAGAAGCAGATCTTTAAGCGCAATGCAGTGTTTTAAAGCCTGCTATAGGAGTACATGAGAGGGGGACCACACTTAAGCACAGCCCATTTAAAATGCTTTAATTGCCTATCTGTGCAATAAGACTGAACCAAATGAATATTGACAAATCCGCTAACATAATCTAGTCTTGCCTTGCATTTATAAAGGTTAGGACCCAGAATTATAATGTTCTGTTTAATTTCAAATGCCTGCTGTCTGACAGGGGCTTTCTCCCGAGAGAGAAAGGCGTGGTTCTTTCCCTCAAGGGGCTCCCACCCTGGTGTGAAGAGACACACACATCACAATGTCAAAGCCTCGAGGGAGGCACGGGCCTGCCTGGGGATAGCCAGAAGGTCCTGCTCCCACCAGCACCTTCACTTTTAGAGCAAGGAGGGAGTGACCAGCATGGACTAGACAGAGGGGGAGAGGTCAGGAGTTAACTCACAACCAATGTTAAAAATGGACTTAAAGAAGAAAAGGATGTTAGCCTGGAGAAGAAAGAACTTAGAAGGGGCCTAAGAGCCTTTTTGACTATAGAGCCACAATGAGGAAAATGGGGAGAGTGGGTCAGTGCCACACATCCCCAGCAGCAGGCAGAGCAGAGATGATCACATCTAATATCACAATCACTTCTGAAATTCTACAAAAATCCACAAAAGAGAGTACAGGAAGAAACCACACACAGGGCCAACAAAGGATGGGATGAATTCAGGAAGATAGGAGAGTGGGGGATGAACTTCCACCGCTGGGTAATAAGGGAAGCAGGGACGTGAGGACAGACGTTCATGCCTTCCCACAGGAGGCCTTGGAGCTGCCGACAAGGCATCTCCCAGATGACGGAGCAGGCGTGGCAGGACGCCATCTCGCTCAGGGCAGCACCTGGTTAATGTCAGCACCGGGTCTGGTGAGGGCTGGTCTCTGCTGCGACATGGCAGGAAGTGTGCTGTGAGATCTGGTTAGAGGATGTCAAGAGGACCCCCTTGCCACAGCCTAACCAGTGTGTTCTGGACCCCACGTTTCCCTTTCCAAACTCTAATCCATCCTATCATTGCTCAGGGCTTTTTGATTCTGCTCCTTCCTCCCCTCCCCACACACATAGAACCTTTTATTCCAAAATCTAGCAGTACATCATTGGTTAGTAGAAAATAACTCTCAGAGCCGGGCGCGGTGGCTCACGCCTGTAATCCCAGCACTTTGGGAGGCCTAGGTGGGTGGATCACTTGAGATCAGGAGTTCGAGACCAGCCTGACCAACATGGAGAAACCCCGTCTCTACCAAAAAATATAAAATTAGCCAGGCATGGTGTCGCATGCCTCTAATCCCAGCTACTCAGGAGGCTGAGGCAGGAGTATCACTTGAACCTGGCAGGTGGAAGTTGTGGTGAGCCGACATCGCACCATTGCACTCCAGCCTGGGCAACAAGAGTGAAACTCCTTCTAAAAAAAAAAAAAAGGAAGAAAAAGAAAATAACTCTCATAACTTAAAAACAAAAATCAACAAACAAACCCCCCCCTCAAAAAAAAATCCTATAACATAAACTTCCCAACCATCTAAAAACCCAAACTCAAAACGTGTTTCTTTTGTCTTCCCTTCTTGAAGGAAGTAGGTCTGCACGGGCCTCCCCATCTCCTAGAGCTCGTACACAGCTATGAACCTGCTCTCAACAATGACTGGACACTTCCTCTTGGTTCATGGAAAAATTTGCTCGTAATTTTCCAGTCTGACTCAAGCTATCAGCTGGCGATACAGTTTTTTGCCAGCTTTACAGTCATTACATTACTCAAACAGAAACCCTTTTGCAGGTGACCTTGAAAGTTATTAAAAACTATTCTCTTTTTGAAGGAAGGACTTGTTGGGGGCGCCTGGTAGAGAGAGGATGTCTCGACTGGGTCTGGTGGTGACGACATCCTGGAAAAGGAACAAGATCCAAGTCACCAATCATTCTCTTATACAACGCATCCTTGAATTTTGAAGAGCCTGATATTGTGGATGGTTTGTATTGTCATTTGGCAGCAAAAATAACCTACATTGAATACACAGAAATAGTCCTCCACAGCCTCTGCCCGGGCTTTCCAGGTTTGACCACTGTGCAGTGCCTGTGATGCTCTCTGCTGCCACCCAGTGGATATACTGAGAAAGGTCAGGTAGGATGTTTAAACCCAGAGGTTCTCAGTGTGGTCCCCAGACCAGCAGCATTGGCATCAAATTCTTGGCTGCCCTAGAAACTCTGGGAGTGGGGCCAGCAGTCTATGTTTTCACAAGCCCTCAAGGTTATTCTGATGCACACTGAAGTTTGAGAAACACTAGTGTAGACTAGGTAGTAATTTGCACCCAGGGATGTGTGAAATGGATCATCAGATTTCTCCATTGGGAGAAGTCGATTGTCCTTATTGATGATCAAGGATCACATCTTTTATAGGAACTAATTTCACTGGCTATTTTAAAAAAATTACTCGTCTTCTCAGAAATGACAAGAAGGCATAAACCCCAACTCCTCTGTTTTTTATCCAGAATCTCCTGATTATAAGCAGCTACTGCTGCCTTGTTACTAAGAGTGGTATTCAAGGTTCTCCAAAAATATGGATCCAAACGTGTTTTCCAGTCTCACCTCCAGTAATTCTCCACTTCATTTACTCAAGATTTTAATGCAACTGGCTGATCCTCTGAGCCCAGCTTTCATCCCCGTGTTCCCTCTGTTTTTTCCACCAAAGATGCACCCTTCTAGGAGATTAAAATTTCATAATAAACAGTTCTAAATTTTCAAGCCCATTTTAAAGCCCTTTCGAATGCCATTTCCTCTATGAATTCTGCCCTGATTGCTCCATCCAATGACAGCCGTTCCCATCATGAACCTCCGCCACACTTCATCTATACCTCTTTTATAGTGCTTTAAATTCCATCCCTTGTTTTTTTAGTGCTCGGTGGACATTTCTGATCCCGTTGGGTCCAGAACTGAGCCTTACTCATCTCAGCATAAGCCAGTGCAGACTAGGTGCATAGTGACTGCCCTTTGAAAGGTATGCATGAATAACATAGGTCTCTCACAAAATAGCAGTTCACAATAAATGTTGGAATTCAATTTGTTGCAATGCGAATATTGCAACAGTTCACCTAAGAGTAACATAGGAACACCAGATCACCTGGGCAACACTGGGAAGGCAAAGCTTCGTTTTGTCCAAAGTCCTCTTTGGGACTTCACCACTGATGGGTGGGGCCCTGGATTACAGGAGCCACTAATCTACTCCTGTGCCACATTTGGGCCAGAAGCGTCCAACAGCTCCCCCTGCTGTCCACCTCGGCTATTACATCAGGACTGTGAAGGCTTCCATCATCACCCATCAGTCTCTTCTTTAAAGAGCCCACCTGAGATCCCAGAAAACCGCATTTCTGCAGCCACTACTAACACCTGGTTGAAAATGCTGTTCCCCCCATCCCCCCAACAGACCCAGAGCCTTTGGTCCAAATCTCCTGTTGCCATCTCAGGAAGATGAGATCTGGCAATATTTCCCTCCCAGGCCACATCCCCCACTGGCTCCCATCCTCACTACCTTCCCCAATAAGTGTTCATATGTTTAGAGTTTTGACCACTGTGGACCTGTTAGGGAAGAGAGATGCACTGAGCCTGACAATGCAGCTGGGGGTAGGGTGCCCTTTAAAGAGAACCAGAAAAGCAGTGGGAAGCCAGAGGGCGAGGGATCCAGGAGTCCCCGAGAAAAATGTACAAGAAGCAGAAGAAACAAAATAAACTAGAAACAGTGACTGCCTCTGAGTAGAGCCTGGAGAAATGAGCGCCAAGGATGGAAGACTCACTTTTCATTGTTTTACCCTCCTGTACTATCTGCATTTATTTTATGTGCTACTCAAAAACCACACTAGACAATAAATAAAAAATTAAAAAGACTCACAAAACGACAATTTCTAAAAGAAACTTCACTAACAATATAAAAAGACTGCCCTGATGAAAGAAAGATTAGTCTATTATTCGGGAAGAAATGTTAATAATCAAAGCTGAGGGGAGAGAGAAAGGGAGAAACTGCCACATTTGTAATTTCTTGGGTCTGTACAAACTAGTAAACCCTTCTGAAAAGCAACTTGGGAACTGTATTAGTCCGTTCTCACACTGCTACAAAGAACTACCTGAGACTGTGTAATTTATGAAGAAGGAGGTTTAACTGACTCACAGTTCTGCAGGCTGTACAGGAAGCATGACTGGGAAGCCTCAGAAAACTTGCAGTCATGGTGGAAGGCAAAGGTGAAGCAAGCACATCTTCACATGGCAACAGGAGAGAGAAAGAGGGGAGAAGTGCCACACACTTTTAAACCATCAGATCTCGTGAGAATGATCTATCACGAGAACAGCATGGAGGGAATCTGCCCTCATAATCCAGTCGCCTCCCACCAGGTGCCTCCCCCAACATTGAGAATTACAATTCAACATAAAGTTTGGATCACAGAGCCAAACCACATTAGGAACTTTTATAGAGACTTAAAGATGTTGTCTTTCCTCTTCTCTTTCTGGTCATCTAGCCAAAGCAAATTATTTGAAAGATGAAAAAGCTACAGATATAACAGTATTTGATGTAGGAAGGCAGAATTCCAAATCCTACACATTTGTTAATATACAAATAGTATTATAGTTAACTGATGACAGAATTCACTCAATGTGATGTGATTTTTAAGTGTATTTTTAAAAAGCATTTTTAAAAAGTGATCAAGATTATCTAATATCTATAATGTTAAGTGACAAAAAAAGCATATACAAATCATATAAACACTGCAGTTGTACCTATGCTTTAAAAACTGTGTAGGAAAAAAAGACTGGAAAGAAATGAGCCAAAATGCTAATAATGGTTGCATCAGTATGGTGGGGTTATTTTCCAAATTTGTAGTAATACAGTTACCTTATTCTATATAGAAAAATAAATATGTAAAGGAAGTAATGAATCTTTTCAATCTCACCCCCTGCCAAGCAGGAACACACGGGAGGCCTCTTGGCAAGTTGAGGTGTCATACCATTTCAGGACCATCCATCTAGGAAACGCGTACCTAAGAACACCCACCACCATGCATGCCTCTAGTTCCAAAGTGTTCGAAGAGCTACTCCCAGGATGTAAGGATTCCAGCTCCTGGGTTGAACTTAAAAGTTTGCTAAATGTAGTTCATACTCCAATCATAAAGGGTCCAAATGGGATATAGCAAAATGAACAAGGCAACTACCCCAGTTAGCCCAGGGATGTGCGAGCACCCCTCTCACCCATCCAACCATCCAAAGAGGACTGCGAGCACCATGACCCATAGCGACAGCAGCCAGGGAAGAACAATGGTCAATTCCACAACAGAGTTGGGCGTTTCAAGGGATGAATGAGTGTATTAATCAAGGATCCTCAAAGGATAGAACCAGTGGGTGTGTGTGTGTGGAGAGAGAGAGATTTATTATAGGAATCGGCTCATGCAGTTAGAGGCAGAGAAGTCTCATGATTTTCCACCTGCAAGCTGTAATTGAGTCCAAGCCCAAAGGCCTAAGAATGGGGGTGTGGGGGGGCGGGTAGCAGTGATTGCCTAAGTCCCATTCAGAGTCTGAAGGCTGGAGAGCAAGGAGCGCTGATGTCAGAGTGGGAGAAGACGGATGTCTCAGCTTAAGTAGAGAATGAATCCTCTATTCCCCCACCTTTTTGTTCAGTGAGGGCCCTCAGCAGATTGGACAGAGCCTGCTCACAGTGGGGAGGGCCATCTGCTTTACTCGTTCTGCCGATTCAGAGGCTAATCCCTTCTGGAAACACCCTCACAGACATACCCAGAATTCATGTTTTACCAGCTATCTGGGCATCCCTTAGCCCAGTCAAGTTGACATCTAAAATTCACCATCACACAGAAGATGCCACCACCATTCCACAGGGGACAGAGCTGGTGAGACCTTGGTCTTTGTGAGCCTGAAACTAGACATGTGGCCACCCAAGGAAAGCTGAAAATGCCACCCCCAAAACAGGCCAAGAATTCAGTGTTCTTTCCAATCAATATTCTTTAGTATTTATTCTCCATACTGGAAGGACAAGGGGAAACAGTGTTCTGGGGTGAAAATGGAGAACGAAGTCCTCCGGGGCAGTTTTTGGTGTTCCTCTTTTACTGTTTAGGCCTGGTCAGCTCTGGTCCCAAACTTGGACATCCCAGCTCAACCAAACCTCACCCTGACACTACCTGCCTGGGTCCTCTCCTTACAGTGCAGTTCAGTCACTGTGCCATTGATCAGGTCAGCCCTTGGGGTCTTACCACTCCCCGGTGTGGCTACTAAGGTACTGACTTCCTTTAGACTATTTTTTAAACAATGCACCCCTAATTACACTTGAGATATTTTAGAATCTTGGTAGAATTTGAGCACCCTACAATATAGCTCCCAGCCTGGCCTGCCCTGGCTCTGCTCCACAGTGTCCCCCTGCCAGCCTTCCCCGTACCCAAAGACTCTGCTGTCTGGATTCCACTACAGCGACCTTCAGTTTCTAACTGAAGGGGGTGATCTTTTGTTTTAAAAAACTGCAGGGCATTTGTGTGAGCAACCCTCTCACCCATCCGACCATCCAAGGAGGGCTGCGAGCACCATGACCCATAGCAACAGCAGCCAGGGAAGAACAATGGCCAATTCCACATCAGAGTGTCTTGGTTGTTCTTCCAGGTCTTCAAACAACTGCTTTTAAGAAATTTTTGCCCACCTTTTCTAGTTGTTCCCAGAGGAAGAGTTCAGTTTGATACCAGCTACCATGTCATGCCTGAAGCAGAACTCAACTCCTTTTGAAGCGGATGGCATATAAAGCAATCAGTATTTTAAAAACTCAACATTCAACACTTAATTTGCCAAAAAAAATGACCATAAAAAAATAAAAACAGCCTTTCACTGCCTGACTGCCGCCGTCACGGGTCACATTCATGTGCCCGGGAAGGGCCTGTCCCAGTCGGCTTTGCTCTATCACCACAGCGTCCCCACTTGGCTGAAGTTGACATCTGACAATGTGAAGGAGCAGATTTACAAACTGACCAAGAAGGGCCTGACTCCTCCACAAATCGGTGTGATCCTGAGAGACTGACATGGTGCTGCAAAAGTGCGTTTTGTGACAGGCATAAGAATTCTTAAGTCTAAGGGACTTGCTCCTGATCTCCCTGAAGATCTCTACCACTTAATTAAGAAAGCAGTCGCTGTTCAAAAGCATCTTGAGAGGAGCAGAAAAGACAAGGATGCTAAATTCCTTCTGATTCTGATAGAGAGCCGGATTCACCGTCTGGCTCGATATTATAAAACCAAGCGAGTCCTCCCTCCCAGCTGGAAATATGAACCATCTACAGCTTCGCCCTGGTTGCATAAATTTGTCTATGTACTCAAGCAATAAAGTGATTAAAAAGAAAAACAAATGACTAAATAATCTACATCAACATAGGCCTCAAAAAAATGTAATTTTGAATGTAAAAGTCAGAGTACTATATACAAGACGCTGAGATGTATATGACATTTTAAAACACACAAAACATACTACATGGTGTTCATGGATGCATACACGTAAAAATAAAATTGAATAGAATACCCAGCAGATTTGAGAATAGTGGTTGCCTTTGGCAGGGAGTGAGGGACAAAAAGAGAACTTCAATTTTATCTGTAATGTTTATTTAAAAATGTAAAGCAGACAGATATGAACAGCTGTTAACCACTGTTAATTCTTGGTGGTGGAAACATAAACAAACCAAATCCCTCCATTGGAAATGCCCAGAGATCAGATGTCAAGCCTTGTTATCTTGCCTATTTCTTCCTTCCTCTCATTTGCTCCTCCCTAAATGTCCATGTTGCTGTTGTTGGTAGCAGAGTCACTGTGACTAAGTCCACAGCTGGCTTAACATCTGCCCAGCAGGCTCTGGACACAGGCTGGCACTTCTTAGAAAGCACACGCTCCACATGATGACCAGCGCAGGGGTGGAGGAGCGCTATGCTTCCAGCCTGCACCCCTCTGACTCTCTCACAGGGAATAACCAACCCTGGTTATCTGGGGTGCATCTAACCTTTCCACAGGGCCTGGGAAGGCCACGGGACTTTAGTAAGCCCCAAAGCAACTTGCACCTTGATTTTAGAATCCAGCAGCCGTGAAAATACAGACAAAAGAAAAAATTTTGCCATGAAGGGGAGGAGGTAGTAGAGTGAGTTATTCATTCTCTGCTTCAGAAAATGAACTTAGTTTAGAAAACCATCCATGTGTAAGTCAGGAACAAGCACTGCTTAGGAAGGCCAGAGCTTTGGATCCTACCCAGGCTGGAGGAAGCGGCAGGTTGAAAGGAGGCCAGGTCTGTTTTCTAGTTCTTCATTATCTAAATACAAGCAGCAGCTTCCCCAGGAAGAACAGACAGAGACATGAGGGAGCCGGAGCCCCAGAGGGAGCTTGGGCACCCATTTTACAAATCCCTCGCTCTGCAGGGAGTCCTATGCCTGTCTCCAAAGAGCCTCATTATTCATGCCCAACGATAGGCAGGGACGGATGAAAGGCGAGGCAGCCCCAGCCACGGAGAGAAGCGAGCAAACCAAGGAGCTGGAATGGCAGCCTTCCCGGCCCTTTCCAAGGCAGCAGGGCCTTTCACTGGAGGCAGCTGGCTTATCTTAATCTCCAAACCCTTTCCTGGAAAACAAGCCCATCCTAGAAGGGCCAGAGGCCCAGAGGTAGCTGGAGTCAGTGAGTCAGGCTGGCAGCACGCAGCAGGTGGCAGGGGGTTTTGCAGAAAGGAGAGGCAGGCCATCTGCCTTCCCTTAGAGTGGGCCTCAGGCTGCAAGCACAGACTTGCAATCCAGAAGCCCAGCCTTTGTGCCCAGTGTCCTCAGCTAGGGAAGCCAGCAGTGACTATTTCAGAGGGGCAGCAGGGTGAGAATGTACAGGGTAAGGGTGAGAATGTACAGGGTGAGAATGTACAGGGTAAGGCCACTCTGGGTGGTTAGAGTGACAGACCTGGGACTTTAGCCACTTTAGCTACTAGTTGGGTGACCCTGGGCAAGTTACTGATCTTTACACACATTTCCTAACACATGAAAGCGGGTAATGCCACCTACCTCACAGGGTGCAGATTAAATCAGATAAAGTGCAAAAGATTCTTGGCCCGTAAGGTCTGCCCAATTATGGCTTCTGCCCTGTTAAGTGATCTTAGGCATTAGTAAAGAACCATTCCCGCTGCCCCAAAATACTACTGAGTCTGTTCCCATAGTAAAGTTTTACAGTCCCTGGGAGGGGTCCAGAGGAGATGCCCTGGATCTGTACGTGTGGCAGGGGCACTACCCACCACCTGCACACACAACCCTTCCCACCTCCAGCCCACCACACACTGCGCCAAAAGGCTGGTCCTACTTCCACAGCTGTAGCCCTGCTACTCATGGGAAAGGCTGGGGGCCCAGGCATCTGCCTCCTTCCAGATGAGCTCTGCACATGCCCGTAAGTCCCAAAGCTTGCTGTAACCCACAAGGTTTCTCCCTGTCTGGACACAGGTCAGCCTCCTGCCCACTCACAGGGAGGCAGAGCCCATTCCCACTGGGACCACTCCCCTGGCTTGGCAGAGACTATGCTGCCACCTCCAGGAAGACAGCTCACTGCTGCGAAGCCCAGGTTTCCAGCCTCCAGCCCAACACCCAGTACTCGGGCTAGAGGTCTGATTAGGACTTCAGTCGACAGTGTTCTGTTGGGGACAGTCTGCTGATTTCAGGTTGCAAGTGCAGTTTTGCATGTGAGACTAACACGTAATGTGCACCACACGACGATTATTATTATTATGGTACAGCGACAGGAGACTTTCGTCACAAAGCAGTCTGGGGGTTGGGAAGATAAATGTTCCCTGAAAACCACCCAAACTCGAAGACTTGCTGATGTTGCCCCAAAACCACTTTCCATACAGTGAGAGAGTGGGGAGGCCCAATGACCAAGCAGAGCAGCCACCCCACGCAGCTCAGACTCAGAGAAATCAGGGTGGCCTGGCAGCAAGGGAGCACTCAGGATAAAATGAGAGATCCAAAGATCACAGCAGTAAGTGGCACCAAAGCAGCCAGGCTAGAGGAACAGCTAAGATTTCCTGGCCAGCCACGTCCATGAGACCCGTGGCTTCCATGGCTCACTTCATCTCCACCTGCCTCTGACTGCTGTGCTCAGGATGGAGGCAGGCAGCAGGCTGTCGAGTTGCATGGAAACCGGCCATTGAAGGGGAGATCTGGATGACTGGGAGTCCGTAGGAGCCCCTAATACAGGGACCAAATTAAAGACCTATGTCCTCTAGGACGTGTAAGGCTGGGTGAGAGGCAGCAGAGTGTGAACTCCAGAGCCAGACCCAGAATCCAATTCCAGTTCCCCCACATCCTACCACATGCCCTTGGTTAGGTTAGTAACCTCTGCCTGGGTTGCCTCACTTGTCACAACAGGACCTACTCAGGGGATGATCGTGAGGATCAAGTGAGCCAATAGGCATAAAGGGCTTAGGCAATGCCTGGTACCTAGCAAGTGAGTGCAACACATTAGCTGTGGAATTATATATGGTCTCAGGGAAAACAGTGGGTATGGACTGCAGATAGAGAGCTAGCAAAGCACAAGGAAAAACAGACACGTTTGGCATCACATAAATATATGAAGGACTTAATATTGACAGGTCATTTCCACTTAGTTTCATAACGATTTTGTAGCCCTACTGTAAGCACCTAAAGGTCCTAGACCGTGGCCTAAACCTTGTTCACCGGCGGTTCCTGTCCCACACTGGCAGGTGCTAATTGTGGGCTGGCTACTTACTCTATGTGCGGCTGATGGCAAAATGCCCAACTTCCCTGAGACTTAGCTTCCTTACCTCCCAAAAAACCAGTTTCCACCTTTCTTCAAAAATTGTTTAATTGCATTTACCCTGCAAACCTCTGGAATCACATTTCCCATCCCCTGGGAGTTGTTGACAACTGTTGTGAGACCAAGTAAGATCCTGCGCAGTGGGAACCTTGCAACCTTCCCCCCACACTACCTTCAACTTACTGTTGAATGTCTCTCCGACTTGCACTTCTCTTAGCTTTCATAACCAGTGAGGGGCACACACTCCAGCCTTTCTTTATTGACGGAGATGGGCTGGGCCTTGGTCATGCCTGTGAAAGTCAGTGACAATCTTTAGCCCTGTGTATTCGGCAGGTCTGAGGGCAGGACCAAGGCATGTGGATCCCTCTGCAAAGCCTAGAACGTCTGAATTTGGGGCTGTTACACCCCTGAGAGGAACCTGTCAAGTCATTTCTCCCCAATCATTTGAAGATTTAGAACAGAAACATTTCCGGCTAATGACAGTCTTCCAACAAAGACAGGCTCCCCGTAACTATCCACAAGCTCAGAGGAGGAATGCTGAGAATGTGAAGGAAATGAACTGCCGGCCTGGGGGACGTTTTTCCTTTGGCTCTGGGCCTCCTGAGTCACATTCTTCCTGAGGGCGTGAGGGAAAGGTATCCGCTCAGAATCTCATTTCCACCAAGAGGACTTCAGCTGAGGGGCCAAATAAAGAGGCCTAAATACAAAAGCAAATAATGCTAAAAAGGGTGACTTTTACTACAAATTAGAAAATTATGTACCTCATCATACATGACTTTAAAAAAAAAAAAAAAGGAAACAATCTATACAAAGGCTTTGCATTTACTAAAATTAAAAAATCTCATTTACATTAGGTTACCCCTTCCAATTAGAACCAGGAGAATCAGTGCTGCTAGAGAGCTGGAGGGACAGGTCATCCACATTGACCTGGAGGCAGAGGCGGTTGTGGACAGAGCTCTGGACAGGACACAGCAGTGAACTGCGGCAGCTCAATGAAGGGCTGCTCTGGTGGGTGGGCAGTGTGGCAGGAACCCACCAAGGTAGGGACCCAGAGAGGAACAGCAAGAGAAAGCCATGACCCGCCCTTAGAACTGGAGGCTGAAGGAGAGATCACCCAAGTCCCAGGGGAGCCCACTTGAAAGTGCCACACAGAGCAGGGAGTGATGCAGACACATCCAGAATTCCACCTGCTCCCACTGGCTGAACCCAACCAGAGTGGCCATCAGGGAACCCATGGCCTGTATGGGTCAGCCTCCAGGGGACAGGGCAAAGAATAGACAGATCTGAGGACAATGATCATCATTGGTCCCCTTCCATGAGGAAGCTGCTTTGGTTTCTGTAAAATAGAGACTGTGGTGCCTGCTATGGGCCTGGTGTGAGATCAAGAGAGATTATGGGCCAACTAGGATTGCAGAAGACCTCGAATTTAGGAAAAGGGGTAAACAGGGGGCTCCTGCTTATTCTGTAATTAACATTGAACATGCTTCCTCTTTTGCCATGTTCTGGAACGGGCAGTTTGGATTTCTCAGAACATCACAAGAATCCAGAGCCATTAATTCCCTCAGCATTCACCACTGACCAGTCCCCACCCTTCTGTTTCAGAAACCGGTCCCAGGGCTGGAAGGCCTCCAAGTTCCACTTCCCTCAGTAGCTCCCAGCCACTCACCTTGGCAGTTTCTTAAAGGACACAGAGCCAAGCTCTGGAGAAAACAAAGAAGTCACAATCACAGGAGAGTCAAAATTCCCATTGGGTGACAGCGTTTATTGAAAGGAAATCTTGCTTTATCCAGGAATTCACTCACATGGAGGTAGCTGCAAGGAGAATGTCTCTTTCTCATGACAACCAAAGCGACCAAACCATACCCTAAAGCAGAGACGCAATGGAATAAGTCAACGGGCATTGTAGAACGACACTCAGAAGCAGGAAAAACCATAAAAGATACAGGATGATTGTCTCTTCAGTATTGCATTTGGCCATGTATGTGTTTTTACATAAAATATATGTTTTCTTTTTAAGCTAGCTAAAGAAAATACTCTTGATCGGGGTTAGTTCTTAAAGCAAAAAACAGAAGAAAAGTATGTATATATAATAAAATTAAAGAACGATAGCATGTTATACCTGGAAAGGACCGTGGGCACTAATCTGCACTTTGTTCCAGGTAATCCATGGCTCTGAGAGTGAGCACACTGTCAAAGTCACTGGGGTGAGATGAGCCGGGACTTGAAAACCCTTCTCTTAACTTTCAGTCTCAACTCTTCCCACTCCACTATACCGCATGCGTTGCCAACTCCCTCAGAGTGTAGGATAGCGCAATTGTCAAAACGCATAACAGCCTATTTTTAGGGTAATGATGCAAGTGTTTTGAAAAGTGACCTGTGTTCTCTTTGCATGGGCAGTTTTGCTTCTTGTAGCCAGCCCCATGGCTACTGGAAAGAACTGGCCAGAATGAGGGGCAGCTACTTTCTCACAAACCAAAACAGACACACACTCCCAAAGTTCTTGGGTGTGCTGACCTTCCCCAGCAGCGTCTCTAGGTATGAGTGGGCTGAGGCTTCTCTCAGCAGGCTTACTGGCAGATGTCTAACGATGGGAGAAGCAGCAGGGAAATTATGAACATATTGAGGGTCAAAGTGAGCTCTAGGGAACCAGGCTTGTTGCGTCCTCAGAAGGACAGACAGAGGGCTGAGTACAGAGGTGCTCAACCTCCATGTCGATTTGATTGTCATTTATCACCCCCTTTCCTGACACTGAGCTCCAGGAGGGGAGGAATTTTTGCCTGTTTAATTCACTGCTGTATTCTGTGTGCCAAGGACTGTGCCTGACACATCACCGATGCCCAATAAATATGTGCTAAATGAATGAATGACTAAAGGGAGGAATCGGCCACACCCCACATAAGCAGGCAGAGGTGAGAATCACCCCTGGCTGTGGTGAGGATGACAGTGACCCTGTAGATGTGGAAGGGGCTTGGCTGTCTGGCTCCAGACTCCCACCCTTAAACTGGGCTGACCACTCTGAAACCTGCCGGGTGGGCTCTGACCTGGCACAGGTGGGACTCCATGGCTACTGTCATGGAGTCCTCTGGCCCACAGGCCCCCACCCTATTGGGATGGTTGGGGACACTGCTGAAGCAGCTGAACACTACCATCTCTGCCACATATATGTCACCAACTCACAGGGTCCTCTCCCTGACCATGTCCTGTCCCATATTCTGACCTGTGGAAGCCCAGCTGTGACTGGGCCTGGCCTGTGGGCATGCCTGGGGACTGTCACATTGTGAAGTGACACAGGAAGGCCAGGAGGGAGTCCCTGGATATGTAGCATCCTCCCGATGCTATGCTCCCTGAAATTCCTCTCCAGCCATGTGGCCTGGCCCCCAGACCTCAACCACTCCCTGCCAGCCTGCTGCTGGCGATGTCGCTTTGTTCCAGGAAGTTGGAAGGAGTCCTCCAGTTTGCACAGACACGCCTCTGCCTGACTTCTGTTTCTTTCTTCCCTTCCTCGACATAACCCTGAGATCCTGCTCAATCCACCTCTTGCCCACACATCCCCCAGCTTTCAAGAACTTCTCTGTCTTCCTTCTCACACTGGGCCCCATACCCACATCTGCCTATCTCCTCTCTCATCTCCCTTCCCCCATGACCTTACCAGACACCTCCCACCTCATTCTCACACCTAAGTCTATGAACCTTTCCCCCATACCCTCTTATTCCCCCGATCCCAAAAGCTTGCTGTGGGACATGACCACACAGCCCTATCCTTCCAGAAACGGCCTCATTTGTTTAAGGCCTTACCTACAACTCTCCCTACCCAACCTGTGTAAAAGAAATTGCAATCAGTGACTGGGAACAGGTCTCAGAACAGTTCAGAAATTATAACAGAATTCCAGATAAACTAAGCAAACAAGGCCATAGCTGCAGTCACAGACACAAGCAACCTTCTGGCTTTCCCCTGTGCCAGTGACTTGTTTACCCAGACCATGTGAACTGCTATGCTCAGTCTTAGCTGTCCATGACCACTACAATTCTTCTTTTCCAACTTTGGTTTCCAAACTGGTCTTTGACTTTATTTGACTTTCTCTCTCTCTCTCTCTTCTCACCTCTGCTCCTCAACACTTAAAATCTAATAGCTTCATATTTTAAAAAAGAATACTCAATGGCTGGGCGTGGTGGCTCATGCCTGTAATCTCAGCACTTTGGGAGGCTGAGGCAGGTGGATCACCTGAGGTCAGGAGTTCAAGACCAGCCTGACCAACATGGTGAAACCCCGTCTCTACTAAATACAAAAAATTAGCCAGGAGTGGTGGTGGTCATCTGTAATCTCAGCTTCTTGGGAGGATGAGGCAGGAGAATCACTTGAACCAGGGAGGCAGAGGTTGCAGTGAGCCAAGGTTGCGCCATTGCACTCCAGCCTCGGCAACAAGAATGAAACTCCATCTCAAAAAAAAAAAAAAAGAATACTCAATATAGATGCATGAACTTTACAAACCAGCCACCCTACCAAGCCTCCATCACATTCCAAACCCAACAGCAGCAGTTCGTGAGAAGGTCTGGTTTAAAATATGTACAAGCTATACATGGTTTCCTCCCTGCACAGTGCTATTAAGTAAGTCCTAGCCTTCTGGACCCTTTGTCTTGGCAGGGGGAGTGATGAGGGGGCAGGGACAGCAATGCAAATAGTGGCTGTGGAACAGGGGCCTCAGCCTACCAAAGTGTATCTCTCACAACACCCCAGTGGGTGGTGGCTCCTGGTCCTCAGGCATCCCAACATTTTAAACTGCAAAAGCTCTCTGTCGAAGACCCACTGAGAGACCCTGGCGAGGAATGTAACACTGAGGAGCTGGCATGCTGTGCAAAGAGGCTGTGATTGGTCTCAGTGGCAGACAGATGCTCCCCTCCCTGCCTCCCACTTTGGGTGGCTGCAGCTCCTGCAGGAATGACAGGTACTTCCACAGCCCGGGAGAGCACTCAGATCTGGCTGGCGACGGTGCTGTCCTTGGAGAATGTGTAGCTCACAGGCGCCTCATAGAGGCTTCCCCCATCCGTGCTGAGGTCATCGTCGTCATCCATGTCATCCAGCACTTTACTCGGCAGCTTCTTCAGTCTGCTGAAATGACAAGGGGCATGTTTCCTGGCCCTGGGCCGGGGCCCATAGCTAATTTGGACTTAAAGGGAGGGTTTTGGGTTGCTGTCCCTGCACCCCACTGAGTGGCACAGAAAAGAAACACATGAATGTAACAGGTCTCCACCTGATGGCCCCTTCAGCCACAGGGAGTCCACCGCCCCCATTTCGGCACGGAAAGCCTGTGCTGGTGGGGTGGGCCAGGCTGGGATAGGATCAGTATTGTTGATTTCCCCAGGCTGTTATTATTGATCTTGTCTTAATTTAAAATTTTGGTATCTTGTTCACCATGGATTGCATGCATTATCTTTTAAATATTGCATTAAAATGTTATCTATCTTAATTATTGAGATTTTTGGTGCCCTCTTAAATGCTGCACCCTAATGCCAACCTTGGGGCCAGTGACCTGATAGGCCCTGTTTTACAGGACTCTCAATGGGCTGGAGCCTTCTGTCCATTGATGAGAACTACCCGGGCAGCCAGCAAAGAGCCCCACGTCACAGCCAGCCTCCAAGAAAGGCTCAGCTCTATGGATTACCATGAACCTAATCTCATGAACCTTACCTCATACCCCGGGGAGAGACCCTAGAGCAGAAAAAGCAACCCACAAAGTCCCCAACCCTGCATTCCACGTCCCCATCCTTAGGACCACGGCAGACAGCTTCAGAGAGCTGCTCTCTCCTGGAAACCAGGCTTGGGGAATCCTAGTCCTCTTGAGGATACAAACCAGAACTTCACCTTATTTCTCCCTAAGTCAGAAAAAAGCCCAGGATGGCCCAGGAACTGCCCCTCCATGATGGTGTGAGCTAGTCTTATCTGCCCTAAGCCTCTGTTTCCCCTTATGATCAACAGGGATGATATCTACCCAGCTCAGCTGGCATTGGGGCATTGGTATAAGAATGACATGCATGAGACCCTACTGCCCATGTAAGGTGACTAAAGTGGACACAGCCACCTTCATCTCTAAGATACGATAACCCCAAAAGCAACAATGAGGAGCTGGCTTGAGACAACAGGAGTGTGAATGCTCTGAAAGCAGAGCCTGTCTCAACTGTGGGGAGATTACCCGGCCCTCTGTGGCCTCCACACCTGCCCACCTTAAGTCCTTCTTCATGGAGTTGAGCTGCCCCTGCAGATGCTCATTCATGTCCATCTGCTCCTCCAGCTCCCTCTGCAGCTTCTTTTTAGAACTTTCCAGTCTGTCGATTTCCTCCTCAGCCTCCTCCACCTGCCGCTTCATGGCTTTCAAACGCAAGCTCAGCTGCACCGGGAGAGAATGTGGGCTGAGTGCCGGCTGATGGCCCAGCCCCAGCGCTCAGCTTACCCCAGGTCCAGCCACCATCTCCCCAGGCAACCAAGACATGGGCAATGGGGCAGCCAGTCTCTTGGGAAACATGGAGAGCAGGCACTAAGACAGGGTGACTCTTTAAAGCCAAACTCAGGGTGTAGAATTTGCTGATATCCCCTAATTACGTAGGCAAGAAGCCCCCATTTGATGATGTGACTGGGTGCGTGGAAAGGGAGGAATCAGCCCACTCACACTCCACTCCTGCTCAGGGAGGCCTTGCCTCCCTTGCTCCCTCAGCCTGAGACACGCAATCTCATCTAAGAGCAAATGCACGCAGAGGCTCCCCACCTGGTCCTTCTGATCAGTCAATGACAGGTGCTCATCATCCACCTGCATCACCAGCTCCTTCACTTTCCGCTCCAGCCGCCGGTTGCTGAGCTGAAGATTGGCCCGATCCCTGGAAGAGGGGAGACAGAACCAAGAACCCTCTCACTCCCATCCCTGCAGGGGGCCCAGCCTAGGCTGTGGAGGAGGGGAAGCTCCAGCCAGGGGTGCCTGGTCAGCTCAAGGCTTAGGGTCAGGGAAACACAACTTCACAGCAGAAAAAGCTGCTTGTGAGAGACGTGAGGAAATGGGGCTCTGAGAAGGGGAGTGACTGGCCCAAGGCTTCAGAGCCAGCAAGGGGCTGAGCCATGGCTCGACCTGCCCGGAGTTTCTGAGCTTTACTTTGTAAGGCAAGAAGTCACAAACTGCAGATGTCTTGGGTCTACTCCAGGCTGTTCTGGCCTGACTCCCCAAAAGTCCAACTAACACAATAGATAATGTAAAGTGTCAAATGCCGGCACACCACGCTCCTTCTAGGAAGGTGAGGGGCTGTGAGTCAGAACGACTGCTGGAAGGCTGCTCAAGTTGAACCTGGTGCTGGCCCTCGGGCTGCCATTAGAGAGTTAGCTGCAGAGAACTGAGTTGCTGGAAAGGAGTGTGCTCACTTGATCCCATGTCCCTCCCACACACTGCGGGAGGACCTGCCCCATCTCTGACTGGTGGCTAGTCAGCCTCTGCTTAAATACACCTGGCCGCCAGGGCAGAGTCAGCCTTCTGGCCTCTAACGTGGCTCAAACTCTGTAGCTTCCAAGGCAGCCTGTCCTATTTAGAGAACGGGAAAAGGGACAGCAAGTACAGTGGCACCACCATAGACTGAGAAGTGGGGGTCCTAAACTTTTACCCAGCTACACCAGTATCCAGCCAGGCTACCTTACTCAAGTCACTTATTTTGATGGGTCTCTGTTTTCCCACCTATAAAATGGAAATAATAAAAGTAAGGGTGTAGTTGCTCTGCCTTCCTCACAGGCTACGAGGATCAGGACAGATCCCAAATGTGACAACACATTGCGATGGGACTGTCACTGCCCACTGGGGCCTCCGCACTGCAGTGGGTGGGCCCGGCTCACCTCTCCTCACTCTCCAGGCGGTCCTCCAGCTCCGCGATCCTGGCCTCCATCTGCACAACCAGCCCCTCTTTGCTGGACCTGTAGGAACCTTCCAGGTGGATAATCCGGCTCTTTAAGTCCTTGTTCTGGAACAACACAGGGAGACTGTGAGGGGCTATGTGTCTGCCACGCTCTGTGCAGAGCAGCGAAGAATATGGGGCAGAACCTGGTGTTTGGTCGCTGCATGCGATGAGGCTGCTTTCCACACCAGGGCCTGTGGCCTGGAGACCTGGGGAACACAGAGATGTTTCCAAGGAAAACCCCTGAACTCAGCTGCAGGCCAGAAGAAGAAGTTCTATCACACTCCCTCATAAGCCTGAATGAAACCTTTGCCATGTCCTAAGACTCCCGGATGTCAAACGGGCTTTGCCTTGCCCTATAAACCTACAGGGGGACAGGAGAAATAGGCTCCTTTGCCAGTCCTGTGCAGTGAAGAACATGAACAGAAATCATGAAAAAGAAATAATGACCCGATGAAGTTTTCTGAGCCACTCATGTGTTTGATGACGTGGATTCTTTTTCATTCTCTTTACATTAGAATTTAGCCCTCTTCAGGATCTAGAAAATAACACATGCAATTCCTCCTCCCTCAGCTGCCAAGCTTCCATGCAGATTTCATATGACCGGGAAAAACAACTCTGGAAAAGGACTGTTACCCCCCAGAGTTCTTGGGATGCCAAGTAAAGGAGGGACCTCCAAGGGCTTCTAGTTCAAAGCAGTGAAGTGGGGGAGGGTTAGCGGATGGACGGGGGGGCAGCTCACAGGCTGGCTGCCCTCACCTGCCTCTCCAGGGAAATCTTGTCGCACTCCAAGTCTTGTCTCGCAGCTCTCTCCTGAAGTAGCTCATTCCTCAACTGCTCCATCTACAGCAAGCAGAACAAAAGCCCAGAGGTTAGAAGGACTGTTCCTGTATCTTTTGTACTGAAATGGTGGCAAGGAACTGAATGTCAACCTCCACTTTATGAAGGGGGTTGCCCTACCCAGCCCCTCGTGCCATCTGCTCTGGGGTACGGGATCTGTTTCTTAGTTCTTTCTTGGTTTCTTGATGATTGCAATACTGGTAATACAAATAACAGTAAGAGTCAAAGCTAGCCCTGCTGTTAGGGGTTGAACTGTGTCCCCTCAAAAAGATATGTTGACGCCCTAATCCCCAGTACCTCTGCCGTGACCTTATTTGGAGATGGGGACTTTAGAGAGGTAATCAAGTTAAAAATGAGATTATTAAGGTGGGCCCTAATCCAGTATGGCTGGTGTCCTTTAAAAGGGGGAAATTTGGATGCAGAGACAAACACGTACACAGGGAAGACGGCCACGTGAAGATGGACACAGGGAAGTGGAGATGGAGGATTGGGGTGATGGGTATACAAGCCAGTGATTACCAAAGATTGCCAGAAACCACCAGAAGCTAGGAGGAGGCAAGGAATCATTTCCCTACTGGTCTCAGAGGCAGCATGGCCCTGGTAACACTCTGATTTCAGATTTCTGGCCTCCAGAACCATGAGACAATAGATTTCTGTTGTTTTAAGGCACCCAGGTTGTGTTACTTTGTTACAGCAGCCCTAGAAAATTGGCACACCTGCTTAGACTCCACAGGTAGGATCCTATGACACTCACAAACAACCCTCAGAAGGAGCTAACAGTATCTCTCTGAGGATACTAAGGCTTCCAAAAGTCAATCAACTTGCAGGGTGACCCACTGTCTAAGTTTGCCTGGACTGAGGATGTTCTCAGGCTGTTTCCATGCTGAACTGGGACAGTCCCAGGTGAACCAGGATGAGTCAGTCACTCAACTTCCCCAAGAGGTACATAACGAGGAATGGGGGAGCTAGCATTCACCTGTGCTCCTGACTGCTGCATTATAAGCTCAAACTCCAGAAGCGGCTTCCCAGAGCCATGAGCATATCTCAGACACTGCTAGATTTCTCCTTTTTTATGCCAGAAACAAAAGTCAGTAAGAATGCTGAGCAACATCAGACGACCTGACAAAGGCTGAACACTCCTGAGGGTTTCCTCTATGCTCAGGAAAGGAGCCTCGCTGTGTAGCACCAGGGAAGAAATCCCATCGCCTGACCATCAGCATCTCTTCTCCCAATTCCCAGTGGCTTGTGCAAGAGTAAAATGAGTTATGAGGCGGAGGCTCCAGACCCTGTTGCCAGAACTGTCCAGCAGAGGGCAGCCTGAAGAAGCCAGAAGAATCAAGCTAAGCCAGTAAAATAAAACCACCTTTTCCTTCTTAAGGATGAAAACGAATTCCAGGATCCAACGTGGCTAAGAGGTACACACACAGCCCCAGACACCAGGGCCTGGAGAGCATCTGACACAGGCTTACTTGGCCTGGCCTCAAGTTGAATTTCGCCACCTGTACAAGCACCCCAGTGAGTAAAAGATAAGCTCACCCCTTCCTCACTGTCCCCCATGGAGAGCAAGAACTGGGGTCCCAGGAATGGCCAGAGGAGACATCCCACATTGGGCCAGGCTTGCATTTGCTCCCTGGCTCCCCTTGTCCTGACCGAGGTGTGTCACACAGCATGATGTCACTGGCCCAGAGTGGGCAACGGGGAAGGGGGCTAAATGATGCTGGTGGGACAGGCAGGGTTGGGACACAAAGGCCTCCAACACCACAGGGGGAAGCTGGGCCTCTGCCCCTAGGTGAGGGGGTACCAGGTGGTCCAAAGAAAATGCTCACATTTTAAAATTCCTAACTGGCAGGCATCTAAATCATGGAGGTTCAGAATGTTCAGCAGAGGAAACTGAGGCCTACGGCAGCGGTTATGCAAGTAACCTCAGGAGCAGGGCTAGAGACAGGCTGAGCCCCTGCACTGCCCATTACTTCATGGCTCTGTCTCTGGACCATCTAAGTGAAAAGGATTCCAATAGGCCTAGAGTTCAAATGCAGCTGTAGCATAAACATCCGGGCACAGAAGGGCAGTCCAGCCTCCTTAGGGCATCTTGCATAGAGAAGGGAAAAATGCCAGCAGTGGCCAGGACCAGCAGGCAGGGCACGTCCACCCAACTCAGGCCCGCTCCCACTCTGCTGGGCCCCAGGGCCCTCACGAATCACACACTGCAAAGAGGGCACCAGAACAATTGCTGTTACTGTTACCCCAGCACAAAGTGCAAGGGGAATGAATGCAGGCTCACGGCCCTGCTCCCAAGGTGGTTTCTGAACCAGCCACTGACACCTCACACATGGAGGTCAGCAGAACAGCTGGGCCACGGGACTGAGGACAGACGTGCCTCCCAGGGGCAGCCGTTCTGTTCATGTGCCCAGGGCAGGGCCCAGCACTTCACTGAGGACATGGTTAAATTTCCACTGCAATGGGAAACAATTACAGAGAAAAACAGCAGTGGCCTAACTTGTCCTGCTGGCTCTGTCTGTCCCTCACCTGTGACCTTGTTGATCTAACTTCTGGGATACAGGCTCCTAAGCAAGGAACTTGATTGAATGAGACACGCTGTAAGGGCCCCCGAGCTGGCCAATGATACAATAAAAGCACAACCTGGTGCCTCCTCTACCCTTCAGGGTACTGTGTGGCACCCTTCTGAGGAAGCCAGAGGCGCCTGCCTCCATCCTTAGGCAGAGCAGCCACCCCGTCTCTCAACCATTAGGAGTTTCCCCTGGGGAAAACCCACATTGTCATAATGAGAGCAAGCATGTGTCTGCGAGTGCACACGCTTGTGTGCTGGGCAAGGGTAGTCTCAGAACGATAGGATGGGTTTGTTCGCTGTTCAAACGACATGATGTGTCTTATGCAGGACATTGTGACAAAGAGACCCAGAAAGTGCCCGCTCTCCATATAGCCTAGTGGGGGACAAATGAACGAGCCCTGCATAAGAGGTCAGTGTCACTATGACAGGAAAGGACAGTGTGCTGGGGTGGGTGCACTGGGTGACTGCCCAGATTCAGAGGGCCAGCAAAAGCTTCCAGGACACAGACAGTAAGCTGAAACCTAAATGAGATCAGGGATAGACAGGGTAGAAAAAAGGGTAATATGGTTTGCCTGAGTCCCCACCCAAATCTCATCTTAAATTGTAGTTCCCACAATCCCCAGTGTCATGGGAGGGACCCAGTGGGAGGTAACTGAATCACGGGGGCGGGTCTTTCCCATGCTGTTCTTGTGACAGTGAATAATTCTCATGAGATCTGATGGCTTTATAAAGGGAAATTCCCCTGCACATGGTCTCTTTTGCCTGCCGCCATGTAAGACATGACTGTGCTTCTCATTCACCTTCAGCCATGATCATAAGGCCTCCCCAGCTATGCTGAACTGTGAGTCAACTAAACATTTATAAATTGCCCAGTCTCAGGTATGTCTTTATTAGCAGCATGAGAACAGGCTAATACAATGGGCAGGGTAGGGAATGCAGCTTTCAAAACCGGAAGGGGGCAGACCACCAGTAACACAGAGTAGGAGGTAAGAAAGAGAAGGGCAGTGTTGGAAGGAATTAGCCATATGAGGGAGGTGAGGGGGCAGGTTAAGCAATCGATGGATTGGGTGGAGAGGAAGACAGAGAGTAGTCACACAGGACCCAAAATCATACTGTGACAGCTGCTCACAGATTTATTGTGCTTAGGAAAGCAAGTCCTGCGGATTTGAATAGTATTATCTCATTTACTCCTGGCCACCACCAATGAGGTAGGCAGTGTTAACATCCCCATCTGTGCTTAGATTCCTCCTGGTGATGCATGTGGGGCCAACTGGGCGATGCCGGTGGAAGCCACAGAACAGGTGAGCCCACCAAGGAGCAATATATAAAGAATAAGGAGGATCTGCAGCTGTGCCCTGGGGATCCCCTCCAACCCCCCATGTCAGGGGAGGCAGGGAGAATCCAGGATCTATCCCAAAAGGCAAGAAGGGCAAGGACTGCCGGTAAAGCACACAGGCTGGACAAGAACCAAGTTTGCTTCTGGAAGGGTCTGCAGAGAGGTGAGCCTGACTGCAAAGCTCAGAGGAGGCGCTGGAGGTGAAGAGGTGGGAATAGACACCACACTTCTCCTCTGGAATCCAGCAGCGACTAAGACAGCAGCTATGACCCAGGGCTGGAGGGGGCACGAGGGTGTGCAAGAAATGCCCACACCTATTGTTAGGTGTCAATGAGAAGCCACAGAGGAGAGAAAAGTCACAACCAGTGGACATCGAGAAGGGAGTGTCACAGGAGAGCAGCCACCCAGCAAGTGGAGGGACAGGATCCAGCCCTGTCTTGGGGTCAGAATGTGGGTGGGGAGAGGAAGAGGATCCTCCAGGGCTTGGTGGAAGGCAGGAGCCTGTAGCTCAAAGGGAAGGTAGAGGCAAGAAAGGGACGGAAGGTAGATTATTTTCCGAAAAGTGAAGGGATAAAGAAAAACTGAAGGCTTGTAGAGAGACAAAGAAATCTAGTTGCTGTGGAGTGTGCGCCTGAAAAATACCAGAAGACAATAAACGGCCAGCAGAGCAGAGGCAGGCATCGCTCTGCAGCTGTGCTCCCGGCCAGGAGACCCAGAGGGGAAACACCAAGAATCAAGAGCCCCTCAAGCTGGGCGCTGGGCGGGAACTCTCCGAGGCAGATGTTATCACCCTGAGTTTCCAGGTGGGAGGTCCAGAAACAGCTTCTGAGTCAGAGTTAGGTGGAAGCAGCTTTGGGATTCCAACCTAGGTTTTCTGACAAAAACTCATACACTCTTTTTTCCCCTCCCCGTTGTGTCTTCGCAAACCTGTAGGACCTAGGACTCTCAATAAAGGAAGAAGACCCACAAGGAGAGTTTAGACCGGGACTGTGGAGCCCAGAAGGAGAACGTGTCTATGGTGGAGTGAGGCAGAGTGCAGAGAGCGCATGGAGGGATTCCAGGATGGCCAAGTGGTCACGCAGCCCTGGGCCCAGCCTGGGGGTTCAGGACAAATCCTGCCACATAAAGCAGCAGCCACTGGCCACAGTCTTGCACCCTCAGTGCCAATGTCTGAAAAATCTGGATCCCACCAGGAAACAGACTTCCCTGTGCAGAGCAGCACTTAGCATGGCAGCATCCCCAAGGGTCCCCACAGGTTCAAGACCTCCCTGGAGGGCCCCTGGAGAGCCCCAGGATAATGGTGACTCTCCAAAGGGGGGCAAAAAAAGGAATTATTTATCCCCCACCATAGCCCCTTAAAAGATGGCTATTAAAATGGAAATGTAAAATAAATCAGAGTGAAGAACAGGAAGGAATAAATGTGTAGCCATAAAACTTAACAGTTACTGTGACCTGAGCAGGCAGTCCATTTCCTTCAGTCTTTGCAAACCCAGGCTTTTGGCAAACATAATAGGCTTCCTTTTGTTCTTCAAAGGACAGCCTGACATGAAATTCTAAAGTAAATCCACCATGTGGAGCCTTATACAAGAAATACTATGTGGTATTATGGACAATGCCCCAAGAAGGATGGGTTTCAACATAAACCCAGAAGTATCCTATGTGTCCCTGCTGTTAGCTGTCCTCAGTGCAGTGATCCCAGGACTAGGCCCCTTGACTTGGGAATATCGTAAATCAAATTCTTACCCTGAGCCCACACTGGCACCTGCCCTGGGGCGGGGGGTGGCGGGGAGGAGGGAAAAACCTATGGCTTGGCTGAGCCAGCCTCCTGGACCAGAGAAGAGTAAACTCAAGGCTGGGAAAGTATTTCTTTATATAAGCTTAGTGCTTTCTATGTTGTTTACCCTTCAACTACATTAAATAGCACAAACAAAAACTTTCCAGTCAAATTAAAAACAGAACAGGAGCTGAAGGCAAAAGTATATCACAGCTGGATTGAAAGAATGCTAAGCCCTGAGCATTTTGATCAGAAATCACAGTATCAGATTCCAGTGGGTTTTATGTCAGAGATACCCATGACCTGAGCCAGCTCTCAGAATTGTAAGTAGCTGCCTTTTGGGTTAATGGAAAGCCAGAGCTATTTGTGATGGCCAATAACAATACTGAACCCCATCACCTGTGTTTATCATTGGGCTGTAAAGAGGTCGGCAAGCCCACACTCCTGGCTGGCATTAAAAATAATAACCACAAAAAAGGAAAATTGTTATTAATCAACTGTACACACTGGGTTTTTGAGCAGCTGATACAATAAAAGGCAGTTCTGAGATTAGGAGCATTTCAATTAAAAAAAAAAAGAAGAAGAAAACCCCCCTCTGATCTTTCACTCACAACTGCAAAGACGACGGTCCCATTTAGCAGGGGTGGCACCCCTGATGCTGACTGAGGAGCAGTTCCCGAAAGTGACTGTAGGAGCCCACAACTCTATCACTGGCATTTAATCCTGCAGTTGCCGAGGCAACAAGGCAGCCTTGCTCAGTCCCTGGAGAGACCATGAAGCCACCCAAAGCTCGAGTTGGTATTTTTCCTGCCTGCCAGCTGCCTGGGCTTGATGAGTCATCTCTCCACTGGGCTGGGTCATCATGGTCTCCATAGCCAAGAGAACGCCTTCCCATGTAGGCCCAGCTCTGCTGTGAAGCATTTGCAGCAGTGCTTATCGAGCCAGCACAACAGCCTATTGGCCTTTAATTTAAAGCATATGAAGCCGGACCTCTCTTTGGCTATTTGAATCCTGCACTCATAAAGAATCAGGAGAGGATCAGCTGAACTTAACTCCTCACCCATTTTAAGAAACACCACTTTTAACTTGGGAATGGAGACCCAAATGCATTTGAAGGAGTGGTCTTTAAGACCATGACATAGTCTCATTCAGGGACGATGGGAATAGGCAAGAGGCTTTGGAGTCAAACTGTGACTCCACCTCCTACAAACTGTGTGACCCTATGTAGTCACTTCACCTTGAAAGCCCTGAAAACAACAAGAAAGTGAGTGAGGCACCCAGCACAGTGCCTAGCACTTAGGGAATCATTGGTAAGGATGGCAATTGTCATAAATGGAAACATGGTTTTTGGAGGACGGAAAGGAAAAAGGATTACTCTGGATTTAAACAGACCAAACGCCAGCAACTTCAACTTCTTTCAACTTATAAGCCAATCAGAAACCTTTCTGTATATGATGGGACTATACTTGGGTGAGAAAACAGATACTCCTTACTTCTATTTCATAAAGAAGATATCATTTTATCAACTCCAAATCCATCCCTTCTCCTTCATAGCAGTCAGACTTGAAAACAAAGTCCAAACATCCAAGAGGTTTGAAAAACGTTTCTCTCTCAATTAGGATTTCCTGAATCCATCACTCTGAATAATATTGTCCTGAGCATGTAAAGGAAGCCCTTAGAAAGGCTGTGATATGGTTTGGCTGTGTCCTCACCCAAATCTCATCTTGAATTATAGCTCCCATAATCCCCACGTGTTGTGGGAGGGACCCAGTGGGAGGTAACTGAATCACGGGGGTAGGTTTTTCCTGTGCTGTTCTCATAATAGTGAATAAGTCTCATGAGATCTAATGGTTTTATAAAGGGCAGTTCCCCTACACACACTCTTTTGCCTGCCGCCATGTAAGACATGCCTTTGCTCCTCCTTTGCCTTCTGCCATGATTGTGAGGCCTCCCCAGCCATGCTGAACTGTGAGTCCATTAAACCTCTTTCCTCTATAAATTATCCAGTCTCAGGTATGTCCTTATAGCAGTGTGAGAACGAACTAATACAGGCTGGGAACTTATAAACAACATGGCCAGCATTTAGTGAGTGCCAAATGTATGCATAAGAGAAAGAAAGAATGGAGGCATGGAAAGGGTCAAATACACCATCTTACACAGCCTTCCTTGTCCTCTGCCCTGGTAACAGCACAGTTGAGGCCTCCTCTCAGTCGCCCCTTCTCCAGTCCTCACCCCCACCCCTGGCGCATGAGTCTTCTAGAACACAGTGTATGCTTCACTATTGTGCTCAATCGCCTTCGATGGCTGCCCACTGCCTTCACAATAGAGCCATTCAACACCCTCAGTCTGCCTCTTCAAACTTATCTCCTTTCATTTCCTATGGAAACTGGAAATCTGATTGACCCACACTCATCCATTCATCCATTCATTGCTCCTCAAAATGCTGTATAGGTCCCTACCTCCCAGTCTTTGTTCACACCATTCCTTCTATCTAGAATCCCATTCCCAATCCCCTTGGTTTATTCACGTCTTACCCTTTCTTTAGAGCTGACCCCAGGTCCCCACCCTCTTTCCAGTAATTCTTCCACACTCACTCTTGCAACAATGGTCTTTCCCTCATTAGCTGCTTGAATCTTTTACTTGGCATTTAGTATCCACTGTTTTCTATTGTTAGTTATCAATTTTTTAGGTCTGACCCATCTCCTCAAACAAACTGTAGCAACTCAAGGTCAGGGACCATTTCTGGTCCTCTTGGAGCTTTACTGCAATGCCATGCACACAGCAGGTATTCATCATATTTTGCAGGCACGGGTAGATAGAGCACTGCCTTGGAAATTGAGACCTAAGCCCAGCTCTGCAGTCAATTGCCTGCATGACTGTGGTCAAATCACCAGGTGACTCTGGGCCTCAAATCTCTCATCCATTACAGTGAAGTGGGGAGAGTTGGACTCTGAGGTCCTTGCCAGATCTAACAGTCTATGAGAGGGGTTGGCCATTCACTAATATTGCTGGAAAACCTTTTTTGTGGCTTATTCACTTAAGTCCCATCACTAAGACTAGTGGGAGATGTTTGGGGGAAGCAAAGATTCCGCAAAGGAGCTTGTGAGAATTCAGAGTTTAAGGAGAAAGCTGTTAAGTTTGAACCTTTTAATTTAAAGAGAACAAGATCACCAAACTAAAATATCCCATGCATTCTCTTTTCAGTGCCTAGTAGCAGTTTGCTAGGAAGGCAGGGCCGATGTTATTACTTGGGTTCAAGATAACAAGCACCCTTTCCTGTTTTTAGGAGATGTCCTTGTTAAGGAGATGTCATAAGGTCAGCATTTGATGGGGGAGAGGAAAAGCGGCCTTACGTTTTGAAGTTTCCCTTTTCTGGCTTTGATTTCAGCAGGAAAGCACAGGCACACGGCCCTAGAAGTTAATCTAAGTGGACCAGAAGAGCTCAGAATCAGGGCCCATCTGTCTATACCCAAGGCCCTCCCCAGAGAGCCTTCATTTCAAGAGGCAGGAAATAAGCCTTGGCTCAACCTCAACTTTGAATGAGAATGAGATGCTTTCCAGGGAGGCGGGTATTTGGCCCACCCATTTCTCTGCCCTCCCTCACAAGTCAGGAGGCAGCAAAGGCCAGAAGAGAAGCTCTCAGAACACAATCAGGAGACATCAGCGTTTCTGTTTCATTGGCTTACCAATTCCTACGTCCATGTGAATGTGCTCAATTTCTCCACTTATAACAAACACCAGGCTATACCCTCCCTATCTCAGATGATGCAGTGAGAAGAAAGAAAACAGAAGAGGGAAAGAGAGCTGGTAGGGAAAGAGGTTATAGACATTGGTGGAACTCATCTTTTTAGGCATGTAACTCAGATACAGGGAGAGAATTGGGGGAAAGTAAAGGGTGAGTCAGACGCTTCTGGATGTATGAAACCTTCTTGCAGCATTGCAATGTTAGAATTCAGAAGAGCCTTCAGAGATCACCTGGATCAATGACTTCCTTTTGATAGATTTTAGAGACTGAGCTCAGAGAGGCTGGGACTCTCCCAGAGGTAAATGAGGCTAATGCAGGAGCCAGGACTGGGACTGCCAGCCCACTGCTCTCCCCAGCAGACCAAGTGAGTTCCCTTAACTTCCTCCCTGGACTTACTTCAAGTCCTTGGTTCCCTTAACTTCCCCCCTAAACTGACATCAAGTTCTTGGCTTAGTGGAAATATTTTTAGCCTTGACCACATCATGGACAGCAGTTCTATTCCCCATGATCCAAGTGCTCAGTTGAAAGGAAAAAGAAGTGTCCAGAGCAATTCTGGGACCAGATCTCTGCATGATCAGTTCTGTCAGTGTTGGGCTGTCAGCTGAGCTAAGGGAAGCAGACACGTTCTGGTTCAATGTCTGTGTTTTGTTTCTGATATAAACATGGAACTGAAGGTCTGTTGTAACGGCCTCATTACTGATAGGATGACAGGCTTTCCCACTATTCCTCTTAGCATAAGCCACAAGAAGCGCTGGCAAAACAAATCCATGGTCACATCCTTTGTCATTGTGAATGTTTAGCGGATCCTGACATGTCTGGGGGGAACGTCGCTACTTAGCCAGGCTGGCAGGGGCTCATCACAAAACAGCTTTTATTCCAGTGAGAGAACTTAGAAAACAAAGTCTTCAGTAACAACCCTGGCGGGCAGTAGAGGAGATGTCAAGGTTGAGCTCTCTATCTGGGCCTCTGATTTTCAGGAAGGTCCCTCTCTAAACCTGTGCAGCTCTGGCCTGATAAGCTGTTGCAGCTCCAGATAAATCATAGCCTGGGAACACGCAGACAGAACCCACTCTCCATGAGGAGGGTGGAGGGAACACAGCTGGGTTGCAACTTTCTTCACTCTCAGGAGCAAAGGAGCATGAGTATCCCACTTGTTTGCAAAGAAATCTATCAACAGGGACCTAAAAGAATACGGAAAAGCAGCCAGGGATTCACGTTCTACTTTGAGCAGGGCTGCCTGCTCATAAGGTGCTATCCCCAAGCTCTGGAACTTCCAATTCTTGGTCACCCTGAACCGAGGAAAGGGAAGTCCATGTGAATAAGCAGAAGAGACCAGAGGAAAGTGCCCTTTGGAATAGGGAAGATTTGAAAAAGAAGACAAAAACATAAGGCAGAAAGTGGAAGTTTCCCAAGTGGTTATGAATAACAATCTATTGGCCATAGAGGGAAAAGTGCCTTTTAGGGCTGAGGCTCTAAGGGTCATTAGTTCAACAAGCAAGTGTGTGGAATGTGGTAGCCAGCACCATGTTAGGTGCAACAGAAAGTAGGCTCTACGATGCAGCCTTTTCCTTGACAAGTTAATTAGCAGTACACACACCTATGAAGCATTCACGTTCAATAACAGTACTTTCCAAGTGAATGCTTTTTGCAGTTTTGGAAGGAGTTTCACTTACATTTGATCCTTATGACAACACTGTGAGACAATCGGGGAGAGTTATGCTCGTGTTATAGATGACGGAACTAATTTCTCAAGCGAAGTGCAGATAATACATGCAGTATTATCCAAAGGCTTTTGACCTCTGTTTCCATTTTTTAATTAAGTGAAGGTTCAGAGGGGCTTTGAGATAGACTGGGAGTGGCAAGTGAGATCTGGGGAGAGCAGTGAGATCACGAGGAAACAGAGGTACTGTTAACTAGTTTCTGTGTCCCCAGTGCATGCCCAAACCACTTGACAGATAAAATATGGAAGCATTTTGGGAAGAGGATTCAGAACACTCAGCAGCAGTTTCAAAGATAATTAATTTGTATTCACTAGTCTCAGCCCTTCATTTACAAGACACCTGTGGATACATGTAGAAACTTCTAATGATAGAATGTGCTTTTAATGACAACTTACCCAGTTGTACGCCTAGAGCCTGGAAATGGTGCTAGACGAACTGTATATCAACATTTAGAAAGCCCTTCACTCTTTCTTGACTAGCATTGGCACTTTCTTAATGAAAAAGATGAAATCAAAACCTAAAAACCTTGAAATGATGCTAGGTATAGATCAGGAAATAATCTGACCAAGGAGTAAAATTTAAAATCTAAAATACAAGTAATCTGGTCAAAGTCTCTCCTAGAAGCTCACTATGGTGATGACTATTCAATCTTCCATCAATTTCTAGATGGCATGAATTTTTCTCTCCTGGACTTAACTGAAGCCCCAGGATTAACCCCTCATGTTCCTTTTTCACACAGGACAATCCACGCATCATTCACCTATAGAATAGTACCTGTTCCCTGCTCCTACTGATCCTCTCAGACAGCAAATCTGAGTTGTTTCTCTCTTCTTCCAGTTCCATCTCCAGTTGAGACACCTTGTCCTAAGAAGGAAATCACAAACACAGTTGACTTAACTTGCACTGACCGGGATTAACAGCAAAGGCTCCCCCACAGAGAAACAATCCTAAGGGCAAATGAGAGCTAACTACCATTAGAGTTTGGAAAAACAATATATCTATTTCTTACATTGCCCAAAGCAGATATTTCTTAAACTATGTGTTTCATGACTTGTAATGTAAAATGTGTAACATAAAATGTTTATGTAGAAAACACATAAAAGAAGAAAAAACATTATCCCAAACCCTAATGCAAACACTAAGGATATTTGAGCATGTTTCTGTCAAGTCTCTGTTTCTCCCTGTGAATCAATAACTTTAAACAGATCTACCCAAGCCAGTGCCTGTTAAAAGACAATGTGGAAAAAACACTTGACGCTCCGGACAATCTTTTGTCTGCAAGAGCCTTGCAGGAGTCAATCTACAGCAGCCTTCTAAGCCTTCTAAGGAACAGCATGCATTTGCACGATGCACTCCCAAACCTGCATTGGATTAACCAAAAGACAGTGCTAACCAATTCTGTTAAACTCATCATCACTTCAGAATAATAATTGGTGGTTTCTTTGTTGGCTCCTAATCTAACCTAATTGAGTGTTCAGAGAAAAACATTTCAAAGCAGCTTTGTGTATGAAGAAAAGAGGCTTCTAACACAAACCACCCCACTTACAACTGGGGGTTGTCAGCCTTGAGCACGTGTTTCTCCTGTCACCAGCCAATCTGTCATAGGTCTAAGTAAACTCAGAGCCACAAATGCTAAAAAGCAATTGGCATTCCAAGTTTTAAATGTGAACCTGCAGCATTTGTATATAAATATTGTCTCTGCAATTGCCAAAGTGGATTGACAAGCAATGGGCACCTCTATCCCTAAATATTATTCTATTTATCACAATAAAACACCCAGGATTCTTGTGAGTGAGTGACTGTCTGTGAACGGCCCCCAGGTAGTGATCAAAACCTATAGGGAAGTTAGAAAACCCTCACCCAGGAGCCAAGCATCTCTAAGGCCAACTTGGATTGGAGCTGGGCCCTGCACCGAAGCCTCCTGTTTATTCAGTGGTTCCTGATGCCTCCAAGACCAGTCTCACTATAGTCAGACATCACTCAGGATCCACAAGAGCTGCATTTACATACAACAGCCACCTGAGTTTACAGAAAATGTCCGTCGTTAGGAGAGCTCTTGAGTCTTGAAAATTAATTTAAGTGCTAGTGAAGGAGCAGGCAAGACGTAGTCACAGCAAGACGGTCCTGCTTGCCGCCTCTTAGGGGACGAAACACCCCTCAAGCGCATCTCATGGTAGCAGGGTCTTCAGAGCCATTCATTTTGTAATTAATGAGAAAATAGCTAAATATTGCAAAGGGGCAAATGAAGCTTAGCTATGCCACTCCTTCTAGACCTAAGTCGGCCAAAGGAAACGATCTCTTTAGTCAGGATATAGCAGTGGAAATGACCTAACAACCCAATCACCAGCTAAAAGCACCTCTTTATAAGACTGTCTTCTTGCCTAAAAGCCATACTGCACAGAACCCAGCAGGAGTGTTAAGGGTGCCGGCCAGGGCCATTACTCCAAAGGTTCTTCCTCCACTGCCTGAAGGGGCTTTAGCTTGTTTTGAGCCAGGTTGTTTAAGGCCCTAGAATAATCAGTTTCTAGTTAAGTGGGTTGACCTTAGCTTGCCTTAGAATTACCTCCCCTAAAGAGATCAGAGCCAGGACATTAGCAAAATGTACAGCAGTCCAACAAAAGAGCAATAAAACTGTAATCAGGTTATTCTAGTCTCTAAAAGAGGCCCATCTAATAAAATCTTCAATGACTTAAACAACACTCCCTAGATATAAACAGCTACTAAGTCCCCTGGACGTTTTGAAAATTATTTCTGTTTATTTGCAAAGTTGAATCAGGAATTCCATTGATTTTGAATTTAAGCCATCTCTCCATGGCCTTGAGCACTGTCTTTTATCAAAACTTTGACAATTTTAACTTCTCTGAAAAGACTGAGACTATTTTTTAGTGTCTCTCTCAATTCCATTTTTTCAGTGTCTCTCCCTCTCTCTAAATTCTACTGGGGCGTGTGTGTGTGTGTGTGTGTGTGTGTGTGTGTGTGTGTGTGTGTGTGTGTTTCTGGGGGTTAGTTTTGCTCCTAAGAATTATTCTTTTTTAAAAGTTCAGATGGAGTGATTCTAAGGTTCTTCTTGTCAACCTCAGTGAACTGTTCACACTTAGATTCTGTTACTTCATTTACATTTTTCTAATATGTGGTGTTTTCAGCTTGTGACTAGATCACCCCCATCTGGTGAGTGCATTCAGCACTTTCTGATATGCTGTCTTGGACTATGTACATACTATGTATACCACAGTAAATTGAGCCACAGTGTGCTGCGAGCTCTGGCAAAGCCCAATAACCTCTAAGGGAAAATGGGCCAGAAACAGGAAGCAAGAATGGAGAATGTGGTGTGGCAAATGAAGAATGATGATTCCTAGGAGGCTCCTCTCTGGACATGCAGCAGTCTGGTTCCTTCTAGTTAGCTGGAAGCACTGCCCCAAAGAACAAACAGAAAAGGAACTATCTGTGCCCTTAGGCAAAATCACCTAATGTCCCTGAGAATCTGTTCCATTTCCTCTCAAGACAATGAGAATGTTAGACTAATTTATATCCATCATTCCTTCTAGCTCTGATGTCCTGAGTCTATAAATGACTGGCCCCTTCCTTCAATCAAGAAATAACCTCACTACACCCAGCTGTGGGAGAGAATAAAAATCCAAGACTTCCCAAAGGCTGAGCTGAGAGCAAAGAGGCTGCTTCTCTCGTGGCCCAGCCTCGCTCTCTGCAGGTCCCCCAGCTCACACTGTACGGCCCACAGACCTCCATCTGCTTGACCAGCCTGCTGCGGTCATCTTTGAGGTGACTCTTGGCTTCCAGCTCATACTCCAGGTCCTTCAGCGTCTGCTCCAGAAGCTGCCTTTTTGTGAGTGCTTCATCCTGAGCTCTCTGGTAGTCCCGTAACTCTTCCTCCATCAGACGCATCTAGGAGGAGAGACAGCTGGGATGGTTTTCTGGGGTGCATCAAGAGCATAGAGACCTCCACAGACAGTGCACAGGCTGACCCCACCAAAAGGAAGATCAGCTGGACTCCCACAATATGGGAGATCAGAAGACCTTGAGCAAGTCCTACCTCCCTCTGGGCCTTACTTTCCTTTTTGTAAAAAGAGGAGGTTTTCCAGCTACAGGCAGCAACCTATTAGGTTACAAATTCTATTTGGTAGATATTGACCAGCATTTTTTAATTAAATAGAACAGAAAAAAATAGCAGAGTATTAGCAAATATTGATTTGCAAATCTTTTGTGCTAGACATTCATATATTTGTGCAGATGCGTGTATTCCTGGGTTGCAAGATATAGTTTTTTTTTGTCTTTTTTTTTTGAGATGGAGTCTTGCTTTGTTGCCCAGGCTGGTGTGCAGTGGTGCGATCTTGGCTAACTGCAGCCTCCATCTCCTGAGTTCAAACAATTCTCCTGCCTCAGCCTCCCAAGTAGCTGGGATTACAGGTGCATGCCACCACACTGAGCTAATTTTTGTATTTTTAGTACAGATGGAGCTTCACCATGGTGGCCAGGCTGGTCTCGAACTTCTCAACTCAGGTGATGCCCGCCTCAGTCTCCCAAAGTATTGGGATTGCAGGCATGAGCCACCGTGCTCAGCTGAATGCAAAATGTCGTTTTTACTAGGTCATGTTAAAACCTCTCGAGAGCCCCTTAACTAAATACATGTTTCCCAGGGGGTAATTTATTGTCTACCTGTATCACTGTCACCTCAAAAGAGGTTTCAACTCAGTGAAAAAGAACACACAACTGAATTAATGACCGCAAAGCAACCTACTGGCAAAAAACCTAACAACATACACAGGCACATTAGGGAAAGCCACTGCTTTGTAGAAGAACATGATTAGCTAGCTTAATTTATAATGTTGTTGTTTTTTCCATCCACAAGGTGGCACTCAACTAACAGCTTTGAAGAAAGCGCAACAGACAAAACAGCTTGATTCACAAGGGCCAGTCAGTGTCTTGAACTTCTCTAGAAGCTCCCTGGGGAGACCAGCCAGCTCAGGGCACAGTAGGTCTTCCTTAAACATCTGTGTGGGCTGATCTGGTGAAGCCGCAGGCTGTCTGCTTTGTTCTAAGTGTCCTACCCTCTTGGAGTTGGTACTAGTATTGAGTAGAGCTAGTCTCATGAATAGAATAATACACCAGGGGGTCTGTTTCCTTCAGAGTATATGAAAGTGAATGGCCATCTCCGCTACAGAATGCCACCCTTCTGCAGTGTCTGGCACAGAAGAGTTGGAAAGCCCCAGTAGTTGAGGACAGCTTTGGAGAACCCGTGGAAAAGCTTGAGGAAATGTGTTCTTCTCTGGGAGGCTGACAGGAGCACTGGGCATTTCTAAGAGAACAGCCTAGCCTTGAAGATGACATCTCCAGATGAAGACCCACATCTGGTTTTAGTGGTTACCATGACAGAAAGTACATGAAAGCACAGAATGAAAATCACCCCATGGAAAACAGTGATGGGACATTTTCTGGATACAGAGGATGTGCTATATTCCAGAGCGTTAAAAAAACAAAAAACAAAAACGCTCTATGACTCAGTTTCCTCATTCACAAAATTGGGATAATTATAAAATCAGCCTTCTAAAGCTATTATGAGAATCAAATGAGATGATACCCAGAAAGAACATGAGTGTGAGGGTCAGAAAGAATGACAGGCAAATGTGCAGCCTGCGTTTCCTTCCTGTCCCCCTTCCCAATGCCCAGCGTGCCCTCCTCCACTGCTCAGCACAGCCCCACCTTCCACACCCAGCAGGTCCCTCCTAACACCCGGTAAGGGCCCCATCATACTCAGAGTCCTTGACGAGGGCCGGCAGAAGAGATTAACTAGCATGGTGTCTGTGAACAATGTATCCTGAATCATAAGCAAGCAAACAACTTTTGAACTTCCTAGTGCTACCTTTAAGTAGTTAAAATCACCCTTTGCTAAAAGAGATGTAGAAAATAAACTGAACAATGGTAATCACTAAGTCTCGATTCTCTAAAGATCATGCTTATCAGAGGTAGAATGGGTGAAAAATGCCTATTTCTCTCAAAGCAAAGGCAGCCACTATTACAGCACTTAGAACGGACTCCTGTAGCTTTTGGGGTTTTTTTTTAACCAAGATCTTCAACCAGCTCAATCAAAACACAAGCAGAGGGGCAGTGAACAGAGTTGAGCCTGAGTTTTTTAAGGATCCAGAGAGACCTTGGCTTGTTAATTCACTTTTGTTTTAAACAACTCCATCACTCTACCAACTTAGTCAAGGGTGGTATCTCACTGCAGTTTCCCTGCAGAATGATGAGGTGTCCATGTCTGTTGCTCACATGGAAACAGTGTCTCACAGGGCTGCATCAGTGAGAAAAATCCAGGAAGGGCCATCTTTATTTTCCTTGCAAGGAATCCTTTTTTTTTTTTGTTTTGGAAGGACTGCTCTTTTATAAACAATACTGGTCTCCATCTGGCCTTAACTAGTCTCTCTGGACCTCAGTTTCCTTATCTAACTAGAGGATCTCTATGTTTCTTTCCAACCCAAGGATTCTATCATAAAAATCATTATATAAAACGCAACGGGAAGTACTTTTCAGGGGTCATTGTGACACTGTGATCTTCTGAAGTCAAATCAGACCAGGTGCTTGTTGGTGTTCTGGCAGATACCTGAATCCTTCTGCCTCTGTGCTGTAGTAATGAATGTGATTTTTTTTTTTTTAATACCAAAGAGAACTGTGATGTCAGTGCGCTAATTTCACTGCTTACTTGGAGTCCTGTATCACATAACCCTGAGCCAAAGGGGATCCATTATCAGGGGCCTTTCAAGAGTGTTCTAGAAGCCTGCAATAAATATCTATTGTTCTTTTACACAGTTTCAGCACTGACTCATGGGTGACTTTTCTTTGATCATCAAAGAAATTAAAGTTTGTTTTTTAAAGAAAAAAATGTTTTCCTGTGGAATCTTGGTGCTCTCGGCACTGTTCATGAAAAATAAGCCCCTAAAATTAAAGAAAAGGAAATTAATATTTATGAAGTGTCCGGGATGTACAGACTCGCTGCTACACAGTCTCACATATTAACTCATTTAATTAAGTCACTAATATTTGGTATATTTTTAAAGAGGTAGAAACATATGCTCAGAAAACTGGGGTTAAGTTGCTCAAGGTGACCCAGTTGGCAAGAGGTATAGCTAGAAATCAGCATAGGCTGTGCTTACATTTTGAAGCCTCCGGCTTTCCATTAAAACAATCAAAAACATCCCCTTTCTTTTTCTCAGTTCTTGAGAGGCCAAGCCTGAAGGGAGCTAGCATTTGGGTTTCTTTGCTCAATTATTCTTAAATATAAAACGAATGTTTTAATCATTTCAATACTCATAAATTCCTGAGGATTTCTTTTACTCGCCATTATTGTTGTTGTGAAACTCTTGTCCGCCACCCTCATGCCAATAAAAGTCTGTATTTTCAAAAATCAATGGCCAAAAAACAGTCAGTTACTGTAATCCCTATTCTAGGATTAAATTAAAACATGAAAGCATATAAATAAATCATCTGGACACAGCTGGGCACATCATGGCTGCTCCATAAATGGCAGCTAAACATTTTAGGCAAAAAATTATAGATTCATCAAGAAAATGGTCAGGTTAAAGCTGTGTCCATTTAGCCTCACAGTCCGCCGGTGGGTCCTTTGTGCTCCAGAATGCCATTTGCCCACGGAACCCATCCAGAAGGTGAAGAATGAAGAGTCAAGCACCAAAGCTGTCTCACGAATCTACCCCCAAGTCCCTCACAGAAGACTTTCAGGGCAAAGGATACTTTGAATAAGGGATAAAGGAAGAACTTATCTGGCCAGGCATTACCTCATCCTGCATTTTCATGGCTGTCAGTCGGGACTTTTCTGCCTCCAGCGTTTTCTCCTTCAACTGTCTTTGCATTTCTGCGAGCTCCCTGCGGTTTTTCTCCTTATACTCATCCAGCTGGTTCTGGAGCTCCAGGGTTGAGGTACGGGAGGCCTCAACAATGTCTGCCATCTAGAAGAAGTGACACGGGTGTGAGCCCACCCTGGGATGCTCTGAGACCAGGGTCTGGGTCCCATTTCAACACACAGCACATCTCCTCTTCTCCCTTTCTTCTATGGCCCCCTCAAAGATGGCCCAGCACCTGATCCTGAGTCAGCCAGGTGTGGGCACCTGTGACTTGGAAGCAGCATGGAGGAGTGAGCAGGCACGTCCTTTGGAGCCAGGCACACAGCCTCAGGGTCCTAGGGCTGCTGTGCCACTTACCAGTACATGACTGGGGCACGTCGTTAACCTCTCTGGGCCCTGGCCATGTCCACACTGGAAACACCGAAATCATATCTACCTTACAGGGTTGTTGTCAGAATTAGTATCCACAGATACAGATAAAATTTTATCAGCAGATACAGATAAAATTCTAGTTAGAAACAAAATAGTTAGTAAAGTGCCTGGTACATAATACATGTCAGAAAACAGCAGACACTCGTGTCAACTCCCAGAATACAGAAAGCCTGCCAGCTTTGTGCCTTTACCCCTTCTGGGTATGGTGGGGCAGACATAAAGAGAAAGAGCAGCAGCTACTGAGCTCTGAAGCTGCCTTTCACACTCCTGGACAAGCAATAGAGATGCAAAGGTAGAGACTCTGCACAGAGATGTCGATTCTGATTCACTCAACATTGGTTCCATCTGCACTGACACACAGCCTTCTTCTACTAACTGTTAAGAGGTGATTCTGGTGCCCAGAATCCAGAGGGTACTGGCATTAATGTTTTCTAGACCAGTGTCTATCTTTTCAACAAATCCAAAGAGCTGCCTCTTGGGATCTGCAAATCCCTGACACTTTTGTGCTTAGACCTACTGCAGGTTTCCCAGGCTTTCACCAGACCCTCAGAGGGGACTGGGTCCAACAAAGACATCTGGCCCTACTTCCTCTTTCCTCCTCCAGCCCCTCACCTCCTTCTGCAGTTTCTCAATGGTTTTGCCCAGGTGCCACCGCTCATTCTCCATCTCGTTCTTCAACCTTCTTAGCTGCTCCTTCTGCTCACTCTCCTCTTTGAGCTTCTCAGACAACTGCTTCTGCTCCTGGGTAGTCTGACTCAGATTTCCCTGCAAATGGCAGGGAAAGGACAGTGCTGTCACCTACTAACCAGGTAGCCACAGGAACGGGTGGCACAGGGAACTTCATAGTCACACTGCAAAGCAATCAGATCTGTTAAATCCGTGATGAGGAAGAAGATCAAAATAAAGCTGTCAGAGATAGAAGGGCATTGTTGGTTCTGAAATTCAAGGACCAAATAGGAAAGTTGACTTACCCAAAAACATCCACAGGAATGAAGGGGCAGACAAACAACGTGCTACAGAAATACATGGCCAAGGCTGCTGGTGGTGGGAATTCAGGATGGTGTCTGAAAACCTGAATGTTCATGCTTGAAATTCGAGGTCAAGTTATACATTACAACAATCTAAACCTACTTGGCAATTTATATCCTGTGACACACAGCATCACACCTAATGTTCCAGTATTTACTATGCTATGCAGATGGTTCTTACAGTTAGAATAACTAAAAATGAATCGCTAAGAGAACACTACCCCACAGAACAAAGGTCCATTTGGGTAAAGGCAGTTGTCATCAACAAAATCCATGAATTGGACTCAGACACAGGCAAAAAGGAATTTGGAAACACACAGGTTGGTGAACTTGATGAACAGAAGGTGTTAAATGGAAGAGACACTACTCAGATAAAATACTAGCCAGGTAGGTGGTTGTTGATTGAATCAGCACCAAATACTAGTGCCTACCATAAAATACAACTATCTTGAGTGCAATACTCCCCTTAGTTCCCCTGAGGCTCTCATCTCACAAAGTCACACAGACTTATGTTCTTTATGTAAACAACATGCAACTCCAGAATAAAATCCTAAAATATTATAGGAAAGTTATGGTGGCTTCTTTAAATGGCTAAGCATTAGGGCCATAGGTACAAGGATAATAAGAAGACGCACAACTCGGAACAGAGCAACCTGACTCAAACACAGACTGGATCATCTCGAAAACGTTGTCAGGCACCGAGGGCTGACTGGGCCACTACAGAAACAGCTCAGGGCCTACCCAGTCTTGTGTCCCTGCAGTGACTGCACAAGAACAATGGTTTATATTTGTACAGTGCTTAACAGTTTACAAGCTGCTGCCACAGGCAGTAACTCAGGATCTTGAAAACATTCCAAATCACTTCGGACTCTCCTGGTTTGCAGAGCATAGGAACAGATCTGCTCTGCCAACCATGTGATGTGGGGCTAAAACACGACCCATAGCGGCCTTCCGGTCCCTGGGCTCTGTTGGGCTGGCTGCACTTTGAGAAGCAGCCAACGTGGCCGACCTGCTGAAGTTAATTGCTGCAGAGAACCAAGGTTAACAAAAGCTGCTGGGGAAAAGATGGTGGCAAAAAGAAAGGTAATCAGAAGTTCAGTGTGGGGGGGAATTAGCAGTAGTGTGCTCCAGCACAGCTGCTGCTGGGCACCCACCAGAAGCAGGGTCAAACCTGGGGTTTCTGTTGATCGATGATTTAGCAGTGTTGGGGCAAAGGGTGAGGAGGAGTTATAGAACCAGTGAGGTATGGTATGGGACAAAACCCTCAAAACACATGTCCCAAAAAACGTCAATCTGTGAAAACAACAAATACAGAGGGCCCCCAATGGCTTCCTGTAGAACCTTCAGGATCCAACTCAACCCCCTCCCCAAAGGAATCCCCCAGCCTTTCTCCTCCTCTTAGACCCCAATCCCAAGGGCTCCAGGCAGCAGACAAGCCAACCCAGCTCTACTCAGCCTCCATGTGGTTCGTGCATGCATTTCTGCTCCACTCTTGGCTCAGGCAGGGCTGCCTGGCTCTTTCTCCTGAACCACAAAAGACACCACAGACTCACCACTCTGGGCCTAGGGCCTGCCAACACCTGCCACCCCAGCACACACACATTGCCTAGAAGAATAGATTTGCTACATTATTTTTAAATTATTTCTTATATGCTTGCCTCTTTTGCAAGGTAGTAAGCTCCGTAAAGGCAAGGGAGAGACTTTCTGTCTATCTGGGTATGTTCACTATTAGGCATATGATAAACACTTAGCTATTAAAAATGAATGCCTATCCCCAAAAGTGATCCCAAGGCTTCTTATGTTAGAATCACCAAGCAAGGATGGGGTGTCTGTACTTAAAATATAGATTCTAGCTTTTTCTGATGGAATCACAATTTTTCTTAGCATGGGGCCCATAATCATTTGCATTTGAAAGCTCCCCAGATAATTCTAACATGTACTAAGGTTTAGAAACACTGTTTAGAACAACGGTCTTCCTCCTCCATAATTCAAGACATATGTTCCAATAGGTCACTGCTGAGAAAACGTCCCAAATTCACATGAAAAAAAGCAAACATGGCAACTTTGCATTTTTCCGACCCTTCATGTGGACAGTATCAGGAGTGAAACGCTCTGTAGCTACAGAGACTCTATTTCCGAGGCCAGGAATACAAGCTCATCAATGAATAATGAGATGAAAATTTAGGGAAAATATATCAGGTTGGAGAATCTGAGGCGCAACACGGGTAGATGTAGGGTGAGTGTCCTTGAGCTCAGGGACCATTATCTGTCAACAGACGCAGATTTTACCCTATGATTGAGGTCCCAATTGGCTCATATTAATGACAAACAAGTTGCAGGTGAGCCTATGGGTGTCAAGGAATGGGCAGCTTAACCAGAAGGAAGTTGGTCTTCTTGGAGTCCCTGCCACTCAGTGTCTGTGGGCTGCAACAGTGCAAGCCTTGGGCCCTTTTTCCTTGGTTGTCTCAATACTCAAAAGTCCAATGGGGTGGGAGGGAAAGCCCTAGGAATAATGTATGCACTGTTATCCCCTCCTGAAGGAAAGAACTGTGGTTTCTCCAGCAAAGGCTTCTTTACTTCCCCATCTGCAGAAGGCACTTTAAAATAGAAACATAGATGCCTTGCCTTAAGTGCAGTTCCAGTAGCCCTAGACAGCAACACAGTCCTGAAGCAAGCGGTAGGGCATTGAGCTAACCAAGAACAGCATCTTTATGCCCCTCTGCTACTTTTTAACTGAGTCATGGTAAATCAGACATAAATTTACCAGCGTCTTCAGCTACTATGTAAAGAAATCTATTTATCATACGTGAAGATGCAATAGACCAATAGCACAAAGACTGAGAAAAACACCAGTTACTTTTTTCTTTCCTCAAGGACTAAGGTCCCTTTGAGTTGTCAGCTTCAAGGACGAGAGGTGCATAGAAAGAGTAACCAAACAAAAGGAGCTGACTATCTGGTTTCCAATTTTAAAGAAAACAAAGTATTTCAGAGCGATGGTGCTTTTTTCATGGCATTATTTTTAAGACCAGATAATTCAGGTAAAGAGAGTGAAACTGTCAGGCCCATTTTTAATTCTTGCCAGCTGCACTGCCAGTGGCTAACACGGCCACACACTGCATGAAGCACTCTCACCATCCCCACACCACTGGGAAAACAGGCCTCAACAAAAGTAACATGTCAGGGATAATTTCCAAGACAAGGCTAGAGATCCACAGATGGGGGTGGGTGGGGATTACATTAAGATCTTCAGGCCCCAAGGCCATCACCTGTTCTGTGCACTGAATTCACTATGAGCGCAGATACCCAGCAGGGGAACCACTTCCGTATGTGTGAAAAGTTCCTGTTTGACCAAAGGAAAGGTTCTGAGAGACCCATAGCTGCACCGGGGACTTGGTGTGGACATACCATGAAGGTAGAGATGTTTATCCCTATAGAGTACAAATATGTTTCCTTTCTTTCTGCCCCCCAACCAGCTCACAAATTTAAACCCCACACTCTGGCAGCCAGGTTGGGTAACAGTAACCAACCTAAGCTTTAAACAGCAGCACAGCAAAAGTGCCATCCACACAAAATCAACCCCACAAGATTTTGTAATGAAGATCTAGATTTAAAGAAATAAAAAAAATCCAAAGTGAAGGCAGTCAGACATTGAACTCAGGAAAAATTGGGACTTTACTATACGCAAACACGAGTTTTGTCCCAAGAGTAGGAGAAGGCACAGGCTTCTGATTTTGGGGGAGAGTCCCCAAGCTAGGCTGACCTGTGGGAATCCTTCCTCTCCTCTATACTCTAGGAGATGAAGCTGAACACCCTCCAGGAAAGCTGCAACAAGGCATTTACAAATCTGAACCTGACTCGGCTCTTAACACTTTTAATGCCCCCACTTCACCTATCCCTGACTACAAGTGGGTCCGGAATGGAAAACTTTAACAACCTTCCTCTTAGACAACTCTCAAAAACACTGGCTTCTACCTCCTCAGAAACTCACCTGAGATACTTAAGCAGCATCCCGAGAGCCAATAGGAGAAGGACACACCTGCATCACCCGGAGGTCACTGTGCAAAGTCAATCAGAACGGCAGTACAGGCCTTTCTTGAGAATGTACTTCAAATGGGAAAATCTAATTTTCTAAGAACCTACTGATTTTGAATAGCGATAGCTATCCAGTTTCAAGGAAATGACTTCCTCCTGCCTCTCTGAATAGCCATCCTGAAGGAATGTACTCTATAGAGTGCATTTGCCCACAGGAGAAAGGAAATTGGCTTCTGCCAGAAAGCAGACTCCACACCGCCTCGGAGGCCAGTCCTGCCGGCCTTCTCACACCACTCATATTTTATCTTTGGAAAGCTGTCAAGCTCTTTAACGTCTAAACGGAGGGCTCTCCGCCTTCGCATTACTGACATTTGGGGCCTGATCATTCTTTGCAGTGGGGGCTGTCCTGTGCTTCATAGGATGTTTAACAGCATCCCTATCCCTGTTTTCCACCCACGAGGCGCCAGTAGCATCTCTCCAGTTGTGACAACCAAAATTGTCTTCAGGCATTACCAAATCCCCCCCAGTTGAGAATCGCTGGTCTAGACGGATAGTTCAAATAACTGAGTGGTTATTATGGGTGAAAGGGAGCTACATGGAAAGAGAGGGCCAAGGACAATCTCCACACATCCCTCTGGTGTTGCGTCTCTATGCATTCTTCTTGAGGGAGTAATGACAACAGCCCTTGGTGTTTACCTGAGCAGCCTCCAGTTCATTCTCCAGGGCCCTTCTGGCTGACACAGCTTCTTTTTCTTCCTTTCTGGCGTGCACAAGGGCCTCCTCTAACTGTCGTATTTCTCCCTACAATGAAACACTGGGTCAGTGTGCACTTAGATGTGTGCTGTACCTATGAAACTGACTCAATGGAATTAAATGAACACCGAAGACACCCATAGATATGGCAGTGGCTATGGTCACAATGCACCTGTCACAGACCCAAGGTGGCACACAACAGCCGTGTTCTTGGATGCGTGTGTTTATCTGCAGTTCCAGTTCTCAGGCAGGTGTGAACATCCACATTATCTCGGGTGATTTTTTATTTTTTATTTTTTTAGAGACAGGGTCTCACTATATTGCTCTGGCTGGTCATGAACTCCTGGGCTCAAGTGATCCTCCCTCCCACCTCTCAGCCTCCCAAGTAGCTGGAATTACAGGCATGAGCCACCATGCCCAGCTGGGGTATTTTTTTTTTTTTTTAATAGAAATATCTGGCCTTATTCCTGGAGATCTGAAAACAGTAGGTATTGAATGGACCCCCACACACACAGTTTTATAAAAGGTATCCAGGTGGTCCTGATGGATGACTGCTATGCTTTGAATGTGTCCCCCAAAAAGCATGTGTTGAAAGTTTAATTGCCATTGTAATGATATGAAAAGGTGGGACCTTTAGGGGGTGATGAGGCCATGAGGGCTCTGCCCTTATGAATGGGCTCAAACTGTCATCACAGGAGTAGGTTCCTGGTCAATGGACAAGTGTGGCCCCCTCTGGCCAGTCAGTTCCCCACTCCACCTCTGCCCTTCTGCCATGTGATGCCATTCACACTTCAACACAGAAGGACGGCCCTCGCTAGAGGCTGGCACCTTAATATTAGACTTCTCAGCCTCCAGAACTGTGAGAAATACATTTCTATTTTTCCTTAATTACCCCAGGGTGGTATTCCATGATAGCAGCACAGGACAGACTAAGGCAGTGACCACGTGTGTCTCCTCTTTCATTGTCAGCTGCCCTTTCCTACTGCTGAGAGTGTGCCATCTCTCAGTCACAGCTTCCCACTGCTAGAGGTCTGGCCAACCAGATAATTGGCTTGTTAAAATCAGTGTCACTTCAAAAACATCAACAATGAGTTAAAAAAGAATAAATAGTCTTGAGTGAGAATCGGTCTAATGGTGGTGTTAAGACAGCCCTTTCAGGTGGATGCCTGTGTGAAGCCATGGAAGGCTGGGTATGTCTGGTATCTGGGTGTGTGGGGATTCCTGTGCCTAGACCTGTGTTCCCGCCTGACCTCACCGTCCCTGTTCCCTGGCCTCCCTGTCATGCCACTCCCAGGGGAACAAAGAAATGGCTTGCAGAGAGGATGTATTCACTATTGCCTTGACCTTTCCTACTACATCATGACAATAAATCCCTTCCCCACTTTTGAAATCACTTACACAGGAAAGAAGGAGCAGCAGCTGCCAAAGCTGGGCCTGGGCCCAGCGAGCCTCACCTCGTACTTCTTCAGCGTTTCCTTCGCCTTGGCTTCATCGCCTTTCAGGTCCTCGATCTGCCTTTGAAGCTGAGCAACTCTCCGCTCCAGCTCTTCGCTTCTTCCCTGCAGCTTCTCATTCTCCTCCTGCAGAAGCTTCACGCGCATTTCAGTCCCCGCCTGGTCTTGCTCTGAAGTGTTGCTCCTGCTCGCCAAGACCTCGACATTCTGTTAAAAACACAAAGCAAATGAACAAGGAGACTGATGTCAAGGAGCTGTCCCCAGGCTGGAAGAATGGCTGGCATTTATGAAAAACCCATTGTGCCCACTTAGCCAGGCCCTGTGCTGAGCCAGGGGTCGGCAAACGACAGCCTGCAGGCCAAACCCAGCCCCTCACCTGTTTTGAAAAGCGCAGTGTTATTGGAACATAGCCACGCCCTTCCATTTGCAGACTGTCTGTGGCTGCTTTCAAGCTACAACAGCAGGGCCGAGTGGTTGCAACAGAAACCCCAAAGCCTATGGTGTCACAAAGCCTAAAATGTTGACTCTCTGGCTCTTCATAGAAAAAGTTTGCCAACCCTTGCCTGTGTTAAGATCTTTACACGGGATTTCGACCTTTTAACAATTCCAGAAGGCGGGTGCTATTCTTATCGCCATCTTAAATATGAGGAAACTGACACTTGGATAGTTTAAGTAACTTGTCCAAGATCACTTAGGAGGAACTGCATTCGGGCAGGCTGAATCCAGAACCTGTCCTCATAACCCTCGCTTTCTGACATGTCCACTTCCCTGCCCCATTTGCATGGGCAGGGTCTCTTTTTCTTTCTTTTTTTTTTTTTTTTTTTTTTTGAGACAGAGTCTCGCTCTGTCCCCCAGGCTGGAGTGCAGTGGCGCGATGTCGGCTCACTGCAAGCTCCGCCTCCTGGGTTCACACCATTCTCCTGCTTCAGCCTCCCGAGTAGCTGGGACTACAGGCGCCCGCCACCACGCCTGGCTAATTTTTTTATATTTTTAGTAGAGACGGGGTTTCACCATGTTAGCCAGGATGGTCTCGATCTCCTGAGCTCATCATCTGTCTGCCTCGGCCTCCCAAAGTGCTGGGATTACAGGTGTGAGCCACCACACCCGGCCCAGGGTCTTTAATAGAAGCTCTTGAGGAAGGGCAGCTTCGGAGTACAGATTTTTTTCATGTCCAATATAAAACAGAAATTTAAATTAGCTTAAATTAGGATACAGTTCACAGTGTAAGCTCTAGGTATGCTGCACACAATCCACAACAGAAAGGAATGACAATCTCAGGGTGGTTATTGTTGATTCCAGAGGTCACAGGGGCTTTGTATTCTTCGGTTTAGCAATTTGAAGTGATGGGAAATGGTCCTGCCCCACATTCCACCTCTCCAGGCAGATCTCTTACCTGTCCTCCATTTCTCCACTACTACAAAGATGCCAATATCAGCAAATCTCATGCCTACAACACAATGCTACAGACGCCTGCGATAAAAGAAAGGCCCAGGGAGGACAAGGTTAGGCTTTTAAAGGCTGTATCACCGACCATGTGGGAGAAGTATCTGCTAGAACTGCTCACTTATATAGCCTGTTGGAAAGATCTTTACTTCTCTTAACAGTACAGTAAGCTTATTATCCTGAACCTAACCAGTTAGAGAATTTCAGGAACCAGAGCATCCTTTCATGGCCCAAAGGTTTAATTCTATACAACAGAGAAAGCCCATCGGAGCCAAGCAACTGAGTTAGAATGAAGTTAGCTGGCGTTGCTAGGAGAAAACTAAGGTGTCAGACAGCTGAGACTTCTCAGGTCTATCAGGATATCGTCTCCTAATGAAACCAGCAAGAGGACATGTCACAAAAATATACAGAGGAGAAATAAAGTGTGGTTGAAAACTTGAGGAAGGATCTAAAGAATCTAGTAACTGGTCAGACCAGGGAAAGAAAAAGTCTAGATTGCCCACTTCTGCCCTAACTCTCCTATTAACATGTGAGACAAAGTTACAGTTATCAAGACAGGGCAGTACTGGCATGAGGGAAGGCATATAAATCAATGAAACAGAATTGGGAGTTCAGACATAAACCCCTACATGTATAGCCAACTGCTTTTCAACAAGGGTGCCAAGACAATTCAATGGGGGAAAGAATAGCCTTCAACAAATGGTGCCACTACAACTGGATATCCACATGAAAAAGAAATGAAGTTAGACATCTTCCTCATACCATACACAAAAGTTAACTCAAAATGGATCATAGGCCCAAATGTAGGATCTAAAACTATAAAACTCTTAAAACACAGAAACAAGTATTTGTGACCTTGGGTTAGGCAAAGGCTACTTAGCTACAACACCAAAAGTACAAGTGACAAAAGAACGAACAGATAAATTAAGCTTCTTCAAAATTTAAAACTTTTGTGCTGCAAATGATGCCACCAAGAAAGTCAAAAGACAACGACCAGAATGAAAGGAAATAAAAGTCATATATCTAATGAAGGACTCATATCCAGAATATATAAATGATTCTTTAACTCAGTAACAAAAAGACTTAAAAATGGGGCCAGGTGCGGTGGGTTACGTCATAGTCTCTGCACTTTAAGAGGCCCAGGCAGGCGGATCACTTGTGGTCAGAAGTTCAAGACCAGCCTGGCCAACATGATAAAACCCCATCTCTACTAAAAATACAAAAATCAGCCAGGTGTGGTGGTGCACACCTGTAATCCCAGCTAATTGGGATGCTGAGGCGAGAGAATTGTTTGAACTCGGGAGGCAGAGATTGCAGTGAGCCGAGATGGGACCACTGCACTCCAACTTGGGTGACAGAGCAAGACTCCATCTCAAAAAATAAATAAATAAACAATGGGGAAAGGATCCGAACAGTATATAAAATCCAACATGCATATGAAAACATATTCAACATCATTAGTCATTAGGGAAATGCAAATTAAAACCATAATGAGATACCACTCCACATCCACTAGGATAGCTATAATAAAAAAGAAAGATAATAACAAGTATTGGGGAGAGTTTAGAGGAATTAGACCACTTATACATTGCTGGTAGGAATGTAAAATGGTGCAGCTACTTTGGAAAACAGTTTGCCAGTTCCTCAAAATGTTACACAGAGTTACGGTAGGACCTAGCAATTTCACTCCTTGCTATATAGCTAAGAGAAATAAAAACAAGGGACCGGGCACAGTGACTCAAGCCTGTAATCCCAGCACTTTGGGAGGCCGAGGCGGGCAGATCACCTGAGGTCAGGAGTTTGAGACCAGCCTGGCCAACATGGTGAAACCGCATCTTTACTAAAAATACAAAAAATTAGCCAGGCATGGTAGCAGGTGCCTGTAATCCCAGCTACTCAGGAGGCTGAGGCAGGAGAATCGCTTGAACCCAGGAGGCAGAGGTTGCAGTGAGCCAAGATCACACCATTGCACTCCAGGCTGGGCGACAAGAGTGAGACTCCATCTCAAAAAAAAGAAAAAACATATATTCACAGAAAAACTTGTACATGAATGTTTATAGCAGCATTATTCACAGTATCCAATAAGTGCAAGCAATCTACATGTCCATCAAACAGTGAATGGGTAAACAAAATGTGGCATATCCATAGAATGGAATATTATTTGGCCATTCAAAGGAATGAAATACTGACACACACCACAACATGGATGAACTTTGAACATATTATCCTAAAGAAGCCAATCACACAAACACACACACACACACACACACACACACACACACACACACACCCATATTGACATTTATATGAAAGTCTGGAATAGCAAATCTACGGAGACAGAAAATAGATTAGTGATTGCCCTGGGCTGCTACAGGGAGGTACAGGGAGGGATATGGGGAAGGGGCCAGGAGTGACTGCTAATGGCGATGGAATTTCTTTTTAGGGGTTAGGAAAATGTTCTAACATTGACTGTGGTGATGGTTGTACAACTGTGTGAATACTAAAACCACTGAACTGTACAATTTCAATAGTTGAATTATATGAATTATATGCTATATGAATTATATCTTAATACAGCTGTTTAAAAAAAAAAAGGGTAAACAAAAGTTACAGGAAACCTGGGGCTGGAGTAGGGATGGTGGAGAGAGATGATGCATTTACCCCCGTGGTCTGGAGGTTTGCTGAGGTGTTAGAGAGGGGAAGAAGAGGCTCAAGACCATCTGCCCAAAGCTTTCAGTAAAGCAAAGAACACTTAGATGTGTGGTCAGCACCCTTTCATTCACCCGGAAATCTCAGGAAGAATGAGGATACTGAAAACCAGACCTGATTTAACCTGGATTGGGGCCTAACTAGCACCCTAGCGTGTTAGATAAGGGAACCTGGACTGAATTGTGATGTTTAGAACTTGGCATGCAAGTTCTTCACTCAGCTTATGGCTGGCAGGGATTTATTCCAATCTTAACTTTCAGTGGCATGGGCTGAGTATGACTCTAGGAGACCTTGTGTGTATTGAGACACTTAGTCCTTTTTTGATTATTTGTAAAGCGATACTATGTTTTTCTCTATGTCTTCACATTATGCTTACAAATAATTTAACATGAGCCTATGTTAGCAAATCTTCCCAAAAGTCCTCTCCCATTTTCATGCCCCCACACCCCCACATGGCCAGCTCACCTTTTATATAAAGCCCATAGAACAAACTTTCCTTTCCTGAAACCATACCTAATTCACTTGCAGTAGTAATGGAATCAAAAATAAAAATAAAAATCCTAACCTTTTGTTCAAGGCAAGTACTACATGTAAGTTCTTCTCCATGACCTCCCAGTGAAGAAAAGAAACATGGCAGAGAGGACCTTCAAAGTTCTCCCAACTCTGAAGTGATCTGATGCTTGGATCTATGTATCATCTTTCCAGATGAGACTTTGTGTCTCATGGATGTGGCAAAGGCAGCAGAACTGCACCAAGACAGAGCTGGTAAAGAGCAACTCAAGTGGAAGTTCCCTGGGGACAAGTACTGCTAAAGTCATTGAAGTTGCTGGCATTATGTTTCTACGATTCTCTGATCCCAAGTCCTATATGTTATAACAATATTAGAGAGGAAGCACCATCATAAATAAAACCAAAAAGCACACAGTTTTTAATAATTCATTTGTCCGTATCTTACCACCTACGTGATGTCTTGTTTTAAAAGAATTACATGGATTTGCATTTCAATATTTTAGCTATTACTCACTTGTACAGGTAGTCGATTCCTCTGCCACTCCAAAAAGTTGAAAACACCGCACCAGATTCATCACCACAAAGGCAAAAGTAACAACTGTGCCATTTTCTATCATTTTTCAAGATTGGATCATCACTAAAAATTACACCAAGGTTATTTTTTCAGCTATGAGGCAGCCACATCAAAAGGTTTGATAACACAGTATGTGTAATGTGAGGAAACGTATTCTCATCGATTGCTGGTGGGGCTAGAAACTGGTACGAGGCTCCTGGATGGCAATTTGGTAGTATCCATCAAAATTACAATGTACATTTCTTTTGACCCAGAAACTTATCGTCTATCATTTTATCCCATATGTGTGCAAAATGACATATAAATGAGATTATTCACTGCAGTACCTTAATAGCAAAAGATTGCACACTACTAAAGGCCAATTAGGTACTAGTTAAATAAATTACATCAGGTCAATAGTATCTTGTGCATCTGGGAGAAAAAAAGAACAAGAAAGTGAGGAAGAAGCATGGGACAGATTAGTAGATATAGCATGCTTCTGTGTGTATAAAAAGAAGGTAAGAGGGATAAAGATGTTTTTAGTTGGCTACATGAGAAACTGGTAACAATGACTGACTATGAGGCAGGAAACTGGGGCTATGTGGAAAACAGCAGAAGGAAGTTTTCAATTGCAAACCCTCTGGCAATTTTTAAATTTTGAACCATGGAAATTCAACATGTATTACCATTTTTAAAAATAAATATACATTTTCTTTTAAAAGACTGACCATCAATGGTCACAGGAACTCAGAAAACAACCCACGTCCTCGGCCAAGTTCTCACCTCCTCCAGCCTCTGGAAACCCTTCCTTTGTCTTTTCATGGGTACCTCTGGGCCGTGAAAGATAGCGGAGCCGGAGCCCCAGGAGCAGCTGTACAAACAGAGCATAGCGCCAACTCTCCCACGCCAGTTTACATAGTTAAGCAATTCCTTTTCACCACATATAGCTGGGAGAGTGGAAAAGGCCCAGATGGCCCAGGACTTGCAACTACACGAGTGCTTCCCCAACTTTTCCACTCCAGAAACCCTAAGGCAGAGAAGTCCAGTGTGGGGTGATGAGAGACATCCAAGGGACTGCGAAGAACTGCTTTCAAGGCTTGGGTTTTTCCATTATAAATGAATGTAAATTTTTCATTCAACACCATAGCATGTTTCATTCTACTATGTCTCTTTTTATATTAAGGATACTGTGTTCTTGGTATTCCAGGAAGTGGTGTCACTTTTCCCCTGTGACTTTGCCAAGCACTCTCCTCCTTGCCCACCCGGCACACAGACACATGTCCCATCCTAACACAGACATAAATCACCTCCAGAATGGAATTCTCATTTATACTTCTAAAAATGCTTCTCTGTCTGTTTAGAGGAAACAGCAAAGGCTCTGAAGTCAGCCAGATCAGATCCAAACCCAGGCTGTGCCTCTTGCTGGGCCTTCCACTGGACCTGGCCTCACAGAGCCTTAGTTTCCTATCTGAAGAAGGGGGATGAAGTTGCCCACCTAGTACATTATTGTAAATATCTAGTTAAATGGGATTACAGCTCTCGTCATAGCCCTTGTTATTACTGTTAGGTCCACTAAACTCACATCTGCTTCCCAAAAGGGAAGGACTTCACACAGCTTACCGGCTGTGGTTCCAAATCGTCACACTTGGCTTCAGGCCACTACCTGCACATTTTTTACCAGCTAAAAAAATCAAGCCTAGACTTCTCAAAACAGAGAATTGAGATCTTCTAATAGTCCTTCCAGGGCGACTACACTGCACAAAGAAGATGACACCCATCTTATTTCAAGGGTAAGTCAGGTTTCTTGGTTGGCTAATTTATTAAAATCTTAGCCCCATTTCCCAGTCAAGGGTGGTGTGGTAAACCGATGGCATCTAAGAAAAACATTCTTCTAAAACAGCCAAACAGCATGCTTCAACATGCTGAACTGCAAAATTTCCATTACTTTAAAAATAGTTGACTTTTAGCCATATGCTCCAATTACCAATTTTAAAAGAAGGAAAAAAGAAATATAACAATTGTATCACACATATGCAAGAAAGTGAAATCCCACTCTTTGCCATCAAGCCATTCATTGCAAATAATCACCTGCCTGCAGGCTGGCACATTTTCCACATGTTCATGGGTTAACACCCACATTTAGAAGTGTTCACACTGGCCCCTGGAGAAACAAGAGATGAGTACCAAACCCCCCATGGCACCATAAATGGCCCCATTTGCATGTTCTGCCTGACTCAGGAAGCTGAGGAGCGCTCCTTGTAGGAACACGGACCCGACACCTTGGACAGGCTCGCTCCTGATGGACAACAAGTAACCACATAGGCCAAGAGCCTCCTGCTTGTCCTAGTGCCGACCCAGTACACAGACATATCAGGTTTTACTAATTAACACGGCCTCTGCCACAGCCGGCTTTTGTTTCCTTTCTGTCTCTCTTTTTTGCTGAATGAGTGAAAACAGCTGAGGCGTGGAGGCCGGGACATCCAGAGAATGGAATGTTGGTGTCAGTTCCATCTCGCTGGCCACCCCCACGCTCCAGTGTGTTGGGGCTGCAGGATCCCAGCTGAGAGGTACTAGAAGCATCCCCTAGGTCAGCTCATCTGCTGGGAAATTACTGTCTTCTCACCATCATGTCTGTGGACGTCTGCTTTCACTTGCACAATAGGGCCCGGGTCACAATAATGCGTCCCTTCCTCACTCTGAAGTGTTAGGAAAGCAAGTCCCCCATATTGTGTCTTCAGCTTCCCCCTCACCTGAGCAAAGGTCAACTATTCAGGTACAGAAACAGCATATATTTTAGTCTTAACTAGCACACTTCATCCCTTCTCCCAATCATTTGTTAATTTCCCTGGCATAAGGTCTCTAATCTTGGGCTTCTCAAATTTTAATGAATTACCTAGAGATCTCATTAAAACGCTCATTCTGACTCAGGAAGTCTGGAGTGGGACCCAGGACTCTGCATTTCTAACAAGCTCCCAGGTGATGCCAATGATGCAGGTCTGTGGATACCCCTTCGAGTAGTGAGGTCTAGGCTGATTGGACCCTTCTCAGCTCTCAGGGCCTTTCTGCAGAGATTTGAGCTGAGCTCCTAACTGGTCAAATCCTTTATGCTTCTTGGTAGGATTCTCAGTGCCTGGGATTTGGCGTTAGGCCGCTTGTGCGCTACTGCAGGCTTTGCAGCCAGCTCACATTGCAACCTTCCTTCTGCAAGCTCTTGCCCCCTCTGAGTTCAATTCACATCCTTAAAGAAGGTATAATCAGTAATACCTAAACAGATCAGAAAATCAAAAAAGAGATACAAATCTTTAAAAAGTTGAAATTATTTTAGTAATGTAAAGTGATGGGTTCCTTCCTTCCTCCTTTTTGATTTGCCTACTTACCATTTCTTGGGCAAGATGGGGTTGAGCCATTGCAAAATATTTTTAAATCCCATGCTCCAAGAAGAACATCAGAATTTCCAAATTTTCTCTCACTGTATTTACCAAAATTGCCAACACCAATCTCTCCCAACACATCTACAGTTCAGAACTCAGTTGGTTATACAGTGATAAGCTCTTTTTGTTTGTGTGTGTGTGGGGCGGGGGGAGGGTGGAGGGGCACAAATAAATAGTGCATGGGAGAGATGGAAATAAATGTGGCAAAGGAAGTGGCAAAGAAGTAGAGGGTATTCATCACCCAGGTACCAAATATTTCCAAGGAAGAGTTGATTCCAATGCCAAAAATCATACAGATCAATATTCAATTTCTTTTTGTTAAAAGATGTGAATTCTAGACCAGATCCCGCTAACAATTCATGTATGATGACGACAGACAAATCATTTAACTTCTATCTGCCTTCACTTTCTCCCCTCTGCAACACAAAAGGGTCAGTCTATCTTGTTTCAATGTCCTGGCCAGCTCTAACAGTCTGGGATTCTAGAATGAACTTGAAGAAGTCAGGCAGCATTAGGTAGTCCTGGAATTCAGTGAGCTAAGATGACTAGAGGTTCTACTCCTACTGCCTCATGTTTACATTTTATTTTCAAATGCTGCCATTTAAACCAGATCATCTGTAACAATGTCCCTGCCACAGCATCCAGAGGTGAGGGCCATTCTCTCCTTATGGTCATTAACCTGCCGTACTTGTAGAGTTTACATATACCTTGCTTAATGAAGATTTTATTTACATCCTGTATTTCTGTTGCCCTGGTGGCAATTTTCTTGCTTATAGAACCACCTAAAAGATACTCCCTTTTAATCATATTCAATTACCCAGTTTTTCCTATGGCAACTCAGTGATTACATAGGTTAAAAATGTCTCTGGTTTTCTTCATAATGTCCTTAGGAAATAAGTCAACATGCTTCCCTTTAAAAAAACTAGTTAAGATTCACTCTCAGAGTGGCCTGTAATTAAAATATAGGTCCAAGACAAAAGTTACGACAATAAAATCCTCATATTTGCTCACAGAATGCATTTGACACACAATAAACCTACAGAGATACTCAACAAGGAAATAAAAATCCTTCTGACCACAACACACTGCAACTAAATAGATGTAGAGCAGTTAAGTGATTTGATTTTTCCGAAACACAACATGCTCCATAGTTCAGGTCTTGACATATGGTATGATTCTGTTTATACAAAATGTCCAGAATAGGCAAATCCATACAGACAGAAAGTAGACTAGTGGTTGACAAAGGATGAGGGAAAGGGGGAATTCAGATGAAAGGGGCTTCATTTAGGGTGATGAAAATGTTCTAGAATTAGATAGCGATGGTGGCTACCCAAATTGTGAATATATAAAAAACCACTGAACTGCACACTGTAAAATGCTTAAAATGAATTTTGTGTTATATGAATGTTATCTTAATAAAAACAAAAGAAAACAAAAAGAGTGCAGGCCTTGGAGTCAGCAGACCTGAATTGGTCCTGCTTGTTCTTCTCGAAACTTCAGTTTTCTCATTATTCTAAAAATGAATTGAGACATTATGCAAAGCACCTAGCAATGTTTCAGACACATAGTAAGACCTCAGTCAATGACCACAATACATTAAGGTTGGGTAGACAACAGTCACACACCCAGGACTTGAACCCGGTTCTCTGACTCCTTGCTTGTGACCTCTGCTAGTTGCTACCAGTTTCTTCCAAGTGGGGGCAGCAGCTTGAGGGAAAATTCCCCAGAGCCAGCCAGGGAAGGGAAAAGGAGGCCCCGAACCTGCCAGCTGGGGGCTTCAGCTACATCCACACACTCACCAAGACTGCATTTCAGGGGCTTCTATGAAACACAGCCTTAGGCCTTCCATTGTGCCTTTGCTTTGTTTTTTTAACACCATTCCTTAGAAAAATTCTTACAAAATGTTCCCCAGTTTCCAGGAGATAAAAGGAGCCTCACATCATATTTATAAGACACCACTTCCCTCACCATGAGAGCCACAGTCTAAGCTAACCTTGTGACCAGCATGTAAAAGTTCTGTTTATAGAACCCAACATGCCCCTGCAGTGCCGTTCGCCTTCAAGGAGCTGCTGGCTGGCGGAAGGGACTCCACCCAGACAATGCCCTGCTTCCAGCGCTCTGCGTCACTAGGAAAATATTGGGGGGTGGGAACCGGGTAAATGCAAGCGTTAGACTCCCAGTTAGAGTCGCTGTCACAGACAGACCACATGGCTTTACAAATGATTACAAATCAGCTTGCTGTCAGCACACACATGTCCAACAGGTTCAACAGGATTTTTGAAGAAAGAAGATAAACAAGCAGCCAAAGGCTCAATCTGGAAGCTCACAGGCCTACTCCAGTCCACAGTTCTGCCCTGCACCCCTGCCCGGAAGTCTTGTTATTTGTGAAAACGGATCCTTCAACTTTCCCATTTTGCTACCATATATCCATAAATGCTGAAAGGGTCTCTCCTGAATTATAAAAATCATGCCATTTTCAGAACTTAAATACAAATGCTGAGGCCAAGAACTTTCAATCCAATGGATGCTTCTCATTAGTGCTTCCTTGCAGCCCCAAACAAGACCAAATTTCCGTATAGAAAGCTGTCAACTTTTCCGTTTGCCCCACACTTCCATGGCCACAGGAGCGATGCTAAGCAGGGACTGGAGAAAGAAAAGGACATGGTCTCGGTAGGCAAGAGCCTGGGCCAAGACTGCTACAAGCGTTTAGGCTGACTCTGGTACCCACAGGGTTAAGACACCTGACAAGAGTGACCTTTATTATTTCCTCCTTTAAAGTAGTAGGCTGTTCCCTGAGACAGAGCTGAGCAGACCAGGCTCCTACAAAGCCCAGAGTGCCCTGGTTCCTCCTTGCAAGGCCAGGCTACCTGGGTCAATAGCCAGCTCTAACTGACTGGCAAGGGGAATGGGGCCAGAATAGAAACGTCCTGATCCTGGTATAGTCACCTGACCACTGTGAGGTTTTGTGCAAGTAACAACTTCTCTAAATCACAGCTCAGCTTTCTTAAAAACAGGGTGGCGTTACGGATCCATTCACTGCACGGATCAAGAAAAATGAAAGATAATGGTGTGAAATGTCAAAGGATGAGTCGCTATATACACAGCAAACAGTGTCCAGGAAGGAATTACTGTGTACCACCCAGAAGTTACAGAGCATAAATCACAGATTTCCTTCTATACAGAGGCCTTGAAGGAGGTGTGGTGACTTTTTGGCCCCCGTCCTCTTAGAGCAATTGTTTCCCAGCCATGCTGTTGGCAAGACTCTCACTCGGTCCCTCCTTTTCTGATGGAGAATAAAATGCCACCCCCTCCCTCAAAAGAGCTGGGACAGACAGAGTGGGAGGGATGGAGTAACCAAGTCTAATCCAAGACCTTCCCCAGGACTGCTCTAGGGCCAGCCCTCATCTGTTTTAAAAAGGAACCATCTTGGGGTGCTGACCAAACAGGCCCCATGAATCACTGTGAGGGTCATTAGTGCTGTTCACCTAATATTTCCAGTTCTTCTCTCCTCCAGGCACATGCAATGTGCTTCCCTGCCCCCTTGAAGTCAGGAGTGGCCATGTGATTAGCTTTGGCCAAGGAAATGCAAGAAGTGGCAGGTGACATGTCCAGGTACAAGCTCCAAGAGCCCATTAATGATCTACCATATCCTCCTCCTACCCCACTGCAGAGATCACCAACACCTGGGTCCCCCGGGGACTCAGGAACAAAGCAACCAACTCCAACCCTGCCATGACTGGATGTGAAGCATGAGCAAGAAATAAGCTTTTCTTCGTTAAGCTACAGAGCTTTGGAGGCTGTTTATTACTGCAACATCATCTAGCCTATCACATCACGTAAAGACCTACTATTATACTTGCAGATCCAGCCCACCTGGCTCACATCCATTAAAAACAAAATCTGGAGTTCATCACAAGCTTCATTCCCAAGGACAAGTGGGGCTGTAACAAGGAAAGAGCCTGGGCTCCCAGAGTCAGATAGACTTGAGTTTAAATCCTGGCTCAGCCGCCCATCAACCATGCAACTCTGAGCCCGTCAACTACCTTTTACTGAGCTGTAATCTCCTCCACTTTGAAAGGGCAATGATAGTACCTGACATACAGGGTGGTGGTGAGGATGAAATGTAATGTGTGTAAAGTACATAGCATGTGGCCAGGCGTGCACTGTGCACTGAGTAGACAGGAGTGATTCTGCTAACCCTCATCATCATTATCATCATCATCACCCTGCTTTCATCAATGATCAGCAGTGAACCCGGAGGCTCTGTTTCCTGCTCTGTAAACTGGAAGAGCAATGCCATGCCACTCCCAGCGTACTCAGCACAATGCCACGCAGGGCACAGGGGGCAGCTGCTCAATAACCGTGAATACCCATACCACCCTGATATGATTTGGCTGTGTCCCCACCAAATCTCAATTTGAATTGTATCTCCCAGAATCCCCACGTGTTGTGGGAGGGACCCAGGGGAAGGTAATTGAATCATGGGGGCCAGTCTTTCCCATCCTAGTCTCATGATAGTGAACAAGTCTCACGAGATCTGATGGGTTTATTAGAGGTTTCCGCTTCTGTATCTTCCTCATTTTCTCTTGCTGCCGCCCCATGTAAAATGTGCCTTTTGCCTCCTGCCATAATTCTGAGGCCTCCCCAGCCATGTGGAACTCTAAGTCCAACTAAACCTCTTTTTCTTCCCAGCTTCAGGTATGTCTTAATCAGCAGCATGAAAATGGATTAATAACACACCCCTTCCACTCCAAGCCTTTAGCCAGCCTGCCCTGAGCGAGCCCTGGAACACCGCAGGCTGATGAAGCTGCAACACCTGCCCCACACACAAGGGGGCCCAGTCCTCAACTGGTCCACTCTGAGCTTCAGGTTGCCCTCCAGGACCTATCTGATGAGAGTCCCACTCCCTCCACCCCTAGCCAGGTCACCTGCTGTCATTTACTGGACCACAAGCACTGCATCTGGCAGGGTACTCTGACCTTGGGGACCCCAGCCTGACCCCTAAGATACCCACATCAACCCAGGTGACTCGTGATTTTGAGAAGCCCTCTTGGGTATGAGTCACAGAGACTTGGCCCATCCCTGGGGCCACCTCATCAGGAGTAGGAGGAAGGCCCCTGCCAAGGCTCCTACTGACCTAACTATTGAGGATCTGGAGAGCCTGGCAGCCCCCGCCTGGCCCTGGCTTTGACAATTAATGGTGTTACAGCGAGGCTCTGCAGAGTAATAGACTTCACATCTAGGAAAATCTGCCATGTGCCACAAAATCCCTAGTCACACGCTAAAAGCATCCCACATGGTGCGTCCTTAGGCGGTAGCTTAATGAAATGCTATGCCTGGTACTGACATATTCCAACTGCACTGGGACCTCTGAAAGTGGACTAAATAGAAGGAACACTGGAGGCTGAGCAGGAGTGGGTGTCTTGGTCCCAGGGCAGCCCCTGGGTCGGTCTGTGACCTGAGGCAGTCACAACTTCTCCGAGCCTCATTTCCATGACTATAAAATGTCAGAGAAGAGAATCCAATTAAGGATTGAAGTATCCACCATTGATTATCTACAGTCACTGAATATACAACTTGAACAAGGTACAGTGCCATTTTTAAAGAGTTTAAAGTCCCAGAGAAAGTTCAACATGTTCATAAGTGAAATCTAAATAATCACTGCCTGAAGACAGGCTCATGAGCACACTGGTCTGAGGTCTCTAAGGTCATAGCCATCTCTGCAATTATCTGCATGGCAGATAAAGGTTATTTCCTCTCTCTGACCTACCAAAGTTTCCATTTCTCCAGATAAATTAAAACAGGCCTGTATTTCATTCATCTTACCCATTCATAAAGTCACAGAACATCAGCATTATTTAAGACACCAACTTTCTCAGGTTGAAACCCTAATTTGAATTTCTAACACTTCCTTCCACCTTCCCCCATATCTGTGGAAGATAAGCAGCCATTCAGCCTCTGCCCCGGGAGCTGGAAACACACTGCCTCTCAAAACAAGCCTTTCCATTTTCCCACAGCTCTCAGGCATGGAAACTCCTCCTTCACACTGAGCTGATGTCTGCATTCCTACAATATCACTGAGACCAACTGAGGATGGTTTAGTGTGTCCTTCCTCCAAACGAGAGCCTTCCAAAAACTTAAAACCCACCCTCATACCATCCTGTCTTTCTTTTCCTCTTAGGCTAAACTGTCCAAGGTCCTTCCTCACTCACTGGCAGGTTGTACTAAGTCTTCTCTCAAAGCATGGGGGCCAAAATCAAAACAACGCTCCCTGCAAGTTGGGCCTATCAGCATCCTGATTACCAACTGCTCTAGGCTCCTGAACATTCTCCCAGAGAACAGAATAGTCAGACCCCACACAGAGGCTAGAGATAAAACCTGGGGCTTGAACTAAAGACTACCAACCAAAGGAAGTCCCCACCACCTCTAGACACACAGACACCCATGGGACCCTTCCCAGAACTTCCCCCCTGTGAGTGCCGCTGCAGGATCCACGGTGGCAGTCAGGGCACTGCTGCTGGGGTCCCACTGCTGCTTCCATCTCTTCCTTAGCTGCCAGTCCCTTTCCTCTTTCCTCCCCATCTAGGGGCCTCCAATAACCCTCTGGCTCCTGTGCAGCTCTCGGATGGCTCCTAGAGGTCACCTCTTGCCCCAACCCCATCCCTTTTGCTGGCAAATTGTACCTTGACTTCTGGGGGAAAATCAGACAACACCCTTTTCCCTTACCCTCCTCCTGCTCCCCACTTCTTCTCTCCCTCTATGGCCAACACCCCGTCTCCACCTCTCAGCCCATCCCATGCCAGGCTATGCCTGGGGAACTGGACAATAAGCCTAACTCCCCACATTGCCGCAGGTAAGTTGCTGGTTGCACCCCCTGAGGACAGGGCTCTCTGCCTAGGCAGGCATCACTAGATTTTCTGAGTGCTCAGTCTATGCCAGACACCAGCTATGTGCTTTCCATGAGTCATCTCACTGAATTCTCTTCGGCTTCCCGCTGAGGGAGGCACTGCTATTAACTGTTATAATCCTTTGCTTCTAAGTGAGGAAACTGAGGTACTGAGAGGTAAGTCACTTGCTTAGGGGCTCATAGGTATAAGCAGCAGAGCCAGGAGCCAACCCAGGCAGCCAGAGTTGAGAGCCCACAGGCTGAAAACCACACCAGGAGCCCTTCTGGGCAGGGCCTCCATCCCACTCTGTGCCCAGCCCAGCACCTGGTACATAGCACAATCACGATCCAAGGTTACTGAATTAATCAGCTTGATAGAGGTTTTTATGTGTCTAGGTATTTAATACCCTGTGATACTCCCCAAGCATACACACGCATTCTCCCACCACACATGTATTCTATACTTTATAGTTAATACACACTATTTTAGCAGTGTCATGGGCTAAATCAACTATTGTTAGCTGGCCTGAGAACCTAGCCTCAATTCATAACAATGTCTCTGTGAGAAAATTCCTTCAACTTCCAAACACCTCACATAAAAATAAAATGTTAGCGCCCTCTGTTCCTAAAATAAGCATTCAGTTAGCCGATTCATTCATTCATAGGATGCTGTCTACCTTTGCATTGCTAAAAAGTCTGTCCTGGCTAAAGTCGGCCTCACTTTGTTACATCTTTGCCTCAGAAAAGATGCCTGAATTTCAGAGGAATGGGTGAACTGAACGCTCCACGCTTTTTTTTCCCAAAGTCTTCATTCTCAATCCACATTTTTCACAAAACTGATAGTTCTCTGGGAGCACAGGCTCTTGCTGACCCTGATAAATGATTGCCCTAATTAACAATGTTCAGTTCCCCGAGATGGCTGGAATTCCAGCTCAGGAGGGGCCTGACGTTCGTTCTAGCCTCTCATTTTCCAGATGAGCAAACTGGGGCCTGGAGAGGTTAAGTGGCCTGTTCAAAGTCACACAGGGACATCTCAGCCGTGGCGGGAAGTTGATGGCCTTGATGCCAACTTAACCTCCTCCTCGGGCTTCATCTATTAACGTAAGTAATTCCTCTCCCACTCCCTGACAATGGCAGCACCATTCCCAACACACGGCCTCTCTGCCAGTGCTGCACAGGAACCCACGGGCCGCAAGGGTCTCCTTATGCTTATCTGGCCTCAGAAAAACACAGAAGAGCCTCTCTTGTTTTCAGCTGTTGACAGTGGCCACCCACCAAAGGAAAAGGGTATGAAGGAAAACATCTCACACTTCCTTCTCAACCCCAAAGATTCACTCCCCATTCCCACTCCCCACACCCAGGTTCTCATCCAGTCACTGCTAGAAAGCAAGGCTGCCCAACTCCAATACACACCTCACCACCCAACCCATTTACCAGGTATCTTCCAGAATGACCTAGCCAAGATGGTACTTCCACCATGACACAGCTCAGAGCCCAGAACGACTCCCAACACACAACAAAATGCATCCAAACTCCCCTCAGCCTGGCCTCCAAAACCTTCCTAAATTGAATTCAGTCTACCTATTCCATCTGATCTGCCCAAGGCTTCAATTCAAACCCTGTGTCAAACACATTCCTCTTTGTACTGGGTCAGGCCCATTCCCAATTACAGACCTTGGTATAATATCTACAACTATCTGTGGAAAGTACCCAAAAAAGAATCAATTATGTAATGCAGTATTTCCCCAGAAGTATGCTATGGAATGAAATATTGTGGAAGATTCTTTGAAAAAAGATTTGCGGCCCGGTCACACTGTGGAAAATTCTTGTGGTCGAGTCCTTTCTCAGAGAATCACAATTTACATTAACCCACATATTAAAGACTCTGAGAAGTTACATAATAAGAAAAGCCATGTAGGCCAGGTACGGTGGCTCACGCCTGTAATCCCAGCACTTTGGGAGGCCAAGACAGGCAGATCACTTGAGGTCAGGAGTTTCAGACCAGCTTGGCCAATATGGTGAAACCCCGCCTCTACTAAAAATACAAAAATTAGCCAGGTGTGGTGGCACAAGCATGTAATCCCAGCTACTCAAGGCAGGAGAATCACTTGAACCTGGAAGCCAGAGGTTGCAGTGAGCCAAGATCACACCACTGCATTACAGCCTGGGTGACACAGTGAGACTCCGTCTCCAAAAAAAAAAAAAAAAAAAAAAAAGCCATTAACTTTATTTCATGAGTTCCCAAGTTTATCTCAGTTCTTTCTTCCTTTCTCCACCTCTACCACTGCCATGCGACTCCAAGCTGCCAACGTTTCCTTCCTGGGCAACAGCAAGACCCTCCAAGCTGGTCTACCCACATCCCCTCTTCTGCCCTTTCCAATCCATCCCCACACACTGGGGCAGGAGAAATTATTTTGAATCCCAAATCAGATCATGTCACCCTCCACCAAATGCTTCAGTGGCCTTCTTGCGCTCTTAAGGATAAACGCAAAAATAAAAAACAAATCTCCTTAATTCAGTCCCCAATGTCTGTATCATCTACGTACCCTTCCAGCCCCATCTCACACCACACTCCTCCTCCTCACCCACCCCATCCTTCTACTGGCTTTTAAAAAAAAGTTCCTCCTGGACCATACTTCCTCCCACCCCAGGGCCTCTGCGTGTCTGCCTGAAGACTCTGCCTCCTCTCTACCAATCCTCACCTCCTCAAGGAAATGGTCCCTGACCACACAAATGAGGTCAAATCCTAGCCCCTCTCCTCCATAAGCCTTGTCATGGGTGCGATTTTTATTTACTTGTATGATTTTTTTCTTATGTTTTCTGTAAACGTTTTAGGATAGACAGCATGCATCCATTTTTGCTCATAGGCTTAATACAGTGTCTGGCCACAAGTAAATACTCAAAAAAAGAAAAAACAAACAAACAAAAAACAAATAAACAAACAAAAACAGGTTGGGCACAGGGGCTCATACCTGTAATCCCAGCACTTTGGGAGGCCAAGGTGGATGGATCACTTAAGCCCAGGGGTTTGAGACCAGCCTGGGCAACATGGCAAAACCTTGTCATTACAAAAGCTCCTTGAGAGGCTGAGGTGGGAGAATCGCTTGAGCCCGGGAGATTGAGGCTGCAGTGAGCCATGATCAAGCTACTGCACTCCAGCCTGGGCAACAGGGTGAGACCCTGGTCTCCAAAAAAAAAAAAAAAAAAAACTGTTTCCCCAATCAACCTAAGTATGAGCAACTGATGTGAAAAAACAAAGCACAACACAAGACTATATATTCTATAGTGGAGACAAGAACCCAATGCTATGAAGAGGAGGTGAGGGAGCCTTAACTCTATTTGGGTGAGACGGGTAAAGCTGCAGAGTGCTTGGTGCCACACACAGAGGGAAGGGAAAGGCAGTGCAGATGGAAAAAAAACAGCACATGCCACAGTGTGGTACCTGTGGACGGGCTGCTTTCTGCTCAATTCTGTTTTCCATCTAGACCATCCCCACCTCTGATCCTCAAGTGTACAGAGAATGTCTTTCACACTCTTCTCAGCGTGACACTGAGGGCACCAGGAAAATGGAAGTGCCCACTAATGTGAGAAAGAAATGCCTCCCTATACAACAGCTGGGCTTCTTCCCTGCAGGACTCCTACAGGCCGCCGCCCGTGTGTGCATGGGTGCAAGCCCGCATCTCTGCTGCACAGCATACATGCTCAGCTCCTGTGGCCTGAGCTGAAGCCACCATTTCCAGATTCCGCAGGGCCTGCCCCTCTGCCTGGCCCACCCACACCCTCCATTCCTGTGGAACTGCTGCATTTCTGGAAACTGTAGCCCTCTCTTTCACCTCATTCTGTGGTAAGCAGCTAGCTCCAATAATTTTCCTATTTATGTTAAATAAGAAGCAGAGAGTGAAGAGGTTCAGGCCACTCAAGACCCTTGTCTGCAGACTTTTACTTTGCAGGATCAAAGTTGAAGCATGAGAATGTGTCTTTATTCTTTTTCCCCTGCTGAGGCCAAGAGACACATGCCAGACGCTTCTCCTGGAGTGTGCTGTCACAACAGGAACCCTGCCACCACCCGCCCCACCCTGCTCCCCCTACCTGCCCCCAGTTCCCACTCCAATCTAACGAGGCCTGTTCTTTGTTCCACAAAACAAACAGTGAGTTCCGCCTGTCAGGGCAGACAAGGTGCACACACACAGGAGCAAACAAAGAGGCCCTCTTGCCAAAGGCCTTCTTTCCTGTTGGACCAACGCTGTCACTGGTGCCCTTTGTTTGAAGTCACCAGATGCACCAGGCACTTACAGAGACCTGCCAGAAGATCCCTGGGCCTGCACCAGCTGGGATATCAGTCCCCAGCCATCCCCATACCGCCAAACACAGCAGGATGTGGGGCCTCGGGGGCGTCAGACTCCCATTCCTGGGGTCTGCTGCTCTGTTTGGATTGCTGAAGTGCTGCTTCCACACAACGTGGATGCAACTGCCATCCTTCTCAGCATTGCCGGACTCAGCAACCACAGAGCTGTTGCTGTGCCTGGCCCCTGGCTCTTCTCCCCTCTCTGAGTCTATCAGCACCCATCTGTTGGTGGCCAGACACTGTGCTACCAAGTCTTGAATGTATGGGCTCATTTCACCCTCACTGTGCTCTGTGTGCTGGGCTCTGTAATTATCCTGATTTTATTGATTAGGAAACAGGGGCTCCAACCAGTGAGGTGTCCTGACTCAAGGCACACAGCCAGGATTCCATGTGAGTCTGACTCCAGGGCTCATGCTTTCATCCTCTACAATATACCACCTACCACCCCAACTACTAGCGAAAGGCCACCAACCTCTTTCTTGATCATTCCTTTACAAGACAGACTTGGAATGGAGTAAAGCAGCAGTCCCCAACCTTTTTGGCACCAGGGACCAGTTTCGGGGAAGACAATTTTTCCATGGATCGGCGGAGGTTGAGGGGAGGGATGGTTTCAGGACTAAACCATTCCATCTGAGATCATCAGGCATTAGTTACTACAGATTCTCATAACGAGAATGCAACCTAGATCCCTCGCATGCACAGTTAACAATAGGGTTTGTGTTCCTGGTCCCTAACAGGTCACAGACCTATACCAGTCCATGGCCTGAGGGCTGGGGACCCCTAGAGTAGAAGGCAGGGCTCAACCCAAATATCAGGTCAAGCACAACTCTTGATCTTCTCAATAGGTAATTCTGTTAAAAATTACCATGATTTTCTGAGAAACAGTCACGTTTTGGTTTTAAGGCCCTACAAGTAAGGAACTAAGGCTGTTTGGAGGGTTTTGTTTTGTTTTTAATGTATTTGTCGCCTTGGTAAGCCTGTCTAAGTGAGCTTTAGAATAACCCTGAGAACATTTTCCCAGGAAACACACACTTCCCTCCTCCTGTCTTTCACTCATTTATCTTATCTTGGAGTTCATGAGGCTCCATTCCACAGTCATTCCTGGTTATCAGTTTTGCTTTTACAAACAGCATTTATCTGGATTGCCAAGACATTCTTGGCCTTCTGGAAATATGCTTTCATTTTTTTTTGTCAATTAGTTGCTTTATGTGCTTCCAAAGTTATGTTTTCACATGAAAATAGATGTCTTCCCAATTCCCTTGGCCTTCACTTGGTATTAACAAAATTTACAATGGCACTGGGACCTAATGCTTTATTAAAGTCTATCTACATCAGGGAAAATAGGGCTGGTCACACTCCAAGTCATGTGAAACACCTCCCAAGACAATGTGGATTCATTTAACACCCTTACTTGGTGCTTATAAGTGCCTCCCCAAAATCATTCATCAGTGCTCTCATATGTAGAGCTTGAAAACAGTAGAGTGGCTATACCTTTGTATTTTCCTAGACGGAGAGTCCCTAGGGCTGATTATTTACTGTCATCCTTTCTTTCTCTCCTTAATGGTGTTCCTAGGTCAAAGGGGCAAACAAAGGCTGTTTTTGAATCATTGCAGGTATAAAACCAGAAATTCACATTTTACGAGACATTTGATTTTAAAGAAACAAGCTGGTAATAACCATGAGGAATACTTGACACAGAAGGGAGGCCTTCCCACAAGACAGCTCAATGCCACCTCGAGGTCTCAGAGCTGGCAGAGGTTCCAGAGTCACTGCATCTTACAATCCACCAAGATGCTGGTAATGAGACCAACACCAACTGGAAGGCATGGTGGTAAATGAGCTGACTGAGAAAGCAAAAAGGATACTGATGATACCATGCAAATGAGTTGCTGACAGCTGGTTTCTAAGTTACACGTGAAAACTATTTCAGAGATTTCACAGGAAATGCTTCCTGTAAAAGCTACAGGAAGCATCATGGTTTAAGGACCCACAGGGTATAGCCAAGTTATATGAACTGATCCTCTACCCTATAAAGCCCCCAGAAGGATGTAAAGAAAGATTTTTAAAAGACCTTCATTCAAGCCATTTCCAGTAGAGGTGATGAAAACAATCTTCACGGTTCCTGTCATACAAGGAATGAGTGATAAATCCCTAAGACAGGAGCAATGAGAAAGCTACTGCATGCAGAGAAGAGGAGCTACCTTCTGGCTTTACAGTTAGAATTATACATGAAGCACATGGAGACATTTAGAGGGATGGCAAACACGCCAGTGTCTGAGCTCATGCCTAGACACTCGAGTTTCCAGGGAACACCCTTGGCCAAAATCTGCTGGATGAGATGCCAGCTGAACACTGTGCACCATTGCAAGTGGCTAGAGTTCAGGAATGAACAGAAAGCCATAATCCAGTTGTTCTGGGATGGAAAATGTAATGCACACCAGTTTGCAATTAGTCTGAAATGAAGAATCGGGACCATTTAGCCCCAAACAGAAAGAACAGAAAGTTCATGGGATTGGGCCGATTCCCAAAACAAAATCCATCCCTCCTCCTGCTTTTACATTTTCTACTTCTATTTTTAATGGCTTAATCACATATGAGTAGTTTATTATAAGTTGCTCATAAATGAAGGGTGTTAAATGCTGAATCCAGGTGCAGAGGAGAAAAAAGGAACAAAGAAAAAGGGTGGTGGCAGAGGTGGACTCTTTCACAGCCTGGATTTCAACAGAACCACAGGAGGGTCCTAGAGACATGTAGAAGAGAACGAGAACTCCACCTCTGTACTTCCATCATAAACAAAGCTTCTTGGCCTCCATTTCAGAATACAGATCCTTCTCAACCCCTCCCCACTCACACACTATCCAGTTAGAAATATTCATTTGATGGCTATACCTTGAGAATAGTAAGTCACTAGTTGAACCTATAAATGTAAAACTTTTTAAATGGCAAGAACACAGGCATATAAAAATGACGGTCTTTGGAGCCTACATCCCTTGCTTTGCAGATTTATTTTTTAAGTGATTTTCAGGTTCATACCCCAATCAGTGTTTTCAAATCTCTCTCTTAGCACTTATTGTCCATCTCATTCTTCTAGGTACTGGGGGTTACACATGTGGTACATGAATCCATCCCTCATCTACACATATTTAGGAGAGATGCCTGGTTCTCTTGGGGATCTGGACTATGTCTTGCTTATCTTCTTAGCTCCAGTACCTGGACCAATGTCATATATACAATTGGAGCTCCATAACTACTTTTTATTTGTTGAAAACCTCTGATTGTGGAAAGTAACTATGCACCTATTATAACCATAGCAGATGGAAAGAACAGCATCGAATCTGAGAATATGCAATCTCACTAAATCCACTAAATGGTACTTCAAAGGTTTCTAAAACTTGATAGCATGTTTCCTTATACACATGAGTGTATCTGTGCTGCTGCCAGGGAGTGGAGCTTACGATCATCCAGAAGTCCTACTAACTCATGCGTCTTCATTCTATAGTTAATCCCCAAAACGGAAAGAAAAAGAAACAGCAGATATCATGTATCTCTTTTCAGTTTAATCAAGTTGATTTTTAATCCCTTGTTTCTGACCATTGAGATCATTGTGAATCTTGGTTCTGCCATATTGTACTTGGGCTGTCTCTGCCTGCTTTGGGTCACGTACAGTCTTGATAAGCATGCTTTCTGTGTCTTTATGTCATGAAAAACAAGTTAACATGACAGGACCAAGAGTCCTGTCATCCATCACTAGAAAGCTCCTTCCAAAATCTGTCTGTGGCCCAAATCTCCTTGCCTAGTAACCCTGTCAAAAGAAGAGAGCACAAGTGGAGTAATTCTGAATGACTGCAGACTTGTAAGGATCATCTTCTTCAGCTCTTACTTAAATTTTAATATCTTCAAAAGAAAGGCAAGAGGATCAATATGATTCAACTTTACCAGCATTAACTTCACTGCAAATTTGAAATCATAAACTCACTATCTAAAGTACTAATATTGGTCTAATGTATTTATTATGTTCTTTATCTTATTAACTCCTGGTATCAAACCAGACCTCAGAATCATACTCATACACTCACATTTAGCAGCTAGACTCGTCCCCTTATCCCACGTGCAGAAGGACAGATGTTATCTCATACTTCACAGTAAGGAAGTAAAATCTGGAAATAAAATGCCCATACCTGATGACGTATTCAAGACTCTGGGACAATTATTGTTTCTTCTTCAGTGATGTGTGGGCCTGAGGCATGTAGAGATGACAGTGTGCATGCCTGGATCTCAGCATCTACCTCCTCTCTCTGCTCATGGGTCCCCAGGTCCCCAGGCTAGCAAGGAAACTTGGGTATAACTTCCAGCATTATATGTCAAGAGAAGCTTTAATTCCCCTGAGGAAATGTTTTGGGTTTTTTTTTTCCTTATGGACAACAAAAGTCATGAAGTTGATCGTGTTTCCTTTTTCACTTTGCCAGAAGTCTCAGGACTACATCTCTAATTCACCTTCAAGATTATTGGACTACACAGCTGGGTTCTATTTGTCCTCACTATCCCCAGAATTGATTCTATTTACATTTATATTTCCTATGATCTTTTAGAAATATCTTTTTTATTTTACTCTATGTGCTTTTGTAAGTATTCTCAGATTCAACCTATGAAAAATGTCAATGTATAAACAAAGTTGCAAATCTATTGCTCACAAAGTTTCCTTGCAAATGAGAACCTAGCACTCCTTAATCTGTACACTGTTATTAGGTAGGATTGGAGTGTAATCCTGAAATGTGTGTGATGCCTCTGAGGAAATGAATCAAGTTAGGCCCACCTCATCTTTTGAATGTCAATTTCTAGGATCAATGAACTGATCAGATCCTCTAACCTCCCTTAAGATGTGCCTCCTATTGCCAGGTCTCCAGGTTCTGCCTTCACCAGAGTGAGAAACCTAAGGCTTTAGTTGATAAATCAAGTGTATGCCTCCAGATAAGTCATCATACCTGAGGATTTCAAAGACTAAAAGCCTTAAATGAAGTAATAAAGTCTCTGACTGGAAATATCTGGAAGTGAGCTTTCCTTAGTTTTTACCTAACGTCCTTTTCCAGCTCTTGATCCCATTCAGGATACCACATTACATTCAGTCATCATTGCTCCTCAGGCTCCTCTTGGCTGTGACAGCTCCTCAGACTTTCCCTGGTTTTGATGACCGTAACAGTTTCAGGAGTTACATATACTGGGCCAGGTATGTTTGCAGGAAGGAGGAGGAGGAGGGGAGTTGGTCCCAGTACTATTTGCATCTTTCTTGGGATGAACATATTTTTAAAGCACTTTTCTGACACATTCTCATTGCAAAACTTATGCTGTTCTCTAAAGTAGAGAGAGTAGGCATTTCTTTCTCTTCCTAAATTATTTGGAACTCTTCTATAACGGAGATTCATCTGTTCTTCCTACATCATGGGCATCATTATCCCGTTACTATTCTGCCTCTTAGCTACAATGTGAGCATCTTCGAGTACAGGGACTCAAAGCAAAAAGTGGTACATGTAGTGGATTCAGGAAACATATGTTCTAGGGCTCATTCTTTCATTGTATCAGCTAACAAACATGTGAGTGCGTCTTGTGTGCCAGAAGCTGTGCATAAAGATGAATGAAGAGCTCACAGCCTTGCAGGGCAGACAAGAGAGGAAGTTAACTGCAGTGCCAGTGGCAGAACAGAGATGCAACTGGTGCCACGGAGAAAGCAGTGGCACTGTGGGAAGGAGGCTGCTTGAGGATGACTTCACAGAAGAGGCACCAAACTGGGTGTTAGAATATTCCCCCAGGTAGGTTTTTCTAAACGAAAAATTATCTATAGAAAAGCTTTAGATTATAGAAAAACTGCTAAAATAATACAAAATTCCCTTTCATCCCACACTCGGCTTCCCCTGTTACTGCATCTTACACGAACATGGTACATGTGTCATAATGAATGAACTAATCCTGATCTATTATTATTAACCAAAGTCCATACTTTATTCAGCTTTCCTTAGTTTTTACCTAACATCCTTTTCTGACTCTTGATCCCACTCAGGATACTCCATCACATTCGGTCATCATAGCTCCTCAGGCTCCTCTTGGCTGTGACGGCTCCTCAGACTCCCTGGTTTTGATGACTGTAACAGTTTGAGGAGTACTGCGCAAGGTATATTTGCAGGATGTTCCTCAATTGGAATTTGTCTGATGTTTGGGGTAGAAAGACCATGAAGGTAAAGTGTCATTTTCAGCATATCATATCAAGGGTAGATACTATCAATGTGATTGATGCTGAAATTGATCACGTGGCTGACGTAATGTTTATCAGGTTTCTCTACTGACTCCCCAGTCCACCAGAAAAAGTGACTCTTTTCTCCCCCACTTCATCCTGTACACTCTGGAAGGAATTCACTATGTGCAGCCCAACTTCAAGAATGGGGTGTGAGCCCCTACCTACTTGAAGGCAATATATCTAAATAAATTATTTGGAACTCTTCCAGAAGGTAGAGTCCTCTATTATTCCCCATTTATGTATTCATTTACTTGTTACATCAGTGTGAACACCATGAGCATTTATTTTATTTTGGGGTCATAATCCAATACTACCTTATTTTGTGACTTTGGCCACCGGCAGCTTCTGTATTTCGTTCCTGTGTCCCTGTGCCATACCTCATCAATGTGAGTGCACACGCACGCGTGCGTGCGTGTGTGTGTGTGTTTGGAGCACTTCCTTACTTTCTGGCACTGCTAGGTAGGTTTTTATAATGTGGTTTCTAAACATCAAAGCCTGCCCACGTTAACATCATCTTCAAATGCATCAACGTCATAGAACTTTAATGCCAGAGAGAGCCAGAGGTCATAAATCCAGTATCCCCATTTAATATAAGATAAAGCAAGGTTGGAGCAGTTGCCTGAGGTTACACAGCTTTTTAATAGCAGAGTAACACAGCCACTATGAGAATTCCTGATTTTTATTGCTTATTTTCATTTTTTTTCACTATTTCAAGTAACTACTGTTGTCCATGTGTAAAAGTCCAGTCTACAGTAGAGAAATTGTGTCTGTCACGAAATCTCTCCAGGTGACCAAGTTACCATCAGTAAGGCTGCACACAAAGCAGGGTTGAAAATATGCTTCCCCAACCTCCAGACATCCAGAGAAAACGCTACTGTTTTTATTTTTCTAGTAACAGCTTAATTTTCCTCACAATCTCTCTAATTTCTCTCACAACCTCTCATCTACCTACAATGGCAGTAATCCTAACTTGAACTTAATAGTTAGTAGTATCTCAGTCACTTCTGGTCTAAACAGTCTCTTTTGAGCAGATGCTTTAATATCCAAGCTTCAGCACCAAAACTAATGTCTGGGAAACCACTTGAATGGTAGGGAGCCTGGAAAATAAAACTTAAGAGGAACAGAATAGTGCTAAGACAATTCAATGAGGCAAGAATCGTCTCTTCAACCAACAGTGATGGGACAACTAATATCTACATGCAAAAGAATAAAATAGACTCCTACCTCATACTATGTTCAAAATTTAATTCAAAATGAGTCATAGACTTAAATGTAAGAGCTAAAACTATTAAATTCTTAGAAAAAGAGTAAAGCTTAAATCTGCATGTCTATTTTCTATCCATTAGAAAAATATTATCTATATAAAGTTTTGGTCCATTTTCTATTTCTTTACCCCTACCATTCAAATTTAAATATTTTAATTTTAAACTAGTAAAAGCAGAATTACCAGAATCACATACCTGACATGATAACTAAATATATGACATCACTCAATTTATTGGAATTAGGTATGCTCTTGATTATTTCTCAGGAACAACAACTCATCTTTCCTACATGTTATTTCCCTGTTATTTGAGTAACTATGTAATGAGTATCTCTTTCCTACATTCAGTGATATGGGTGTGCATAAGTGTAATTTGTAACATCAGTAACTGGATTCACCATCTAACCTTCAATTCATGTTTAATTCTATTATATAGTATTTCCATAACTTTGGATACTTTAGTCAAACTTACACTTTTCATCAATTATAAAAATCAAGATGTTAATTAAGATGTTATATCAACTGTGACAATGAAGACGTTAAAAATTCCGGACTAGACAGCACTGGGCCCACTTATAGACAGGCTGTTGTGAGAGGTCCTTGAACAGCTACTGCTTCAATTTCAACCTGGCCTCCTTTGGGTAAAGCAGCAACATGGTAAGCAGCTCTAGTAGAAAAACCACTCTTAAAATACTGTTTGTAGATTACATTGACAGCCCGGAAGTCATTTGTGTCAGCTAGCCAAACAGTTGTTTTTGCCACATTAGTGAAGTCACAGCCTGCAGCTTTCAAAATATCACCCATGTTCTTAAGGGCCTGTTTAGCTTCTTCTGTTACCCACTCTTGGCACAAGCTGTGCACTCGAAAGGTTCATGCCTAGCTCTCCTGAAATGTAAAGGATCCCGTCAACTAATGCAGCTTGACTGAAGGGACCAGTGTACCCTTGGGCTTTCTCAGTGTTGATCACCTTTATGATCAAGGATGACATGGCTAAGTCTTCTCTCTTGCACCCCCTTCAGTAGAAGCAGTCCCTACACCAGTTCTGCTCACTTCTCACTCGACTGCAGAAGAAGAGAAGGTCTTCATGACCTTGGATGAGGAAATGGTTTCTTAGATACAACACAAGTACCAACAGAAAAAAGAGTAAACTGGACATCATGAAAATTAAAAATCTTTGCGCTTCAAAGGATAGCATTTAAAAAGTGAAAAGACAATCTGAAGAAGGGGAGAAAATTTTGCAAATTAAATATGTACTAAGAGACTGATATCCAGAATATATAAAGAACCATTACAACTCAGTAATAAAAAGACAACCCAATTTTAAAATAGGCAGAGAATCTGAACAGATAGCTCTCCAAAGAAGACATACAAACGGCCAATAAGCACATGAAAAGATACTTGATATCATTAGTTATCAGAGAAATGCAAATCAAAGCCACGATGAAATACCATTTCACACCCACGAAGATGGCTATCATAAAAAAGGCAGATAATAACAAGTGTGGGAGAGGATGTGGAGAAATGAAGACCCTCAGGCATTACTAGGGGAATGAGAAATGGTTCTGTCACTTTGGAAAACATTTTGGGAATTCCTCAGTTATTTTATGACCCAGCAACTCTACTCCCAGGTATACACGCCAAAGAAATGAAAACGTCCGTCCATGCAAAACCTTGTACCCTCTGTATACTCGAAAACTATATCCAGAGACTGTAGAATATTGGTGACTCTCTTTGAGAGAGGTAATCTAAAGGTTTTTTTCTCCCCACTTAGCCTATCTGGCAGCATTTGAACTTTTACAGCAACTCTGTTTCTCAGATCTGTACATTAAGAGAAGTAAAAAACCAGTAAAGGCAAAGTTCTCAATAACAGCACAATCTACAAAGCTAGCAACTCATCACAATTCTAATCACTTGGTTCTGTATAAATATCTGCCTCAACATGGATCTTTTTAAAATATAAAATAACCTGAACAAAAGGAAAATCTGAGTATATAGATTCATTTGGTAACAACCAATGACACTTATATTATTACCAATATCAGAGAATGCCAACCCTTAAGAATTCCTCAAAATGCTTTTGAGAAAAATATGTATCCTAACCCAGTATGTCAGTACTGGCCAAATGGTCCCACTAAGTATCACTTTTGCCCAGAAAAACAGCAATAAACCAATCCTCCTCTTTTACCTTTTTTTGACTCTGTATACCTGAAAATAAGTAATGTTGGCTGAAGTCAAAATAAGCTTTAAAAAAAAAGTTGAATAAGCTCAAGAAAAGAAAGAAAAAGTTGTTCTTTGCAACTCATTTACCATCTTGGAAAAACCCATCTCCCAAGGAGAAGTACTCTTGTTCTTCATAATATGAATTTGCAAATATTCATCTCTTCCCTCCATCAAAATGCACACATACAATAAACTGTCTACTCCTAGTCTTTCTAGTTGCTGGGCAATTAGAGTTTAGTGTGGTTGCACTGGTAATAAAGGTATTTTAAGTTTGTACACTTAGAAGCTTCATTTGCATCAGGAAATAGTTGAACTGGGCTGGGAAAACTAGCAGCAAAGAAGTAGATAATCTACATAATACCTCAAGCATGGCTGGTAGGGCCAGGTCTACAATTATTGTGACATCTGTAAGAAGTTCTAAAACACCACTCCCAATGGAAATGTAAAACAAGGACAGAATGCAAACAGCCTCCCCCTCAGGAGCATGCAACTATTGCAAGCAGCTGTTGGGCCCAACCAAAATCAGTAGCTTCAGCCTAGCCTTTCTCTTGTGCCAGATACCCCTCTTTGGGTGTCCCACAGATGCCTCAAACTCAACACGGTCAGATTCAACATGCACAAAATGGAAGTCCTCATCCCACTTACCACTCCAAGACATGGACCTCCTCTGTTCCTTCTCAATGCCTCCAATATTCACCAGTCACCTAACGTAAAAGCTGAAGGTCACCCTTGACAAGCTGTTCTCACTCATTCTCTCCAATCAATCCACAGCTGTGAGGAGGGACTTCAGTTAAAAGGCTAAAATTTTGGGAATAAGAGAGAGGAAGACTGGACGGACTCATGTGAGTGACAGAATGGACCAGATTTGGTGATAAGAACAGTTTATAACTCTTGCAGAAGCGCCCAGTATCTGTCTGGCTTTCCAACTGTTTCTCTCTTTCTCGCTGATTTATTTGACCCCCTCTTCCTTTCCCCCCACGACCTCTTCCCTGACTCTTTGCAGTGATATCATTCCCATTTCCACAAAGAGAAACAAAGTCATGTGGCCCTAAAGTTTGGTTAACATTTTCTGACAGATGACCTAACACAGAAGAAGCAGGGAAGGTTGACTGGGACCAAATTCCTTGACCACATCTATTAGCTGATCCCTGAAAGAAGTGAAGTTTCAGGCCTCAGCATGGTGAGCCTGCCCCTGCCCTGGAGCACCAGTAAGGCAGCTGATTCCACAGGTCACCACCTCAGCCTGCCTGAGTCAGCCCGGGCCCTGCTCCTGACTCACCCTCACTTCTGATTCCAGACCCCTGACTCAGCTACTCACACATTCCTGACTTCCTGGCCCTTGACTGGTTTGCTGACTTACCTTGGCAGACCTTTGAATTTCTCTAGGGGCCAATGCTAGACTATTAGGAGAGGTTAGTGAGACTGGGCACCAGAAGAAAGAAATGGCACGTGGCTAAACTCCTTTTAAATCAGCATCTGGAGAGCTGTGCTGCTGCCATCAAAGAATGGCATACAGGACATTCTATGTACGTCTATCTGAAAAGATCCTCCAAATGTATTGTGAGAGAGGAAAAAGGTGGTGTCAAAAGTATGATCCAAAATATATTTTCTTCTACTCTATACTCTTATGCATTGTTCAATTTAATTTAAAGCAAGCTTTTTCTATCATTTGTTTTTACTAAAGCAACTACAAAATAAAAAATTCCACACAATTACAATTTGAATGGGAAAAAGCCTCTGTGGCAAATACTATGACACTTCACATATCCTCCACCACTTACTTTTAACATGAAAATATAATTAGATTTGTAAACCACCAAAAAGGATGTATTCCTATTTTTTGTATAACTCAGGCTGTGAATAAAGATAACTTGTCCAACTAGTAACAATATTTCTATTGCCAAAGGAAAGAAAAATCATTTATTTTTATCCTTCAGGTTGATTCATATTTACTATTTTTGAAATCTCTTTCTAGCAAAATATACAATCTTTTCAAGAATATATACCAAGATAAACCATATCCTGAGCCATAAAACAAACCTCAACAAATGTAAAAGGACTGAAATCATACAGACTGGTTTTCTAACCAAAATGGACTCGAACTAGACAACAGGCAAACACCCAAGCACTTAGAAATTAAACAACACACTTCTAAGTAATCCATGGGTCAAAGAGCAAGCCTCAAGAAAATTTTGTTTTAAACACACACTGACCTGAATGGAAATTAAAATAAAATATATGGCATTAAATGTTGATACTAGAAAAAAGGAAGTCTGAATTCAATAATCGAAGCTCCTACCTCAAGAATCTGGAAAAGGAAGAGCAATATAAACCCAAAGCAAGCAGAAGGAAAGAAATAATAAAGAACAGAAATCAATGAAACTGAAAACATAAAAAAAATAGAAAAAAAAAAACCCAATGAAACGAGAAACTGATTCTTTTAAAAGAATGAGTTCATATCCTTTGCAGGGACATGGATGAAGCTGGAAACTATCATCCTCAGCAAACTAACACAGGAACAGAAAACCAAACACTGCATGTTCTCACTCATAAGTGGGAGTTGAACAATGAGAACACAGGGAGGGGAACATCACACACCGGGGCCTGTCAGTGGATTGGGGGGTAAGGGGAGGAAGCTCATTAGAAGAAATACCTAATGCATGCGGGGCTTAAAACCTAGATGATGGTTTGATAGGTGCAGCAAACCACCATGGCACATGTATACCTATGTAACAAACCTGCACATTCAGCACATGTATCCCAGAACTTAAAGTAAAATAAAAAATAAAAAATCTAAAAACCACTAATCAAATGTTAACAAAAAAAATCAGTAAGATTGACAAACTTCTGGTAAGACTGACAAAGAAAAAAAGGATAAAATACAAATTACCAATATCAGAAATTAAACAAGATATATTACCACAGACCCTGCAGACATCTATAAACAACTCAACACACATCTGACAACTTAGATGAAATAGACCAATTCCTTAAAAAGTACAAACTACCACAACTTATGCGATATTAAATATAATAATTTGAATAGCCTCATAACTATTAAGGAAACTGAATTCATATTTTAAAACTCCCCCAAAAGAAATGTCCAGGTCTAACTGGTTTCAGTGGAGAATTCTACCTAGTGTTCAAAAAAGAATAAACATCAATTCTACACAATCTCTTCCAGAAAATAGAAGAGGAAGAAATCCTTCTCAGCTCATTTAATGATGTCAGTATTATTCAATATCAAAATCCAAATAGTATCCTAAAAGAAAGGAAAACATGAAAAAAGGACTATAAGCCAATATATTTCATTAATATAGACACAAGAATCCTTAACAAAATACAAGCAAATAAAAGTCAGCAATTTTTAAAAGAATTATACAGTAGGATCAAGTGAAGTTTATTCCAGGAATGCTAGGCTGGTTTGATAGTTTAAAATCAGGAGGGAAAAATCACATGATCATATCAATAAATGCAGAGAAAGCATTTAACAAAACTCAAAATCCATTCATGATTTAAACTTTCTTTAAGCTCCAAACAAATTATGAATAGAGAGGAACATTCTCAACTAAAGAGCATCCAATTCACAAAAGATCTATAATTAACATTATATTTAATAGTAAGAAACTGAATACCTCCCCCTAAGACTGAGACTAAGGCTGGGATACCTGCTCCCACCACTCTGATTCAACATAGTATTGGAGCTTCTAGCCTGCGTAATAAGGCAGGAAATAAGTAGCAAAAGGTATATAGATCAGAAAGCATCAGAAAGCAAGAAATAAAACTGTCCCTGTTTGCAGATGACATGATTGTCTATATAAAAAATCCCAAGGAATCTACCACCTCCCTGTCACAAAAAAAAAAAAAAAAAGAAAACTTTGTAGAATATGTGATTTCAGCAAGGTAAAGAAATAAAGGTCCTGATATAAAATAAACATAAATAAAAACATACAACTGCATTTCTGTATACTAGCAATGAACAGAAGGATACTAAAATGTAAAAATATACCATTTATAATCACTCAAAAACATTAAACCCTTAGGTATAAGTTTAGCACAACACATACAGGACTTGTATGCTTGAAAATACAAAATCAAATGATGAAAGCAGTGAACATCTAAATAAATGGAGATTTACTTAGACCATGTTCATGGACTGGAATACTCAACATAGTCATACTCAACCTATCAAAACTTCAGCAAAATTTGTATAGATACAGACAAGGTAATTCTAACATTTATATGAAAAGGTAGGCCAGGCGCAGTGGCTCACTCCTATAATCCCAGCACTTTAGGAGGCCGCGGTGGGCGGACCACCTGAGGTCAGGAGTTCAAGATCAGCCTGGGCAATGTGGTGAAGCCCTGTCTCTATTAAAAATACAAAAAAATTAGCCAGGCGAGGTGGCGGCTGCCTGTAATCCCAGCTACTTGGGAGGTTGAGGCAGAAGAATTGCTTGAATCCGGAAGGCAGAGGTTGCAGTGAGCAGAGATCATGCCATTGCACTCCAGTCTGGGCAACAAGAGTGAAACTCCATCTCAAAAAAAAAAAAGAGAGAAAAGAAAAGAAAAGGTAAAGTAACTAGAATAGCTAAAACAATTTTAAAAAAGAATAAAGTGGAAGATTCAGTCTACCAGATTTTAAGACATAATATAGCCACAGTCATCAAAACTATGTGATACTGGTAGAGGGATAGACACACAGGTCAATGAAACAGAATAGAGAGCCCAGAAATTAACACAAAAATGCCCAACCCACTTTTACAGAGGTTCAAAAGCAATTATTGCAGGAAGAATAACCCTCTCAACAAATGGCGCTGGAGCAACTGGATATTCACAGGCAAAATAAATAAACCTCAAACTAAACTTCCACCTTACACAAAATTTAACTCAAAATGGACTGTGAGCTTAAATGTAAAATGCAAAACTAAGAAACCTTTAGAAAACAAAAACACAGAAGAAAATCTCTGGGATCTAAGGTAGGAAAATAATTCTTAGACTTGACACCAAAAGCACAATCCATAGAAGGAAAAACTAAATTGGACTTCATCAAAACTAAAGACTTGTACCTTTCAAAGACCTTGTTAAAAAGGTTTTTTGTTTTGTTTTGTTTTGTTTTGTTTTACTAGAGATTGGAAGAATGTCTTTACAAACCACATATTTGACAAAGTGCTCATATCTAGAATACATAAAAAATTTTGAAAACTCAACAGTTTAAAAAAAAAACAAACCCCAAACAATCCAATTAGGAAATGGGCAAAAGACATGAATAGATATTTCACCAAAGAGGATATACGTGGCAAAAGAGCACATGAAATGACATTCAACATGATTGGCCATTAGAAAACTGCGTAAAACCACAATATAATATCACATATACCTATCAGAATGGCTAAAATACAACATATTGACAATGCCAAATGCTGGGAACAATTCAGAGAAACTGGGTCACTCATACATTGCTGTTGGGAATGCAAAATGGTGCAGCCATTCTGGAGAGTAGTTTTGCAGGTTCTTTAAAAGCTAAACATGTAATTACCATTCATCCTAGCAATTGCACTCCTAGATATTTATCTCAGAAAAAAATTAAATCACATTCACACTCCTAGATATTTATCCAAGAAAAAAATTAAAACATATTCACACTCCTATTTATCCCAGAAAAAAATTAAAACATATTCACACAAAAAGCTGTGTTCATAGAAGCTTTATTATAATAGTACAAAACAAGAAACATCCCATAAGTCCTTCAATGAGTGAATGGTTGAACAAACTGTGGTGCATCTATACTATAGAATACCACTGAGCAATAAAAAGGAAAGAACCTGTTGATACATGCAGCAGCTTGGAGGAATCTCCAGAGAACAATGCTGAGAGAAAAAAGCCAATTCCAAAAGGTTACATTCTGTATGATTCCATCTATATACCATCCTGGAAATGATAAAATTTAAAAACCAGAGAGAAGTACACTAGTTGGGTCAAGGAGGGATGGGAGGGAAAGCGAGATGGCATGGCTATAAAAGGACAACATGAAGAATGCGGGGAGTGATGTAAATGTTCTATATCTCAGCTGTATCAATGTCAGTATCCTGGTCATGCTATTGTACTATAGTTTGCAATACATTACATTTGGGGGAAACAGGATAAAGGGTATATGGCATCTAGCTGTATTTTTTTTTACAATTGCATATAAATTTATAACTATCTCAAAACGTTTGATTTTTTAAAAATTCTTTTTTAAACTTTGCCCATCTTTAAAAAAAAAAAAAAAAAAAAAACCCCAGGTCTTTCCTGGATCACTGGCTTGACTAACAAACATACTATTTATTGGTTGAGCTGATAATTTCTGGATACAAAGAGAAGGCATTTAAGGTGTACTGTTCATTAAGGAATGATTTGGGGGAAATAATAGAAAATCTACAATGACATATCAAACAAAGTTGGTTTCAAGAGGAAGGGGGATGGCCTAAACCAACTGGTGAGAGTAAGAAGGTTCCAGATCCACTGAGTAATGCCCCAAGTTCACAGACTGATCACTGGAAACCAAAAGCATACCTGTCTCCTCTTTAGAAGGCTGTATAAATTCTCAGCCAGAGCATACAATTTTTTTTAATGAATATTAGTTTCATTCTGAAAGACGGGATATGGGTCATTTAAATTCTTCTGATGTCTTTCCAATGATCTCTTCAAACTCCTGCCCAAAGACCACTAGAGACAGGTACAACTAACTGGACTATGGTATTTTCCCCCACAGACAAATGATGGTTGTAACTTTTTAAAGTATTACATTCAATGCATATTTTCTTTCTTTTTTTCTTTTTTTGAGACAGAGTCTCACTCTGTTGTCCAGGCTGGAGTGCAATGGCAGGATCTCAGCTCACTGCAACCTCCGCCTCCTGAGTTCAAGCAATTCTCCTGCCTCACCATCCCAAGTAGCTGGGATTACAAATGTACACCACCACACCCAACAAATTTCTTTGTATTTTAAGTAGAGACAGGGTTTTACTATGTTGGCCAGGCGGGTCTCAAACTCCTGACCTCAGGTGATCCACCCACCTCGACCTCCCAAAGTGCTAAGATTACAGGCGTGAGCTCCTGGCCTCAATGCATATTTTCATACCCATGCTCAATGCTGTGGATAGAGAGACCCTAGAAATAAGAGGTATAAAAATTACCCATCTCAGGTGATAAAAGTTTCATTTATCCTCTTCTAGAGTCTCACAGTTCACACTTTATTTCAAAAGTCACTTATTTAGTAACCACATACTGCTAATACTGCAATAAAACCAACACTTGCTGCCACAGCTCTTTGGGATAACCGTGAGCCAAAATTCCTGGAGCAGAAATCTCACCTGGCATAATATGTAGCTCACGGCTTCTCCTCTGTCCTTTGCTGTCACCCTCTCATACCTTTCAGACTCATCTTTTCCCCCTTTATCCTCTAGATATTTAGCTCAAACTCCTCTTTCACTTCTTGGTGCTACCAGCTTCCCTGCTTCCTCTCCACACCACCTCCCATCTTCTCACTATCCCTTTGCACTTTTCTCCTTCCTGCCTCCCCTGTACCTCATTCCCATCATACTTCAAACTGCTCTGCCTGTTTTGTTTTGTTTTTTGTTTCTTGAGAAGTTTCTTCAAACTGCTCTGCCTGTTTCATTTTGTTTTGTTTTTTGTTTCTTGAGAAGGAGTCTCATTCCATCACCCAGGCTGAAGTGCAGTGGCACAATCTCGGCTCACTGCAACCTCCACCTACTGCGTTTAAGCGATTCTCCTGCCTCAGCCTCCCAACTAGCTAGGATTACAAGCATGCACCACCATGCCCAGCTAATTTTTGTATTTTTAGTAGAGACAGGGTTTCACAGTGTTGGCCAGGCTGGTCTTGAGCCCCTGACCTCAGGAGATCTGCCCGCCTTGGCCTCCCAAAGTGCTAGGATTATAGGCATGAGCCACCATGCCCAGCCCCTTTGCCCATTTCTAATGCTGATTGTTTCTATTGCTGGGCACTAGTCAGTCCCCAGGCCTCTTCCCTCTAGCTCCTGCCCTTCCTTTCCCATGACCCCTTTTTCTGGCTTACTCTGTTTTTCACTCCCATCCTCCACACCCTCACCTTGGTCCAACTGCCTTCTCCAAAAGTACATGCATGTTTACAGAGCGTGTATTTGTTGGCTGGATAAAGGTGCCAGCCAATGTACTGGAAAAGGCAATAAACCAGGGACCCAAAAGCTGGATGTCAGAACCATCTCAAACAACTCCTTGCACCTTCCTGGAGAGCTGGGGGAAGGAGAGTGGCAAGTGGGCTTCTGCAGTGCTTTGCAGCTAGCTATTGATGGACAATTAATCAGATTCTACTTAAGAGATCAATAAACAGATTAATTTAGATACTCCCTAATAAGGTAAGAATCTGGGCCAGGAGCTGTAGCTCACACCTGCTATCCCAGCACTTTGGGAGGCAGAGGTGGGAGAACCACTTGAGCCCAGGAGTTCGATACCAACATGAGCAACACGGCAAAACCCCATCTCTAAAAAAAATACAAAAAGTAGCCAGAGGTAGTGACACTCACTTGTAGTCCCAGCTACTCTGTAGGCTGAGCTGGAAGGATGACTTGAGCCTGGGAGGTCGAGGCAGCAGCGAGCCATGATTATGCCACTGCACTACAGCCTGGGTGACAGTGCGAGACTCTCAAAAAAAGAATCTACCCTTGGGTCACCATGTATCCTTTCACAGTCTAGGCCTATCTAGCAGCTAATGAGACCTTTTAAGCTATTAACAGCTTTCCACAACACACCACAAGACAATCACTGCTCTGGAGCAGGCTTTATTTCAGGAAAGGGAGGTAGCAATGTCTACAGTGAGAGGATCCCATCCAGTTAAAGTGCCTTCCAGAAGGAGCTGTGCTGTTGACTTGAGGATGTTTAACCAGGTGAACCTTCTCGCAGCACCAGATGCAAAAGATTCGGAACTTCTCAAGAAACAAAAGCTGTGAATTTAAAATGAAAGAAGCTTGGGGGATGGGGAGGCTCTTCACCTGCAATATCTACCAGGCCCACATGTTGTTCTGCCGCCTCTCCTACAGAGCATCTTGATCACTGTGGCCTTTGTCCTCCTACCACAATGAGCGGCTCCCATGGAGAGACAGGCCCCTGACCTTGTGTGCCCTCTTTGTGAGCCCCATGAACACCATGAGCCCACGGTCCTGGCTGCTGGATGCAAACAGGGCCGGATGTACAGGAATGTCAGCCGTAAACTCAGAGACAGGATTAACCTCAAAACAAGAAGTTATTTTGGGGCCTTACTATCCTGTTAGTTAAATGACAGGCCAGACTCTAATTAATTTCTACTAGTGTTTTGACAAGGTCAACACCAGTGGCTACACAGGGGCAAAGTAAATTATTAACCCTCCTTCTCCACTGGGCCTGAATCAGCCAGAGAGTTCACCACCTGCCAGCCACGTTTTCTCTCCAGTTCAGCAGCAGGAGGGGCATGGTACACAGCACAGGCATCTGCTTCTGGCCTGAAGGGTCACTAAGACAGCTACAGGAAGTGGCAATGAGTTGAACCTGCAAGGGAAACAGTTCACAATGGGACGGGGAGAAGGAAGCACTGCACACAGGGTAGGAGCCTGGCATCCTGGTGCCTCCAAAACCCCAAAACCAAGCAGCAAAGGAGCCATGGAAGGCTTCTTCTCACAAAAAGTCATAGGCTTAGAGTCATGAAATGCCTTGACCAGGCAGAAAGAGGTCCCTGTAAATCAGAGAGCATGAGGGGTCCAAAGAACATACCTTTCCTTTGGACTTGGCATATGCTGGACTCAAGTTTAGGGTCATAGTTATAAACCCAACTGGCTCAAAATACTTCCCCAGATGGACTCTATCGGACAACCTCACTGCCTATTTTCCAAAGTTTACTAATGCCTTGGTTCTTGCTCCAAATACATGAAGAACCCAGTGTTTTCCAACGAAGTTTGCTAGCATCTAAGTCTTCGTTGCACTGTCATCCAGCAAACACTTTGCAGAGTAGATGTCTTTGGGCTCTTGGACAATTCAGGGATGGAAAAAACAAGATTTTCCCATCCTCCTGCACCACGTCTCCCTGAATGCTTTCAGATCTATCTCTAATGCCACCTTCTCTGGACTCTATCATTTATTTGCTTGACTTCTTTGTCCCCAGCCTTATTTCAAAAAGTCTTTGAAGCACGTCCAGCCTTTTATTTCTAACTGTAAGGGGACTCAATGTTTCCCTAAACCCAGAGACTGCCAGTATTCCTTCCCACTAGACCACACACTTGAGAAACATGTGCAGAAATTTAACAAATAAAACAAAAAGAAAGAAAAAGAAGGGAAGTGTTAAAAGGAGAAATATGTGTGCTTGGCCATATTCTCTCCTTCATCTGTAAGTTCCCCAAGGATAAGGCCCGTGCATGACTTTGGAATTTCCTGAGGAATGGAACAAGCTTCTCCCAGTCCCCAACTCCTACTCACTGCTGACAAAACAGCATTACTTTATTCATTACTGTGAAAACTGCTGCAGTCACCCTGTGGAGCAAACACCTTGCCCTTTATTTTGTCTTTCATGAAACTAAACTAATAATGCTGGTTCAAACAAGTTCTGTTCCCTAGAGATGACTCGGACAGAGGGATTTTTCCATTGCATCTAACTTGGACTTGTTCTGGCCCACATTTCCAGAATTCTAACGTGTGGTCACCGTGAACACATGACTTACTCTGTAGCTAAAACTCACTAAACCACATCTAATCACTTCAGAGGCCGCCTACTACTCTGATGGTTTCTACTGAATTCTTCTGTCACCAACTATTTGCCTAAATCCATTTACATCTATCCAGTACCTCAAGTAAATAAGCACTCAAGAATATTTGTTGAATGAATAAATACATGAATGCAAACAAAACTATTAGCTGTCTAAGGTAAAACTATAAAAGGCATAAAAATGAATAAGGAAAATGGTTACCCCTAAAGAGGTGTTCAAGTCTCAGAGGAGAACAAGACATACTTTGGTTCAAGAAGTTCCCTGCGTCTAGAATGTCCTTGCCCACCCATAAGTCACCTTGCTAATTCCCACTGCCCCCAAGACTCACCCAAGCCTCACTCCCTCTTAGGAACCCGCCCTGGCCTGCCTACACGGAGCAAAGTCACCCTTTTCCGAACTTCTGCTTTCCGTGCCATATGCCAGCTTCTCATGCCCCACACCGAACTGGCTGTCAGCTTTCTTGTCTGTCTCTACTAGGCTGGGGAAGAGTTGAGAGCAGAGGCCACCTTGTCCATCTCTGCACCCCAGATTTCGCATGATGCTTGATGTGTTGAGTAAACAAACAAAAACTACAGGCAAAGCAAAACACAATAAATGCCACCCGAGGGACAAAAGACCCTGGGGATTTCAAAGAGAAAGAACAGCAGCTGCTGGGTGGACCCAAGAAGGAGATGTCATCTGACCTGAGCCATGAAGGATGGCACGATTTTAAATGGCGGAGACCATAGCTCGGGGGCTGGTGAAGGATGTTGGGGACAGACAGGCTAATATGAGCCGGGGGAAAGAAGAAAGCAAGCAGGGAGACCACTAGGGCACACGCAGAGAATCCAGTGAGAGAGCACAGGACAGCAGGTCAGAAAAGACAGTCTGAGGCTGGAATACGTACAGCCCTGGGAGGATTATTTTCCCCACTGCAAGAAGAAGATTCTTTGGGATCAGAGATGTGGTGTGTCAAAAGTATTCAGTCACTCCATCTATTGCTCATTAACTAGGCTTGGGGTTGCACAGCAGGCATTTATGTAAAAAGAGAAGAAAAGAAAACACACACACACACACACACACACACACACACACACACACACACCACACTTGTATATACATAGATCCCAGTTTCTCAGAGTGACATGATTGACATTTTGGGTCAGATATGTCTCTGTTGTGGGGACTGTCCTTTCTTGCAGGTCAGGATTGCAAAGCAAAGTCCCAGAGGTGGCTAATACGGAGTAACAGGGCACACTCTTCTGTGGAGGTGACAGGGAATCCTTTAGTGTGGCTGGCACCAAGCTCACCAGGGACAACAGTGAGGGCCAGGGTTGCAAAGGCAGGTGGGAGCCAGGTGGTGGAGTGCAGGCCTTGGAGACCAGGCAGGACTCTGTAACTGAAGGGAAGCCACCAGGGACTTGTGAGGGTGGCCAACCTGCGGCAGGTGGTGTGGTCAGAAGGGGGCAACACAGTTGGGGAAATAGGGAGATGGCTGCTGAGGCCTGAACCAGGGCAGCAACTGTGAGAAAGGAGGTCAGAGGATGGAACTGAGCTGCTGTGGATGTGGAAGCCACAGACCTGGGTAGCAGACAGAAGGTGAAGGTCAAGGTCAAGGCAGAGGCAGGGGCCCCCAGTGACAAAAAATTAAAAATACTTCACTAAACTTAGGACTTCTTCTTGACCTGCCTTAGGAGAGGTGCAGATCAATACTCTTATTTCACTGTACATGGAATAAATTCAAAAGATATGAAAGGTTTACACACTGTTTTTTGAAAGTTTTCCTCTTACTCCATCCCCCTACATATCCCCAGAAGTAACCACTATTGACTAGTTATCTCCCTCTTGAAATAATCCATATGTGCACAAGCACATATGCATGTATAGCAATATATTATGTATGTTTTTTATAACACAAATAGTATCCCTTTACAAGAGAGGAAATAAAAACAGAGAAAGACTAGGAGAATTCTATGAAGTCAATGACAAAGCTGGGTTTAAAACCCTGACCTGTCCTTAAACTATGCGGGTGTCCTTTATTTACCTCTACACATTCTGATTCACTCATACAGCAAATACAGGGCATTCTGCAAAGTACTGACGATATGAAGGACAAGACACCCCTCCTTCAAGATGAGGAGCATGACATATCACCTAAGAGATATAGTCCAGCATAACAAGGACTAAACCAAGGGCATGGCAGGATGCTGTGGGTTCTGCTAGAGCCAGTGGCTATCAGAAAATGCAGCTTCAAAGAGATGGTTTGTCAAAATGTTCTATCAGTTGTTTATTCCCGCATAACAAATTGTCCCAAAACTTAGCAGCCTAAAGTGACAAACATTACCTCACAAAGTTTCTGAGGGTAAGGAATCAAGCAGTGACTCAAAGGCTGGGCACGGTGGCTTACACCTGTAATCCCAGAACTTTGGGAGACCAAGGTGGGTGAATCACCTGAGGTTAAGAGTTCGAGACCAGCCTGGCCAATATGGTGAAACCCCGTCTCTACCAAAAATACAAAAATTAGCCAGGCGTGGTGGCACACACCTGTAGTCCCAGCTACGCAGGAGGCTGAGGCAGGAGAATCGCTTGAACCCGGGAGGGAGAGGTTGCAACTGAGCCAAGATCACACCACTGCACTCCAGCCTGGGCAACAGAGTGAGACTCTGTCTCAGAAAAAAAAAAAAAAAAAAAAAAAAAAGAAGAAGAAGAAGAAGAAGAAGAAGTGACTCAATCAGGCAGTTCTGGCTCAGGGTTTCTGATGAGGCTGCAGTCAAGATGTTAGTCAAGGTTATAGTCATCTGAAGGCTTGACTGGGGCCAGAGGATCTACTTCCAAGATGGCACACTCACATGGCTGTTGACAGGTGGCTTCAGTCCTTTGCCACATGGGGTTTTTCGCAGGCTGCTTAAGTGCACTTACAACATGGCAGCTGGCTTCCTCCACAGCAAGAGATCCATGAGAAAGCAAGGAGGAAGCCACATGTCCTTTATGATCAAGCAACGGAAGTCACACTCCATCATTTCCATAATATCCTATTAGTTACACAAATCAGACCTTTTCGACATGGGAAGGGACTATAATGGAGCAAGAGGCCCAGAAGGCTCAGGTCACTGGGGGCCAACGGGCTACTGTAAATGCCTTATGCACTCTGATTAACTTTGCCACTGTAGGTATTCCTGTTTCCATACTGGTTCTTGTCTAATGAATTTAGAGTTTATGACATATTCCATTTTCTGCTTAAAGTGATCAAATCATAACGCCAAATTTTTCCACCAAGTAAAAATCTACTTAATGATCTTGGCAAGTCTTTAGAAAAATATCCATCAGGCAGAATTTAGAGGGTCAGAGAGAGTATAACATAGATTGAATAGGATTTCCAATAATAAAGCTTTTTTCCTTTAGATGTTAAGGATTCAACTGTTTGCAATATTATGGTGGCTGTGACTGTCCCAGGCTATTTATAATAGCCCCACTCACTGCACCACCCAATTCTTGTGGCTTGACCATATCCACATCTGGAAATGCATCTGGTGTAGGGCCATCAGTGAGTAGCCATAGCTCCTTTGTTACTCACACTTCCAGACTCTGGGCAGTGTCCATGGATGGCTCAGAGATTTCAGAACATCCACTCCACATGGGGAGATAGGCAAGCACCCCACTACGTTACTTTCTCTGCTTCTGTAAGTGTTTAAATGTATTCCCACCGCTGACCCATTATAAAAGCCTTATTAGGCAAGAAACAAATAAAAACTTTCCTCCTACAAACCTTCTCCGTCAGCATACCAAACTTCTGCCTTCAGCTATAAGCCCTATCATCTCTCATCCACCTGCCCAAAGACACATGTTATAAATTCAGCAGACTGGCACTTAGCAAGGAGCAAAAACTCATAAGGAAAATGGGGCCCTACATAATCCTATTCCCATCCCTTTCTCCACAGGAGTCAGGAGAGACAGGGACAGGTAATAATCCCTTTAAAAATAGAATGAAATTGTGGAAGAGACCTCAAAGATCCCGTGCCTCCATCCTAAGTGTCAGCATGAACGAATCATCCCAGGGCCTCCCACCTCACTGGTCAAGCCCAGAGCAGGCACTTTTCCATGGAAGTAATCTGTCTGTGTCAAACATTCACACTCCCCCACAAAAACACTACACACACACCTGCTTGTCTGTCTGTCTCTCTCTCTAAAAATCTGTCCTTCGGATGCTCCATACAGGCTGCATGAGCTGTTCCCTATCTGCTTCTACTTCCTCTCATACCAGACTTTCAACCACCCTTCACAGCCCAGCCTCACTTGCCATGGTTTAACAGCTTGAACAAACCACACTCCTTTCTGCTGCAAGCCCCCTTGCACATGCTATTTCCTCTGCTTGGACCAGTCTCTGGATTTTTAAAAATCTAGTTAATTCCCATTCATCCTTCAGATTTCCATCATCGTTTTCCTCAAGGAAACTTTTTCTCCCTCCCTGAACTTCAAAGCATTTATCACATCTGAATTACACATGTATATATTTTTTTCTTTTTTCTGAGATGGGGGTCTTGCTCTCTTACCCAACTGGACTCAAACTCCTGGGCGCAAGTGATCTTCCTGCCTCACACACCCTGGTAGCTAGGACTACAGGGTGCACAACCACACCCAGAAAATCACACATTTATCCATGTGATTATCTGAATAACGTCCTTCTCACCCCTTTTCTCCATGTTATTCCTACAACCCAGCGCAGTGCCTGACATAAATAAAATGCTCCTTAGATATTTGCTTAATTAATGACCATAAATGAACTATTTATTGGATGGATATTCCAAAAACTGTATCAACAATCCATTCCCAACAGTTAGACATTGACACTGACTATTGAACACGAAATCTGAGTGGTTTGAGCCTATTTTCCTCATCACTGTTCATCGCAGGTGGGAAACAGGCAAGGGCCCTCCTCACTCCATCGGTGAGCAGGAGGCCCCCCCAGAAGGCTAGGCATAGGCAGCCTGACCACGCGACCAAGCTCCTCAGCTGTGCTTCCAGCGCATTACCTCCTTCTCTACCCAACTAAGTCTTGTCACTTTCTCCGCACGCTGCCTGTGAATTTGCTGTGATTTTGAGTCATCGAGGTGCCCTGGGTATCAGCCCTACCTTCTGCTCCTTATTGGAACTGCTAGAAAATGCCAGCCTGCTTAAACATGTTCATGAAGCACCAAGGTAGGGTCATTAAAAATTACCCAGTGTCCTACCTCTCCATGTGAGGGATCCTCCTAATGGAATTCTCCATCAGTTCTTCCTGCACTGTGAGGCTAAAGCCAAAATCCTCTCTACAGAATAGCAGCTGCTAAATCTACTCGCCAAAAGCCCTAATGGTAGACCTGGAAAGAGAAGCCCTTTATTCTGTCATCCTAGCCAGGAAAGGTAGAGGCTCTCCTCAGAAATAGTTTATGAGCTCCTACGCTCTGGAAATCTGAACTGTAACTGGAAGCTGATTTACTGAATAAGTGAAATGTATTTTAACTCACCAGCCAAATCAATATTTTTTCTTTGTCTTCCTAGCAATTCTAATTGTTAACTCTTGAGTTTCACTAAAAGAAGTTGGGTACAAAGTCAGCAAGTTCGAGGTACACCAACGTCCCAAAGCTCCTAGAGAGGTTCTTCGAAGAGGAACGTTTCTTTCTTTCTAATTCTTAAGTATTTGGTACATAAAAAGCACTTAGGGTGTCAACTCACAGAACTGACATGCTATTTCTCACCTGAATTTTGCCACCTAAAGCAATAAACCTCTCCTAATCTCCTACTCTGCACATACCTCAACCACAGCAACCATAACTTTGTCATTTTACTTGCACATCTTTCTGCCCACAAGACCACATAAGATCCTCAAAGCTAGAGACCACAGCTTGCTTGCCTTTATATTCTTGGTGACTAGCACCGCGCTGGCACAGAAAACACACTCAGGCATTTGATGGCAAATGAATCCGCATATCTAAAGATAAACCAGCATATCTTTGTCTTCTACAGCCTAACCCACAGCAAGTGACTCTAGGCAGCTCAGGTAAAACACCAGGAGTGACTTGCAGAGATGCTCTGTTTATCCCTCATGGAGGCCCGCTAAGAGATCTGTCCATTACCCAGCCCCCCAGAGTTTTTTCATGACAGCCACTGACTCTCAGGACATGGGAGGCACCTGGGATCACAGCCACAGAATGGGGCACTGGGCCTGTGATGGGTTCAAAAGGAACATCCCAGGACACCACTCTAGACCTCTTATTTATATACTTTTTAATCAATACAAGATGCAGAAGAGTTATACAACTATTAAAAGAGCCATTTCTGGGGCAGGCAAAAAAAAAAAAAAAGAGAGACAAAAAAAAAGAGATCTTTTTTTAGCCTTGAATCTTCCCATTTCACTTTTGCCTATGGAAAGTTCCATGTCACTCTAGGCAGGCTTGAGTCTGTGGAAAAGAGATATTTTCCTTTTCCTGGGCACCTGATTGCAAACCCCACCACTTCTCCAGCTCTCAGTAGCCGTCATTCAGGGTAAGTTGATTATTTGAAGTTAAAATGCAGAGGAAATGAGGAATTTTTGCTGTTTCCCTAGCTAACCTGGCTCCCTTGGAGAAGACAGAAATGAGATTTTACACTGAATTAGCCATGTCTTAAGGGAAGCGATTCCACTGATCCTGAGATTAGCACTGGTTTTACCATTTGACCCTCTGCTGACCTTATGCTTTGGAAGAACCTCTTCAGACATTGGCAGGAAAGAGGGAAGGGACAAAACTAGAAATGACGTGGGAACACGGTACCAAAACATATATTCATTTCTGTAAGACTCAGTGACATTTCCAAATTGCTGGGTAAAATACACACACACAGCCAAAATTGGAGGGTGGTGGTGAAGGGGGAGAAAAGTTTCAACATTATTGAATTTGAATAAAATTCTTATAAGGGTTAGACAATATAAAATATGGGCAGAAAGAATTTACAGTATGAGGAACAGACAAGACAAAAGTACAGAAACTCAGTATGGACATGTCTAATGCAAAAATAGCCTTCTTTTAGAAACTCCCCCAATAGACTGTTAACTAAGTCAAATGAACTGCCCTTCCCCTGGCTTTCCTGTCACTGGATGTGGCTGCTTCTCTTCAGGTCTCTGTGTCTGTGTCTTCTCTTCCTCCTCAGGCCCTCGGCCCCCTTCGCTTCTTTCTCTCTCTGTCACTCGCTCACACTCCGTCCAACGACTCCCAGATGGATAGGGCAGCCCTGCTCCTCACTCATTGTTCACACAGAGGGCTCCCAGGACCTCAAGATGAACTCATTAGCCTTTCCATTCCCAGTACAGCCCCCTTCCAGGCACCCAGAGACGATGCCTGCTCAGGTCAGCTGTCTCTCTTCTTCCTCCTCACCCCAATTCATGCTCCCTGCGGGGTCTCCTCAGTCAGCCCCTACTACCTGCTCATTCCTCCCCACTCTCTACTTCTAACCATTCCAGCTGCAGCCTCAGGTCACACCACCACCAAGTAATGTCCCCACATTAGGTCTCTGTATTAGTCCATTTTCACACTGCTGATAAAGACATACCCAAGACTGGGCAATTTACAAAAGAAAGGGGTTTAATTGGACTTACAGTTCCACGTGGCTAGGGAAGCCTCACAATCATGGTGGAAGGCGAGGAGGAAAAGTCCCGTCTTGGATGGCAGCAGGCAAAGAGAGAATGAGGAAGGCGCAAAAGCGGAAATCCCTGATAAAACCATCAGATTTCGTGGGACTTATTCACTACCATGAGAACAGTATGGGGGAAACCACCCCCATGATTCAGTTATCTCCCACCAGTCCCTCCCACAACATGTGGGAATTATGAGAGTACAATTCAAGACGAGATTTAGGTGGGGACATAGCCAAATCATATCAGTCCCTAATAAAAGAAACATCATTGCTCCCTCACTGACTACCAACTAAAAATAGTCTCCATAATCTCACCCCACCCCACCTTTCCTATTTTAACTCTTTTTGTTTATTCTTTAACACACACACACACACACACACACACACACACGCAAACTTTTTACCAAAGAAAACTTCAATGCTGGGTGCAGTGGGTCACACCTATAACCCCAACATTTTGGGAGGCTGACGTGAGCAGATGGCCTGAGCTCAGGAGTTCAAGACCAGCCTGAGCAACGTGGTAAAACCCTGTCTTTACAAAAACTAGCCAGGTGTGGTGGCGTGCAGCTGTAGTCCTAGTTCCTTGGGAGGCTGAGGTGGGAGGATGGCTTGAACCCAGGAGGCGGAGGTTGAAGTGAGCTGAGATCGTGCCACTGCACTCCAGCCTAGGTGACAGAGCCAGACTCTGTCTCAAAAAAAAAAAAAAAAAAAAAAAAGAAAAAGAAAAGAAAAGAAAAAGAAAGAAAAAAAGGAAGAAAAAACTTCACACATTTGCAACAAGTAGAGAGGATAGGTAATTAACTCTCACCTACCCATTACCCAGCTTTAACACACACCAATGCATGGCTGATCTTGTTTCATCCATACCCCACTGACTTCCCCCAACAAAGTGGATTATTTTGAAGCAAATTTCAGACAGCCTATAAAAACCTCAGTATGTTTCTTTAAAACTCAGAGACTTAGCCGGCCATGGTGGCTCATGCCTGTAATCCCAGTACTTCGCCAGGCCAAGGCGGGTGAATTATCTGAGGTCAGGAGTTCTAGACTAGCCTGGCCAACATGGTGAAACCCCATCTCTACTAAAAACGTAAAAATCAGCGGGGTGTGGTGGCAGGCGCCTGTAATCCCAGCTACTCAGGAGGATGAGGCACAAGAATCATTTGAACCCAGGAGGCAGAGGTTGCAGTGAGTCAAGATCACACCATTGCACTCCAGCCTGGGCAACAAGAGTCAGACTCCATCTCAAAAAAAAAAAAAAAAAAAAGACAGAGACTCTTAAAAACAATAGCACTATTATCACCCCTTAAAAATTGTTTAGTTTCTTAATATCATTAATATAGAGTGTTAAAACGTTCCCAATGATTTTAGCTATTTTTGTTTTTTACAGTCAGTTTGTTTCAGTTGGGATCCGAGCACGGTCCACTCATTGGATCTCTGCACCCGCCCCTTAAGTCTCTGAATCTGTAGCCACCTTAACTTCATTTTCTCCACAAAGCCCAGCCCAGACATCTCACTTTCCCACCTACAAGGTATTGCTCATGCTGTACTCAGTACCCAAAATGTCCTCAGCCCGCATGCCCAAACATCACTCAAAATCCAACTCAAATACTGTCCCCTCCCTAAAATCTTTCGTGATTGCCAGCAGTCCTCCTCCTAAGCACAGCCATGGGGTCTCCTATAGGGATTCCTATATGATTTTATCTCCACTTCACCTGGGTCATTTACTCTTGTCTATAATCAGCTTGAGAGTTACATATCTCCCCTTCAATCTCCTGGAAGGGTAAATTCCACCTGATTTATATGTATAGTCCTCACGAACTTAGCACGATGCCCTGTACTTGGCAGTTGCTCAGTAAATCAGTTTGTAAGGTGCTGTATTTAAAAATAATGCAAACGGAGAAATGAAGGATGGCAAGAGTATCTCACATGTCTTCAACCTCCCTCCTCTTCTCCCTCATCCATTCCCTTGGGAGATATTTGTTGCATAACTGCTGTATGTTGGACACTCTGAAAGTGCCTAATGGCCCAAAAGTCATATTATCTGGCACAAAAATAAAAGTGGCTGTTTTATCAGCATCAAAATACTTGCAACTCTTAGATGCAAAATTACTCCTTCGAAGATTAACATTAACATCATGATACTGCTCCTAACAAACAAGATTTGTTCATTTTCATGAGAAGTAATTTGAATTTATAAATTAAAAGCCAAAACAGTCTAATGGTTGGTCTTCAGATTGTTGAGGACTCTAAAGACATCTCCCTTTTTGTCTATTCATTCATCTAACCCACAAACATTTACTAAACATCTATTAAGTACCAAGCACAATGGTGTTACCAAGTAGAAGATGATGACAGTACCTAGTACGGCAGGGAAGATAAAACCCGGAGCAAAATTGCCAACAATACCAGGTCTCTAGAAACTGTAAGGTCCAAAAGGCAGCGAGGGAAGTTCCTGGAAGAGCTGGAATTTGAGCTGAACCTACTTTCTGAGAAACTTCAAGAAACTATACTGTCTGTACTTCTATTTTGCACAAGAGTTGCAGATAGGAAGGGTTAGGTTTGGAAAAAATAAGCCAACGGCTGTGAACAAGGTTAATTTTACTCCCAGATGGCAGTCATTCACATCCCTATTGAGCGCCCATTTCCTCTAAAGGGTTCCAGCCATGGCCACGAACCCAAGGAAGAAGAAGACATTTCCTTTTTAAAACTAAAAAAAGTGTAAAATGACCAGAAACAGAGAAAAAAGCATGTTATGAAATAAGTTGCTTAAGGGCTTAGTCCTTTAAAAGAATGTTTGGTAGATATACTCTCCTAACAGACTACGAAGATCCATTTCTCTATAAGAAGAGAACTTAAATAGTGCACATTATAACCCAAACCTCCACCGCTCTGCCAGTGAGATGCAATTCATTCTGCTGGGTGAGGAAACCCCACATAACATAGGCATTCATGAATTCCATCCACTGAGCAATCAAACTGTTCTTTAAAAGATATGGCTGATGGGTTTACAAAATACACTATTACAGAGTTATCTGTTTGGAATACCTGTACAACATTCGAAATATAATTTGACATTTTTCACCAAATGTTCTAGTAACGTAAAACCTTTAGTGCTCAAGCTAGGATAAAGTGCTGGTTATTTTACAACGATAAAATAGCACTTTAGGGGGTTTTGACACTGGGGCAGTGGTAAGAATAAGAAAAACTGATGACAGAAGGTTGGGCTGCTTCATAAGACCTATTGAAGTAATAAACTTTTTAATGCAATAAAATTTCTTAAAGAAATGTCCTTTTTTTTTGGGGAGGTTGAAGCTGACGGATCCCCTGAGGTCAGGGGTTTGAGACCAGCTTGGCCAACATGGTGAAACCCGGTCTCTACTAAAAATACAAAAATTAGTCAGGTGTGGTGGCGCATGCCTGTAATCCCAGCTACTCAGGAAGCTGGGGCAGGAGAATCACTTGAACCCAGGAGGTGGAGGTTGCAATGAGACGAGATCATTTTACTTCACTCCAGCCTGGGCAACAGAGTGAGACTCCATCTTAAAAAAAAAAAAAAAAAAAAAAAAAGTCAGTTTTTAGCCATAGTGGTTGGTGGGTGGGTTCTCCCCCTGGGGCAGGAAAAATCTAAGTGTAAGAGCACATATTTAAGAAACATTATTTACCAGATTTAAAAATTATATTTAATTCACTCTCCTCCAAATATTTAATAATCTTAATGTTCTATTCTATAATACCAAGACATAAATAATATAACCAAAAACAGCATCCATCTACTAAATTGACACATTTGTCCCCCATAAAATATGACTCTATCACATTTGTTAAGCAGCCACCTTCAGAAGCAAAAGCTAATATGGTGAAAAAACACAATCAGGATCCTCTTTAAGAAACTGCAAGGAAGCCGCGCACAGTGGCTCACATCTGTAATCCCAGCACTTTGGGAGGCCGAGGTGGGCAGATCACTTGAGGCCAGGTGTTCGAGACCAGCCTGGTCAACACGACGAAAGCCCATCTCTACTAAAAATACAAAAAAACTAGCCAGGCGTGGTGGCACATGCCTGTAATCCCAGCTACTTGGGAGGCTGAGGCAGGAGAACTGCTTGAACCTGGGAGGTGTAGGCTGCAGTGAGCCAAGACTGTGCCATTGTACTCCAACCAGGGTGACAGAGCAAGACTCCATCTCAAAAAAAAAAAAGAAGGAAAGAGAAAGAAAGAAAGAAGGAAAGGAAAGGAAAGGAAAGGAAAGGAAAGGAAAGGAAAGGAAAGGAAAGGAAAGGAAAAGAAACCGCAGAGAAATTCAAAAGCAAGGCACAGAAATTCAAAGAATAATACTAGAGTTCCCAAAAAGACCTCCCACATCACCACTGAAAAAATTCAACAGGAACTACATGGCAGGGACTGAAAACCCAGTCAGAAAGGAAATTTGTCCTAAACTAACTTTCACTTGCCAGACACCGCACGGATGTGACTATGTCCCAGGCACCATGCTGAGCTCAAGAGGCTAAGAGCACAGGCTCTTGACTTGCATATGGGGTGTATTGGTCTATGTTATTTTATTTATTTCTTTATTTATTTTGTAATTTGAAGATATGCTTAAAAGTTGGGAGATCTCACAGAAACATCCAGATATCTGGCTTCTTGAAAAAAATGAAAGATCTAGCAACATGGGCCCAGCATTCTCTCACTGGCAACTCTAAGCTGGAGCAGAGAAGCCACTGACCGCTCCAGCAAAGGACATGCCCTCCAGCCAGCTTGTCACAGTCCCCACCATACCCTCCTATCATCCCAATAACAGACTCAGTGCTTTACTCATTTATGCTCCCTGTCTGGCCCCAGAGGTACTAGAGTTTGTCACTCCCTCTCAGGAAAAAAAAAAAGGACAAAAGTGCCCCCTATGCCTAAGAAGTGCAGAGTCTAATGGAGGAAGCAGACAAGATGAGAAATTATAATAGGGTATGATACAAACTACAGTAGAAGAATGGCCAGGGTTCCGCAGAAACCCTAAGGAAGGTGAAGGAAGGTGCAACTAACTCCACCAAAGGGAGTATAGGTATCTAGGGCATGTTCATAAAAGAGAGGACATTTGGGGGAATTCTTGCAGGAGGACAACAGCCTGTTCAGATGGCAAAGCAGGAGCAAGTCACTCTACACGTATGAAGAGGTGAGAGGTCTGAAAGACACAGAGTTTTCTGGAGATGGGTTAGGCAGAGAAGGGACTTCTTCCCTACCATGCTAACAATTTTCAGCTTAAATCTGGGGCAATGGGGAGTCAAGCAAGTTACTTAAGCAAAGGCTGACACGATCAGATTTGGTTTTGTAAGGAAAGTTGCTGGCAGCAGTATAGAAAACAACCTGGAACAAACAGCCCTTGCTGGCCCACACCCCAGTGGGTACTAAGGCGAACCCCTTTGTGTTAGCTTCCCGGTGCCTGGAAACTGTCCATTCTCTGCCAGTGATACACGTCTTGACTACTTCGCCTGTTTCGTTTTTACAGACTGATATGGGTCAATGTAGTTGTCGCTCTTGAAATGGCATAATGAAAATACTATGAGTTAATATATAATGCAGACATTTGAACAGGACAAAATGCAGTAACATAAGTCTCTACTGATGATCTCAATTCCATACAACAAAGATATCCTTTCACCTACCATGTATCCTTTCCTCACTTACATATCTCTGACAGTAGAGAACCTGGAAGCTTCCAATAAATAGCCCCCACCCCATGTGAGGCACAAGTTTGATTTTCCTTATACTTAAATCACTACAAACATATCCCCCAACACTATTCTCAACTGCCCTTAAAGGAGCCACCCAGAATACACCACATTAAGTCAAGTTTTGAGGCAAGATTTAAGGGTGATAAAGATATGGGTCCAAAGGAGAAAAATTTTAACTCAGTAGCCTATTGGCATGTACCTGATGAAGCAATAGCACATAAAGATAGATCACAAGGATACCAGGCTGGTGCACAGAAATGAAATGAGATGCAAATAACAGGCATGTCCCCTCAAAGCAATAAAAATTAAATCGGTTTCGCTTTTCTCCCTCAAATTCAGTCAAATCTAAAAAAAAATAAGACAGGGAAATCAACAAGAGGCTTTTAAAAACGGTCTCCAAGTTGTAATAACCCCAAACAGTCTATTTCCCAGACTTTTTATTGTTATAACAAACAAACCCATCTTTCATTTCTTGTCATTTGCAATTACTGTGCCATAATTGAAAATCAGTGAATCACCATAGGGCTTAGGGGAGAGAGGGCCTACTAACTCTGAGCTGTCACTGTAATCATCACAGAATAAACAATATCAAGAATTCTTTCTTCATCATTTTTAACCTATATATTGCAGAGTCTCTGAAAATTTTATAATCTGTAATTCCCCTCTTTCCCTAAAGATGGCATGACATTTCAAACCATTTTCCCCTTCAAAATACTGTTTTTCTCTTCTTCAACAGCCAGTATGACGTCTGCCCCAAAAGACTTCAGCATAATTTTGAATCTATTTGTAGGAGCCAAGAATTCAATTAAGAGAAAAATTATCTTGGAAGGGTTTCGGCAATTCAGCCAATTAACCCTCTTGTAACTGTGCTGAGAAAAGAACCTGAATTGTCCAACAAAAGGCTACACAAAATCAAAAGGAACAGACTAGGGTGGGGGATGAAGGATTCCAGGAATCTGGGTCCCGTCTGCACTTCTGCCCATTAACTTGGTCACACAATGCCCTCGGCCTCTGACCGTTAGGAACGCCTGGGAGAGTACATCCCTCCACTCTGCAAGGGGCTGCAGAACCTCAAGTGTTCATATGCAGCTTCTTCATCTCCCCCTCTGCAACAGGATTTAACCAATGTCCCTACCAACGTTTCAGTTTATAGACTTTAAAAGGTCAATAGCAGGACCATTGAGCTTATTCTTTGTTAATAAGCTCTGTGTCCATGATCTGATGAATTGAGATTCACTCTCTAATTAAAAGGAATGAAGGGGATTTGCAGTGGTGTGGGAGAGAGGGTCTTACCCTTTCATCTGTTCACAAGCCAGATTCTCCTGCCCCATCCCTCACCTTGGTTGCTTCTTCCACACTCTCCCTCAGGGCCTGCAACTCAGCATCATATTGCTCCTTCAGCTTGTCCATCTCCTGATCATGGCTGGAAACCTCTTCTTTCAGGGCTCCCTTCAGGGCGGTGAGTTCACGCTCTCGCTTTCTCAAGAGGTCTTCTTGCTCCTCTTTGGCAATCAGCAGATCTTGAAGATCCTGTTTTGCCTGTAAGAGCTCCTAGAGAGAGGAAACACGAAGGGAGAAGGTGACAATGAAACATCTTGTTGAGAGGCCCTGTATCTCCCCTCCAGTTCAGTCCCCATGTGCACAGCCATCTCACCTGGCCTTGCCACTCTCTCCTTCCACATCCCGCACACCTGTTTAGACCATTTCTTCCTCTCCCCCTGCATTTCTCAGAGGCCATCATTCCCTTGGATTCCTCTGCCTCTGCTTCTTGGAGATTTGATTGAATTTGAGGGAGAAAGGGGAAACTAATGTAAATTTCACTGCTTTGGGGAACACGTCTGTATCTTCCATCTCATTTCACTTCTGTGCAGTGATCTGTTGCCCTTGCTCTTGCCCTGTGTGTGCTGTTGCTTCACGGGGGCACGCCAGCTTGCCTACCTTGCTTCATATCCCCTGGGACCCTGAGTGTGGTCAAACCCTTCATCCACATTCCTCGTACTCAGGACAACTTTGCCTGTTTTTCTTCTATCTCATTTGCCCATCTGAGCAGAGCACAATATTCATATTTTCCCCTTCTTAACTGCCAGGTATTAATGAGGAAGGTCACAAAGCTGGGGCAACAGGCTCCACTATAAATCACATTACCTGAGCCCAGTGTGTCCTGCCAAAGGCTCGGCATTCCTTTCCCTCCAGCATTTTTGTCCCAGACCTTCTCAGTTTTCCAGCTCAGGACTCGCCCTCACAGACACCTTTGCTCTTCCCTCAGCCAGAGAGATGTGGGCATCTTGGCTCCCTCTCCACCTCAACCCCTCTCTGCACTCCAGGCCTTCTTCCACCCAGAGTCCCTCCACAGAGAACGCACTGTCCCCTGCCAGCCTGCTCCCAGTCTTCACTCCATCAGTTATTGACATGGTTTGGCTCTATGTCCTCACCCAAATCTCATCTTGAGTTATAATTCCCATAATTCCCACTTGTCAAGGGGGGGACACTGTGGGAGATGATTGGATCACGTGGATAGTTTTCCCCATGTTGCTCTTGTGATAGTGAGTTCTCATGAGATATGATGGTTTTATAAGGGGCTTTCCCCACTTTGCTCACTCTCTCTCCTGTTGCCTTGTGAAGAAGGTGCCTGCTTCCCCTTCTGCCATGAAGTTTCCTGAGGCCTCCCCAGCCATGCGGAACTGTGAGTCAATTAAACCTCCTTTGTTTATAAATTACCCAGTCTCAGGTAGTATCTTTACATCAGTGTGAGAATGGACTAATACAGTTGTCTTTTCTTTCTGCCATTTTGTTCCTACCCATACTCTTGAATCTTGGCTACCTGCCAAACTTCACCACCAAAATGTCTGAAAGCATAATTTCTGTTCACTGCCTCTACTTCACAACTGCCCATTCACTCCTTAATCTCTTGCTATATGATTTTTGTCCCTGCTCTACCAAGACAGTCCCCTGCAAGGTCATTGTGACCTTTACTCATATCCGATGGCCTTTTCCCAGTTGTCAATTTTCTTTACCCCTCTTTCATCCTCCCTTCCTGTCTCTCTAAGATGCCCTTCTTTCTTGTAGTGCCAAGATAACACAGACTCCTGTTTTCTTCCCTCAGGCTGTTTCTTCTTTGATAATCTTTTCTGGCTTTTCACTCCCTCTTCCCAAAATCTATGATGATCTCCAAGATTGCAACTTTGCATTCTTTATTCTCTTTTAGCAAGCTCATTTTTGTTTTTCCAACTATTAATTCTATGTAAATGACTCCTAAACCTTTACCTCTTACCCTTCTCTGAGTTCAAACCTGCACTAACACATTCAAAGACCTGCTAGATGAACCCATCTGGATGTCCTGTGGCACCTCAGATTCAGTAAGATTACAATTTCAAGAGAATTCATCATGCTCCTTCCTTCCTTCTTCCTTTGTTCTTTGCTCTTGTGAAAAGCACCACCTGCCCCCTCAGCACTCAAGCTCAGAAACTTGGCAGGACTTTGACTTTCTCTCGTCCTAGTCTCTCATAACCAAAAAGTTAGTTCTGCAACATCTTCAATCCTTTCTGTCACCTCCCTGGGTAAAGCCCTCCTCACCTCCTGTGCAGGTGGTTTACGATAACCACTCAGCTGCTCCCCGCATCCAGGCTCTCACCTACAGCCTCTATGGCAATCCACGCAGCATCTTCAGTCCGGAGTGCCCTTCTCCCTTCTCAGGCCCATCTCTCCCTGCCTTTCAGAAAATCTTTGAAGACCCAGATACGGTAAGACCTCCTCCAAGAGGTCTTCCTTGAATATCCCTCTTGAATACCCATCTCACTCTAGCTGTTCTTCTCACAGTACTTAACACTTTTTATTTTACATTCTATATATTTTAATCATTTTTCTCATCTGCATTTGACTCGCCTACTTATCCTTGTTGAAAGAAGGATACAGATCTGATTTATTATATTTTTGATGCATAGATTAATATTGGGAGCACTTATCTGTTCAGATATAAATAAACAAGTGCAGTACAGCAGGTGTCTGGAGATGTCAGAATTCTGAACTCATCAGTTATTTCACTTGTGGCTTCTGCATAAGAACACGACCTGTTTTCTTGGAACCCCTGGGTAATCAGAGGCATGGTTGCCACCGGGGGACCCAAGGCTTCAGAGATGATAAGCTACTTTCCATTCCAGAATTGTGTCTCTGATGAGGGAAGAAACATTTTATTGATTTAAGTATAACCGACAACGAGATCTCTTTCATTTTCTCTAGGACATGCACCTCCATTGAACCAGGGGAACCGCTACAATCCCAGGGTGGGGCTGCATTGCACAGACTAAGATTTTGCCCATCAAGAATCTAACTAGCAGGCATTGACAAGCTCAGAAGAAATGTCAAGAGACCCATGCAGGTAACGAGGCCGGCTCTGGCTCTTTCAAAGCACCAAACACAGAGATCTTATGAAATTATACCCTGTCCTCGTATTTATCAAAGAGGACGCCCTGCTGCCGCTGCCCAGCCCCTTCTTAAGGAAGATCAGAGTCTCTCCTGAATTACTGTTGCTTCCGGCTACCCCCCAGGGCTTCCTGGAACCTCCTGCCAGCATCTTTAGTGCAGGCCCTGTGATTCTGACCCCTGTTTCCTGCTTTTACTCTCACACGTTTCTCAATTGTTTGGATGATAAGACAGTTCCTCTCCCCACACTTATGTTTTCCAGCATATCTCTATGTTTTGTGTTGCCTTTTGTGTGCTGCCGCCAATGCATGTCAAGACTGAGGTTTTTATGGTCCATTCTGCAACGACATGCTGTTATCTGTTGCTTAAGTGGACTGTGCAGCACAAATCCAATCAGATTACACCTCGCCATATCACTTAGTAGCACTTGAAGTTTTCCAGAGTAGAGACTAAAAGGTACACGATGTTTCATAAACTTCACTCCATCACCTCGGGGCTTAATTATTTCAATCAAAGAAGGGAGAGAAAAATACATAAACTTCAAAATGTAAGTATACATCCATTAGAGGTCAACTTGCCTCTCTATGGAATCCAGTTAAAGAAAACAAGAGAAAACTGGCTGTCTGGGAGTGGCGAGAGCTAGAAAAGTTGACTGTGTCTGGTCCTTATACATCATAAGAACTGTGCTGAGCATTTCTAACAATCCAGAGAGATGGATACTCAAGGAGATGAAGATTACTATTCTTCATAAACGAACGAAGCTCTGAGATTCTAACATGCCTAAGACCACACAGCCTTATAAGCAGTAGAGTCAAGAATGGGACCCAGATGGGTCCTAATGCCCTTTCCCTTCACTATGGTCAGTACAGACCTGACCACAAAACCACATACTCAAGAAGGCTGAGAAGCAAGCAGTCACACTGGAGTTCATCCACTAGATGCTATTATGGTTTGGCTGCGTCCCCACCCAAATCTCATCTTGAATTGTATGTAGCTCCCATAATTCCCTCATGTTGAGGGAGGAGCCCAGTGGGAGATAATGGAACCATGGGGGTGGCTTCCCCCATACTGTTCTTGTGGTAGTGAGTAAGTCTCAGGAGATCTGATGATTTTATAAGCGGAAACCCCTGTCACTTGGCTCTCACGCCTCTTGTTTGCCACCATGTGAGAGGTGCCTTTCACCCTCTGCCACGATTATGAGGCCTCCCTGGCCACATGGAACTGTGAGTACATTAAATCCCTTTCTTGTGTAAGTTGCCCAGTCTCAGGTATGTCTTTATCAGCAGCATGAAAACAGCCTAGTACAGATGCCAACAAAACAGAGCACTGTGTTTGGCTGGAAGGCCCTTTAAGGAGGTCCACCTTCTTAAACTAAAGCAAAGAAAAGCAACCAGAGCCTGAAGAGACAGGTAGAAGGAGATCTGAGAGAAAAAGGAACACACTATGAGACCAGCTGTTCTGCAGCAGCAGCAAGTGGCCACCCCACGACCATGCGCACTGAGAAACAGGCACCAGGATGTCGAGAACGGCAATGTATTTGCTCACAAAAAGCTCTACTTCACACACCACCTGTGCATGAGCGTGCCACATCAAAATGAGGAAGACACCAGTCTAGACCCTCTTTTGCATAAGTGCTTCCCAGAAGTTCCACAGGGTCCCTATCTCTGGCCCATGCTCACTGAAAGCATAAATAAAAGGTTTTATAGCAACGGTAGCTGACAAAGAATTCTGTCATTTTTTTGTTCCAGGATGGCCAAGGAAGCATCACACGGCTGGTGAGAATCATGGTATTTTTGGCTGCCTTTTTTATAAAAATTTGTAGAATGTTCAATAATATCATTACAAAAGAAGTTTTAGAGACATAATTTCTGAACACAATCTCTCCTCAAACCACTACAATTTTATAACCAGACTATTTTAATGAGACTGAAGTACCTGTATCTTGGCAAATGCCAGGGATAAAACACCACAAGACTCTGCTGGAGTGAGGCCCATCTCTCAGCACCGCAGGCTCCCATCAAAGCAGACATTTGATAATTAGAAAACCCCACCATCGTGGCACTTAGCGAGCTGTCTCACGTTGACCTGTCACCCTTGGAATGGAAGGTAATGCATTCCTGACAGAGAAGTGGTGGAAACCTGTTCTATAATCATTTTTGTAACTTGAGCTGAAAAAAAAAAAATTTCAGAATCATCTATTTAACTAAGAATAACAAAGTCAACCCTTTGTTGGTCAATTTTATGGTTTACTCTAAGAAAGTGTTTTCTACTATTTCTCCCTTCTTTTTTTTTTTAAACTGTTTTATTTATTTTTTTTTTTAAGTGAAAGCCAGTTTATTAGAGAAGAAACAAAAGAATGGCTGCTCCATAGACAGAGCAGCCTATTCCTTCTTAATGTTACTTTACTGACTGCATACAGGGGTCTGATGTTATTTAACAAAAAGTGACATATTAAAAGATATTTCATGCAAAATCTGGTCCATTATGCAGGACTTGCAAAACTTGGGCCTTCAACCTTTTTCAAACATTCAAAAGCATAAGTGTTTAATGCTCATTGTGTTAAGAGTTTGTTCCAAGCTAACTGCCATGGGAAACTTGGCCACAACTATACTCTGTTATCAAATTCCCCCAGGCCACTTTTTATTAAGATATGAAGAATAAATTGAAAGTGACAAGGAGACAGGGTCTATTTTACTAGTGACGTAGAAACCGTAGATCATAGTTTAAGTGTTGCTGACAAGTCAAAGGAAACTGATAAAAACAGAGGGTGATTTTCTGGAGCAAGAGAAACCCACTTTGGCCTAGGGAGACTAATTACACTCTAACTCATCTTGCAGAAAGGCAGCAGTAAATGATACAGTTCCTGTTGTGGGAAAGAGACAAACTACCTGTAAGCCAGCAACATCACGAACAGGTTTAAGAAAATATGTGCTATTGCCCACTCCTGTATCTCGCATTATCAGCCTCTGCCTGAACACATCACCAAAACAGTCTCATATCGTTATCCCATCATCAGTATAAATAAATCAATAAACTAATGATGTTCAGTTAATAGATATGCAGTATGGCATGTTTAAAGAGGAAAAGAAGTATGCAGTTCATTTCAGAATTATTCCCTTTTTTAAAAAATGGTGACATTTTAAAAGTAATTTAAATACGAAAAATTATTTATTCATTTGCTCTGTTGCTTGGCACTGTGCTAGATGTGAAATGCGGAAAGAAGCAAAAGTGATTGCTCTTGAATTAGCTGGCTAGCAGAAGAAAGATACAAAATATGTGCAACGTCAAGTGAGTTAAAATAGAGAAACTAAAAGGACAGGGGATATCAGGGGGCAACTCACAGTGACAGCTGTCAGTTACTGCGGAAAATCAGCAACTTCAGAGACTTCCCAAGAGCTAAGATAACATCTTTCCCTTTTAGAACCAATAAAATGTTCACACAAGGAATCAAGAATATGACAATGTTTTATCTTCTATTTAAATTTGTTCATGAAGCTACACTTTTATTGAAAGCCATAAATTGTTCATTGACATCATTTCTGGAAACTTATTCTTAGAAACAATTTTTAAAGTAGTAAAAGTATAAATGTAAAAAATGTTCCCCACAATCTTTGTTTCAAAATTACAAAAAAGGGAAAAAAAATGTAGGAGAATGGTTAAATATATTGTGGTTTATCTTCTTAAAAATTAAATACAAAGAGCATAAAGTATAATAAGAAAGAACATTTTTGATATCTTAACTTTTAAAAGCAGGTATCAAAACTGTAGGGACATTATGATTGTCCTTATATTATATATACATGGGTAGATGAAAGCTATCAATAGATAGGGAGGCAAACAGAGATTATAGAAATAAAAATGGCTGCTCAGGTATTAGGAAAGTATGTGTACGTCCCCCCCTCCCCCTTTTTTCAATTTTCGTTTTATGTTGTTTTAATATTATTTCAGTGATAAATACATATATCTTCTTGTCTTTGTAACTCTGAGCCCTGAGAGAAAACAGCACCATGAGAAGCAGTATTATACCAAGAATGTGGTGGTTTTTAAGGAATCATTTGATAAAAAGAGGAATCCCAGTTGGTAAGGAACAATGCTGAGGGCTTCTCAGGAGAAAAGGTCTGAATAGGGAAAGAGAGATGGTCATATATGGAGAAGAGGCAATCACCCTCCTCTGCCAATGTGAAAAATGGATTCATGAGAACTCCTGGGCTGGGTGACCAGAGTCACTCATCTCTGAGCTCCTGCCAGGTCATCGGGTGAAGAAAGGCTAAGTTCTAAAAAGTAGGACCTAAAATCTCTCCTGAGGAATTATTTCAAAACTGGAGGAGGAAAGGAGTGACAGAACAGTAGACAACTGAGACTTAAAGAGTGTTCCAGGGACTTCAGAGCCAGAAGCTTCTAGCCCCAAGTAAGGGAGAGAGAAAACACCTAAGCCCAAAGAGGGAGGAAGTAGAAAATTAAATATTAACACAGTACCTTTATGTTTTGACTTTTAATTTTTTTGGCTTTGTTCTAAATTGTTTATCATCTCTTTGTTGGGCTATTCCTACAAACCACACTTATAAAGAAGTAGGTTCCAAAACTATGCTAGAATACAGGTGATGATAATGTTACAGCAAACATCAAACACCTAAATGGGTGCAGAGATAAAAGTCCTGTCTTTTTCTGACCCTCAATTATACTTATTCCCTCTCCCAAAAATGTACATATTGAAAACCAACATTCTTGCTAATAATTTCATACATGTGAATCTAATACCTCAACAAGATAATAATCTAGAGAAGAGAGAATACATAATAAAAACCCATAATAATTAGCAAATGCCAAGCTGAGAGGAGAGAATCAAGCGCATCCACTGACTCACAGATCATAAGAGCACAGGTGGAGCAGGTGTGCACATCAGAAAGTGGCTTGCAGTCCACAAACCCTAGCCACTCCATCTTTCCAGGCAGGTGGGGCCTGTCTTATCACCTGACCCCACAGCCCTGCTTACCTCAATCAGAGCTCCCTTCTCCCTGTCCTCCGATCGCTTTGCACTGTCCAGTTCATCGTGCATTTCTGAGAGCTGGTCCTGGAGATCCCTGATCTCAGTCTGATGCTGCTCCCGTTCCATCTTCACCTGGAATAGCCTGGCAGGGAAGGAAGCCCATTAGACAGGCTCTTCTGGGCTCTGCTTATTTCCATCCAGTCTGATTTCTGATCTTCAGAGGGTTACACAAGTCTCTAAAGCCCCAAGGAGCCTCCCCATTCTCTGTTCTGCACTGAGCAAGGGATCACCAACCTGAAAAGGTGGCTGAGAAGAACTTAGGCTATGGTCTAATTGCTTACAAGAGGATAAATGAGAACTCAAACCAACAAAGTGGGTATGGTTATACGGAGACATTTTCTCCCCAAAAGGAGATGGTAGGGTACTAGAATTTGGATGCAGAAGATAAAGAAATGAAACAGAAAAATTTCCCACTAAAGCCACCCCATCCTTCCACTGTCTACTATCCCAGTGTTCTAGACCAGGAGAGTTGGCAAATTATGGTCTGTGGGCCAGTTCAGCCCACTGCCTGTTAGTGTAAAGTTTTACTGGAACATGGTCATGCTCATTCATTTATGAGCAGCCATTTCATTTCACGACACAATGGCAGAGCTGAGTATGTGCAACAGACTATATGACCCACAAACCCTAAAATAATCACCACCTGATGAAAAAAAAGTTTACAAAACTCTGTCCTGAACCAAACTCACAACTACTATACCTTTTTATTTTGTAAAACTTTTACTATACCCTATATTTTCTGATTTTTTTCTTACTAAACTCTTTTCTGCAATTAGCATCTATGATTGTTTTAAACGCAAAACACCACCATCAAAACTGCAAGGACAATCAAATGCTTTTATTATATAATGTCCTCTTTTTCTTGAACTTCCCCCTAGATTTCATTCCCACTTGACTTTCCACTTAAGGCTTCTGTCGTGTCCACAGAACGTCATAGCACTGTTTATTCTTAGACCTTGGTTTTCGATTCCTTTGCCACAGCTTTTAATACAACACAATGGCAGGGGCATCTTGGACCTAACTTTCCTTCTCTGTAGACTCAGAGGAGGTATAAGCACCCATCACAAACACCAGCACCATCGAGGATAAAATGCACAGGCTGAGAGCTCACGGGGGCCACGTAACACATGCTTTTTAGAAGCTGGGCCCAGGCTCCTTGAACTCTGTCTTTCAGTATCAGCGCTCAGTGCTCCCTGCTTCCCACTTACCTGCTAGGAGGTCCACTTTAAGGACTGAAACTTTGTAACGTATACTTCAAGGTGCACAAAGAATGTTAAGAATTACTAACCTTTTTGTTTATCAGTCTACATGTGTCGCCAGCTTCATAATTTTACAAAGATAAGAGGAAGAAAAGGAAAAGCCAGCTGCCTTTATAAATATTTGGAAGGCTGGGTAGTATTAAATGGACAGAAAGTTTCTAGCTACATGTCATAGAGAACCTGGGAAGGGCAACAGGCTCTCAGCCCAGAACTTACTCCTCCAGATTCTTCCGGAGCTCCCCTTCACTTTCTTCCAGTCGTTGCTGCAATGTGGAGTTCTCCTCCACCTTTTCGTTGTGTTGGCTTCGGAGCTCTTCTAGGTTTGCTCTCATCCTCTCTCTCTCTTCTTTAATGTTCTGTTGATTCTAACAGGAATCAGTGTGATTTTAAAGAGCCTCCACTGTACATTAACGTAACCCCACAGAAGCCTACTTCTCAACAAGCAGACTCCATATCTTTGCACTTACATTATTAAACAACTTAATCAAACTATATAATTAAGGCACAGGAGTTCTTAACTAGAAAGAACATCAAACATTTATATTTAATGAACTGTAATACTTGTAAAAGAAAACACAAACACAGCCAAACCTCATTCTGCTATTTCTATGATTTAGTTCAGATGTTTTATATACATTTAGTTTCCCATTGGCCTGCCTAAATCCAACAGGGTTTCTTTTACTCTGTCTAAGCAAACAGTCTCTATAGGCTTTGGTTACATTAAAAAAAAAAATTCTTTGGACAGCAGCAGCCAAATACACAGGAATTTATTCAGTGATTAGAGGAATGTTTCTTTTGGGGGAAAAAAAATTGGCTTTCACTCTGGTTATCCCAATGCATGTAAAATATTCTTTATCAACCAAGACAGAAATGGAAAAAATAACATAAAGGAAAAACCAGATACCTTGACTTCCAGTTGAAGCTGTCTCTGAAGTTCAGCCACTTCTATGGTCAACTTGCTTTTCTGTTCCAATAGATCTTTGACTTCAGATGTGGAATTACAAGCCTATAATTAATTGCAAAGATATACTAATTTAAATGTTCAGGGTGCTTTATTTTAATTATCTTCCCCCTCCAAATATAATCAGTGCAGTAACAGATGAGGCATAACACTAAACATTTTAAGACCCAATTCAAACATCAACCCCTTCAGGGAACCTTCCCTGACTTGGTGGGCAGAGTTAATGTTACTGCCTGCCTTGGGACTCCAGTGAACTTTATTCTACAGCATTTACCAATCACAGGTATTGTTTCATCAGGTATATCAACACTAGTCCAATATGACTAAAACTTGCATACATGGCATATTTGTTAGAAGTCCGTAATGTATTCTGTAGAATATTATAAAATAGCAATGCATTAAATTTAGGATAATAAAACTTAAAAAGCCTCTCCATAATAAATTCTATATTCCAGAGCATGGAAATCAATGGTTAGCAAAAAATCAGCAACAAAATCTTTTTGTAAGTAAAGACAGTCATTTTTTCTATTTTAATGGCAGAATACAGTTTAGCTTTAGTGTTTCTTAAGAGTGGTTTGAGAATTACTACATCAGGAGATTATGAACTTTTATGGGGCAGGGACCAGGTTTTATGCACCTCTGTATCTACAGAACCCAATGTATCTCATAAATTTAATCAAATCTCAGTAAATGATTGTTAGAATTCTGGTTTTGCCATGATAGAGTAGCAAATATCAGATTTACCCTCCCAGCAAAAACTATGAAAGCTAGACAAAAATATATAAAACAATTGTTGACAGGCACTGAAAAGCAAGCAACACAGAGTTATGATCCTTACAAAGGAAAAGACAGGAGGTAGCCCCACATTCACCCTGGGTTCTCCATGACTCCATTTCCAAACCACAGCACAATAAAATTTTATAAGCACAGACAATGTCATTAGGAAATTGCAAATTAAAACAACAATGAGGCTGGGTGGGGCGGCTCATGCAGTAATCCCAGTACTTTGGGAGGCCGAGGCAGAACGATCACCTGAGGTCAGGAGTCTGAGACCAGCCTGGCCAACGTGGTGAAACCCCATCTCTGCTAAAAATACAAAAATTAGCCGGGCGTAGTGGCACACGTCTGTAGTCCCAGCTACTCAGGAGGCTGAGGCAGAAGAATCGCTTGAACCCACGAAGTGGAGGTTGCAGTGAGCCAAGATCATGCTACTGCACTCCAGACTGGGTGACAGGGCAAGACTCCATCTCAAAAAACAAACAGACAAACCAACGAGATACCAATATATACGAATTAGGATGGCCAAAATTCAAAACACTGGCAACACCAAATGGTGGCAAGGATGTGGAGTAACAGAAACTCATTCTTTGCTTGTGGGAATGCAACATGATACAGATAATTTAGAAAATGGTATGGTTGTTTCCTACAAAACTAAACATGCTCTTACCATACAACCCAGAAGCTGCCCTCTGGGTGTTTACCCAAATTAGTTGAAGTCTCATGTCCACACAAAAACCTGTACGTGAACGTTTAAAGCAGCCTTATTCATAACTAACAAAACTTGGAAGCAATCAAGATGCCCTTAAAAGGTGAATGTATAAATTGTGGTATATCAGACAATGGAATATTAATACTCAATACTAAAATGAAATGAACTACCAATCCATCAAAACGCATGGGAAAAAATGCACACTACTAAGGGAAATGAGCCAAACTGAAAAGGTGATATACTGTGTGATTCCAACTACAGAACACTCCAGAAAAAATAAAACCTTGGAAACCATAAAAAGATTACGGGTTGCCAGAGGTTAGGGGAGAGAAAGGAACAAACAGGCAGAACACACAGGATTTTTAGGGCAGTGAAACTATTCTTTATGATACTAAATGATAGATACATGTCATTGTTCATTTGTCAGAAGCCTGTAGAATGTGCAACACCAAGAGTGAACACTAACGTAAACTATGGACGTCTTTGAGTGATAATGATGTGCCAGTGTAGGTCCCCTGATTGTGAGAGGTGCGCTCCATGCTATAGGATGCTAACAGTGGTGGAGGGCGTATGTGGGGACAGGACAGTAAACGGGAACTGTCTGCACTTTCCACTCAATTTCACTGAGAACCTAAAACTATTCTGAAAAATAAGGTTTGTTAATTTAAGTGAGAAAAGTGTCCAGAGTGGCAACTCACTGATGAAAGAAATAGAGATTAGAGTTTAGAGATAGTAAGCAACAGGGATTTCAAGGTCAGGGTATGAGAGAGGAGAGAGGTCCACAGAAGAAGTTCCAAGAACCTACAATAAATACTCCCTGGATTCTTGGATGATATCCTAAGCTGTATATGAGCAGAGCAAGAGTTCAAGAGGACTGCAGAGAAGACCTATTAGGAGGCAAAGAACCCAACAGAAACTTCACAGGTTGCCCAATGCTAGGGAGACACTAGGGTTCCAACTCAACCAAAATAGAGAAACCTTGGTGGACATTCTGGCATTCATTTGAAATCCAAGAAAGGAACATGGGTCATGTCTTAAGAGTAAGGGCAAAAACTTAAATAGACACTCCCTAATAATGCCTAGAACAACCAACCATATAGAATCAAGGTAATCTGTAAGTAATTTAACTGTCTGTCAAAACAAAACTTAACATTCTTCAGGGGGAGATAACACATTCCAGAACATCTATAACTCATCACCCACTCGGTCTAGCATACAATTAAAAAAAAAAATCCTTAGACATGCAAAGAAGTAGGAAGAACTAACCAGTAACTAAATAAAATAAACAACAGACATAGAGATGACCCAGATGTTAAAGTTAACAGATAAGGACTACAAATTAACTATAACTAATATTTTTAAAATAGAAACAATTATGGACAAAGGGTTTTTGTTTTTTTTTTCTTTTGAGACAGAGTCTTGCTCTGTCATCCAGGCTGGAGTGCATTGGCCAGATCTTGGCTCACTGCAACCTCTATCTTCTGGGTTCAAACAATTCTCCTGCCTCAGCCTCCCAAATAGCTGGGGTTACAGGTGCGCACCATCACACCTGGTTAATTTTGTATTTTTAGTAGAGACAGGGTTTCACCATGTTGACCAGGATGATCTGGAACTCCCGATCTCAGGTGATCCACCCACCTTGGCCTCCCAAAGTTCTGGGATTACAGGCATGAACCACCATGCCTGGCCCTTTTTTTTTAATCAAGTTCCAGAGATAGATTCTATAAAAATATAACCAAGTAGACACTCTAAAACAGCAGTACACAATATCTGAAAGTTAAGAACTCACTGGATCACAGCTCACTGTAATCTCAAACTTCTAAGCTCAAGTGATCCTCCTACCTCAGCCTCCTGAGCAGTTATGACTACAAGCATGAGCCACCATGCCTGGCAATTTTTAAATATGGTTTTTGTAGAGATGGGATCTCACTATGTTGCTCAGGCTGGTCTCAAACTCCTGGCCTCAAACAATCCTCCCACCTCGGCCTCCCAAACTCCCAGGATTACAGGCATGAACCACTGCACCTGGCCAAAGAAAAGTTCTTAAAAGAACCATCCTTTAAATGAAGGATGAAGAAAAACATTCTTTTAAAGACATCTTAAAAGAGAAAGTCTTAAAGTAAGATTGACGTAGCCAGAAAACAAGACTAATGAATTTGAAAGGTCAATAGAAAATATCCAGAATATCTGATGCCCCAAACATACAACATACACACACACACACACACACACACACACACACACACACACGAAAAGAGAGAGAATAGAGCACAAGAGATATGAGGAACACCATCAAAATTTCTAAGATACATGTAATTGGAGTCTGAGAAGAGCTGGGAGAGACCGAATGTGAAAGAAGCAATATTCAAATAAATAATAGCCAAGAATTTTTCAAATCTGATGAACCTATCAAGTCGAGAGCTCATTGAACCCCAAGAAAAATAAATAAAAGAAAAACCACTCTTAGGCACGTCATAGTCAAAATCTAACAATTGACAATAAAGATAAATTATTAAAAGCACCCAGAGGGAAAAGACACATCACTTTCAAGAGAATAACACTAAGAATGATGGCTGGCTTTCCAATGGAGCCAACTGAGGTCAAAAGACGAATAACGTCTTTAAATTCATGAAGCAAAACAATACTTGCCACACTAGAGTTCCTGAAAACTGAGAGTGAATGACAGCTATTCTCAAACAATGCCCACGAAAAGTACTAGAGGATATTCAAAAAATAGTTCTCCAGGCTGAAGGAAACCAGTCCGAGATGGAAACACAGAAGTACAGAAAGGAATGAACAGCACTGGAAAGGGACTACATCTAAATGAAAGATGTGCGAGACCTCTCTAACAAAAATGACGGAACGCTGCTGAGAGATGCTAAGACATAAATAAGTGGGGACAAAGTTCATGTTCACAAATAAGAACACCAATAATATTAAGACGTCAGTTCCACCAAATTTATCTATGCATTTGGTATAATCCCAATCAAAATTCCTAGAGGCTTTTCTTGGTGGAAGCTGACAAGCTGATAAAAGTTTATATGGAAAGGCAAAAGACCTAGAATAGCTAAGATAATCTCGGAGAAGAATAAAGCTACCAGATCTGAAGGCTTACTAAAGTGGCAGTATTTAAACCGTACGATAGTAGTGTAAGGAGAGACAAGTAGACCAAAGTAATGGAAAAGAGTCTAAGTATTACAGAGGATATATAGCCACTGGAACTGGCATGCTGCACTACCAGGAGTGTAAATTGTTTCAATCACTGTGTAAAATCATTTGGGAACATTTAACAGTTAAAAGTACACCTAATTTACAACCCACAAATTATACTCTCAGATATATTCTCAAGAGAAATGAGTGAGTGTGTTTACAAAAAAAAAAAAAAAAAAAGTAATGTTCAGTTTGGCATTACACCTAGCAGCTAAATACCAGAAATGACCACTAAGAGTATACACTATGTTGACTGATTACAACAGAAAACTACATTTCAATACAAAATAGCTACCAGTATATGCAACATTAATGAATCCTGCTGATATAATGTTGAGGAAATGAAGCCGGACACACGAGAATACTTATTATAATACATATTGTAAAATTTTATGTATGTAAAATTCAAGAAAGGCAAAACTACTCTAGGTGATAGAAGTCACGATATGATCACCCCCAGAAGGAAGGGGGACAATTTATGGGGAAGGAACACAGGAAACCCAGGAAACCTGGGTGATGGGAGTGTTCTATATCTTGATCTAGATGGTATTTGCATGGAAGCAAACCTATGTTAAAAATTCAATGAACTGTATAGATGGAATTTGTGTAATTTACTTTATATAAGTTATACCCCAATAAAACAATATAAAAACAGATATTTGTTGAAGACTTATCTGTTTGCTAAGTTATACCCAAAGCCCCTGCCTCTGTGTTCCCAAGACCCTTTATACATATATTTGTTACAGTGTAATCTACATTACACTAGAGATTATTGCTGAGTCACCGCCAGTGAGATTCCATCCCTCTCTGCATAGCCTGTATGCAAGTAGTAAATAAGTGTATGTTAGCTAAATTGGCTTTCTCCTTTTAGATGTTACATTTCCATAATGAAGAGGGATCTGATTGAAGAGAGTCTATTACAAAATATTATCTCTCTGATCTGAGTATGAATATTAATGGATCTTTTTTTCTTCTTCTTCTTCCATGAAAATAACATGATGATTCTCTCAAAAGGATTTGGCTAAAATCCTACAGTAAAGTGGTTAGAAAACTACAAATAGCTGAGGGGAAGAAATAAAAGTAGGAATCAAAGCTAGAAACGGCGGCATCTTGGCTCACACATCCCTGAATCCAGGTGCAAGTTGTGTGTGATAAACTTGGAATGAGGTACTTCCCTACCTACTCCTGTGAAGATGATTAGAAACACAAACACACAACTTCCAATTTTCTTAGGCAAAATAACAATCCATTTTAGAAACAGAAATCCAACCCAGTGAGGGAAATTATACATTGTTCTTTCCCATACAAAATCTCTACCTGCTTTGCTGTTTTCCAGTATGGTCTCCGTCCCTAAGGGAGAGGGTTCTTACATTCTCTCCTAATCACTTAAGTGACACCGCAAAGATAAAACTCTAAAACCTTTGCCAGCAAGTAATCAGATTCCAAACCTAAGAGGGAGGGAAGAGGAGTAGGAAAACGTGGCAATTAAACAGTCATGGAGCTGTAATAGGAACCTGAAGTCTAAAAGTCTTGGTTCATTTTCTCATCATCTCTTGATTTGGCAGCTTCTTTTGTTGTTGTTTTTAAGAGACAATGACTCATTCTGTCACCCAGGCTGGAGTACAGTGGCACAATCATAGCTCACTGCAGCCTCCACCTCCTGGTCTCAAGTGACTTCTGCCTCAGCTTCCTGAGTAGCTGGGGCTACAGGCATGTGCCACCTCGCCTGGCTAATTTTTTAATTTTTCTAGAGACAGGGTCTCACTACATTGCCCAGGCTGGTCTCAAACTCTTGGCCTCAAGAAACCCTCCCTCCACAGCCTCCCAAAGTGCCGGGGTTACAGGTGTGAGGGACCACACCTAGACAGGCATTAGCTTTTCATTGGTCTCTCTTCCTCTAATCTTACCTCTTTCCAAAAGCCACAAAAGGAATAAACTTTCACAAACACAATGGTATTCACATCTGTTTAAAATCCAACAATGGTAACCCATCCCCTTCCCAGCCCGAAATGGAAACTTCTTACATAACTTCCAACTTCCAATGTCCTTGCTACCAGGCTCTTCCTCAGCCCATCCTGGCTCTGTGTTCCCACTACACTAAATTCCCTCTAACATGGCAACCCATGCCTCTTTATATTTGTCTGTGCTAGTCACTTAACTTAGAACACCCCAGCTTCCCTTCTTCTCACAAATAATTCTATGATCTCTTGGGGCACCATTAGTGTCACTGTCCCTAGAAGGGCTACCCTGACTTACCCAGTTCAGGCTGTTCACCCCTAGTCTGTGACCCACAAGGACAATCTCAACATCAAGGCCAAAGACTGCGCTCACTCTAAGAACAAACAGGTATAATTTACGAGTTAAACACATGCCTAACTCACAACTCAGCAATTTTACTTCTAGGTATATTCTCAAGAGAAATGAGTGAATGTGTTTACTCCCCTCCCCAAACAAGTACAATAATGTTCACAGTAGCTTTATTCCTAATAGCCCCAAACCAGAAATGTACACCAAGAATACACACTATGTTATACAGATACAATGGAAAATTACATTTCGATACCAAAAAAAACTACGAGTACATGCAACACTAATGAATCTTGATGATATAATGTTGAGGAAATGCAGCTACACACACAAGAATACATATTGTGAAAATTTATATAAAAGTCAAGAAAGGCAAAACGACTCTAGGTGATAGAAGTCAGGATATGATTACCTCCAGAAGAATGGGGTGTAACTGATGGGGGAAGAAACCCAGGAAACCTGGGTGATGGGAGTGTTCTGCATCTTGATCTGGTTGAGATTTGCATGGATGCAAAACTATGTTAAAAATTCAATGAACTGTACAGATACAATTTGTGTAATTTACTTTATATAAGTTATACCCCAATAAAACAATATAAAAAGGATATTTGTTGAAGACTCATCTGTTAGCTAAGTTATACCCAAAGCCCCTGTGTTCAAGACCCTTTATATTGCTCTGTAACAGCCGGTGAGATTCCAACCCGCACTCCCTGCATAGCCTGTATGCAGGTATACAAAAAAACAAGAATCGTGTTGATAATTTGGACTTCAGAGTTTTAGCAAACAAATACTGGACTGACTTTAAGAACTATGTAGAGCTCCTCAAGGCTATGTATATGCAAGGACTATGGTGTAATACGCAAGGACTATGGTGTAAAGATTCCCCAGTGGGAATTGCGTATGTGTGTGTACGGCATTGTTCTATTTGAGGCCACAGCAGCAGTCATGGGTTAGCTGAGTGCTGGGGGAATAACAAGTAGTAAAGATGGTAGGTTGACGCCTAAAATTATCCCCTGTATGTACGCTTCCCAAGTTAGAAAGAAGCTACAGACAAGTTTCCTGTTACCTGCCTCCAGGTGTCTTCCTCTTTCCTTCCCATGCAGAACTCCCCTGGGAGGGGAAAGGAAGATGGACAAGCAAGAAATGAGTTCCACACAAGGCGGTGGAAGATTGAGGAACGAGTGTTTAGCCGTACTCTCTTACGAGTGGCTTCCTTCCAGGGCACCAGGTGTGTCTGACATAGAGTAGTTGTTTATCAAATGTGAGAGGGCTCCTTCCTTAACCAAAAAAATCTCTATGTCCCCACTCAAATTCAGCACAATCAATCAGACAGGCAGTTATTTAAAAACTAACTTGGCACCACTGGGCTCTTTCCTGTCCCCTGCACCACAGCTGATCAGTGTCACCAGTCTCTAGTCCCATTCTCTTTCACACCTGAAGCTCCAGAGCTTGGGTCCAAGCCTGTTCACACTTACCTTCCATGTTTGCCTATGACAATGCTAGTCTTCCTATTCTTATTTTCCTCTTCTAAATCTCGCCATCTGTTTGTATCATCCTGTTATAGTCTATGTATTTTTAAATAAAATATCTTTAAACTTTTCTGGAAAAAAGGCTGGGAAAGGCCAAGCATGGTGGCTTACGCCTGTAATCCTAGCACTTTGGGAGGCCAACGTGAGTGGATTGCTTGAGCCCAGACGTTCGAGACCAGCCTGAGCAACATGGTGAAACCCTCACCCTACTAAAAACACAAAAATTAGCCGGGTGTGGTGGCACATGCCTGTAGTTCCAGCTGCTTGGGAGGCTGAGGTAGGAGGATGGCTTGAGCTCAGGAGGCAGAGGTTGCAGTGAGCCAAGATCATACCACTACACTCCAGCCAGGGTGACAGAGACTCTGTCTCAATAAAATGTTGCTGCAACATGTAAAACATGAAGAGTACTCCTCACTACTCAGGCAACTTCCCACTTACTGCTATAAACAAACATACAGACTGAAGAAACAGCAAGTTGTTTACCACATTCCATGCTAAATGCACTCTACAAAATACAAAACTTCCATTTACTTGGTTATTTCCTTGGGCGCTCCCAGCTGCTCGAGACTTTAAGGTCTGGATTTTCTCAAAGACCAAGTTGACTTTCCTTTTAGTAGCATCGTCATTATCAGTGCTTCTGAAAAAGGGACAGCAGAGAAAACAATGAGGGACACAACCACTGGTCTCAGAACAATTTATATGTCATGACACACACCCAACAGGTCCTTTAAGGAGATAATTTGCAGGAGCTGTGAATTAATTAAAGCCTCAGACAAAATCAGTGTGAGAGTAGGATGGATGGTGTCTTTTTTTTTTTTTTTTTTTTTCAAATAAATGATGTGTTACCACTCAATTTGGGACAGGGTTCCCACTTGCAAATATGTGAGAGGCACATAAACACATCCTCAGTAAGCTTGGAGAAGACACCCAGTGAACATTTAGTAATTTGTTGTTTGATTCAAATGCTCATGTCCATTCCAAAAAGAATTCTCCTTTTCTTTGAAGTGCGTATGTGTATATCTCTCTCACACACACAAACATGCTGTACATCTGAATCTTACACTAAGAATGATCTACAATGATCTTAATTTGTTTAACCTATGTTTAAAAAAATAAAACCCCTAAGCCAAGATTATCAGCATGGCAGCCCTTTGTCTGGGCTTTCACAGGTAACACGGAGATACTAAGTTTTATTAACTTCTACCACACCGTCAGCAATTAGAAGAAAAAGATTTAAAATAAACTTCCTTCAACAGGCACCTCCCACTAAAGTCTGTCTTACCAATGTCTCAATAAATCATGTGCCAAAAAATACATACATAAAAGAATTTAATGAATTTTGGCCAGGTGCGGTGGCTCACGTCTGTCATCTCAGCACTTTGGGAGGCAGATGCTGGTGGATCACTTGAGGTCAGGAGTTTGAGATTATCCTTGCCAATATGATGAAACTGTGTCTCTACTAAAAATACAAAAATTAGCCAGACATGGTGGCGCACACCTATAATCCCAGCTACTCAGGTGGCTGAGGCAGGAGAATCTCTTGAACCTGGGAGGTGGGGGTTGCAGTGAGCCAAGATCATGCCACCGCATTCCAGCCTGGATGACAGAGTGAGACTCTGTCCCAAAAAATAAAAAAAAAATAATGAATTTTAAAAGTCAAGATTTCTTCTACCTTAATCTTAACATGGTAAAGTCTTCCACAGGGAGATACTAATAACCAGTTCTTAGCTAGATTAATCTTTCAGGTTACTTTTTTTTTCCCCCTTTCAAAAGATCCCCTGTTTTATATTTTGAGCCTTACTATGTTGTTAGCTCTAAAACTGACAAATAATTGTAAGGCACAATACAAAAATATACAGTATTTTGATACCAATGAGGATTTGCCAAGTGGCTGGTTTTCAGTCATGTAGGCTGTAAAGCTTTTTTTTTTTTTTTTGTCCTTCCTCTTAATCACATCTGTTGAGAGAACTGAAACAGAAACCTCAAATTCCTTGCTCAAGTTCCAGCACAGTTAGTATCTAAGTAAGGGCTGAAACCCTGATTATTCCACCTCAACCACCAAGATAAGCATGGAAAGCACTGCTTTTAAATGACTCACACATGCTTTAAAAATAATGGAAGCAGGGGCTCTTGGCCAATGTTAACTCTGGGGAGGGGAGGTGTTTTTATTTGTAACTTCTAAAGGACTACCACATTGCACGGAAGAACTCAAGGTGATGGCGGACTCCATTCAAACCTGAAGAGTAGAAACTCCTCCTATCTTTGAATTTGCTTTTGAAATAGTAAAGGGTCACTTTAAAAATGTATTCATTTTAATTTTTAAAGTATGGTGTCCTTTCCTACACACCCCTCCCAAAGCCCCCACCCCATACCACACAAGACAAATGCCGTCACGAAAACCCCAGCCATTGAGTTTTAACCCTCCAACGGCTGGCACAGGGCAAGAAAGGAAGGTAACCATTAAAGCCTCGGAAAAGGAAATTAAGAGTCCCACCAGAAACAACAATACTTTGCTCTTTCAGAGGGAAAATCACTAACCCTTCTTTGAGGTAATTGTAGAGAATCTGCTTAGCTGTCTCCTCATTGGTTTGCTGAGTGAGCTCTTGCTGGCCCTTTAAGAGATCCGGTGTGGCCTGGAACATAAGGCCTGTTGTTAGACCATGAGGATGAAGTTCCCAGAGGCTTCCAAACACCAAACAATTCCTCCAGTGAGCATCCTTCTTAGAGCCAGTTACAACATTTACCAGCTTCATAATCTTGGGGAAGTTACTTAACTTCTCCTCGCCTCAATTTTCTCACCTGTAAATTGAGGTTAATAGGTACTACCTGCACAGGGTTGGTGCAATCCTGTAATATATAACAAACAGTGCCTAGCACTTAGCTACTTTTTTTTTTTTTTTACCATTTTATCAATATCATTATTTTTTATTGTTACTATCAAAACACTAAATGTGCCACTTAGATTCTCACTTGACAATTAACCTAAATGAAAATTAACCTAATTTTTCAGGCTAGAAATTAACCCAGTCACTCAATTTTATGAGGAAAATTAATATACCTACACAAACCTAACTATTCAGCCTCTGTGTAGAAACAAATTCTGCATACTTTCAGATTTCATGCATACACAAACAGAACAATTGAGCCTCTCTGTAGCGTCTGCCAAGTTACTTTACAGAGAGATCACAATGGGAATCCAGCTGAACTTCAAAGAACCCAGAAAACTATACAATTGGCAGTAGGACATCGTCAGTAGGACACAACTGGATCCTGAAACAGATCAGCTGTGTGATTCCTGATACAAGATTGAGGATGTGTAATTCCTATGGCCTCCTGCAGCATAAGTACATCATTACATTATTTAGAAGGAAGAGAAAAAAAACCAAACAGGAATCGCACTAGTGTTACCTGAGTATTTGAGGCCGAAGGAAATGTCTTCACGGAAATTTTCTTGGCACCAGAATCAGGCGAAGTTGCTGTTGCCCGGTTCTGTAACATCAGCGTAGCGGTGGCTGTTTTCACCTCCTCCTCCTTTTTACTCTGTGCACCAAGGGAGGGCGCACGGATCACTGTACTTTCCTGACTACCTTCGGTTTCCAGAACTTTCCCATCTATGTTCGGCTGGGGAGGCCTGGAGTGGGCACATGAAGCCCCGTGCGCTGCTCCCTGCAGCTTTGCAAAGGTGCGGCCCACGCTCTGTTTCCCACGGCGCTCCTGAGACAGTGGCCGCTGCGGGCACACCTGGGAAGGCCGGAGGAGGTGTTCGCTTGACTTGCCCAAGTTCCTACTGAATTCAATCAGGTACTCCGAGTTCCCTTGGAGGCCAAAAGGAAAGGCGCTATCCACGCTTCTGGATCTTTTCCTGTCATCTGTATTAATTCTGTTTCGCTTCCCAGACCTTCCTCTTCTCTGAAGCCCAGGTTTTTGATCAAATTTTTCAATTAACTGATCCACACCAGGAATTGATCCTGTATCAATATCCCGTCCAGTTCCTGGCAGGAAGGGAATATACCTTCTGTTTTCATGACGATTGACGTTGTCGGCATGGATGGCACATTCCTGATCATCCAGTAAAAACCTGTACAAAGAGTTGGCTGACGTGGGAGTTGTGGATGACGAGGAGGACCTCCGGGACCGAGCTCCATCCAGGACGGGTCCCGCTGAATCCTGTCGCCGGAAGGGAAGAACATCTGGCCTGGTTTTCTTGGTTTCAGGGTGGGCATGTGGGCTGTGGGCAGTCAGGGGCCTCCCGCTAGTGAAAAGGGCCTCCTCTCCCACCCTCTCCTTGGTGCAGCTCTGAACGTTTACACACACTGAGGTCTGCTTTTTGGGGTCCTCTATGACCACGGAGCTGCATAAACGAATAGCTGTCACACCAGATTTGGCCGGGTCTTCCAAGGAGGGACTGGTAGGCTGGGAATTGCTAGGTTTGGGAAAGCAAGTCCAAGGCTTCTTATTGTTGATGCCTTCTTCTGTCAACGTTTTTAGCCAATTACTCTCAGAAGGCTGGTGATTTTGTAAATTCAACTCATTCTTTTCAGGGTCATAGGGTTGCAAAAGCTCTGGATGCCTCTGAAAGTTCAGCAGGTGAGATGGCTTCACAGACCCGTCTTTGCGATCTAGAACTCCATTCTTGCCCTCATGGAGCAGGGGCTGTTTCAGGTTTCTTATTGGGCTAGGCTGGGCGTATGGGTTTTCTGGAAGCTGAAGTTCTTCACTGTTCTCCTTTGGCACAGAACCATTGCTGGAATGTAGAGGCAGGTTATTTATCACTGGAGGTGGAAAGGGTGGCCCATTTTCAGAAAACGATGTGCCTGCTAGGCACCGTTCTGTGTTATTCAGGACAATATAGGGGTGACCATCAATTCCCTGGACCCGAATACTGACACCGTAGGAGCCTGCCTTGGAGTTCTGGGAACTCCTTGATTTTTGGGTATCATCACTTGCGAGTCTCAGATGGACCCCATATTCCTGCTGCACATGTTGATATTCACCGAAATACAGCTCCATGGTTCACTGTTCCAGCTACCAGGGAGAGATGGGGTAAAAAGAGGACATTAGGTTAGAATTACATCTGTTTAAATGAAGACTGAAATAATTAGGAAGGGGAAACTTCAAAGTTCAAAGAAAACAAGACATTTTAAACAGCAAAGACACCTCAGAACCAAGTGCTGAAGGGCAGCCCTCTGGTGACCCAGCAGGACTTTCTGGATGCCCTTCAGCCCACGTGGCCACTGAGTTTGTCACCACTGGGTTTGAACCCTGGCCTGAGGGCAGACAACCCGTGTAATGACCTGACACTTTTGGCGTAGCTTCATTATTCTGACTTTGTTATTCTGTTTTGGGCTGTTCTGGTTGCCTTTTTTTTTTTTTTTTTTTTTTTTTTTTTTGCTGTTTAGTTGGTTTCCTGAAACTTTATGCTGTTTATTTTTAACCAATAGGATGTTCCAGTTACCAGCATTTGAGAACTAGGTACTTTTCCATGAAAATAATTAAGAGCTAAGGAATTCTGACGCTCACCATTTTTCTTTGTTACTCTGCAGTTCATTTTCCTCTCAAAACACTTTCAGCCTTTTTTACCCACAATCTTGCTGCAAAATCTTTAACACTACTATTTGAATATAATGTTTCCAACACTTTTACCATAAGGAATCAGTTGTTTGTGAGACTGACAGTGAAATTAAATGATTATAAATCATTTTCAATCTTTTCTTCTTAGCAAAAAAGTTCAATAGCATATTGATCTGGAAAATATTATTTAAAAAATGAAGAACACTCAGGGCTCTGTGTTTTGTGATGGGTCCTGATGCCAAGAATAGTTGCCGTTGCCTTTCTGGTGTGTGGCCAACCTTGCCAGATGACTGCAGAGAGCTCACCAAGCAGGATGCTCACCCTGCCTCACACTCCGAGGTTCCTCACCAGAAATTCACTTCTAACACTTTGCAAAACAGCAATGGCAAAGGGACTCCAGGAAGAACAGTAGCAACTGGTCACAAATAACAGTTGTCTTTTTTTTTTTCCACTTTTGAGAGACTTTTTGAGTTTTCTTTCTATTCTAGAGTCAATCTACTAGCACATTTTCCAAGAAAATCATCTATTCCATCCAATTTTCAAATTTATTTGCAGAATTTGGGTAGGATAAATCATTTATTATCTAATGTTGTGTTTTCTTCTATTTCTTGATTACACTGGTAGAATATATATGTGTATGTATTTTTTTAAATTGTTTCCCTAAAGAACTAGCTCCTGGATTTATCAAGCATTTTTTTCTTTAATTTTCAACTTTACTGAGTTCTAGTTTGATTTTTATTATTTCCTTCCACTTTCCTTTGTTTTATTTTGTTGTTCTATTTCTGACTCCTTGACTTGGACGCTTTACTTGTTTATTTTCATTCTTTAATCACATAAATTGTGGTTTGTAACTATGTCACTTAAAAATTATGTCAGTTCCTACTAATAGACTCCCCACATAGCAGCTTAAGACAGGAACTTTTCCCCAGAGATAGGAAGTCTAGGACTGAAAGAGACCCTGGGATAAGGAGCACCCCTTCTATCTTTCCACTCATCTGTCTTTAACATGTGATTAAAGATAGCTTATGATTATGATTACAAGATAGCTGATCCAGCATCACATAGCCCAAAAGCTTAGGCCAAGTGACTCAACCTTCTTTTTAAATAGCTTTCCTGGAATCCCCACCTAACAATAATCCCTTATATCTTATTAGTGAGAACTTAATCATATGGCCACCCCCAGCCGCAAGGGAGACTGGAAAATAGGGTACTTAAGCTGGTCATCAACATGCAACAAAATCAATGTTCTGTTAGTAAAAAGAGAGAGGAGAATGGACTTTAGAAAGGCAGTAAACAGTTTCCACCACAGTAATGTTTCTATTACTATTTTCTAGATAGTTTCTCTTTGGGGTTTTGATTTCTGCTTTGACCCAAGATTTGATTCTGAGAAAGTTGTTGCATATGTAGTATTTTGTTGCTGTGCTGTTTTTGTTTGGAGGGTCTTTATTTGTAAATGTTGCTAATCTCTACCTGTATTGTGGTCAGAAAATGAAGTCTCTACCATTTCTTCCTTTTTAAATATATTGAGCTTCCCTCTGTGAGCAAATATACGGATAATGTTTGTCAATGCTTCACAGGTACTAGGTGTAGTCTCCATTTTAAGGGATAACATTCAAAATCTATCCATCTGTACAACCTTAATAATTATGTTGTTTGGCTCTAGCACATCTTTACTTGTTTTGTCTCTCTGTTCTGTCTTGGGGCTTTCTGAATATATTCAGTTTCCTACCAGTAGCATAGTGTTGTCAGTTTTGCTTGGTGATAATTCTTTTAAATCTCAAACATTTTAGCTACTATCATTTACCACTTTAAAGATAGGAACAACTCAGAGAGGTACATTCATCTGTAATATTTATCATTATCTCACCAATTCCAAATATTTCATTGTCAACTTTCATTTTCAGTTATACTAGTATTTTTAAATAATTTATTTTTTAATCAAAGTAAAATAAGTGAAAACCTACATTCTTCAGCTTCCCTTCCCTGATCCTGAACACACTGCCCAGGAGGAAAAAAAAAAAAACAAAAAAACCTGCAAATTTCAGCTATTTCTTCTAATACTTACCTCCCTTTTGCTAAACAATATTCCTGACTGTGATTCCTTAACTTATTGGTTCTACATAGGGTGGATACCACACCATACATACAAGTCTCTCACTTGGCTAACCTACCAATAATAAAATCAAGAGTCAACTATTTACATTATTATGACAATATAAATATTCACTAAAAAATTATATACTATGGTCTTACAGAACTTTTCTTATAAAATTTTTACTTTTCTAGCGTTAATGATCGATTACTGTTTTACTTGTCTTTTCTATACACCTATCCTTAAATCTTTCCCTCAACTACATTACATCTGTGAGATGCTTATCGGTATTAATTTCCAAATGATCAAAATATCAGGTAATTTGGTGACCTCTTTTTTACAGTCTTCCCTCCTCCTACCCTATATTAGGGTCTCATTGCTCTCTTCCTTTTGTGTTATATTATTTTCTGGGTTTCATGTCTTCCTCTTTGTTAGTTTACCCAATTGGTCTGATAGAAGACACTTCCAGTAGTTTTCTAAGAAAAAGTCCTATGGAAAAAAAATTTGACTCCTTGTATTTTGAAAAATGTCTTTATTCTATGCTTACTTTTGATTGGTGGTCTAGCTGGACATAGAAGCCAGGTTAGAAATAATTTCCATCGTATTTTTTAAAGCTTTGCAAACTTCATTATCTTCTAGCTTCCAAGGATGTTTTTAAGAATTCTGAAGCTCATTGTACCCTTTCCTTTGTGTGTGACCTGTTTACGTTCCCCTTAAAGCTTTTAGGACCTTTTATCACTGGTATTCTGAAATTTCATAATGGCATACCCAGGGGTGGGTTTTATAAAATTGGGGAAAGTGGACTCTTTTATAAAACATGAGCACATAATATATATATTCTTTCAATTTGGAAATTCATGTCTTTAGTTCTATAAAATATTTTTGCATTCTTTCTGTGATAATGTTCAGATTACTATTTTATTTTGTTCTTGGTTTCTGCATCTACTATAATAGCAATGTTGAATTTTTTAGATCACATTTTAATTTTTCATATTTCTTTTCTCTCCTGCTTTTTAACTCCATCTTTTTTACTCTACTTTTCAGAGATACAACTTCAACATTTTTTAAATTCCAGTATTTAATTTGTAATACTCAATAGCTCTTTCTTGTTCTCTAATTGCTCCTCTTTCATAAATGTTATTATTATTTTGGATATGAAATAACTTCTCTCTGCAAGGAAAACTGTAACTTTCTTCTAAAAACACGTTTTCTCTGCTTTCTGCAACAACACCATCTTCTGCAAGGTTGTTCTTTTCCTGTTTTGGCCCCTACTTTTCATATTGAAGGCTTTGGTAATACACCTGATGAACCCTGACTGCCTGATCCTATTTAAGAATGAAGGACCAAAGCAGATTGGTGGCTCTGCAAGTGTGGAGAAGACTATTAGTTGGTGAGTGTCAATTAATGTGAAAGAAAAAAGTATTCCACTGAAGAACCCATACATTTCAGTTATCTGGGGGCATTTTTTTCTGGAGTTGTTCAATTTCTCAAGGAAAGTCTTCCACTTCATTGCTGGGGCTGCACACGCCTGGCTGCTGCCATCATGGACAGAGCAGAAGAGTGACCAAGCTCCCAGCTGTCATCAGTCTCTCTTTTTAGTCACCCCCACCAACACCCCAACACCATTCCAGTTCCATTTCTCCAGAGAACAGACCTCCAGGCTGCTGCTGGGGTGGGGAAGGGAGACAGGGACAGGGTGTAGGGTCTAATTATGCTGGTTTTAATAACTCCCTATATTTGGCCAATCTCTCTGGCCTACTATGGTAACAATGCCTTCCCACTTCTGAGCCTCTCTGTGGTTCTGCAGGCAAAGCACCTCATTTCAGCAATGTGGGCACTTTGGGTGGAGGGGTCTAACCCTCAGCCAGCCCGGGGATCACCCCTGCATCATTGCAGGAGTTGCCACCAAAGCCTCCACTGCCATTTTTTGCCTCTTGCAGGTTTAAACATTTTTTCTCCCCTTACTACCATTTGAGTGGAATTTTGAAAAGGAGAAGAACTTCTAAACTTATCTGGTTTGACAAGGCTACTAATATCATAAAACAACTCAATACTAAGGACAAGTACAGCGAGCTTGCCTTAGACTAATGAAGTGATGCGTGAGGGCTGACACCAAAATAACCAGGTGTGTCTTAACCCCTTTTTTCTGAGCAGCATTGGCATATTTTATTCTGCATCTCTAGAAGTCTTCATATTTGTTAAAGTTTCTAATAATCTTTTTAAACAGAAGAAATTTTTTGTGTGTGGTATTTACTAAATGGGGTTATTCTACTCACCAATAAGTGTTGTAAGAAAAATCAGTTCTTATGCTGACACTGACTTTTCAATGAAAATATTTCCTCTTTTATTAGTAAAATTCTTGTGCAGGATTTATGGTCCATTCAAATAGCTATTCCTACTACAGTCAACACTAATTACATTTCAATCTTTGAATAAAGCCACCTTGGCTTATTACAATCTTAGCTCCCTGTTGGTCAATTAATCCACATATTTAAATTTCATGAAACATCCACAATTTACATTTCCTTGACAACAAACCTCAATCCAATAATTTCATGGAACAACATTTCTCAGCTGGGCACTGGTGTCTTAAGCAAATGTGGATTTCCTTCCCAATCAAAGTGTAAACACTGAATTAATTAATGAATTTAGGGACAGCTGTTCTCCACTTCCAGGCACTGGGCCACGTTTACAATCCTAATGCACACCACAGACACGCTTGCGCCGTCGGGGACTAAGCCTAACCAAAGGCTTACATAATTTGGCAGTAAACGCTGATCAATCGCCAGGATGCAACATTGTGGCACTTGGCAAATAAAAGTGGTGTTTTGGAGTGGAAATAATACTTTATGAAAAGACTGCTAAATGATGATAATTGCTTTAGTTAGCGAGATCAGCGAGTGTGTTTGTAAGAACAAAGGGCTTAGCTCTTGGAAGAACTATGAACATATGCCAGATAGAAACATTTCCTCTCTCTGGGCCATCACATGTTATCAGCTGAGCATGGAGATTAGTCACGTAATGCTGGTCCACACATCCCCGCCCCACAACTCTAATTCTCAGTGGCACCTCCAGGACCTGCATGCATATTCACCAGCCATTCCAGGGGCCCTGTGGCTACGGAGGAAATGCAACCAGGCAATCTGAAACCTTCACCTTTATGCTGTGGCTGGCCCTTGCCTCCAAGGACAAGAGTCCCCATCAGTCAAGCCAGGCTGGCCCAAGCAATCGGCATAGTACCTAGCATGGGGCAGAGACTCTAGGTATGTTTGCTTTGAACAAGTAATTCTATTTTACCATACAAATCACTTAAAAGAGCATCTAATACAGTGGGTAGAGAGGTGATGAGTCTCAGTGCAGTCTTGAGCTTAATTCTAGGAAATAAGAATTGACCCACCAACCAAAAAGTAATTTCCCCTGAGTGGGATCCTGTGACTGCCTCATTTAAAGAGAAGATACTACCAGGCTGATGATAAACATGAGCTAAAACCTCTAAATCCGGGGTGGCCAATCTTTTGGCTTCCCTGGGCCACATTGGAAGAAGACCAATTGTCTTGGGCCACACATAAAATGCACTAACACTAATGATAGCTGATGAGGTTTAAAAAAAAAATTACAAAAAAAACTCAAAATGTTTTAAGAATGTTTACGAATTTGCTTTGGGCGCATTCAAAGCCATCCTGGGCCACAGGCAGCCCACGGGCCGCAGGTTGGACAAGCTTGCTAAACAGTGGTTAACACATTTACTCCTAAAGGATGTGTCTGTGGAACTAGTGGGAAGACAGAATTTTGTATGGGGATATTCACACTAGAACCTCAACCAGATGAAATTGAAAGATCAGGGTGTGGAAAGCCAAGATTAGCAAAACACATATTAGTTTCAATGTATTCCCTAACATGACAGAAAGAGGCAGCCTTACCTAAACTGAGCTTTATGTTTTCTCTCTACGTGTTTTGTAGTGCAAATGTAGGAAACTGACCAAACTCTTCAGATTTTAAAGGAAGTGTCTTTGTATACAGTCAACCCTTCAGAACTCCCTGGGAAAACAATTTCAAAAATAAACTTGAGGTTTGGAAATGAAAGCAGAGTTGCTCTCTGTTTCACACAGTTCAGGATGGTTCGAATGTCTTCAAATGAACCTGACAACTAAAACTTTTCTATTTGGGGGGAAAAAATAAACTTATAACATTGAGTGCTACAGCTTCCCCCTAAACCCACCTTGTACAAAAAGGAAGATGGCAAAAAAGAAAAGCCTGTAAAAAGGCTCCTTTTACTAGGGTTGGAGACCTAGGAGAATCAACCAGGAGTCTGAAAATCTGGAGTTGGCCAGGCGCACTGGCTCACGCCTGTAATCCCAGCACTTTGGGAGGCTGAGGCAGGTTGATCACCTGCGGCCAGGAATTCGATACCAGCCTGGCCAACATAGCAAAATCCCATCTTTACTAAAAATATAAAACATGAGCCGGCCATGGTGGCGGTCACCTATAATCCCAGCTACTTGGGAGGCTGAGGCAGGGAGAATCACTTGAACCCTGGGGGTGGAGGTTGCAGTGAGCCAAGATTGCACCACTGCACTCCAGCCTGGGCAACAGAGTGAGACTCCATCTCAAAAAAGAAAATGTGGAGTCACTGGGACTCAACTCATCTGATCCACATGGCCTGGCCCTGAGAGCATGGGCACCAAGTGGCTCTCCCCCAAGAAGCCCCCACTTCCCCCTGGAAGTCTACCCGCCTCGTTTCCCTGTGGATGGGTCCCACTTCCCTTGCCCACTTCTCTTAACTGATTAGCACATATATCACCACTTAATTTACGGTGTCCATATGTTATCAATTTAACTTTTACTTTTTAATTTGTATTACTTTAATAAATTCAGTGGTTCGTATTTTATATTCTTCATGGTTACTGAAAAAAATACAGAATTCATGTCCCAAAAAAAGTGTTAGATAAGTCATTCATCCTTTTCACCTCTTGAGGCTTAAAATGATTTCTGAAAGTTTCTCCTACCAGGGCAGAGCTAAGCTACGAAAGTTTAAGGTTCTGAAGACAAGTAATGGCACCTGACTCCGAGATGCAGAAGCAGGAAATATTTCTGACATGCGGCTCAAGTCCAATATTGGCTCTGGAGAAGTTCTTTAATTTCTCTGTTTTCCTGTCTCTAAAGTCAGACTGTCAGTGATGACTTCATAAAGTAATTAGGAAAATCACATATTGTATGCTAAATGAAATGACGAAGATCAGCCGGGCAGTGGCTCACGCCAGTCACCCCAGCACTTTGGGAGGCTGAGGCAGGTGGGTCACTTGAGCCCAAGAGTCTCAGACCAGCCTGGGCAACACAGGGAGACCCCATCTCTATGAAAAATACAAAAATTAGCTGAGTGTGGTGGTGCGCACCTGTAGTCCCAGCTACTCAGGCGGCTGAGATAGGAGGATCAGCTGAGCCCAGAGAGGTCAAGGCTGCAGGGAGCTATGATCATGCCACCCCATGCCAGCCTGGGTGATAGACTGAGAGACCCTGTCTCAAAAAATAAGAGGGATCTGAGAAAGATTTCAATGTAGCATTTATGGGCACAAGAAAGCTGGCTTTGTTCATAAAATGTTTTGAAACACTTATGAGAAAAAGACTAAAAACCCCCACTAATTAACCAAGCAGCATTAACCACCAATATCCTGAAATAATTTATTAACTAATGAAGAAGCCAGAGGGCTAAGAATCTAAAGTACAATGCTATGTCCATAGCGGAGATTTAATAAATATTTGTTGGGTGAATAAATGAACATCTTCATACTGTCATGTACATAGAAAACCTCCCAACCAGAGATAACAGATCCACACCGTTTGTGCTACAGTTTCCTCTACGAAGCCTAAGTCCAAATTATATCAATAAAGGGTTATTATCGTTTTCTCTCTAAGCGCAAATCTGGCTTCAGAATCCTCCTCATCACTGCACCCCTGCAGTCACTACCAATTGGTTGGTTAGTGCAGACACAAAATAAAATGCACTTGCCATCCCTGACATATGATACTTACCTAAACCTACACTGAAGCCAAAATGTCCAAGAAATAAATTACCCACCCCCCAAGTCAAGTGGAGTCTTCTTAGATTTCTCAGTGTTGTCACTGGTAATTGTGTAGTCAACTCAGCACTGAAAAGCTACTCAAACTCAGGGCATACCTTATGCTCAGGTTCACACTGTTGGCATTAATACCATTAGACCACGCTACCAAGAGGAAGGGAATATTTTTGCAAGTACCCAACAAAAGAAGCTTCTGTTCTTAAACTGTGCAGCTGCACTTTTTTTTTTTTTATTGCTGTTGTTGTTTTGAGATGGAGCCTAGTTCTGTCGCCAGGCTGGAGTGCAGTGGCGCAATCTCGGCTCACTGCAACCTCTGCCTCCTGGGTTCAAGCAATTCTCCTGCCTCAGCCTCCGGAGTAGCTGGGATTACAGGCACATGTCGCCACACCCAGCTAATTTTTGTATTTTTAGTACAGACAGGGTTTCACCATGTTGGCCAGGATGGTCTCGATCTCCTGACCTCATGATCCACCCACCTCGGCCTCCAAAAGTGCTGGGAATACAGGCATGAGCCACTACGCCCGGCCCACAGTCTGTTTTTATGACCTTTACTTTAGACATTTTTTTTTCCTCCAGTAAAAATCTGTCTCCCTTCACCTATGAAAATCCTGTTCTTTCTTCGAGGCTCACCTACTGGAGGCAGCTCCTGCCTCTTCCTTGGCATTCCAGCACAGACCAGCACCACACAGCTCAACACAGGCTCTCCAGCCACGGCTTCTCTGGTAGATTAGTTTTGTCCCAGCAACCACATTTTAAGCTTTTTCTACTGATTCTGAGTCAGACACACACATCATCCCTCCACGAGGCCAGCCCCGGTGATTTCTTTGTACCATCTTGTCTGATGAGATCCTCACAGCACCTCTTCTCTCCACTTTAGAGATGTGTAAACTCTGGCAGGTAATTTCCTCTGAGGCCTTACACCTGGGCCAGGGGCAGCACCAAGATTTAGACCCAGACTTTGTCTCTAAGACCTGCACTCTTTCTTGAGCAGAGACCACATTTTCACTTTTCTGCCTCCCACAGTTTGTATTTAATTATGCTCACATGGTCACTGGAGGGCTGTGGACCACAGCATGTCACCATGTCCCGCGGCACTGGTGTGCCACCAAGACAAGCTCTCATCTGTCAGAGCTCAGTGGAAGTGTCACTCCTCGGCCAGGCCTTCCTCCTTGCCACATTTCTGGCATCCAGAACAGTGTTTCACACATAAATGAATGAACTAATAAAGCATGCTCAATGTACACAGCTCTCTGAACTTTGTTTTAAAATGTGAACAATGTAAAAGAAAAAAAAAAAAGTCAAGGTTTTCCATAACAAATACCCATCCTTCAGGCATCTCCAGCCCCAATATTTAAAACTGTTTAAAACATGAGAACCAGATCCACAGCCTCAAGGGGGCTTTCCTTCCCACCTCCAGCCTCCACTTCACAAGGTATGTATGTTCCAAAAGTAGAAATTAGGCCCTGGGGTTATCAAGTATCTCTTAAGGGAGGCATGGGGGGGTGTGGAATTCCAGCAATGCCAGCTATAACAAGCCTGGCTCCCGGAACATCCTCGCAGATGTCTGCAAAGTGAATTCCAAAGCTCAGTATTCTCCCTCGGAATATGTTGTGCTTTCAGCAAAGTATCTCTTTCTTCTCGGTCACTCAAAACAACAGATCCAATCAGGGAAAATTAGCCATCTTTGTCCTCATCAGGGAAAGGGGTGAGGGAATGTGCATCATGAGCAAATTTAGCCAAATGATTGCAAAATCCAGAGCCACTGGGGAAGCGTCCATGCCATGCAGCCTTCCCAGCTCCCTGGGCGTCATCGATTCACAAACCAACCCAGTCTCATAAACGCATGAGTCAGTTGTTTGCACGGGTCCCAGAGAGACTGTGCTATAAATGATAGGCACCTGTATTTGTCCACAGAAACCTACTCTGTATTGTATAGTGTGGCTATTAAAAACATGGAAGATAACACTGTGTAGGCACCCAAAATGTTTAAAAATAAAATCAAAATAAACCTTCTGAAATATTTTTAGAAACCTAGCAGCTTGCTACATGTATAAATTCAGGTTCTCTGTTGTTGTTCAAGACAGCTGTTACCTGCAAAGTTGATGACACCAGGGACCTCATGCCCCAGTAAGACCTTCCTCCCCAGAATTCTCTCAGATGGGCAGCAGGGGAAGGGGGACTACCCAAACCCAAATCCTAAAGTCACCCCAAACACGCTGTGCCTTGCTCTCACCAGCCCCTCAGGTACTTGCAGAACGGCCATTCATTTAGACACTGCAAGCAGTGCTGTGGCCCTTAGCTCCCTCTCTCCTTCCTAAAGCACCCTCACCCCATTCCAGCCTTCATCTTCTGCCCCAGGCTCCCTGGCATCACAGATCTATATAGATGGCTCTGTTAGCCTCAAATTATATGTGGAAATGAACTGGGTAGAAACAAACACATACACTCAAAGGAAATGTGTGAGGGAGAAGGACCATTCATGTCTCCTTTCAAAGCATGAATGTGTCTCCTGGCCAGTAGCTGTATCTCATCCCTGTAATCCCAACACTTTGGGAGGCTGAGGCAGGCGGATCACTTTACCCCAGGAGTTCAAGACCAGCCTGGGCAACATGGCAAAACCTTGTCTCTACAAAAAATACAAAAAAAAAAAAAAAAAATAGCCAAGCATGGAGACACATGCCTGTAGTCTCAGCTATTCAGGAAGCTGAGGTGGGAGGATCACCTGAGCCTGGGAGGTTGAGGCTGCAGTGAGCCATGATTGCACTACTATAATCCAGCCTGGGCAACAGAGAGAGAACCTGTCTTTAAAAAAAAAAAAAAAATGTGGCCTGGTGTGGTGGCTCATGCCTGTAATCCCAGCGCTTTGGGAGGCCTAGGCAGGTGGATCACTTGAGGTCAGGAGTTCAAGACCAGCCTGTTCAACATGGTGAAACCCTGTCTCTACTAAAAATACAAAAATTAGCCAGGCATAGCAGTGTGCACCTGTAATCCCAGCTACTCAGGAGGCTGAGGCAGGAGAATCCCTTGAACCTGGGAGGCAGAGGTTGCAGTGAGCCGAGATCATGCCCCTGTACTCCAGTCTGGGTGACAGAGCAAGACCCTGTCTCAAAAAAAAAAAGAATGTGTCTTCTTCTTCTTAGCGCCATTTCTTAAGTGCAGAATCCCTTCCTCTCTGATCTCCAGGAGCCAGAAGAAAGGAGGAGGGCCTGGGGCACAAGTTAGAATTGTGGCGGGGGAGGGGGGTCCCTGCCTACATACCTTCCTAAGCCAGGCCCTAGAATTGGTGAGTAAAGGCCATCTACTCCATTACTCCATTATTTTTATATTTAAATATTTTATAATATATAGATGTCTCCAGCAAGAAAAGTTTCACAATTTACATTTTTCAATAACCAGAAATTAGACTGGTAATCCAAAATTGAAGTTTTAATTATATAAACAAAAAAAGGATAATATATTTTAACCTTTTAGGGTTTGTCAGTACAACTTGTGTATTCATATGAATGCGGATTTTTTTTTTTTTTTTTTTGAGACAGGCTCTTGCTCTGTCACCCAGGCTAGAGTGCAGTGGCACAGCCTCAGCTCATTGCAATCTCTATCTCCCAGGTTCAAGCGATTCTCCCACCTCAGCCTCCCAAGTAGCTGGGACTACAGGCACATGCCACCATGCCTGGCTAATTTTTGTATTTTTAGTAGAGATGGTTTCACCATGTTGGCCAGGCTGATCTCAAACTCCTGACCTCAAGTGATCCGCCCACCTTGGCCTCCCAAAGTGCTGAGATTACAAGGCGTGAGCCAGTGCACCTGGCCTGAATGTAGATATTTTAAAATTTCACTCTCTTGAAAGCATGCTAAAATTTGATAGCCCACTCAGCGTCTTTTTATTTTTTTCTTATTTTTATTTTTGAGACAGGGTATTGCTCCATCACCCAGGTGGGAATGCACTGGTGAGATCATAGCTCACTGCAACCTCCAACTCCTGGGCTCAAGGGATCCTCCTGCCTCAGGCTCCCAAGTAGGTGGGACTATAAGCACGAGCCACCACGCCCAGCCTATTATTCTTATTTTGTTAAAAATAGCTTCCTACAAGCAGTTTTGGAATTTAAAACTTTTTCCTTTCCCTGTCCTCAGCCACACCTTCAATCTTGCTTAGTTCCTATTTTAGTCTTTCACAAGCCTGTATAATGTAAAGATGCCTCTAAAGAAAAAAAAATCTCAACGATTCTTAGTGTTCACTTAATGTTTCTCATAAAATGTACAAATATAAAACGATTATAGTTCTTATATTACCATCAATACCAAAACATCTGCACATTAAATACAAATGCAATTACAAAGCCAATATAATTCCAATTCACAACATTAATATGTAGGATGATCATTTTGCTGAAACTGTATCACCTTATATGGTGTGAACAGGGACTTCAATAGTGCAAGTCATGATTTCATTGCACAGATGTTACCTACCTTGTACAATGAGATGCCTCAATTTTCTACCACCTTTTTTTATTCAAACAACTATGAAACCTTCATTTCTCTAGTTTGCCATAAAACTGTTGGGTCTTCATGGGGTGTAAGGGCATCGTTTATGTGTTCTGTCCATCTTGGTTCTTTCCACTAGTTCATGATACTTACAATAATATAACCCGATACCCAAACCATTAAAAACACAGACACTGGAATGGCGTGGTAGTATCTGTGCTCATCAGCTCATCTGGGACATGCTGATACTAATGCTTTATGTAATTACTAACAAGTTCTTACCAAGATCCTATTACTATGCTAGTCACTCTTCTACAGCAGTTAGATGGGGAGACAAGGTCCTTTTTCCCACAGAACCCACACTCTGGTAGGGAGAGTGAGGATGAATAAGAAACTCACATAGCATGGTAAGAAAATGAACTGGGGTAGGTGACAGCGAGGTGATGGTGGTGGTAGTGAAGGTCCATTCTAGATAGACAGTTAAGGAAGCCCTCGCTGGGAAGGGAATATTTGCTTTGAAAGAGAAGATGAGATCTAAGCCGTGTGAGTGCCAGGTAGAGAGAACAACAAGTTTAGAGCTCAGGAAGGAGAAACGTGCTAGACAAATCGAAGAATCAGTGGGAAGGCAGACTTGGCCAGAGCCCAGTGGGAGACGCGGAGGGCAGAGCAGCTAAGGGCAGAGGAGTGGGCAGGAGCCAAACCCACAGGGTGTCGTGGGCCTGAATATAACTCTGGGTTTTGACCCAAGTGGGGCGAGAAGTCACCAATAAGATTCGAGGTGTGACTTAAAGCCGGGGACTGGAGGAGCTCAGCTAGGAAGTCACATAGATGGAGAAGCGAGGATGGAGCTCCAGCACCGAGCTGCGGTGGCTCTGCAGCCCCGCAGCAACAGCATCGCCTGGCAGCACATGAGAGATGCAGAATCGTGGATTCCACCCGAGATCCAATGAATCATCATCTGCTTTTCCCACATTCAGAATGAGGATCTATGCTCTAGCAGGCCAACACTAAGAAGACAGGGAAAAGAGGAGAAGCAGACACAGACAACTGAGAAGGAGCGACCAGGGGGATGCGAGGAAATCTGGAGAGCCTGGCATCCCAGAAGCCCAGAGAAGCTGGGGATGCAAGAAGGAAGGAGGGGTCAGGTAAGCCAAAGGCTACCATTAAGCAGGCAAAGACTGGAGCATCATTGCACAAGACGGGATGCAGATGGAACATGACCTTAGCAAGAACTTTGATGTCAGAGTGGAAGGCATGGAAGCTGGACCAGAATGGGCTAACAAAAGAATGGAGGAAAAATAACTCTTTCAAGGGATGTTAATCATGCAGAAATTAACGTTAAAAAAAAGGCTGTCTCATAAAACAGATACCCATCCCACACTCTTCCCCTTCAGCCCAGTATGAAATCTGCTACATTTATTTCCTCTCTCCAGGGATGTGTTTACAGCCATGGGGGTTGGGGGTACAAATAAAAAGATATAACCTGGTATTTATGCTCAAATATTTCTGAGCAGGACCATTACCTAATTTTATGGACTATTACTTTTTTCCTTCCTCTGGCTGTTGCCTGTTGTCTGAGTTCAGCTGAGCCCCTAAGGGTGTGACACGATCAGCTGAAGAGGTATGGTCTGTGTTTAACAAAAACCAGTTGCAGAAGCATATGGAAATACCTCCTTATCCTGGGAATGCCGGCAAAAACATTGATAAGAGAATCCAAACCAGACAAAAAGAGTCACTTCTTCTCCCTCTCCTCTACAGAACCCCCATAGCCATTCATGCCTACCTTCTACCCCCAAACTACTCCAGGTGGAGGGGAACTTACATAAAATCACATTCTCAAGGCAAAAAGGCTTTTGGGGACCATCTAACACACCCCTGCCTTCCCTTAGATGAGTCACTTTCAAACTTCCTAGTTCCAAATTTTCAGGCCCAAACCTCTGCTCTGGGATCTATTTCCATGTCCATCACCACTTTTCTTACACCAGTAATGCAACAATAGCAATTCCAGTTTATTTTCTTCCACCTAAAGCCAATACTGACACTAGGTGCCTCACCTTCGCCTTACTATCTCACAACATGCAACCTGGGAGCAATTTTTAGTTTGCAATAATAATAATAATGTAATTAACTCTTAAACACTCTTACTATGTACCAAGTACTCATCTAAGTACTTTTACATTAAACATTAACCTGCTCCGAACTATGCTGTCCAAAACCATCCTCCAGACATTAACCCACTGTTGAACATTAACACATGCACTTCCATTTGGGTGGTTAACTGATGACCACAGAGCAAACTGCAAAAAGAGAAGAGTATTTAAATGTCTTCATTTTCTCCTAGGAGCTCAGTTTATGAAGGTTCTTGTATTAAAAACCAACACACAATTTATTTTCCTGGGTAGATCTCTCCCATGGGAGCCTTGAGTCACACCATTAGAAATCATGGGGTGAAGCCCTGGACAAATTTACCCTGTTCTCTGACTTCCTGAGGGTGGCAGGAAGCAGACATTTCTACCAGAATAGTGCCAGGTTGTGAAATGAAACAGGCAATAAAAGAAAAAAAAAAAATAACTGCAAGGAAAGGAGAAAAAAACTGAAGAGAAAAAAGGAAGAAACATAAAAGGCAGACCATGAAAAATTACCCTCTGGCAGGGTTTAAGGGTTTTTTGTTTTTGTTTTAATCACCCATATAAATGACAGGGCCCCACATGGACTTCATTTGGTCAGCTAGGCTGGTTACAGCTCCAGTCACTTCTCTGCTTGTAAAATATGAGCAGATATTTGTAGGCAGAAGACATGATGATCAATCTAAAGAAGCCAAGAACACTGAATAACGAAAGGGGAGACATTAAAAACTCACAATCAGCATCCCAGAGAAAAATCTGCCTCAAGAAAGCCTTTCACTTAGGCCTGGGAACAATCACTCACATCCATATTCATGATCTCAGGCAGGACCCTGCTGCTGTCCCTGTCCACACAGGAGCACACGACCCCTGACACTCTACACAGGAGCACACGACGCCTGACAGCTCTGCATACTGAAGAGCAGGGACGGGACCCAGATCCAGGGCCACTGACGTCACCATTCTCTACTTCCTTCTCAGGGTGTTTCCTGCTGTAAAAGTGGGCTCTCCTGCTCTAAAGCAGGCTCAGAATATTTGGGGAAAGGGGCCATTTTTTCCTTCAGTTAGGTGATTATACTGTTTCCACTGAGAAACATTCTCCCAATCCTAACGCTTGTTTTAGCCAAAAGTGTCTTGTCAGACCCTTAACCTGGAGCTCTTACATCTAAATGCACCACCAAGAACATTACCTGAACAGATCTCCTAAGCCCAGGATCTCCTAAGCCAGGAGGAAAGAGGGTTCCTTTCGGTGTTTAAGGGTAGAAAACGAATTAGGAAATTTGGTTTAAGAGCCTCTCCACAGCACAGGGATGTCTATACTTTTTCTATATATAATGGTGTATCAGTCAGCTTGGGCTGCTATGACAAAATACCACAGACTGAGTGGCTTAAACAACAGAAATATATTTCTCACAGTTCTTGAGGTAAGAAGTCCAAGACCAAGGTGCCAGTCAATTCAGTTCCTGGTGAGGGCTCTCTTCCTGGCTTGCAGGTAGCTGTCTTCTTGCTATGTTCTCACACGGCCTTTCCTTGGTAAGAGCACACAGATAATCTCTCTCACTCTTCCTCTTCTTATAAAGCCAATAATCTCATTTTAAGGGCCCCATCCTCATGACCTAATCTAACCCTAATTACCTCCCAAAGATCCCATCTTCAAATACCGTAACCTTGGGAGTTAGGATTTTAACCTCTAATATGAATTTTGTGAGGACACATTCAGCCCATAGCAAATGGATGGGAATAAAAGCAAGGGGATGGGAAAATAGTACAATATCATCATCCAGCAGCATGGAGCCACCAAACATTCAGCAGATAGAAAACGAATTGTTCACAAGCTTTTTCTAACTTAGTTCCCTAATGGCTGAGTCTTTATCTTCCTGCTCATTTATCTCTTTTCAAGAGTCATCAGACTAAAAAGAATCTAACTGCATTAAAAATTATATGAAACAACTTCACAGAAGGAGGTGATAGAAAAACATGCTGAACTAAATAACTCCAGAAATGAGTGGAATCTGTAAGACCAAAGGCAAAGGTACTGTACATAAGTATTTTACTATAGTTGATAAAGTTGTTTCCCATAGAGGAATGCATTAACGATTCCGAAACCACTATATGTGTATAGTGGAATTGAACAATTAAGTAAATAGATGCCAGGTGGTGGGAGTCTGCTTACTGCTGGAGTGAGAAGTTATAGACATGCAAGGGGAGGAGGTTAGAATGACCCATGTGGTTAATTGATGAAAGTGGAGACATCAGTATGAACTCATGTTTCACCTGATTTGTAGATGGTTACATATAGGAATATTTATAAACATGTCTATATACACAGGCTAGTGTACACATCTATGTTTTCTTGCTCTTTTGGCTGAGAGCACCTAGAAACAACAGTACTCCAGTATCAATGAGTACCTAGCACCCAGATCTTGGTCTCTAATACCAACAAGTTCTCCAATAAAAGGAAGCAGGGTTCTTTGAATAAATGGCTTATTCTTCTAAGACTAGGGCAGGAAATATACAAGATGAGCCTGGAGTATCCTACAGTGCCAGAAATTAAACAAGTACTTAAAAAAGGAACCAAAATTACCCACAATGATTAAGGTATATCAAAGGGACACAGGAGCCAACTAAAAGATCTCCCAATGGCCCAAAAAATAGTGTTGGATAACTCAAAGTATAAAATAAATATCCATGAATCCACACTTATAACTAAATAAATACATAAATGGGGAAGAGCAGACAACTCACCCATGCAGAATTCCAAATAATTTATTTAGATAACCTGCCCCAGAGGACAGGGAACATAACTCCTCACTTCTTATGTGTGGGCTGCACATAGTGACTTCCTCACAGAAGCTAGAGTATAGAAAGAGGGGGAAAAGAATAACTTCACAGTGGAGAAACCTGGCAGACACTGATTGAGCCAAGCACATGCTTTATCAAGATCAATATCAGTAGTGATAAATCATGTTGATATGTCCTTTGATGAGAAGGGTGCTTTATCTCTGTGGTCTTCCTCCCACATAGAAGCCCCATAATGGGACTTCCTAATCGCAGTCTAATCATGAGAAAAATATCAGACAAATTCCAATCCTAGCAAATACCCAACCAATACCCTTCAAAACTGTCAAGGTCATCAAAAACAAGGAATATCTCAAAGCATCACAGCCAAGACATGACAACTAAATGTAGTATCCTGGATGGGATCAGGCAACAGAAAAAGGACATTAAATAAAACTAAGAAAATCGGGATAAAGTGTGGACTCTAGCTAATAATAATTTATCAAAAATGTTTCATTAATTATGGCAAACCAATTGCATGATATTGATAATAGGGGAAATTGGGTGTAGTTTCTGTATGATCTTTGCAATTTCCTTATCAGTCTAAAGCTATTCTAAAATTAAAGGGTTTTTTTTAAAGCAATGTCAAGAAAAGGGAGGCCAGGCGCGGTGGCTCACGCCTTACTGTCAGCACTTTGGGAGGCCGAGGCAGGTGGATCACAAGGTCAGGAATTTGAGACCAGCCTGACCAACATGGTGAAACCCCGTCTCTACTAAAAATACAAAAATTAGCCGGGCGTGGTGGCGCATGCCTGTAATCCCAGTTACTCAGGAGGCTGAGGCAGGAAGGAGAATTGCTTGAATCCGGGAGGCGGAGGTTGCAGTGAGCCGAGATTGCGCCACTGCACACCAGCCTGAGCGACAGAGCAAGACTCTGTCTCAAAAAAAAAAAAGGCACCAGGCAGTGAAACCCACTGACGCAGTCAGTGTGGTCACTCCAGGGCTGCATGTCCAACTCCCGACTCACCCGCCAGCTCTGGCATGTCGGACGGCCAGCGCAGAGAAACTCACATCATTCAATAGGTCACCGGGCACACATGCTGGTCAGGTCTCAGAACACTGCTCTTCTTCTGCCAGGAAGAACAGGGCAAACATCTCCCTGGGCCCGTGAACACACAGCATCACATCACAGGTACATAAAGAGAAGCCCAGTAAGTCTCCAAGCTCAGGGGACTAGACAAGGTAGGGTGTGATTATGAGCAATGTGGTGATAATTTATGAGCTGTGGACAGTTTCCCACAAGCCAAAGAGTAGAACTAGAGGGCTAAAAATACAGCAAACTGCCATCTTACAGAAGGAAGAAGGAGCAGGCAGAGAGCTGGGCAACCATGGTAGACCAACCTTCCCCAGGAAACATGCTTCTCCAAGACAGACATGATAATTGGATGAAAAACCGAACTGATTAATCACAGAGCAGAACGGGAGAAACCGAATAGGAGAGAAAAAAAGAGAAACAGAAAGGAATTGAGAGCAAGAAATGAGTACCAAAAAATGAGGCATGAGATGGAGGCAATTATATGGAACAAGATATTCATTACGCTTGTTTAGCCATAGGAAGCCACAGTGGCAGGAAATATGGACTGGGGTGTTATTTTGGCTGAAAACAAGGGGTAGCCAAGTTAAAACACTCCTTAATAAGCACCACCTGAGAACCCAGCATCCCTGATCCACAGACAAGAAGCCTCCTCTCCTCCCCAGCAATGCCTCTTCCCAGCTACTCCTCTCTTGTAAATGCTTCCCCCTTAACCCGCCACTTAGGTGTCCCTGATGGTGTCCCCAACATCTCAGACAACTTGGACTGCTGCTTCTACTACCAACCCCCAAAGGCTCAAGCCACCTCCACCCCTGTTCGTATGCAAAGTCAATGCTGTCAAAGCTCTGAGCCACTTAGCTGAAGACAGTGTCTGCCACCCAATGACAAAGAACCAATCCAGAGATCCATCAAATACCCAGGAAACACCTCCCTAGACCCTTTCCCATCACCTCTCCTTCACAGCAGCTGTATTTTCACATTTAGATGATTTTTGTTTTAATTAATATTTGTCTCCATCATCCATCTGTAACATCCATGAGAACAGGGGCTATATTGGCTTTTGCTCACCTTTTCCCCCCAGTATATCTGGCATAATGCAATTGCTTATGAATTGAATGAATAAATGAACGAGAGAGACTCCTTTTCCCCAGCAATCTGAAATCCCCAGAAGGAAAAAAAAAAAAAAGCACTATTTCAATTCTGAGTGACTAATGTAGCATTTGACCTTGGAGTCAGTTTACCCACAGAAATGGCACAATAGGCTGGGTGCAGTGGCTCATGCCTAAAATCCCAGCATTTTAGGAGGCCAAGGCAGGTGGATCACCTGAGGCCAGGAGTTCAAGACCAGCCTGGCCAACATGGCAAAACCCCATCTCTACTAAAAATACAAAAATTAGCTGGGTGTGGTGGCACACGCCTGTAATCCCAGCTACTCGGGAGGCTGAGGCATGAGAATTGCTTGAACCCAGGAGATGGAGGCTGCAGTGAGCTAAGATCCCACCACTGCACTCCAGCCTGGGTAAGACTCTGTAAGAAAGAAAGAAAGAAAAGAAAGGAAAGGAAAGGAAGAAAGGGCAGTATAAACAATTAGGTATTTAGTGCTATTAAACAAACTAGATACGTAATAGTGCAGTAATAAATAATACTGAGCATTTACCAAGTGCTAAGTACTATGTTAAACACCTTATATTCACTGTTCAGCAACCCCGCCAGGTAAGTATTAATTAACACCATTTTGCAGGTGAAGCAACTGAGGCTCAGTGGTTAAATCACTTGCCCAGGGTCACCCAGATAGAGCAGAATCAGAAGTCATCAAGGCCTGTCTGAGTCCAAAGACCATTCTCTTCATGACTCCAGAGTTCAGCTATACAACAGCTACTATTGTAGCTGAACTCTGGAATAGATGTTGGTTGGGGGCCTAGAACCTAACCACCATTCATGACACTGAATCCTCAGGAAGATGCAGCCTAACTCCAAACAATCAACTAACTGCAAAATAAGCTGTTAGAACTCATCTGGTTTGTAGGTTGGGGACCACCTGTAGAGGATTATGAAGAGAAAGAAGGCTGAGGATGCAGTTTCCAGGTAACCAACACTCCAGCACTGACTAAAGCATCTGTGTGTGCACCCCAGCAGTAGAGACAAGTTCCTAGGACACTGTGATACCAAGTGCCTTCTGAGAGCAGCATGCCAATCTGGAGGCCTTCCTGGAGCAACACAAATTCAAAACAGAAGCAAGATGGCTGCAGGCAGCTGTAGGCCCTGACACCAAGAAGGCTATCTTAACAGCAGGGATAGAGGGGTCAGGAGAGGATGCTGGCTTAAGTAGAAGGAAGAGCAGGATGCAAAGGTCTAGCCAGGGATCTTAGAGGAAAATGAGAATGTTCCTGACGACTTTGAAGAGGTGGTGAGCTGAGGTTCCAACAGCACTGGGAACAGAAACCTCTTCTGCCTAAACAAGCAGTGAGACTTTGGGCAAGTTACCAACCTGCAACTCTGAACAAAAAATAAAGGAATGGTCGGTTTCCAACCCTACATGTAAAGAGGCTAGAAGTTGTTACACTCATCCTTACAATTTAAAAAAAAAAAAAAAAAACACTGAGCAAATCGAAAAGAGGGTGGCTGCTTCAAGGGGCTACCACAGGGACTAAAAGGGATCAGCAATGTGGAAGTACCTTTTCAATTGTAGTACACTCAAGAACTAGAAGGCCTCAAAACTGTATTTCTGTGGGTTTTTTCAACCCAACCTCTGATATTTGAGGACTACAGAGACAGCGGTTCAGTCTCAGAGAGGAGGTGCATTCACAACACGGAGGCCCCAGAGCAGGGATCCCACGGCCGGCAAAGGGAAACTCAGGGAAGCAGCCGCCATCTCTAATCCCACTGGAGGTTCGCTGGGAAAAAATCAGGAGAAACTAACCTTGTTCCCTTTTCTGGCAGAGCTACTACAGAAGGAGCCCAAAGAACTGTAATCATGCAGCTGGATTTCTGAAAGGCATCATCAGCTTTCCCTTGGGGGCTTTGGTTCCACAGACATTTACCAAGAACATGCTCTACGTTGGGCCCGTGCCAGGCACTGAGGGAGACAAGAGTGATGGAGGACATGTGAAAGCAGGAACAACCCTGCCTCCAAATGGGGCTCAGAGATAGGTGGGGAGCTCATTACTGCAAGAGGGTGGGTAGAATCTGGAAGACTTTTAAGGGAAGGAATCTTTTGGCAATTTAGTGGCTTAAAATGATTCAAATAATCAAGGGGCAACAGGGCTGCATTCCTCATTTTAGGGAGACTCTGTCTCCTTGCCTCTTCCTGCTTCTAGAGGCCACCTGCATTTCTCAGCTCTTGGTCCCTTCCTCCATCTTCAACGCCAGCAGCGTAGCATCTTCTCTGGCTTTGCTTCCATTGTCACATCTCCTTCTTGGATTCCAACTTTCCTGCCTCCCTGTCTCCCATATAAGGACTCTTGTGATTATCCTAAATAATGCAGGATAATCTCCCCAGCTCAAGGTCCTTAAATTAAGCATATCCTTTTTGCTGTGCAAGATGGCATAGTCACAGATTCCAGGATTAGGAATTGGGCATCTTTGGAGAGACACTGTTATGCCTATCATGCAGATGGAAGAGTCAGCCTCCAGGAAGAAAAGAAAAAGGACTTAAATGTTCAGACCGAAGCTGAGATGAGATAAGGAGATGTATTTGATCTCAGTTGTCCGAGTTCTACCTTCCCAAGGCTGCTGCCTCCTGCCATGGGTTCCATAAGACACCATTCATCTGCTCCGTGAAATGCCCCAGAAGATTCTTCATTGTGCCTTTACCCAAAACCACACAACCCACTAAGTGGTGGAATGGGATTTATGCCCATTCTCTCTCACCCCCAAAGCCTGTGTCCTTAACCACTACAACTTCGGAAACATAGACAATGCAATATATGAGAGTTCAGGAGCCAAACAGATCAGCAGGCTGGAATCATGGATCAAGTCTAACAAAAATGAGGTTTAATAAGGAGAATTTGAAGCCCCTAACCCTAACCTCGGCCTAAGAAACCAATCATTTGATTGTAGGGTGGATGAGACGTGAAAGCAAATCTTGGTTTTGGTGGATTGTTTTTGTTGGTTTGTTGTTGTTGTTGTTGTTTTGGTTTTAAAAAAGTGTGAGGAACACAGGTGACAAATTCACTGTGAGATAATTGGCAAACACCACGGTGACCTCTGGAAATGATATATCTAGTTTCAACAGGGCAGGGCAGTTAACCACACTGCAGACTCCCCTTGAACCCAGAACAACTCCACACAGCTATCTCAAAAGTCTGTCTCTTCACACAAGTACTGTTCCTCACTGCACTCACCTCTATGCTTATCTTTGGTGCGATTATCTTGATTTTCTGTGTATACATAAAGGGATGACTGTTACTGAGTAAATACAAGATGGGATCCTCGACTCTCAGATTTGGAAGAAACCTGCTCTTATTGTGGGGCTGACATTAGATTCCCTGTTCAAATCTGCCTGTGATGGACGGCCAGCCCCGTCTGCCTTCTTCGGAGCCTCTGAGGAACATGCAGGGAGCCCAAAGGATGAAGGGGCCACCAGCCCAGCAGCCCCCTTAGCAAAGGGAACCTGCTGATGCTGCTATCAGCTCCATGCCCAGCTGATGTAGGCAGCCCCCTCTGCTTGAGGCTGATCACCAAGAGTCTGGTTTACAAAAAACAGCAGCCAGATTATATTACATCCAGATCACTTTAGTAAACCTTCTCTTCACATAGTGCCTTCAAGTCACTTGAGGCTTTAAGACTTTTCATTTCTGTTAGAATATTACAAATAACTTCATGAGATCCATAGCCCCGGGTACTACAACACAACTTATATGACTGCAAATGGGGCTCTGGAGGCATCTCCTTGAAAGAGCCACAGAATGTTCCCTGTAAAACTGATGCCGACACTGGGGGATGAAAAGGCCAAGCAGTTGCCCTGTGGCAGCCAAGCGTGCCCGATGGTAGAGAACTCCCACAAAAATCTACCCAGCAACATTGTTGTCAAAAAGGTCAAAAGGGATCCAAAAAGCATTTGATCTACTTTTTATCACTGAATGTGGGTATGGGAAGAAATCTAGTTAGCTATGCTTATCTTCTAAATAAAATGTCTGTTGATTAATTTTTTAAAAGAAAAGAGAAAAAAGAGCGGCCAGGAAGGAGTGGTTTCCCTACTGAGATGCTGGCCGGGCATGGTGGCTCATGCCTATAATCCCAACACTTTGGGAGGCTGAGGGGGATGGATGGCCTGAGCCCAGAAGTTCCAGACTAGCCTGGGCAACCCCTAGGGACAACCCCTGGGCAAAACCCCCATCTTCACAAAAATTTGCCAGGCATGGCGGTGCGCACCTTGTAGTCTCAGCTACTCAGGAGGCTGAGCTCGGAGGATGGCTTGAGCCCAGGAGGTTGTGGCTGCAGTGAGCCATGATTGACCATGCCACTGCACTCCAGCATAGGCCACAGAGCAAGACCCTGTCTCAAAAGGAAGGAAGGAAGGAGGGAAGGAGGAATGGAGGGAGGGAAGAAGGGAGGGAGGGAGGGAGGGAGGAAGAGAGGAAGAGAGAAAGAGAGAAAGAGAAAGAGAGAAAGAAAGAAAGAAAGAAGGAGAAGAAGGCCGGGTGTGGTGGCTCACGCCCTAATCCCAGCACTTTGGGAGGCCAAGGTGAGTGGATCACGGGGTCAGGAGTTCAAGACCAGCCTGGCCAACATGGTGAAACCCCATCTCTACTAAAACTACAAAAATTAGTCGGGCATGGTGGCACGCACCTGTCATCCCAGCTACTCAGGAGGCTGAGGCAGGAGAAATCCCTTGAACCCAGGAGGCAGAAGTTGCAGTGAGCCGAGATCGCGCCACTGTACTCCAGCCTGGGTGACAGTGAGATTCCGTCTCAAAAAGAAAAAAAAAGAAACTGAGATACTAAGAGATGGCACTGGGTACAGAAGGAGGGGAGTAGAGCTGGAAGCATGATCAACTCTCATCACATATGAATACCAGAATGGTTGTCATGTGAAAAGAAGATTAAACTTGGTCTGTGTGGCTCCAAAGGTTAGAACAACCAATAAAGAGTAGATGTGCCAGGGACACAAACTCCACTTCAATCGAAAGGGGGAAATGAGCTTTCTCACAGAGATGCGTCAAGATAAACTAGGCTGTTTCAGGAGACAATGAGTTCCCCATGAGGTGGAGGAAGGCAAACAGGGCCTGGCTATCCATTCACAAGCAGGTTTGAGAAAGGAGTCCCGCATCAGCCAGGTTCCTGGGAAATGTGATAATCAAAGATGCCATCTCATATTTACTCAGACAACAATCATCCCTTAACAGATACAGAGAACATCAAGATAATCACACCAAAGAGGCCAGAGGAGAGCAGAGTAAGGAACAGCATTTAAGAGAAAAGAGGATGCAGAGCCACCAAAGAACAAAGGGTTTTCTCCAGATCTTATCTGAGCGTTTTATCTGTACAGAAAAGGTCTTGAGGATAAAAGGCTCCCTGCTGAGTGAAGCTGCCTCTGTCTACAGCTAGGATGAGGGTGGTTCGGGCCACCCACTAACATCCACTGCCTGTGAAACTCCAGCCTGGGACAGAAATAAACGAGAATCTCAGGAGTGACTTTCAGGCACATCACCAGCACCCGTCTGATGCCAACACAAACTCTCCAAACTGTCATCAGCTGGTTGCCCTCTTGGCAGAGGAAGGAAGTCAATCCAAACCTGTCCCAAAAGGAAACCTGCGAATGTCACACAACAAGAAGCTCTGAACGTTAGCGGGGCTTTGAATGCTAGATAATCGACAGCAAACACAGAAAATATGAGCGCTGATGGAATTTTCCAAGAAGCATTTGATGCTCTTGTTTAAAATAAGTAAACTTCCAGGACTAGGAAAGGGGTGGAAGACAGCACCAAGGCTCTCAGTGAGGTTTTTTAAGATATTAAGAAGCTCTATACAGCAGCTGAGCCAAAGGCCAGTGGAATTATCCACATCAAAAGAGAATTGGGGAAGAAAAAAAAAAAACTAGTGAGATCTGGGCCAGGTGCGGTGGCTCATGCTGTAATCCCAGCACTTTGGGAGGCTGAGGTGGGTGGATCACCTGAAGTCAAGAGTTGGAGACCAGCCTGGCCAAAATGGTGAAACCTCATCTCTACCAAAAATACAAAAAATTAGCCTGGCATGGTGGCGGACACCTGTAATCCCAGATACTTGGGAGGGTGAAGCATGAGAATTGCTTGAACCTGGTAGGTGGAGGTTGCAGTGAGCTGAGATTGCGCCATTGCACTCCAGCCTGGGTGACAGAGCAAGGCTCTGTCTCAAAAAAAAAAAAAAGAAAAAGAAAAAAAGAAAACTAGTGGCATCTGGACAGTGCATGGCACAAATATCAGAACAGCTAAACTGCAAGTTCCCTGAGGACAAGGAAAACCAGATCTGGTTTTGACTCCCCAGAGAGATCACAGTTGGTATACAAGAGAACGTCCAAGTGAACAAATATGAAGCCAGCAGTGACTCCAAGAAAGGAGGAACAGGAAGGCTCTAGACAGCTGTGATGATTCTGGAGAAAATAAGCTCGTATTCTAAAAAGGAAGACTCAGAGACCGGCTCATGTCAGAAAAGTCTCTGTGTCTGTGGATGGAGTCCAACATATGACACTCTTTAGTCATATTTTGATATTAAGAAAACATGGCCAATATCACCATCCAACATGGTATAAATGTGATAAATTTTAGTAAGACCTTCAAAAGTTATTTTTTAAAAAACTTGGTCTTTGTGGTACAGTAACAATTATGTTCTCTAAGCTGTTACAGCTTATCTTTAGATTCTTGTATGAAAACACCAACACCACATATTTATCATCTTGTTTTCAAGCAAATCTGATTTTTCCCCACTGAATCTGACAAGACACAAACGTTACGAACTTCAGTCTCTTATTAAGGATTGCATTTTATTTTTTTAGCAAGAGAGAAAAGAAGCTAAAGCGATACAATTACATCCTGACTAATACAAGATTTGAAGGGCACTCCTCATAAGCATGAGAAAATTAAGAGGCAAAAGTTTAGCATTTTGAAAAACTAGTTTAGCAGATAATATAGCCTCCGATATTGTGGAAAGAATTTATTTTATCTTTCTCAATTGTTGTTATTGGACCTCTTCATACTCACTCCTCCCTCCCTGCTACACACACGTACACATGTTGGGACCACACAGACACAGCCAAAATGCCTGCCTAGAAAGAGAGAGGTGGTGATGGGAAAGCTTCCAGAACACTCTCCCATCTGCTGACATAGCCAGCGACATGGAATAGAAGAGAGGAGAGATGATGGCAGTCAGCCCCAGGGATCAAGCCTCATTTAGGTCAAAAGGCCAAGGGTAGGAAATACAGCCCAATGGTGGTATAAACCATCCTCCATATCAACTAAGGAACTAGGGTTTACTGAGGAACTATCATGAGTCAGGTACTGTTTTGTGCACTTTGCCTAGGTTCACATTTAATCTACTTAACGACATGTAAAATGAGAAAACTGAAGGACAATGACTTCAAGTAATTTGATTGTGAAGCTGACAACTGACAGACCTAGGATCCTGACGGAGTCTGTCTCACTCCACAGTCCTCTCTTGCCTCCTTTCCTAGGCCAGGCTACCTCGGGCCTGACCCTCACACTGCAAATGATCCCCTGAACTAAGACAGGATTCCACTTCCTTGAAGTGGTGAGTCCTCACTGGTCAGAACCCCAAACCATCTCAGCTGAAGTACCTTCTGGGCTAACGGCTTGTGCCTTTAATCTTCCAGAACAGAAGGATCGTTGCCATCTCTCAGGCTCAGAAAGGGCGAGATCCTCACACGAGGCATCAGATGAAGATGCTCTGCAGAGAAATTCCTGTTCTTCATTCCCTTCCCACTTGATTTTTCAAACCAAGCAGTGGTTTTATTGGACTTATTTCTCTATTTTTTTCTGGTAAGAACAACTCCCTGGTTAGACTCAACTTAGAACTTCTATTCTTGTTTTAGCAGCTTCTAAATGTCTAAAAGTCCTATCAGTCCCAGCCCGACTTGACTCTTCCTAACAGCTCCTGACTTACATGGAACATGGCATCAGTCAACTCCACGCCCTCTCGGGACCTGCAAGCATCCTACCTTCTCCCTCCCCCTTTCACACAACATCAGTTAGTGATTTCTTCCTGTTGACCCTGCCTCCTGAAACCTCTCAGCCATACTTCTCCATCCCGACACCATGGCCCTAATTAGAGCTATATGCATATCTCTATTGGATTACAGCTGTGGCCTTCTAAGTTGATCCTCAGTCTTCAGGCTTGTTTTCCTCCAACCTGTTCTCCCCATGGCCACCGTCATCTTTTCAAATTTGTACTTCAGCCTAAAAATTACTCAGTGATTTGTTTCTTCTTTTGCTTTCAGCATAAAAACACAATCTCCTCAGCATGGAATTCAAGACCAGGCCCCAGACATCTCCAGCCCATGTGCCTCCCCTGCGCAGGCTCTGCACCTACTCACACGTCTCCAAATGCATGGCGCCCCTCTGCTTCCTGAGCTTGCCAGCCTGCTTTCCCCAGGCCTTACCTTGCCAACTCTCCCCTGGACCAGATTTCAGACCTTTTGTTCCCTCAGCACACACGCGTGTGCACGTGGTTAGTTCCTAATGTCCTCAATTAATGCACACATGCCTGAGGGTAGGAAGTCAAAAGGCAATGTGTGTGTGTGTGTGTGTGTGTGTGTGTGTGTGTGACAGAGTCTCACTGTCTCACCCAGGCTGGAGTGCAGTGGTGCCATTTCGGCTCACTGCAACCTCCACCTCCCGAGTTCAAGCGATTCTCCTGCCTCAGCCTTCTGAGTAGCTGGATTACAGGCGCACACCACCATGCCTGGCTAATTTTTTTGTATTTTTAGTAGAGATGAGGTTTCGCCATGTTGGCCAGGCTGGTCTCAAACTCCTGACCTCAAGTGATCCATCCCGCTGCCTCGGCCTCCCAAAGTGCTGGGATTACAGGCATGAGCCACTGTGTCTGGCCTAAAGGCAATTTCAAGAACGTATCTCTTTATAAAAAGGGCGTCTACGAACCCCTATGCTCATTGACAGAAAAGGACACTAATGAGCTGGGTGCGGTCTGTGTGCCTGTAGTCCCAGCTGCTCAGGAGGCCAAGGTGGAAGGACTGCTTGAGGCCAGGAGTTTAAGACCAGCCTGGGCAACAAAGGGAGACCTCATCTCTAAAAAACTAAACTAAAATTAAATTATATTATCCCGGAAAAGTGGACTAATATCCAGAGGTTTGGCTCTGGGAAAACTGTCCAAACTTTGCTTTGGGGCTTAAAAGTCACATTCTTGAATAATTGATTCTCCGATTCCAAAAGGCTCACCTGGGCAGTGCACATTTGTGGAAAGATTTGTCTCTGAGTGAGGCATTCAAGATAAGGATGTCTATCAACGCAAGTCACTTCTGTGTATGAATGTGTGTGTTCATCATCCTTGAGGTTTGGGGCCCCTGAGAAACTTAACTCTGTTTTCCCTTTACCAAAATAAACATAACGGTGTGCCCTGCCTTCAGCTGCTTGTGGGAAATGGCTTCGTGGGATAGACTATTTTCTTCCTGAGCATCCCACTTTCTGCAAGATTTCAGCAGAACACAGATATTTAGTCAGGTCACTTAACTCCTAACTTACTGCACCCTCTCACTGCCACATATTTTGAAAATACCAAAGAGAATAATTTTTTTTCTGCTGGTAACGGTGGCTCACACCTCTAATGCCAGCACTTTGGGAGGCTGAGACAGGTGGATCACCTTAGGTCAGGAGTTCAAGACCACCCTGTCCAACATGGTGAAACCCCATCTCTAATAAAAATGTAAAAATTAGCCAGGCGTGGTGGTGGGCATCTGTAATCCCAGCTACTCAGGAGGCGGGGGCAGGAGAATCACTTGAACCCAGGAGACGGAGGTTGCAGTGAGCCGAGATCATGCCACTGTACTCCAGCCTAGGCAAAAAGAGTGAAACTCTGCCTCAAAAAAAAAAAAAAAAAATTGAGAATAATTTTTTCTAATACTTTCAGATATTAAACAAATTGTCAAGCCCCACCACCCTGCCTTTTTTCTGAGACAGGGTCTCACTCTGTCGCCCAGGCCAAAGTAGTGTGGTGGCACAATCACAGTTCACGGTAGCCTCAATTTCCCAAGGTCAAGTGACCCTCCTGCCTCAGCCTCTCAAGTAGCTGGGACCACAAGCATGCACACCACGCCCGGTTATTTTTAAATTTTTTTTGTTGAGACAGGTTGTCACTATGTTGCCCAGGCTGGTCTCAAACTCCTGGTCTCAAGCAGTCCTTCCCTCTAAAAATTGAGGGAATCCTTCCAAAGTGCTGGAATTACAGGCATGAGCCACTGTGCCTGGCAAAACCCCCTATTTTTTCGCAATTACTTATTTAAACATTTTTTTGAGTGGTAAGAATAGAAGTAATTCACAAAATAAAACAAAACAGATGAGGAGTCTTTTTTCTCATCATATTTACTAAAAACAAAAAAAGGAAAAGGTGTCCAAACATCAGGTTGCTGTAAGTTATAGCAAGTCAGCCAAGAGACCTCTTGTAAACGCTGAAACTTAGCTCTGACCACCTTAACGGAAGGTCTTGAAATTCTTCATGTATACAGAAAGCCATTCAGGAAGCCCACCTCCTAACAGCAGGGGCAAGTGACAGGACTTCTGTCTCCAATAATCAGATGATCCAACAGTTACCAGCTCTACCCCCATTACAGGGAAAATTCATGTCAAAAGGACAGATGGCCCAACATTCCAAGCGGCCTGTGAATAGATCAGGAATAAGTCAAAAGTCATAAATTTAAGTTAGCTTACTTAAACTGATTGTACGGGTCAACTAGTACAGTAAGCACCAGTATTTGGTAAGCACTCAGTATTTTGATAAATACATTCAGGAAAACAATTTTTATTTCAGATTGCATTCAGAGCCCAGCACTATTGATCATTGGCAAATAATTCAGTACACTCACTACAAATTTTCTGGATTTGCACAGTACTTATGTAAGTTTGATTACCATGATCTCATGTGTTTGCCATTTTAAACACAGTTTTGAAATAAGGACCCTCTGGGCCAGACGGGTGTCGGGTTTCCTGAGACATTCACTCCAGGCTTTCAGTTCCCATCTCAGGATCTAGTCACTACCACTTACCCATGTTACCATGCCACTGCCACTTCGCATGATTGCAGAACAAATTCCACAGAAAGTTCTAGGCTACTTCACTAGGCTCCTAGCTGAGCCACTCGCCTCCACCCTTCTCAGAACCCTTAACTGGCTTCTAACTCCCATCAGATGAAAACCCTTATGCCAGCCTGTAAAGTTCAGAATGCTCTGCCCTCCTTCTCTTAGAACCCCCACCCTCACTCCCTCCCTCTAGCTACTGTGGCCTCCTTGCTGTTCCCAGAACACACCCAGCAGCCTCCTGCTCTTATGCTTCATGCCTTAGGGCCTTCAGCGTCCCTGTCCCCTCTTCACAGTGCCCTTCCCCCAGGCAGCCCTGATCTGGAGGCTCCTTCAGGTCTCACCCTCCTGTTGCTTATCAGATAAATCTTCCTGGACCATCTGGTAGAAAAGGCTTTGCCAACAGGTAGGATTCTCTCCGCCCCATCCTCACCCTCTACCTCATCTGGCCATACTTCCTCTTAGCGCTCATCACCCACTGATGTGCCTTGCCTGTGTGTTTAGTGGGATCTTCTCCACCTCTGCTTTGCTTCCTGCTGTATCCTTAGGGTGAGAGTAGGGCCTGACCCACAGGGGGTACTTGGTAAATATCTGTATTAAATGAATAAAAGGCATTTATTTGTATTAAGCATAAGTTGTAGCCCCACTAGGAAAAAAAGAAACAGAGAGAGACAGACAGACGGACAGACAGAAAGAAAAAGAAAAGAAAGAAAAAGAAAAGAAAGAAAAAGAAAGAAAGAAAGAAGGAAAGAAAGAAAGAAAGAAAGAAAGAAAGAAAGAAAGAGAAAGAAAGAAAGAAAAAGAAAAAGGAAAAGAAAGAAAAGGTCCACACCTTCTGCGAGTTTTTCTATCTTCTTAGAGCCCTGGGGAAAGGCTCAGAGTCTGGGCTGAGGGAGGAGGACATAAGAAGGCACAGAAAGAGCCCTATGAATGAACTGCCTTCTCAGGATCCCCAGCTCCACTCTGCTCCCCACTCACCAAGCTTACCACACACCCTTGAAAGGTAGGAAAGAGCTGGAGATTGCAAATGACAGATCAAAGGATGTCACAGAAATTCAGGAACCTAGACAGTATCACAGCACAAAGGTTTGGAAAGAGAAAATCTTACCTGAAGGCAGGAAAAGCAAAGGTCACACACAGCTCCCAAATCGGGAGCAGCACCTAAGGGTAGCCCAGAGTCAATGCCAGAGTGATGGGAGAAATCAGACACCCGAGTCAGAGTGTGAGATAGAAAGCAGCCCCGCTCAAGAGTAGGGAAACAATGATATGTTAACGTCATCATTGACAATGGAGGCAATGGGGTGGGTGAAGTGAAAAAGGCAGCCATCATCTTAATGCCTAATGTGGACGCAGCACCTTACACTTTAGAAAGTGCCAATATGGGCTCACTTCAGCAGCACATATACTAAAATTAAAACAATAGAGATTAGCATGTCCCTTGCACAAAGATGATATGCAAATTCATGAAGCATCTCATATTTCAAAAAAAAGAAAGGAAAGAAAGCACCAATACAAATGTGGCTTTGTTGATTCACATAAAAAGACAGTATGGTGGGCAGTACAATGATTAGCATTCCCATTTTACAGGTAAGGAAATCAAGGCTCAGAAAGGTCAAGTGATTTCTTATCCAAGATTACACAGAAAGCAAGTAGCATAGTTGGAACTTCAGGGGTCTTACGGCTCCAAGGACTCCTAACCCTTTTAATCTCCCAATTCCACATGAACTTGATTCCCAAGTACCCTCTTGACATGATTAATAGGAATCTACCCATGTTTGGCTAATGACTGTTCAAAAGCAGGCGCCCCTCTTGAGTTCCTCCAGATTTATTCCATGACCTCTTTACTGGGAAGAAATTTGGGGTTCTCTGAGCCTTCTTAGGGTGCTCTAAAGCTGAAGTGACCAAAGAGAAGTCAAACCTAGGCCTTTTATAAAGGTTGCCTCAGGGCTCTCTGGGAACCCACAGCCAAGTAGCTGCAGAATAACTAAACGAAGCCACTACTAAAAGCATTTTTATGTGAAAATGCACCCTTTGCAAAAATGTTCGCTACAAGGATCCATATTTTTCAATAAGCACCTTCAACATGTCATCACCATAGTTTTTCATAGACACTTGGTTTCAGAAAATCTGTGACAGGTTCATTGGATTTATTAGAACTGCATTCTTCACTTGAAAATATCTTACAAGCTATAAAACATTTTAAAAACTCTGAGCGTTCATAAATCCATGAAGATGCTGTTCTGCTTTTTTCACCAGCAGGTAGATGCAAATTGAAAGAGGGGGAAAAATTTGCCCTGATGTTTCAAGAGGTCCAAAGCTGGGCCGTTCTAAGCTCAGCAGGGAGAAGCAAGTGAGAGAAATAAGCTACTTTCCTGGAAATACTGCCAGGCTTCCAGATCCCTGGCTTCTGGGCTTGGTTAATAAGAACAAGCACACAGGCAGCCTTGAGAAAGGGCTGAGAAGGAAGAGACAGTTCCAGCAGTCAAAATCAACACCTTGAATTGCACTGGAAGTAGTTGGAAAGTCAAGTCTGACACCCAGCACTAGCTCAAGGTACTCCCTGGGCAGCAAACTCTTGGCTCTGAGCATCAGCCAGTGCTATGGGAGGCCCCTTTCCTCTATGGAAGGCTTGGAGGGGGTCAGGGGAGGCAACTAGGCTCTGGGGCTGTGCATCTGTCTTCTAAAAGGCAGGGGCAACCCCTAGATCCAGGGAAGAAGCCAGCCCTTGTACAGAGCAGGAGTGCCTCTCTAGACACGGCCATTAAAACCCACTGGACACTCCCTCGGGATGTTTCTTTCCTTCTGCACAACGTCACCTCCATCTATTTAGATTGAGTATTTTCCAGCCTGCCTCTAGCCAGCCAGATGTTGCCTTTCAAAGAGTAAGTATTTTTCTAATTATTTCCAGGAGAAGCAAATAATCTTCAGCCACTGAGGTCTGCCATGGAATTTACTTTTCCCCACAAAGGGCTGCGGGTCAGCCTCTGCCCATTGCTCTCAGTGGGCACACAGGAGGGCAGACTGCAAATCCCTGTAGTCGATGAATCCTGTTTTGAAATAAACTCCTTGGCATCAGTAAAGAGTTAATTCACCTCCCAGGTTTTGCATTCTGTTTTCTGGGTTTGGGAGATGGTTTTTAACCTCGTGTTTCTTTGCATGGAGGTTTAATGTTGTTGGGGGGAAAGGGGAAGCATTTTAAACACACTCCCATGCTTGCAAAAACAATATCATTTTCTTAGCAGCAGAGTCTTGGCCCAGATGCTTCCGGGAAACCAGCATGTTGTCCTGGGCCCCAAAGAGGGGCGTTTCAACCTGGCTGACAAAGCTCAGCATGAGTCAGGGGCAGGCTGGTCTGGCCAAGACCACCATGGAGGTTGCCACTGAGCAGACAGACCCCTTCGTCAATAGCTGGCAATCAAGGCTCCTTGAAAGTCTTCCCTGACATCAAGTCCTGGCAAGCATTGTGGAAAGTACAGCCTCCAAATGATAGCAAAGGATTCAATGGTGGCCTTTTCTGACATCATTTGAACCACCACCTCCAGTTTCTCTAGGAGATTCAGAAAAGTGCCCACCCCTTATATTTTCATTTGGAATTACGCATATGTGCAGTTAGAATCTCCAATGTCTTCTGCCTGCTGTCTTGTCAAAATGATTCAAGCCTGTAGCCCTAAAGCCCTGCACTGAGGGCTGGGAAATACCTTCCTGGGGGGTGAGATGGCAAAAAACAAAAGGTCCCCATGAATAACTTAATCTAAAGCAGAAAAGGGGACAGGTCAGAGCAGCTGAAGCCTTTGAACTCTTTACCTCAATGCCATTGGGTACTTAACTTGTCAAACACTTACCAAGCACCTACTATATGCAAGTCACTGCACCTTCAAGATGGTGTTGGAGACACACTGTGAAACCAACAGAGAGCAGGGGTATTCATTAGGTTAGGTTCTGCAGCATGTAACGGAAAACCCAAAATAATTTTGGCTTAACCAATAAGACAGAAGTGTGGAGGCAAGCAGTCCAGGGCTGGGATCATGGCTCTGCAGTCATTAGGGATCCAGGCTCCTTTCTTTATGCCCTACTTAGAGCATGGTGTGCTAGTCCATTTGGCATTGGTGTAAAGGAATACCTGAGGCTGTGTAATTTATAAAGAAAAGAGGTTTACTTGGCTCACGGTTCTGCAGGCTGTGCAAGCATGGCACCAGCATCTGCTCAGCTTCTAGTGAGGCCTCAGGAAGCTTTTACTCATGGCAGAAGGTAAAGATGGAGTAGGCATGCCACATGGCAAGAGCAGGAGCAACAGAGGTGCCAGACCCTTTTAAGCAACCAGCTCTCACATGAAATAGAACAAGAACTCACTCACTCACTATGGGGAGAGCACCAAGCCATTCATGAGGGATCTACTCCCATGACCCAAACACCTCCCACCAGGCCCCACCTCTAACATGGGGGATTACAATTCAACATGAGATTTACAGGGGACAAAACATCCAAGCCATATCACATGGCTTCCATCTTCATCGTTACCTCACAATCCAAGATGGCTGCTGGACTTCAGCCATTGTGTCCATGTTCCAAGCAGTATGTAGAAGGACAGAGAAAAAGAAAAAGGGTACATTGTCCATAGAAGTCAGTCCCTAGAACCTTTCCACAAGCCTTCACATTTCACTTACTAGAGCTTAACTCACTAGCCCATCAACAGGAGAAGGGGAGGCTGGGAAATACTGTCTTTTGGCATGGCACACTGTACACCCTCCAAAAAAATCAAGTTTTTGGTTACTGAAGAAGAGGAGAATATAAAGACTGCTGGATATAAAATTAGCAGTCTTTACCACAGAATGCGTCATAAGGAAATTTGAGAATGAGCCAATTTGGAGTGCTACTAAGTTCAGAAGAATTGGTAGTAGAAAAAAGGATAGGTATTAAAGCATGAAGGCTCAAATGAAATGATTCTTCAAGGACAACTAAACACTTCATCAGGTTGAAGCTGTTTTGAATAATTTTCCACAACCATCCACCTTTGAATTGAACATATTTTATGAAACACTCGAGCTGGTAAGGAAATGTCTTAGGCATGCTAGAACTCGGGCACCAGCAGAATCACTTGGGAACTTTTTAAAAATTCAAATCCCTGAGACCCATTCTTGGAAATTCTGACGGACGGTTTGGAGTTGAGGCTTAAAATTCTGCATTTAAAAAAGAAAAAAGCAGCTGGGCGCACTGGCTCAATGTATACACCGTCCAACCCTATTTCCAGTAATTAACTCTGAACAGAAGAATTATACAAACACTTCAGAGAGTACAAATACTTATATATGAGGTATTTATAATAGTCCAAATATCCATTAATAGAAGATTGGCTAAATTACGATATATCTATACCAAGGAACACCAGGAAGCTATTAAAAACAACCAACAAAAATTTATATACACAGCCATAGAAAGTATACAAATATATTTTTAAAAATACAAAAATCAGTACCAAAATAACATAGAGTAACCCCATCTCTGTAAAAAATATAAAGTTACAGAAAAATCTAAAAAAAAATTATCAAATCCTTAAAGCGTAGTTATGACTAGAGATGATAAAACAGGGTACCTTTCATTTAAATAACACATTTTTGTAATGCTTCAATTTTCATTGCAAACATGCCTTTTTTTTTTTTTTTTTTTTTTTTAATTTGAGACAGGGTCTCATTCTGTCGCCTAGGCTGGAGTGCAACGGTGCAATCCTGGCTCACTGCAAACTCTACCTCCTAGGTTCAGGCGATTCTCCTGCCTCAGCCTCCCAAGTAACTGGGATTACAGGCAGGCGCCACCAAGCCTAGCTAAATTTTGTATTTTTAGTAGAGACAGGGTTTCACCAGGTTAGCCAGGCTGGTCTCCAACTCCCGACCTCAGATGATCCGCCCGCCTTGGCCTCCCAAAATGCTGAGATTACAGGCATGAGCCACCATGCCCGCACAAACATGTATTGTTTTTACAATAAGAAAGAAAATAAGTGAATGGAAGCTCAAATGGGCTTTGAGCATCCAAAGCTGTGTGTGCTGTGAAGCCCACCATTTTCTTTTTAGGCAACAAGCTGCCTCAAGCACAGCACCCAGCATAAAACACAATTCAAACTCAGCCTCCTTCACACACAACTTGACACAGATGGAAGTTACAATCCTTAGCCCAAAGCCAAGTAGAAGCAACAAAAGCATAAGCTGCTAACAGTATCAGTTACAGAAAGTGACAGAAGAACCACAAAAGGCAGACCTAAGAATGAGAAGAGGCTGGGTGCAATGGCTCACGCCTATAATCCCAGCACTTTGGGAGGCCGAGGCGGGCCTGAGGTCAGGAGTTCAAGACCAGCCTGGCCAACATAGCAAGACCCCCATCTCTACAAACAAAAAAATTTAAAACTTGGCTAGGCATGATGGTGCACATCTCTACTCCCAACTACTCGAGAGGCTTAGGTAGGAAGATCACTTGAGCCCAGGAGTTTGAAGCTGCAGTGAGCTTTGATTATGCCACTGCACCACCACTTTGGTGACACAGTGAGACCCCATTAAAAAAAAAAAAAAAGGTATTAGAAATACAGCAATTTCTATAGCTATTTAGGGTAGGAACAAGGAGACTTACACACCTAGAGCCTCTAAGGATATCTCCAAGTAATAAATAAGATTAATAAGAATGAAAATAGTGAGTTTTATTTAGTGTCTAAGTTTTCATGGAGATGGGGTCTCACCATGTTGCCCAGGCTGGTCTCAAACTCCTGGGCTGAAGCAATCCTCCAGCCTCAGTGCTGGAGGCTCCCCGCCCAGAGTGCTAGGATTACAGGCATGAGCCCCTGCACTCGACCTGCAATCCTCAATGGACAGATTCCATACTCCGCTCCGAAGACAAAACTCAGAGATCTTTACTCATTGTCATGAAGATGTAAAATCAGAAATGTAGCACTGTCCATTTCTTGTGTCTTTCTTGTATTATTTTTCCTATTTTCCGCATACAGAATTTTGTTAGGAAAAAAAAAAAAAACAACTATAGATGTCCTGGGTCTTCAGGTGATTAAGCCTGGCTTCAAAAAACAAGATTCTACTTTTCAAAAAATAATCAACCAAAATTGTGACCAATAATACAAAGCCCAAAATTGTGACCAATAATATGAAGTATTCAAATATGGACTACAATTAGAATTTGGGGATTAAATTAAATATTGAAGAAGTAGAGAGTGGAATCATGGTTATTAGAGGCTAGGAAAGGTAGAGAAGAGGGTAGGATAGAAAGAAGTTGGTGAACAGGTCAAAGTTACAGCTAGATAGGAGAAATAAGTTAATTTATTGTACATTTTCAGATAGCTAGAAGATAGGATTTCAAATGTTCACAATGCAAAGGACTGACAAATGTTTGAGGTGATGAATATACTAATTACTCTAAAGGACTTCCCTAAAAAGTCCACCTTCTATCTTATTACCTCCTCCACCTCTCTGAGCACTTTATATATATCATAATTTAGCCAATCCTCTATTAATGTTCATCACACATTGTATACATGTATCAAAATATCACTTTGTTTTCTCATAAGTATGTACAATTATGTGCCAACTCAAAAGGAAAGAAGGATTTGTGAGAGCAAAAATAAAATTTAAAGGGCCTGGATTTTCAAAATAATAAATTTTTTCAAAATATTCATGGTTAAACAACAAAAACATGGATTTAATGCATTTGGAGGAAACTTTGGGGCAATTTTTGTTAAAAATACAAGGCCTCTGCACCAAATGATAAAGTACGGTGTTCTCTATTCAAAATGCTCTTCCCACATTTTAATCTTCAAGTGGGTTAAAACAATAGAGGTATGTGTACCTTCCCAACAACCTGCCGGTTTGAGTAAACTCAATTTACACCATGACGCCAGCCTGGTTTTCCAACATGCTCAGTTATTATGTTTGAAAGACTGGTTTTTCAAACAACACGCTGCCATGAGGGTCCCACTTTCCCACAGTGCCAGCGTCTACTTTTCTGGGAGTCAGAGCTCACAGTGCTTCCCAGCACTGCAGGACCAGGTGCGTGGCAGGCACACAATAAGGGCTGGCTTCCTTTCCCCTTTCCCTCTTCCTCCAAATAGAACAGGAAAATGGTGATATGATACAAACCTATAATAACACCAAGTCTTTCCTCCTGGGCTTCCATTAATCGTTTTCCTATTTCATTATATGGCCATCCAAAATCCCCATTAACAGTATCTTGCTTGCAGGAAAAAAAACCCCAATTTGTATTCAAAAAAACAAAAAAGGAAAGAAAAGCATACATATATGTAAATAAAAGCAGAGGGGAAAAAAGAAATATACCCAAATATTAACATGTGTTTATCTTCATGGTAGAACTGAAAAGTTTTTAATTTTCATCTTATACTTTTCTGTATTTTCCAAATGCTTTACAATAAGCATCTATTGGTTTTTTCTCATTACAATTAAAAGTGAAAGAAAGATTGAAATTTAAATGGTGCTGGGTATGGTGGCTCACGCCTGTAATCCCAGCACTTTGGGAAGCTGAGGCAGGCGCATCTCGAGGTCAGGAGTTCAAGACCAGCCTGACCAACATGAAGAAACCCCATCTCTACTGAAAATACAAAAATTAGCATGGTGTGGTGGCACGCACCTATAATCCCAGCTACTCGGGAGGCTGAGACAGGAGAATGGCTTGAACCCAGGAGGTGGAGATTGCAGTGAGCTGAGATCACACCACTGCACTCCAGCATGGGCGACAGAGAGAGACTCCATCTCCAAAAAAAAAAAAAGAGGAAATTTAAGTGGTACAAGGTGTTCCACTTCATATTCTACAATAATAAAATAGTAATGAAGACTACATAATCAAGAAAAAAGGCTCGTCACATGTCAAAGGACACGGGGATAACATAAAATAATCTATACCCTACAATTAAAACGATGGGAAAAACTATATAATAAAATGATAGTGGGGGTTTTTTCTCCATTTTCTGGCTTCTGTAATGTGATTCTATTACTTTTATAATTTAAAAATTAGCTTTTGAAGCATTATAAAAATTAATTTACAAAATGTACATCAAAAAATAAATAAGACATCTTAAAGACCCTGTCTTAGTAATTCGCAAGATGAGATACTAAGAGAGTTAGGATCAGGAGCTTCCTAGTTCAGGAGTCAGTAAGGCCATTTTCTCCAACACCACCACTCCGCCAAATGGAGGCAGCCTCCACAAAGGCCTGCGGGTCCCCTGTGGGTCACAGGCTGATGAAGGAGAACCGTTTTGACTGCTTCATAGCAACATTGGCTCTCTACTTCAAGGCCAGCAATGGTTTACAAATGCCATGGACTCCAGGGCTCTTTGACCTCAGCCTACCATCACCTGTTCACTTCCTCCCTGTGGCTACACAGGCTTCTGATCCATTCCTCTTCACATGACTCTATTTTCATCCCCCCCAGCCTCAGGTTAAATGTCACCTTCCCGAAGAAGCCATATCCCAGAAGACTGACTTCTTTCTGCAAGACTTTAGCGACCCCGTCCTGAACCCACAGATTGAAGTAGACTCTCCCAGTGCTCCAACAGTGCCCTATGCATGGATTCTGTGTTGGACTATGATTATGTGATTTCTGAGTCTTTCTCTTCCACTGGACTATAAACTCCTAGAGGGCAGAAATCAAGTTATATTCATTATTACATATCAGCACAACACCTTCCGTATAGCAAGAGCGCTATAATTGTTAAAATTGTTCTTACCAGGTAAGTCCATAGGCTATGGAGTCAAAATCCATATCAAGTTTGATATGGATTCTACTACACACCCACCAGAATGATGATAGTCATTACAGTGTTAGGACAGAACCACTGAACCCTCTGCTAGGTGGGAGTGTAGAAAACAGTTTCACAGTATAGAATACAGCTCCACACCTATTAAGACCCAGCAGTGCTGACCTAGAAATGTACTCAAAGAGCCGTATACGTATACAAATCATGTACAAGAATGAACACAATTAGGCCAGGCATGGTGGCTCACACCTATAATCCCAGCACTTTGGGAGGCCAAGGCAGGAAGATCACTTGAGGTTAGGAGCTCAAGACCAGCCTGGCCAACATGGCGAAACCCTGTCTCTTTTAAAAATTAAAAATTAGCCAGGCATGGTGGCATGCACCTGTAGCCCCAGCTACTTGGGAGGCTGAGGCAGAAGAATCACCTGAACCCAGAGGTGGAGGTTGCAGTGAGCTGAGATCACATCACTGTACTCCAGCCTGGGCAACAGAGGAGACTGTTTCCAAAAAAAAAAAAAAAAACAAAGAAAGAAAGTAAGTAGCACAATAAATAACAACCAAGAACTAAAAACAACCAAAGTCCATCAACAGTAGAAGAGATCAACAGTGAGGCATATTTGTACATTAAACTATACAATAAGAAATGTAGCAATATATTTAGCAATGAGGAAAAACAAATTATCGCTACATGCAAATCCATGTATTTCACATCAATGGATGAATTTCACAAACATAATACTAAGTAAAAAAAGCCAAATACAAAGAGTACATACTGTATGAATATGATTCTGTTTTTATGAAGTTCAAGAACAGTCAAAGCTTTTCTGTGGTGATAGAATAGTAGGCAACTTTGTTGAAAAATAACAATCAGGAGGAGGCACAAGAAAGCTTCTAGAAGATTCTGTACATTATAATTTATGAATTAAAAAAAATGTTTTTTAACTTGGTTCGTACCATGGCGCTAACCACTTACCAGCTGCATGGTCTTGGGCAAATGTCATAACCTTAAGCTTCAGTTTCTACATTTGAAAATGAAGATAAAAACAAAACCATCAACTACTTCATGGGAATGTGATGAGAATTCAATTAGGCAATGCACATAGCGTGCTTAACGTAGTGCCCAGCACAAGGTAGAGCCCAATATACAACAGCAAAAATAGCAGCAGCAAAGTTCTACTCATGTCTTACTTGGGGCCAGGCACTGCTCTTAGCTTTAAGCCCTTAATCACTGTGCAATACACCATGCCCAGTTCCTGTTCTTATTAACGAGTCAAGGCCAGACGCAAAGGCTGTGACCTGGGCATTCAGTAGCCATCTGTGCATAACGCGAATCACAGCATTCATTTCAAGAAGGGTGAATCACTAGTTATGCTGCTGCTGAGGTTTCAAAGAAAAGAAACTGGCAGGAGTCACACATTGGGATTATTTAGCTTCCGAAAGCATTAGCTGCTTTTTGCAGAAGTAAGAAGATTTTATTCTGGTGAAATCACTCATGTTGAATTGAGGACTCATTTGGGAACTGAAGGAACTCATCTTTCTTCCCTAAGGAAACAGAAGAGACAACTAACTCTCTGTTAAAAGTTATTCAAGTTGACTAGCTAAATTTACTATCTTTTAATGCAGTTCAGATTTATAATTAAAATAATTGGGTTTTTTGGTTTGGTGGGGTTTTTGTTTGTTTGTTTATTTGAGACGGAGTCTCACTCTGTCATCCAGGCTGGAGTGCAGTGGCATGATCTCAGCTCACCGCAACCTCCGCCTCCCAGGTTCAAGCAGTTTTCCTGCTTCAACCCCCAGGTAGCTGGGACTACAGGCGTATGCCACCATGCACAGCTAATTTTTGTATTTTTAGTAGAGACAGGGTTTCACCATGTTGGCCAGGCTGGTCTCGAACTCCTAACCTCAAGTGAGCCTCCCATCTCAGCCTCCCAAAGTACTGGGATTACAGGCATGAGCCACTGCGCCCAGCCAAATAATTGTTTAAGTACGTGCTTACTGTGTAAAGTAACTGAAAATATTGTTCATGAAGCAAGGGGCTCAGATCATATAAGATCATCTCCAGCCACACCACCCTGAATGCACCTGACTATTGACACTAAGCAGGGTCAGAAATGGTTAGTTCTTGGATGGGAGATTACAATAGGTCATTTGTAACACTGATACAATAGTCTCCAATTTACAAGAATAACCTGTACATTTGAGAATGGCTCAATTCTCATGAATTGTGGCTTTAAATAAGAAATAGCAAACTGCCTGATTTTGAACCTACCCCCACCATTTACTAGTTATGTCACCTTGGGCAAGTTACTAAATCTCTCTGTATCTCAGTTCCTTGGTAAAAATGGAATCAATAGCGTTACTATAAAAACCAAATAAGCCGGGCATGGTGGTTCACGCCTGTAATCCCAGCACTTTGGGAGGCTGAGGCAGGTGGATCACCTGAAGTCGGGAGTTCGAGAGCAGCCTGACCAACATGGAGAAACCCCATCTCTACTAAAAATACAAAAAATTAGCTGGGCTTGATGGCACATGCCTATAATCCCAGCTACTCAGGCAGGAGAATCGCTTGAACCCGGGAGGTGGAGGTTGCCGTGAGCCAAGATCACGCCATTGTACTCCAGCCTGGGCAACATGAGCTTGTACTCCAGCCTGGACAAGAAGAGCGAAACTCCATCTCAAAAAAAAAAAAAAAAACAAACAGAAATTACCCTGGTTTGGTGGTGCGTGCCTGTGGTCCTAGCTACTCGGGAGGTTGAGATGGGAGGATGGCTTGAGCCTAGGAGGCTGAGGCTGCAGTGAACCATGATCGTGCCATGGCACTCCAGCCTGGGTGACAAAAGGCTTTGGCTTTAAAAAAAAAAAAAAAAAAAGTTAATACATGTTAAGTACTTAGAACAGTATCAAGCACTGTTTAGTGACATAGAAGTGTTAGTATCATTAATTGTTATCATACTTTCTGATGCAGATGCAGAATTCATGTAAAATTACACCACTTAGTCACAAAATCTGCAGATATAATATAGACTGAGAAGCAGATAAGGATATATACTAAGATCATGTCAAGTAAGCATGACATTTGGTCTTTAGAGTAATACTTATGCACACACACAAACACATGCACTTTCTCTCTCTCTCAAGAAATTTAACTCGGGGCTACTCTGGAACATAACGTACCAATGATCTCAGATTCTTTGGATCCCAAAATGATCCCAAAAAAAGATGTTAAATATTACTTTTCTTCCAAGTATTTCCAAGAACCCATTAAACACACACATGCATAAATACACACACACACTGAAAAGGTACACTTGTTTTCTGTATTTCAAAAGCACACTGGAATCATTCCACTGCACATTTGAGGAGCAAAGTGGATGGTGTTCAAACACAAACTCTTCACCCTGCAGCAGAGGAGGCCTACTAAGCTTTTACATTTTCCTCCAATTGTGAACACTGAAAGCTTTTCATTTTGTTCCAAAGGAAATGATCTTACCATAGCTCAACGATATTATCATTGTCTGAATAAAGTGGGTATCCGGTGGCCATTGCAGAAGGCCTCAATGCTAAAACCCAAGGGTACAAAAGTTAAAAGTAACTCAATAGAAATGTCAGTTACAACATTCTTTCTTTTGATTTATGAGCATCAAACTTAGAACCCTGGAGCAAGGGAATTAAGACTATGGCACAATGTAAGGGTAGTACTCTACCTCCCCTCCTTCCACCCTTGCCATTAAAAAGGCCTTCAATACCCATTTTATTTTTGTATATGGAAGAGAATTAGACTTGAAAATACCACTACATATAATTCTTTCATCTCACCAACAGGCATATTCACACTCTTCTACTAATACTGGCCAATCAGGTTGAAAATCCCTATCTCACAACTGTTATCTGTGTCACATCATTAAGATAACAATTTTTTATGTATTAGTCCAGGGTATCAAAGAACTTTATTTTTCCTTTAAAAAAAAATGACTGTTCATTCTACACTTAGTAGACTTTAAACATCTAGACTCCATTCAAGCCACAGACTATTAACACAGTTAACATGAGATGGTGGTTTCTTGCCTTTGCTCTACCCTCAGTTGTAAAAACCTTATACAGCTTTATTATCCAGATCCTGGGACAATAGCCTTCAGTAGGAGACAGATGATGAACAGAAGGTCTCATACTTACACTGTTTCCTTAGCAATGAATTAGATTCTGGGAGCTCAAGGAAAAGGTAGGAAATGACAGTCATACTTCTTTGCAAGATAAATTTCCAGCAGAATGTACTTTCTTGCTGACTTGAGCTGCTTGGTTGGGTTTCAGCCCCTCATAAAGTTGTGTTAGGTCTTGACCTAAACATTCATTCATACTTCAAATGAGTTTTTGTCTCTACTAGGTAGAAGACACTGTGCCAGGTACCAAAAGAGATTTAAAATGACCTTATTTCACTCCTGGACTTTTCCCCTTCCCCAACCTCCCTCTAGGCTGATCACACACAGCTAAATGCACTCCTATCCTATCACATCATGTCTCAGATAATGCCCCTGTTAGGGCCTTGGTTTCCTCTCTTTAATATCTCCCACCCCTACTAAGAAAACACCTATCACTTTCTTTTGTATTATAAAGGTAATACATGCAGTGATATTTATAAAATTCAAACAGCCAAGAAGGGCATGAAATGGAAAACAAAACCACAGCACCATCCCATGGCCCAGAAATAACCAAAATTCTTGGTTCCAGAAATTGATATTCACAATCAAAAATTAAGACTTTTTTTTCACCATCTTATGGTGCTGAAAAAATTAAGACTTTTATTGTGATGGTGTCAGGTGAGGGGGGGGAAAGAAAAATGTGAAGGTGTTTATTTTTGCGAACAAAAAAATGGGATCTCAGAATACATGCTGATTTGCATCTTTTCTGTTCTTTCCTCTTTTCCTGCCTGTGGACATCACTCTGAATAAGGATATGGAATAAGGATACGATGGGTGGAGCAGCAACAGCCACACTGAGATCATGAGGAAACAAGCTTGAAGGCAAACATCAAACACTGAGGCGAGGAAAGAGGAAATAAGCCTGGGTCTTCAAACTAACTCCCCCAACAGCCCAGACTTTGGACTTCTTGTTTACATGAGGTAACAAATGTCATTTTGAAATGTCTTATTTAAACCACTTTTTAACCACTTTTTGCTGTTTTTATTCTTATGTAAACCACCTTCAACTGAGTTTTGTTTACTTGCAAGTAAAAGCAGCCCCATTGCCAAACTGCTCTCTAGATAGAAGCCCAGTGAATTTATAATCCCACACTCAGCACATGTGAGAGTGTCTGTCTCCTCACACCCTTGGCTTTACAAGGTTTTGGTCCCCATCTATTCCTGGTTCATTTTCACAAGTGGCTAGAGCCTTTTCTTCCTCAAAGTCTAGCAGCTCTTCACTAAAGAAATGGCCCATTGCAAAGCAGTAACAGCAAGGCTGCTTATCATTGGCCAGTATTTCACTCATTCTGCTTCGCCTATGTCATCCCTTATGGGCACGAGGCTCACATGGCTTCTTCCAAAGCAGACTCTGTCATCACAGGGCCAGAATATACTATAACACACAACACCAGTCCGGACTCTGCTAGACTATGACAACCACAGGGTGTGGAAAGACAGACCCTAGACTGGGAACAGGGTGGCCTGGCTCTCATCTGCCATTTTTGAGCTGGTTGGCTGAAGACAAGTCACCTCACCTCCTGAAGCCTGTTTCTTTGGATGTAAAAGGCAGGGTCTGGAAGCTACAGCCTAGGATCCTTATGAAGATTGGGACATGGTACACACAGGCACTGATGCTAACCTGTCACTGACTATTACAGGTGGGACTTAGGCTGAGGCAAGCCCCTGGCCTCCTTCAACACTGTGGTCCTTCTTTGTCCTCTTTGCCCTCTCAGCTTGTCACACTCCTGCCACCACAGCTGGCAGCCTGTCAGGTCATGATGGCTAACCCGAAGAAAATCAGGCCCATCCTTCTGCTCCTCCCACAGATAGGCAGCACTCCCACGAGCCCCATCGCAGTGAAAGGATATGATCAATGTCCAGCCAGCCGAGAGGCAGCGCATGCCAGCGAATGTACAGGAAATGCCAAGGCCTGGGCTGGTACCTGCACCAAATGCATATGATTTTTCACCCAGTCAGCCTAGGTCTCGCAAGCTCCCAAAAGGCTAGTTTGGCCCAAACTGCTCTCTTCCGTCTTATTCATTCTCTACCATTGTGAATGAAATTATTGTTCTCAGTGCTTTGCTCCTCCATATACATCTACCTTCTTTGCCATATGACTTCGAGTTACCTCCTACTAGAACTGGCCAGGTATACTTCCTCACCCTGCTGATGTGGGGCTTGACAATGCAATTTGTGTTGGCCAAGGGAATCTTGGCAGAACTGACAGTGGGCTGCTTATAGACCAAAGCTTTAAGAGGCTTCCAGCATTTCTGCTTGCCTTCTTATGCCTCTGTAATCTGCCCAAGGCAAGCTGGCCCTGCATATTTGTTGCCCCTGCAGCCTGGGCTGCTGAATAAAACACATGTGGAATAGACCTCAACCCAGATGGAAGCCTGGAGTCTGGCTTGGCCAAGTGAAGCACAGCCTGGCTCAACCAAACCACACCCAACCAACAGCTGAGCGAGGGGAAAATGAACCTTTGTGGTCATAAAGAACTGGGATCTGGGGCCAGGTGCGGTGGCTCACACCTGTAATCCCAGCACTTTGGAAGGCCAAGGCAGGTGGATCACCCAAGGTCAGGAGTTCGAGACCAGCCCGGCCAACATGGCAAAACCCTGTCTCTACTAAAAATATAACAATTAGCTGGGTGTGGTGGCACGTGCCTGTAATCCCAGCTCCTTGGGAGGCTGAGATAGAAGAATCGCTTGGACCCAGGAGGTGGGAGGTTGCAGTGAGCCAAGGTGGCACCACTGTACTCCAGCCTGGGCAACAGAGTGAGACTCCATCTCAAAAAAAAACAAAAACAAAAAACTGAGATCTGGGATTGCTTGTTACACGGCAATATTAAGCAGCAATATCCAATACAACCATTGTAAGAGCAAATATAACTAAGTTTGCCTGGCACATAATGACACACGATGATAAAATATTTACGCTTATGTTAAGGAAATCTGAGTCCATTTATCATTCAAACACATACAGAGCACTCCTATACATAAGGCACCAGGCAAGGCCCACAGGACACTGAGTAAAAAGAAAAACACAAAGGTAACTAACTCCTGCACGTGTCTTTTTGGTCAAGCGTAACTCCAAGCTTCCTAAATCCTATTGGGCGAGAGGGAAGGGTCTGTGTTGAAAAAGTGTCTGCTCATTTCATTCATTCATTTACTATCCTGGGTTAAAACACAAAAGGCATGAAATTCAACATCTGTGCATTTAAGTGAACTCTTACATTTGTTGATAGCAGAATCTACTTTTTCTACAAATGTACTATTCACTTAAAAGACAGTTGGAAACTACAGGTTTTTTTGGTTTGTTTTTTGTTTTTTGAGATGGAGTTTTGTTCTTTTTGCCCAGGCTGGAGTGGAACTTGAATCATTTTTAATGAACTCCTTGGTTCCACTAATCTTCATTTATTTCCTGAGCACTCTGATGCCCCAGGCACATGATTTTTAACTTTGCTAGAAAGCAGCACACACATCATTCCTAGTTCCAAAGCCCAGCTGCCCAGGTGCAGCCACTGATCACGAATTATTTTAAAGGGTAGTTGACATCCCCTCGTGCCCAAAATTTAAATTTAAAAAGAAAAAAAAAACACCTCTCTATAGTTTGACTCCGAAGTCTTCATTTTTACCTTTAGAATTTTATTTCATCTGCAAATGTGAAGATTCCTCCTCTAAAGGACAATGGAAAAAGACAAATTTCAGCCAGACTCCTTCTTCCATTCACCTCCACTCAGAAAGTCATGGGAGACTCCCACATCTAATAGCCTTTGCCATGAAGTCTTTCCAACAATCTTTTGGAAGTCTAAATAAAATCTAGATCCACTGGTTTGTCCTTCTTCCCACATTTATTCTCTCCCTCGGAGAACTTTAATAGATTTGCCAAGCATAATTTCTCCATCTGCGAGTCATGTTTTCTTCAGAGTCCAGTAACATCACCCTGTCCCATGGACTGCACAAGGCTGCCAGGTATGCAGGCAAATTAGCTCTGATAACAAGAAGCATTTCTATGATTCTAACCAGAAACTCACCAAAGTGAAGTGTCAGTACAGTCGTGCGAGCACACATATCTACAGCTACCTCTGCAGACACTGCTCTGAGCACTGGACACACAAGAATTCATAGAACAGAACCCCGGAGGGAGGATTCAGATCCGGGCAGTCCAGGCCCAGAATCCAGACTGCTAACTGCCCACCTTGGCAACCTCTACAAATCACCAGTGCGTGTCAGCAGCTCCGGGCTCCCCTCACCCTCCTGTCTTCGTCCAGCACAAAGGAAAGACCACCCTAGAATTTTCTTTATTTTAGCTTTTCCCAGGACTCCTCTAATGACAACTCCGGAGTTTTCCCTGAAGCTAAAGCAGCCTGCTTCCTCTTCTCGGGGCCTACTCACCTCTCCAGAATCAGAGAAAAAAGTAGAGCCTCCTCCAGCTCTCAGACCCTAAGGCCCCAGAATCTCAGGAGCCTGGCACTGCTCTCCTAAATGCTTTAATCTCTGCCCACTGAAGCCCCCCGACACTGCAGATAAGGTCAGAAGTGGGGCAGGGTAACTGCCCTTCCCAGGTAGGGAAATGCTTCACCTCCTTCCAGTCCAGTCTCTCTCCAAGGAGCTGGTTTTACATATCTATGTGGCTTTCAGCCTTTCTGAATCTTCTACTAGTGGCAGCTGAGGGGGGCAGGATAGCCAAGAATGTCCTCCACCCCCTGCCCAGCCCCCATCTCTGAACCCAGTCTGGGTCAATGACAAGCTACAAATCTGGCCCAGGCCTCCACCTGGAAATCTAAAGCAAAGGATATTATTAAAGTCACAGGTTAAGGATCACTCACTCCACAGCTCCTCATTTAGAAGCCTGCAGTGGCGTCAAATGTAAACACTTCCCAAGAATGCTTTAAAACAGGGGGAGGTTTTTATTAAACGACTTAATTGAGGGCCACTTCTCATTGTGGGAAGCTTTTAAACTGATGAATAAAAGGGGCCTGGTGGTGTTTTCCAGACACTTGTTTTTAAAACCTGTCACGCAGAGTCATGGGGAAATGAAGCACCACTCAGGGCCCCTATGTGTGCTCCTGCTGCTAATTCTTTCACAGAAGTAAGATACCTAATAAGACCTATTCCCCAGCACCAAGAACCTGGCATGAGGGCTTCATTCCACATTCATTTCAAGGGTCATTAGAAGTACTGGATGGGAAAAGTGGAAAAAATAAGGCTGGCCAAGAAGGATCAAAATCAATGAAGAAAGACAGTTTAAAACTTGAAAACAGGGCATGACTTCAGAGAACCACAGGCCTGATGACACTGAGGCTTGGGGTGCTCTGCAAAAAAGACACCAGGTAAAAAGTGGTGAAGTGCTGGTGCATGTTACAATACACAGATGGCACCTTGAAAACATTATGCTAAGTGAAAGAAGCCAGATGCAAAAGGCCATCTATTGCATGAAATACATTTATATGAAATATCTAGACTAGGCAGTTCCACAGAAACAGAAAATAGATGAGCGGGCTCGCAGGGAGGGAGTGGCTGGGGGAAGGGAGGAACGTGGAGTGACTGCTCTACGGGTCCAGGGTTTCCTTTCAGGGGGATGAAAAAGTTTTGGAATTAGATAGTGGTGATGGTTGCACAACATTGTGAGTGTACTTAATGCCACTGCACTGTACACTTTAAATTGGTTAAAATGGAGATTTTATGCTGTATTTTGCCACCAAAAAAAATACCAAGAACCAGAAAGATCCTTTTTCAGCTCCTAAATCAGGAGCAAGCTCTTCATCTGAGTAAAAATACACAAGCTACAAGCCAACATCAAATAGTATTTTACTAACAGCAACTCATTTATTGAGCTAAGCTCCCATCTTCACCGCACACCTCACAAGGACCAGTCGCTGAAGCCTCGCACCCATCTTCAGCTGGGTGTTATCGTCGTCACTGTCGTTATCCTCATTTTACAGGTGAGGAAACTGAGGTGCAACGAGGTGAAGTAGCTAACCCAGGGTCACACAACAAGCACGGGAAAAGCCAAAGGTTGTACACAGAGCAGCCTGTGAGTGGCTGACCTCATGCTGTCAACCACTGGGCCACACTGCTTCCCGAATCACACACCCTGCTGCAGGAACTATTTGGGGGGCCTCCTACTATGCCCGTAACACAGATATTCTTTGTTGAGCCCCAACCATTTTAGTGTCCTTGACTGAAACGGATCCCGTGAAAAATGCCTTCAAAAGGCATACCTTAGGAATCACACAGCACATTCACATACGTAGAGCTAGTTTCACACGTGCAGAGTCAGAGCAACATGACGAGATGGGAGGGTGACACAATTACCTATCTGCCCTTTAACAGGGGAGAAAAGCGAGGCTCACAAGCCTGTAGCAGCACAGGCCCCACTCCACCAATGTCCTCTGCAGGGAATGGGTTTAACCACCCCACAGGCTAAGTGGTTTCACTGGTTTTAGCATGGCTATTTATATGTAAACGATGCAAGCAAGTTTCAAATGAAGTTAAGTCATGTTTAATGGAGAGAAAAGGAGGTGTTCCCACCTCAGGGGCACCTGTGGGGAAACCCAGAGGCATCAATAAAACGTTAAATTCCATTCTTTCCACCCTACTTAAGAAAGGAGGGATCTTTGTCCCTGGCCAATAGCTCCCTTGGATCAGAGATGTTAAAAAGAGCTACCGTTGTTTGAGGTTCCACTTTGTCAGGGTTTCTTAGCCTTGGCTCTACTGACATTTTAAGCCAGATAATTCCCGTGGGGGACTGTCCTTTGAATCAAAGGATATTTAGCAGCATCCTTGGCCTTGGCCCATTAGATGCCAGGAGCCATCACCACCCCAGTCATAACTACCAAGAATGCCCCCAGATATTGTCAAATGTACCCCCGGGTGGGGAGGTTGGGGGGACCCTGTTTGAGAACCACTGTACTATGTCAAAGAGATATGGCTTGACTGTATGGGGTAGGCATTACATCTATTTTACAGAGGAGGAAACAAACCTGAAATGGAAGAGGAACCAAAGAGCCATCACTCCTAGTGATCGTCAAATAGAGCTTCCAATCCAAGTGAATGAGACCTTTCTTTGCCCCACAGTGTGAAGAAGGAATGAAAATACAGGAGATGAAACTACTTTATTTTTCTCTGTCACCCAGGCTGGAGTGCAGTGGCACAATCTCAGCTCACTGCAATCTCCGCCTCCTGGGTTCAAGCCAAGCTGGGAATGCAGGCATGCGCCCCCACGCCCAGCTAATTTTTTGTATTTTTAGCAGGGACAGGGTTTCACCATGTTGGCTAGGCTGGTCTTGAACTCCTGATCCCAACTGATCGGCCTGCCTCAGACTCCAAAACTGCTAGCATTATAGGCGTGAGCCACTTCACCCAGCCCAAGGTGAAACTACTTTCTACTAGCTCATGCATTTAAATGTTAAACAGGAAAATGGATGGTGGACTTGAACCTTACCAGGTATTTGGTCCTCAACTGCAAAGAAAATATATTCTGCAGACCCTGATGACAAGAGCAGCCCCGAACAATGCATGGAAGTCTGAAGGGCCTCCCTGATTCACTCAGTAGTCTGCAAGCTGGGTGTCGGGATGCCCTTCAGATAAGAAATGCTTTAAGCAAACAAGCAAAAAATGATTCACCATGAGAACTTGAAATGCATACAAGACAGCATGCTTTTATCAAAAATTCTCTCCTGTTATTTTTGCAAAACACTCCCCACACACTCTCACTTTACTTAAGGCTTGTCTGTTTTTCTGTTTAGATATCACTGTGGCTGCTAGAGACAGAGGAAATACAAGGATGTCAAGTTTCAAAACACTGTCTTTCTTCCTTCTTCCACAAAGCTTTATTGAGCACCTATTTTCTACCAGACACCAGGTATACAAGGTCAGTAAAGAGGTCTCGTCTCTTTAAAGGTTTGTTTGAAAGTTTATGGCAATTTTTTTAAAAAAGAAAGAAAATAAAGTTTATGGGAATTCAGACACATAAACAAAGAGCACTTATGTTGTTCTCATTGCCAAGATAAAGGCATATACAGGCTATCAATAATTTGTTGAAGAAATACGTGGGTGAGTTCAAGGAATGAATGAAGAGCAGGTGCAGCATCCAGGCCTCTATGCCTAATGAGGTGGTAGTTGTTAGCATAGCTCAGAGCCGGACAGCAAGGGTTTCAACCCTGGATTTCAGCACTTTGACAAGTTACCCAATTTCCCGTGGCCTTGTTTCTATCGCCTGTAAAATGGGTTTATGATAGCACCTATCCCATAGAATTGCTATAGTAAAAGCTCTAGGATGGGGCTGGAGGCAAATGCTATGGGAGCATTTGCTATTATGAGAATTACTGATCTTGGGCAGGTCTCCTGGAAAGTGTCTGGCAACTCTCTCCCTCTTTTGTACCCCATCCAGCTGCCTCACACCCAGAAAGTTGGACTCAGGCCTGCAGGGAGAAGCAGTCATGCCATGAGCAAGCCAGGCCTGGAGAATCAGCTAACTGGTGGGTCTTATCTCCTACCCACTATTTCCCCTCTCCCTTCACCCTACCTTCTCCTCCCAACCCACCCACCCCACTCCCCAAAGCTTATAGGTGGCCCAAGGCAGCACAGACTGTTAGGGCTGAGCTAGTCTGGCCACAACCAGACCAAATGCATTTAAGCCCCAAACCTGAAACTCACAAGTAAAAGAAATCTTAAGTTTGGGCTGGGCACGGTGGCTCACGCCTGTAATCTCAGCACTTCGGGAGGCCTAGGTGGGTGGATGGCTTGAGCTCAGGAATTAGAGACCTGCCTGGGCAACATGGCAAAACCCCATTTCTACAAAACACACACACACACATAAAAATTAGCCAGGCATAGTAGCCTGCATCTGTGGTCCCAGCTCCTCGGGAGGCTGAGGTGGGAGAATCACTTGAGCCTGAGTCTGGGAGGTTGAGGCTGCAGTGAACTGTGATCACACCACTGCACTCCAGCCTGGCCAACAGAGTGAGATTATCTCAAAAAAAAAAAGAAAAGAAAAGAAAAGAAAAGAAAAGAAAAGAAAAGGCAGATGTGGTGGCTCACGCCTGTAATCCCAGCACTTTGGGAGGCTGAGGCAGGCGGATCACGAGGTCAGGAGATAGAGACCATCCTGGCTAACATGGTGAAACCCCATCTCTACTAAAAATACAAAAAATTAGCCGGGCGTCGTGGCACGTGCCTGTAGTCCCAGCTACTCAGTAGGCTGAGGCAGGAGAATGGCTTGAATGCAGGAGGCGGAGGTTGTGGTGAGCTGAGATTGTGCCATTGCACTCCAGCCTGGGCAACAAGGCTGGGCAACTCTGTATCAAAAAAACAAAAAAAAAAAAAGGAAGAAAGAAATCTTAAGTTTGTTAAACTCCACCCTGCAATCCCTTTGCAAGCTATTTTCTCTCTCTCTCTTATCTCTCACTCCATTCTTTATCAGGTCCTCTCCAGCACCTAAAGCTTTCACAGTAATCACCACTCTAAGTGAACATTCCAGGTTTTTGATACTTGATTAGGGCAAGGACGGAGGCTAATCAACTTTTCAGCTGCTGCTGTATAATTCTGAGTAAGTCATTGTTTATAGAAAGGAAGATAAAAACCACACAGGCAAAAAAGGTGGGGAATCAAACCTTTTTTAATACTGTCAGCTACAAAAGAGTTCAAGGATATATATTAGTTCATAAGATATACTAGAACCTCTTCATGACTTTGAAAACTGGGCCATTTCCTTTTCTTTTGTAATCAAGTCAAAAGAGCCCCATTGTTGAAAGTTTAACAGTCCTAGTTGGAATACCCAAACTCCCAGCCTTAGAGAGGAAGGGGTCCTCACTTGGAAAATGGGACTAACAACACTCCCATCACAGGATTCCTGGATAGTCCTGGTCACAGTCGTTCCTCTTCCCTATGTGGACTATAAATTTGCAAGGGAAAACAGAGGGCCTGTTTTGAATGCAATGAAACACAAAGATAGAAAACTAAGGGAAAAGGTCAAAAACAAGAGAATTCTTGAGGCCAAAACTAGAGGTCATCTTACCTCAATCTTCCAGCAAAGAGATAAGTAACAGGAAAAGATTATTAACAGTCGAGGAGCTTTACAGACCTAACACACTACAAAGCAATCACCTGAACGATTACGTACTCTACCAAAGCAAAGCAGAAATCCCTGTGATTGGGCAGCAGGGAAGAAACCCTGCCCTGTAAACAAAGAGGCTTCTGGCCAGGCTGGCAGAAATATTGCACGTTCATAACAAATGCTCTGTGCACTAATCCCAAACACTCTAACTCCATGACGACCCTCCGCTAACTCCCTGGAAATGTTCCTTGGAGCTGATCCTTCTCGGGTTGAAATATTCAGCTAGTGCTCATTGTAGTAATGAACATTCATTCACTAGCCCTTTTTTAAACTCATCTCTAATTATAACTCCATATGGCCTCTAAGCCCTTACTACCTGTAATTTTAAGAGCTTGAGGTAATTACTATGCAGCAAAGTTTTGTTTTTGTCGCGAGTACCACATAAACAGGAATTGGATGTGCACAGCTTCGTTTTATTCTAGAATGCCCAACGCTGAATTTTGTTTTTAATCTCTTACCCAACAACCAATTATCTACAGAAACTCAGAGGTTTGCAGAACTTGAAGAAGGGTGGAAATCACGTCTCTCTAACCTAGGATGTGGGACCCGTTCAGAGACTTTCTGCACAGCCTAATCTACCCTCTTCTTTAAGACACCTAGAAAAGCAGCAGTCCATAAATTTCCCTTGGGATCACAAGGTCGCAGTGGCCTTTAGCGGAATACTTTCTCTTTAGGTCTGAACTGATTTACTATTTTCCTCTACCTCACGTAGAGGAAAATAGTAAAATTCCTATTTACACGAGGTAGAGGAAAATAGTAAATCAGTTCAGACCTAAGGAGACTGTGATGTTAAAAAATAAACAAGGCACTGAGAACACAATTTCTTAATCAGCTCAGCTTAAGAGGAGCGAGAAACAGTAGAGAGAACTTAGCTTTGTATTCAGACAGACCAGAGTACTCTCGAACTTCAACTCTGCCATTTTATTTTTGTTGTTTGTTTTTAAGACAGGGTCTCACTCTGTGACTCAGGCTGGAGTGCAGTGGCATGATCATGGTTCACCGCAGCCTCAACCTCCTAGGCTCAAGCCATCCTCCCATCTCGACCTCCAGAGTAGCTGGGACCACAGGCACGCACCACCACACCAGGCTAATTTCTGTATTTTTTTGTAGAGGCGGTATTTCAGCATGTTGTCCAGGCTGGTATTGACCTCCTGGGCTCAAGGGATCCACCTGCCTCGGCCTCCCAAAGTGCTGGGATTACAGGCATGAGAACTTTGCCACTGTCAACTACTATGCACCTTTGCAGGATTCAGCACCTCCTTGGGCCTCAGTTTCCTCATATGTAAAATGAGGTCACTGCCACCTGCCTCTCAGGAATGTAAAGGGTTTACAGTAATGAACGAAAAGTGCTGAGCATGCTACCTGGCACTTGAAAGGCAGTCAATAAACAAATAGTAACTATTATAACCATGAGGTTATTAGCCCTATGGGTCAGCTATTTGGAAACCACCTACCCAAGGGAAAAACAGTGTGAAGTCCAGTTTTCAGCCTGCCCAAGGAAGCCTGAGCTACAGCAACCATGGTATGATGAGGAACCAATGTCTGCCCATTGGCAGGAGCCATAGATACAAACCCAACCACTTGCTCCAAAAAGTGCTGCAGCTGCGGCTTTCACACTGCACTTTGCATTCTCCTTTCAGCTCTGTTGCGGAGGTAGCCGCTACTAAGCTTACTTTACCAGTTACTAATGTGCCAAAAATGGATCCAGCCACATTCTCCATGAGCTTCCCACTCCCAGGAAGTACCCCTGTTCAGTAGACTCCAGAAGCAAAAGACACCTGCCAGAATCTGTTCTCTTCCTCCACCTCCCACCTCCCCTTTGCATGATGGATACCTGCACCCTTCTCGCTCCTGGAGTCGGACATTTCCAAAATCAGTCATTTGGGGTACGGGCCTAATAGAATAAGCTTTAATGTAAACCCAAGTAAAGCATGTCTTATGCCTCCTGTGCCAATGAATTGAGGAGGCATCTACCCAGGCGAGGCTAGCCAGGTGCCCCACAGTACCCCACGGGCCACTGTGTTCCTCTTGATTAGAAAAGTTCCTAACTTATTGCAACCCAGGGTTTACATCCCCACCTGACTCAGGCCCCTTAAGGCAGGAACCTTATCCTGTTTACCAACAACTCTGGGTAATACATAGCTTTTGCTAGTAACAGGGGCTACTAACAGCTGGGCACAGTGGCTCATGCCTGTAATCGGAGCACTTTGGGAGGCCGAGGCAGGTGGATCACCTGAGGTCAGGAGTTCGAGACCAGCCTGGCCAACATGGTGAAACCCCATCTCTACTAAAAATACAAAAATAAGCGGGGTATGGTGGCGCATGCCTGTAATTCCAGCTACTCAGGAGGCTGAGGCAGGGAGGATTGCTTTAACCCGGGAGGCGGAGGTTGCAGTGAGCTGAGATCACATCACTGCACTCCAGCCTGGGTGACAGAGCAGAGTCTCAAATAACAAAAACAAAAAGACACCTTAGTGTGAATTTAAGATGAAGCACTATCTCCCCCAAGGATATTGGCTTGAGGGATGCAGGAGGGTGCATGAGGAGAGAAGTACAGGGGGCTGCAATCGGGACACGGGGGACACCAGGCTGAAAACACTAAGCCTTCCCTCCTCGGTAAAGGTCAGTCAACCCTGGTGCTATTTCCATCCCCCACCCCATTCCCTTTTTTTTTCTTTTTTCCTTTTCCATTTTCAGGATTTTCATGTCATAACTGGTTTCTTGATAACAGCAATGTCACATGCCTGAAAAAAGTAAGCACTTGGTCATTCAGAGAAAATTACCCAATTTTTGGTTTCCCCTTGAACTTTGTTTTCCTGCTCTGATGCCAACCTCTCAGCCATGCCACCGCCCTTTAGTGCCGAGATCAGAAGATGAAAAGAAAGGAAAAGCATAAAATCAGTTGGATATTTTTAAAAGGCCAATGGCATCTCTTAGATAAATGGGTTTCACGGGGAAAGAGAGTTAGGAGGCCATTAAATTTCTTTAACTCTCCCTCACCCATCAGCACAAGCAAATTAAACAAAGAAAAAAAGGAAGCCACCAGGGCAATAAATTCTTAACACAAACCCAAGGCCTTTTCTAGTTGCTGTATCCCCTTTCCCTAAATGAAAAAGTATCTCACTAACCCTTTCTTCATATTTTTCTTCACTTACTTTCTTCTAATCACTTTAGGATATTAGAGCTGCTACTCCAAAGTGAGAAATTGCAATAAATGTGCTTAGGCCCACATTTACATAAACTTTTCTTTTTGGGGGGGTAGAGTGTATTATTATATTCACAGTGTAACTATTGCTGTTCAGGGGTGACTTTTCAGACACCATGAATTCAACAGCATCCTCGAATAAGCATTTTTCTTTTCCCAATTGAGACAAGATTTGGAAGTTAACAAACCATTTAATAATATGGCTTCATTTTGTTGGCATGGTCTCACTCACTCACACACACACACACAAAAAAAACAGTAGGAAAACACTTTCCATATAGTCTTGCTCCCCAAAGGGTGATGATTCGGGTCAGGGGACACCCTGTAAGACAATGCGCTGCATGTAACCTCCATTTCAAGCCAAAGCCAAGACAATGAAGACGGCTCCCACAGGGTGCACACCTCCAGCAAGTGAATACAGTAGTAGCAGCAGAGCATGGTCGTGGAAGTTGGGGAAAAGCGAGAAAACCAAGTGGGCAAAATTATGTCATTTTTGTATTTTTCAAAATGAATGTTCTTTGGACTTACATTAGCAGCTAGAAATGAATGTAAATGTTCTTTCACTTCAGCAAGGCATTCTTGGAAGGATGTCATCCCACTGTTAATAAAAATACAGGCGGGGCACGGTGGCTCATGCCTGTAATCCCAGCACTTTGAGAGGCCGAGGTGGGCAGATCACCTGAGGTCAGGAGTTTGAGAACAGCCTGGACAACATGGCGAAACCCTGTCTCTACTAAAAATACAAAAAAGTAGCCGAGCATGGTAGCGGGTGCCTGTAATCCCAGCTACTTGGGAGGCTGAGGCAGGAGAATCATTTGAACCAGGGAGGCCGAGGCTGCCGTAAGCTGAGATTGCACCATTGCACTCCAGCCTGGGCGACAAGAGCAAAACTCTGTCTCAAAAAAAAAAAAAAAAAAAAAAAAAAAAAAAAAAACACATAGAGGGCCACCCCCTAAGAAAAACTTAAAACCACTGATTTGTGGTCAGGTAGCAACATCAGGGTGGAAATTTTAATGCAAACATCATATTTGGGGTACAAAAGTAAATTAACCAAGATCCCCGGAGACTATCACATTACTAAAAAGGGCAGTGAAAACACATTTTCTTGATAAAATATATGACCTAATTTAGCCAATATAAGCATGGTTACATTTTCCTTAGTCCTACTTCTCTATCATTTTTAAGACCATGTGACAGGTGTCTCAGGTGTCATCTCAGATGTGCCATGTTATACACTGTGTTCTGTCTGCAGGGCTTCATCATACTTCCAGAATAAGTTTAATCTACAAAAATGGACTTATGTTAACACAAATATCAACCACAAAACCTTAAGGATGTTGTTAGCTTTGGCTTTTTGAAGGAAAATTCTCCACATTTATGCAACTCCATTATCTACGTGGGGGAGTCTCCGGAGGGTCTCCAAAAGCTGACCAAACCCTAAAGTATTTTTTCTCCTTTTAATCTGAAATCATTCCCGAATATGACAAGTCAAATTATCACTTGGTTTTCCCTGAATAGGACAACCCTGTATTATAACCTTGACCCTGACAAGGACTGCTCGGTTCTAATGCCTACACTCCCACCTCCTTGGCAGAAAGTGCCCTGGCAGTATTGACTGTAAACAGAGAGGTAGAAACAAAGGGATCTTCAGTAAAGGCACCATCTACTGTCTAAAGTTGGAAAGCACCAATCAACAGGTTCTTCAGGTGGAGAGGTGGATTAGGGAAGAGCTATGAGGACCTGAGATGAGTTCTAGATCAGGACTGATCTTGAGCCGTCCGAAGAGTGGCTGGTGGGAGCAACTCTCAAAGCAGAGGTTTTCAAACTTGCCTGCACATTAGAATCACCTGCGGCGTCTTAAAAATTCCATTGTCCAGGCTGCAACCCAGGCAAGCCGAATCCAGATCTCTGGGAGTGGGACACAGGCACCAGTATTTTTTAAAACTCTCCAGATGTGGGGCCAAGTTTGAGAACCAATGCCCGCAAAAGCATTCCCAGCGAGCTTTGAGCAACGTTTTGAGCGGCATAAGCAGAGTCGGGAGGGCAGCGGCCTTAGGGTGAAGAACACACAAAGCAAATATACAAAGTTTCAAAAATCCTGTGTAACTAACTCCAACATGACAGCCAAGTACCTGTCTAGAGGCCAAACAGTGATGCAACTTGGAAAAGTCCCGGGGAGAGCTAGAATGTGTGCTCCGAGTGAGGCGGGGGCTCTCTCGGGGATGACCTCCCTGGGCGGCGCAGTGGTCTGGAGGATCGGGGAGAGAAAGGTCACACGCCCCTTTCTTTCCAGGGGATGGTCCGGCCGAGCACGCCGAGGACTTGTGTACGACAGGATAGGTCAGAAACTGCTTCGTGTGAGTCTCTCCCAGCTGTCACTAGAGCCGGAGGGTCCAGGCAGGGGTGCGAAGGCAGAAAGTCCCTCTTCACTAAAGGGAGGTTCTGCAGGGCCTCCTCCCTCCCACCCCGCCCCGAAGCGGGTTCCCCAGGGATCGCCCGCATCTGTTCTGCGCCTGCCCTCGGCGGGGCGCGGCGCGGGAGTCCGGGTCGCATCTTCGAGCCCCAGGACACGCGCGGCGCGGGTCACCGAGAGTGGACGCGCGGACTGAGCACAGTGCACCTGGCTGAGCCCGAACCCCTGGGGGTCCCGCCGCCCTGGGCGGCCCCTAGCACCCCGAAACCCGGCTGCCGGCGCACACCCCGCCCCGCTCCAGCCCGGAGCTCACTCACCGCCGCCGCCGCCTCCTCCCGCGTCCAGCTCCCGCCGCAGCCAGCAGAGCCCGGCCGGAGTGCAAGGGCCGCGGCGCCGCCGGGAGGCCGAGCGAGCCCGCGCCCCGCCCCGCAGTCGCCGCCCGCCCTCCTGGGAGGAGGGGCAGGGGCTGGCCGGGGGCCTGGACCCGCCGGGGCTGCCGGCGGGCCCAACCCTCCCTTCAATCCGCCCGCGGCCCGTCGGGACGAACCTACCCAGGAACCCCCGCACCACCCGCCCTCGGCTCCGCTGGGCCCGGGGCTGCGCTTAGACCTCACCCCTTCCCGGAGCCGTTCGTCCTTCCACCTCCCCTCCGCCGTCACCGGGCATTTTTCTTCTCCCAGCCTCGGCCTCTCCAAATTCCTGGCCTGCAGGAAGCCCTCCCTATTTCGCGCTCTCGACTGCGCCGAGCTCAGTTTACCCCTTTCCCTTCCTTTCCCTGCTTAGCCTTTTTCCCCCTCACTGTCAGAAACTTAAGGGATAGCGCTCTTCTGCCACCGCAAACCCACACCTATTTATTGAGCACCTACTGTGTCTAGACACTGGTGGGGAGGTTATCCCACTTGCGCGGTAACAAGAAATGTCTGTCTCTGTTGGAGAAACAGTAAAGTGAGGCGCCTCGTAAGGTCACACAGCTGGCGGTAGTAGGGCTGGGATTCGAATACAGTTTTTAGGTCCTTGTTTAGACCCACCCCACGATAAACTGCGGCACGCCTCTCGCTAGCTGTGAGAACTTGGGCAAAATGTTATCAGTTCTAAACCCCAGTTCACTCATCCGTAAAATGAAAAGCTGGATACTTCACCAGCTATGAGGATTCCCTGAGAAAACAACAACCTGTACTTTTTTTTTTTTTTTTTTTTTTTGGAGATGGAGTCTTGCTGTTTTGCCCAGGCTGGAGTGCAGTAGCGCGATCTCGGCTCATTGCCTCTGCCTCCCGGGTTCAAGCGATTCTCGTGCCTCAGCCTCCCGAGTAGCTGGGACTACAGGTGGCCACCACTACGCGCGGCTAATTTTTGTGTTTTTAGTAGAGACGGGGTTTCACCACGTTGGTCAGGCTGGTCTCGAACTCCTGACCTTAAGTAATCTACCCGCCTCGGCCTCCCAAAGTGCTGGGATTACAGATGTGAGCCACTGCGCCCTGCCCAACCTGTACTTAATACATGTTTGCTGACATATTGAATGAAATAGACCCTTGAAAACTTAACAATTCAAAACAATATAAAAGGACTTGAAAAAGTAATAGGTTGGTGCAAAAGTAATTGCAGTTTTGCTATTACTTTCAATGGGAAAAGCCACAGTTACTTTTGCTCCGACCTAATAATAGTGATTCATTGCCAGGAAAGAAAGAAAAAAAAAAAAAGATGCTACTTATCCCAAGTGGGCAGCATGGTCAAGGGAGTCTTTTTGGAGGAAGCGGTATTGCACTATTCCAGAGTTAGCAGGTCTAGGTTGGGGAAGACAGCCAAGGTGATGGGGTGTGTGAACAGTGCCCAGAGGGTGGACCAGCTTTCCTGAGCAGAGGCTGCCTGGGGCAGGACACACATGCTAGAAAATGGGATGAGGCATACTAGAAAGGTGGATGGGGTCAGAGGGTGGAAAAGGCATCAAATGCCAAAGTGAGGGGGCTCAAGGCAACCAAACAGTACTTGGACACCTCAAAATGACTAGAATGGAACCTGCATGCAATAGAGGGCACCTAAATGGCCCTGGGAACCAGATGGGGGAGACCCATGGCCTAGGAACCAGCAGAGTCATGGGGTAGATGGGGAGTTGCAGCAGGGAGGGACAGGAAAGAATTTTCCAACTGGGTGCAGTGGCTTATGCCTGTAATCCCAACACTTTGGGAGGCCAAGGCAGTGGATCACCTGAGCACAGGAATTCAAGACCAGCCTGGGCAACATGGCGAAAACTGTCTCTACCAAAAAAAAAAGAAAAAGAAAAAGAAAAAAAGCGCATACACACACACACACACACACACACACACACACACACACACACACACACACACAAATTAGCCAGGCATGGTAGCATGTGCCTGTAGTTCCAGCTACTCAGGAGGCTGAGGTGGGAGGATCAACTGATCCTGGGAGGTTGAGGTTGCAGTGAGCTGTGACTGCCCCAGTGGACTCCAGCCTGGGCAACAGAATGAAATTGTCTCAAAAAAAGAAAGAAAAGAAAAGAAAGAGAGAAAGGAGAGAGGGAGGGAGGGAGGGAGAGAAGGAAGGAAGGGAGGGAGGGAAGGAAGGAAGGAAGGAACTAATGAAGGAAGGAAGGAGAGAGAGAAGGGGAAGGGAAGGAAAAGCAGAAGGTAAGGAAAAGGGGAAGGGAAGAAAAAGGGGAAGGGAAGGAAAAAGGGAAGGGAAGGGAAGGAAACGGGGAAGGGAGGGAAAAGGAAGGGAAGGAAAAAGGGAAGGGAAGAAAAAGAGAAAGGAGGGAGGGAGGGAAGGCAGGAGAAGGGGAAGGGAAGGAGAAGGGGAAGGGAAGCACAGGGAAGGAAAAGGGGAAGGGAAGGGAAAAGGGAAGGGAAGGGAAGGGAAAAGGGAAGGGAAGGGCTCTTGTTTGGAAGACCAGATGTCTTGGTGACCAGATGTGTGCAATGAGGGAGTGGAACTGGCAAAGGCAAAGCTGAGGCTTCCAGGCTGGGTGCCTTGGAGCATCAGAAATAGGAACAATATGGAAAGAGGCTGCTTTTCAGGAGAGCTCCTGAAGGTTCCATGGAGCATGAAGTAATGGTGGAACTTTTCAGTGGAAATGCCCCAGCAGGCAGCTGGGAAGTGGAGGAGTGTCTCTGGGCAGCATCCATGTGGAGGGTGAGGGGAGAGTGAGGACCAGGAGCCAGGAAAGGAGAGTGCAGTGCCTTCACTGAGGGTGGAGGAAGCAGAGGGCATCACCCAAGGGAGAAAGAGGAGGGTAACTGAGAGCTGTTGGGAAGAACCCAGGAGTCTTTGACGGAAGCCCAAGGGTGAGGGACTCCTGAAGGAGAGGGCAGTGCCGAATGTCACGAATCCACTTCTCACATGGGCCCTTCCAAGGATCTGTAGAGAGTGTGCACTCAGGAAATATTTGTTAACTGTCAAAAAAGCATTTCATCAGCAATTTCCCCTCCCATACAGATATTTTGCTGATGACAAAAATAAGAGGAGTCATTGGAGGTAAAGACAGAGGTGAGAGAGATCAGCTACCAGAGATACTGCTTTCGTTGCTCTTATTGTCAAGATGAATGCTCAAGCCCCACCAACCTCAACTTAAAGCAAACATTTCCAGGGAATGCTTCTGAAAAACATTTTTGTCTTTTTTTTTATTTAATGTAAGTCTGGCTCCCTTAATTATGGTTTTTGAGCCAGTAGAACGATTAAGGGGAGGAAGAGCGGGGTCAGTGGCAGCAACTTGCCAAAGAGAAGTTTCCAGGAGGATGAGTAGAGAAAAATCACCTCTTTTCTCCTCCAAATTTTCTGTACATAAAATACATGATACAAAAATATTCACATAAGTGCTACAGTATAAATGACATTTGAGTAGTGACACAGAATATAGGAAGAGTGACAGAAGGGAGGCTGCAGCATGGAATAGGTCTTATGGCGTGCACTTGGAAGACGTAATGCAAGGCCAGGCGTGGTGGATCACACATGTAATCCCAGCACTTTGGAAGGCCAAGATGGGTGGATCACTTGAGGTCAGGAGTTTGAGATTACCCTGGCCAACATGGTAAAACCCTATCTGTACTAAAAATACAAAAAAATTAGCCGGGCGTGGTGGTGCACGCCTGTAATCCCAGCTACTCGGGAGGCAGAGACAGGAGAATCACTTGAACCCAGGAGGCGGAGGTTGCAGTGAGCCAAGATCACGTGATCGCACTCCAGCCTGAGTGACAGAGTGAGACTTCATCTCAAAAAAAAAAAAAAAAAGAAAAGAAAAAAGAAAAAGAAGAAGATGTAATGCACATGGATAACAGAAAGAGTGCGGAGGGCATTTCTGGAAGGTGTGGTCATACACCCGAGACAGGGAAACAGGAGGAAGTGAACAAAACAAAAAATAATACACGGTTTATTTGATTGAAGTGGAAAAGCTATTCCGCTTGTGAAGCAAGATGGGATTGGGAAGGGCACCTGGGAAGAGGGCTTTTGCTTGGAGTCATTGGGAAACAGGCTGCCTTAATACGGGTTGCCCTGAAGGAGGAGCCTGTGACAAGACTTGCCTGCTGGTGGTGTATTTAGGGTGATCCCTAGAAGCCGGAGAGAGGAAGCAGGAAGAGTGCGACAGGCAAGGAGGAAAGGCCAGTATTAGGGTGTGTTAATGAGACTGGTGCTATATGCAGGGGGCCTGATTCCCCTGGGACCTCCTGGGAAGATGCTGAATGCCCCCCAGAATTGACAACCTGAAGCTCAGGTAGCTGGAGTATTTTTCCAAGTCTCCAGCAAAGACCGCTCCTACATGCCTTACCCCTACTTCTAGGCTACCCACCTCCCATGCTGAGAGGGCTCCTTGGAACAAAAGTGCTCACTTGTGATGGAAAGCTGTCAGCACAAAGTTGATCTGAGCTTCCAGGGAGCTCTCCCAGCACCTATAGCTTCTGCACCTCCCGGCTGCTGCAGTGCACATGGTTTCAAGCTCTGCCCCTGCTGTGCCAGGACTCCTTCAGGACCTGGTGCCTACATCATTCCACAGCCAGCAGCCTCTCCTGGCACTATCCCTCTACTCCAAGCTGTTGTGTGGTGGAGCAACTCTACCAAAACTCTGCTTCCCCATAAACAGCTTTCCCCAGAACCCCAGAGGTCAGATTACCAGTAGGTTCCATGGGCATGACGCCATAGAAACTTCTTTCCCCTCCAGTGAGACCCAGCTGTGTCCTCTCCAACAAGGTCTGGCTCTGAGCAGGAGCAGAGGGGAGACTAATTCCTTGGGTGCTCAATCTCATTTTTGGACTTTGCACACTTCCCACATGAAGTGAAGAATCTCAGTCTTAAACTGTTCACTTTTCAAAGTGTTCACTCCTACAAGTGTTGAGGGAAGAGACTTAATACATCAAACAATCATATTAAGTTTCCGTTTGAACTTCTAGAGCCCCTTGGGCAGGCAAACTTGCTAGGCCTACGGAAAAAGAATCAAACCCCTTGGCAAGGTGTGGCAAGCCCTCAAAATCTGGCCCTGACTGGCAGATAAGTCAATGAGAGGGCTATGCCCCTAGCCAGCCATCCACACTCTGGGCCTGCTGTCAAGGTTCCTTCATCTAAAACACCCTTCCGTCTTGCTCTTTCAAGGTTTAGCTTAAGTCCCTCCTCCTCTAAGAAATCCTCCTCCTTCATCCTCCCTTTCTGCCTTGTGGGGTGTTTTATCATAGCACCTACTTACTTATAATTCAGCCCTCCCACACACTGAGTTTCTTAACTGAAGGGAATGGGTCAGATTCCTCCCTGAGTCTCTAGCCACTAGCACATAGCAGGTGTTCAGTAAATGTTTGATGAATGAATGAGCACATGCTAGTCAGTGCACACACACATAGCCAGTCAGGAAATGCCATTGTGGAACAGGTTTTGAGGTGAGGCTCACTTCTTGTGGCCAGGCCAGACTGACCCAGCCCATCTGATCTCCAATAAAGACTTGCCCCATGGCCTTTGACTAGTAACGTGTAGCCTGGATCCCTGGACCTGCAAAGACAGGTGATATTTATTGACCTCATAGCAGAAGAGGTGAGACCTAATTAACAATAAATGACAGGGCGCAGTGGCTCACGCCTGTAATCCCAGCACTTTGGGAGGCCGAGGCGGGCAGACCACCTGAGGTCAGGAGTTTGAGATCAGCCTGGGCAACATGGTGAAACCCCGTCTCTACTAAAAATACAAAATTAGCCGGGCGTGGTGACACATGATTTAATCCCAGCTACTCGGGAGGCTGAGGCAGCAGAATCGCTTGAACCTGGGAGGCGGAGCATGCGGTGAGCCGAGATCGCGCCATTGCACTCCAGCCTGGGCAACAAGAGTAAATCTCCATCTCACCAAACAAAACAAAACAAAACAAAAAACAGTAAATGGTTCGGCAGGGCACGGTGGCTCCTGCCTGTAATCCCAGCACTTTGGGAGGCCGAGGCGGGCAGATCACCTGAGGTCAGGAGTTTGAGACCAGTCTGGCCAACATGGTGAAACCCCATCTCTACTACAAATACAAAATTAGCCGGGCATGGTGGCATGTGCCTGAATCCCAGCTACTCAGGAGGCTGAGGCAGGAGAATCACTTGAACCCGGGAGACAGAGGTTGCAGTGAGCTGAGATCGCACCATTGCACTCCAGCCTGGGTGACAGAGTGAAACTCCATCTAAAAAAAACAAAACAAAACAAAATAAAAAAAACAAAACAAAACAAAATAAATGGTCCTAAGTAGCCTTTGGAAAAGTCACTGTGTATGTGTATAGTATGGAGGAAGGCAATGAAACCCAGTATGCTATTGCACATCCTTATTCCATGGGAGAGACAAGAAGATAAACTATTACTTTTTTTAATTCGCTCTAAAGGTAGTATACCCCATTATATGGTGGAAATGTTGATAGAGGAGTGAAGTTTCTCAGTAAGAGAAAAACATCTAATAGCTTGAGTTTGACTCCATGCTAATCCTCCAGTATTTCCCCTAAGGGGAACACAGATTTCTTCCCACAGTTACTTCAACGTGCAAGGTAAATGAAAAATCAAGAGAGAACCAATAGCAACATTAGAGGGATCCAGCATAGTCAAAAGTATTTTAGATACATTTTGTGGTCGGTTGGACCCTGGTTGGATCCAAGCATGGCTTGAGTTTCTAGAAGCTTGGACTGCCTGTCTTGGAGACTGAAGAACTTAGTGTAGGAATGTCAAAGCTCTGCTGACCAGTGGAAGGAGGAATTTTCCAGAAACAAGGCAAGTTTACACTCACCATCCCCTCAGCCATCCCCAAAACACCAACTAATACTAATTCAATAAACATGCATGTACTAAATGTTATTGGGAATGTGTCCTTGATTATGTTGAAACAACTCCAAATCGAAAAGTCCCTTTCGAACCATGCTTTGGGCAAAGTCAGGATAGCTCCAATTCCAAGATTAAAAACAAAACCTTAGCCAGGCACAGTGGTTCACGCCTATAATCTCAGCACTTTGGGAGGCCGAGGAGGGCAGATCACTTGAGCTCAGGAGTTTAGGACCAGCTTGGGCAAGATAGTGAAACCTCATCTCTACAGAAAATACAAAAAAATTTGTCAGGCATGATGGCTCGCGCCTGTAGTCCCAGCTACTCAGGAGGCTGAGGTGGGAAGATGACCTGAGCCCATAAGGTCGGGGCTACAATAAACTATGATTGTGTCACTGCATTCCAGCCTGGACGACAGAGCGAGACCCTGTCTCAGAAAAAAAGAAATTTAAAAAAAAAAAAAAACCTTGAAACATTTAAAAAGTTTTGACTCTGTGGACCACATTTTATTTGTAGCAAATTAATCAACCATTCTTTGGCTTGAATTATTTGGTTATAGTTGATCTTGAGTGACATATTGTCAGATTATATTCAGACCAATTGGGCAACAAATGAGACCAAAAAACACCAGTACAAATGTTTTAAAATTCTGCATTTTTAGGCCGGGCACGGTGGCTCATGCCTGTAATCCCAGCACTCTGGGAGGCCGAGGTGGGCAGATCACCTGAAGTCAGGAGTTCAAGACCAGCCTGGCCAACATGGCGAAACCCCATCTTTACTAAAAATACAAAAATTAGCTGGGTGTGGTGGCACGCGCCTGTAATCCCAGCTACTCAGGAGGCTGAGGGAGGAGGATTGCTTGAACCTGGGAAACAGAGATTGTGGTGAGCCGAGATCACACCACTGCACTCCAGCCTGGGTGACAGAACAATACTCCGTCTCAAAAAAAAAAAAAAAAAAAAATTCTGCATTTTTGCTCATTTCTGACTGCCAAAGCCTTCTAGCAAGGGATTTCACCTTTCAGAACACATTTTTCTTGGATATGTCTAAAGCAAAAGTAGCAAGCTGGGACTATTTGGTGGCAGGGCTGAAATAATGAAAACTCAAATTTAGTCTTGCAGAAGTAGTACAATTTATTTTCATAAAACTTTCATGTAAGGGTTTTTGAGCTGGTCTGCCCAAGAGCAGGCTGAAGTCAACAAACTGGCGATTCCTTCCGCTTTTAGCCCTACAGTCAAGGTGACAGTGATTACAAGAGGGAACTTGGATTTCTTGGGCAATTTGAAGAATTCCACACTCAACATTTAAATTTCAGAACAAGCCTGAGCAACACGGTGAAACCCCATCTCTACAAAAAATACAAAAATTAGCCAGGCTTGTGGTACACACCTGTGGTCCCAGCTACCCAGGAGGCTGAAGTGGGAGGCTTGCTTGAGCCCAGGAGGTGGAGGTTGCAGTGGGCTATGATCACACTGCTGCACTCCGGCCTAGGAGACAGAACTGAGACCCCATCTCAAAAATAAATTAATTTAAAAAATAAAAATAAATTTCAGAACAACCCATGAGGTACATGTTCTTATCTCCAATTTACGGATAAATAAAATGTATAAATTTATTTATTCTTGATAAATAAATAGAGAAGCAGAGATTGAGACCTGGGTCTGTCAGAACCAGAGCTTTGCTGAAGAGTCATAAGACCTCAAACCAGAAGGCATCTAAGGGATCATTATCCCAAGCCTTGCTTCCCTCATTTCAGACCACAGTTGGCTTTCTCCTTGACAGCTCCTACCCGGAGCCAAGGGACATCAGAGCCTCTGGCAGCCACAGAGAGTTTTCAGATGAGTGATTTTCCTGTGAGTCTCCATCTGTGTGCTTTAGTCTTGCAACCAGCAAGTGCAGGTGACTGGCTTTTCCAAGCCCCACCCGGTGCCGGTGGAATGAGTATTGACCTGTTCTTTCCTGCCTGATACCTCAGTCTCCCTCAACATGAGTTCCCTTCCATGAAATTCAAGGACATGGAGATTGGCGTCCACATGCCTTTCCCTTGCCAGGAGAACTCTGGAGTTTGTGCCAATATGAAGAAGATGACTTTTCAAATATGGGTATCTGTTTGGAAAAGGGGAAAAGTGAGAGTGACCACGGTGGTTTTTGTAACTCAACCTTAGGAAGCTCTGCCTGCCAGAGGAGCCAGGAGGGAACTGAGCTGGGGCGACAGAGGCCAGCAAAGCCCAGGGGAAAAGGCTCACATTGAGGAGGCTCTGGATTCGCTCCATACCTCTTAGGGCCAATGCTTCCTTTTCTCTGAGGCCTCCAATCCACTGTGTCTCTGAAATCTCAGGAACTGAGGTGAGCATCTCGGAATCAAACATTAGAAAGCCACCAGAGGCTAGGCATGGCGGCTCACGCCTGTAATCCCAGCACTTTGGGAGGCTGAGGCAGGAGGTTCACTTGAGCCCAGGAGTTCAAGATCAGCCTGGGGAACAAAGCGAGACCCTGTCTCTACAAAAAAAAAAAAAAAAAAAAAAAAACTTTTAAAATTAACTGAGCATGCTGGTGCGTGCCTTTCATCCCAGCTACTCAGGAGGCTGAAGTGGGAGGATCCCTTGAGCCAGGAATTCAAGGCTGCAGTGAGCCAAAATGGTACCACCGCATTCCTGCCTGGGTGACAAAGCAAGACCCTCCCATCTCTAAAAAACAAAAACAAAACAAAAATGAAAAGAAAGGCACTGTGTGTTTGGATGAAAGACTAGACGCTCAAAAACGTCTGAGTTGGCAACACAGCAAAATTTATAAGTAGCTTATTGAAGCAGGATGGAGCCTACCTTGAACCACTTGCAGTGGATAGGGGAATGATAAGGGAAAAATTAGGAATCATTGCCAGCGCAAGGTGTACACATCATTGGTGTATTTCAATGCTGTGTTAATGTGAACTGAATAATTATTTTTAGTAATATTCAAAGATGTACCCTTACATGTGTTTTTTGTTTTTGTTTTTTTCTTTTGAGACCGAGTCTCGCTCTGTTGCCCAGGCTGGAGTGCAATGGCACGATCCCAGGCTCACTGCAACCTCCACCTCCCGGGTTCGAGCAATTCTCCTGCCTCAGCCTCCCAAGTAGCTGGGACTACAGGCGCCTGCCACCGTGCCCAGCTAATTTTTGTATTTTAGTAGAAACGGGGTTTCACCATATTGGTCAGGCGGGTCTTGAACTCCTGACCTCAGGTGATCCGCCCACCTCAGCCTCCCAAAGTGCTGGGATTACAGGCATGAGCCACCGCGACCGGGCTTTTTTCTTTCTTTCTTTATTTTTTTTTTTGAGATGGAGTCTCACTCTATTGCCCAAGCTGGAGTGCAGTGACACTATCTCGGCTCACTACAAACTCTGCCTTCTGGGTTCAAGCAATTCTCCTGCCTTAGCCTCCCACATAGCTAGGATTAAAGGCACACGCCACCATGCCCGACTAATTTTTGTATTTTTAGTAGAGACAGGGTTTCACCATGTTGGCCAGGCTGGTCTCCAACTCCTGACCTCAAGTGTCTGCTCACCTTGGCTTCCCAAAGTGCTGGGATTACAGGCATGAGCCACATGCACCTGGCCTCCACGTGTCTCTTTTATATAGGGCTGCATTATGGCTTTTGTAGGCCGTATGCACTTCTGACTTGTGGATCTCTTTCCCCATTTAAAAAAAATTGTAATTTTATTTTATTTTTAAATTTATTTTTTAGAGACGGGGTGTCGCTATGTTACCCAGGTGGGTCTCAAACTTCTGGCCTCAAGCAATCCTCCTTCCTTGGCCTCCTAAAATCCTGGGATTACAGGGATGAGCCACCAAACCTAGCCCCCAAAATTGTATTTTATGAATTCATTGATATAAAGAAATACATGTTAATATTATATATGAAGTCATTTTCTTCCACCTAAAAGTTTATTCTTTTTCTTCTGATTCTAAAAGAAATTGAACTTTTCTGTGGGTCCTGGAAGTATGGTGGGCCCAAGTGCTGTGCCTGCTATGCCTATAGGATGAGTGGGCCCTGCTAACATAACGTGGGTTTCTGCCCTACACTCAGTACCTGGGGAACGTTTAAAAATAGCTTTGCTGGGCTGGGCGCGGTGGCTTACGCCTGTAATCCCAGCACTTTTGGAGGCCGAGGCGGGCGGATCACAAGGTCAGGAGATCAGACCATCCTGGCTAACACAGTGAAACCCCGTCTCTACTAAAAATACAAAAAATTAGCCGGGCGTGGTGGTGGGAGCCTGTAGTCCCAGCTACTCGGGAGGCTGAGGCAGGAGAATGGCGTGAACCCGGAAGGCGGAGCTTGCAGTGAGCCGAGATCGCGCCAACGCACTCCAGCCTGGGCGACAGAGTGAGACTCCGTCTCAAAAAAAAAAAAAAAAAAAAAGCTTTGCTTGGGGGCCCACTCAAGACCAATTAAATCAAAGTCTCCAGGGGCGAGGCCCAGGCATTCTATTTTTGGCATTTTTTTAAAGTTCTCCCAGGTGACTCTAATTGCAGCCAGAATTGTGCTCCTGGCTCTAATAGTATTTTCCTCATAGGACCTTAAGCTTCGCAGCAGCAAACTCTCCTATTGCTTTTTTTTTCTCCTTTTTCTTTTAAGACTAGCCTTTGAGGCTGGAGATGGGCCACTGTTCTACAGATCAATATTCCAAGCATAGGACTTGACTGTGTTTTCTTTCTATCAGAGAAAATCCACTTCTTTATATCAGAGAAGGGCAATGTTTTTGAAATGCTAACCGCAGAATCCTGCACTTTCTGCGCTTCCTGCCCCACTTCTCCTTTCCAAGCCTCTGCTCTTTGCAAGCTGCCTGCAGGGGGACACAGGGTGGAAAGCAGAGAGAAAGCAGTTGAAGATTGTTTCCAAAGCCTCTGGGCTTGGAGGTCTGCAGTCCTAGGTAAAAGTTGGGGAAATGTGAGGCTTACATGTGGGATTTGATTTGAGGGACTAGAACATCTTATTCCAGACTAGGGGGAGAGAAGACTGTGGAGGTGGTGGGGCAAAGCTGTGCTGAAGAAGCCCTTAAAACATGAAGAAGGAAAAAAATCCGGTTTCCCAGCACGAAGGCGCAAGTAGGAGCCCGTGGCCTCTACTAGACTGCCGCAGGCTGCACCAGCTGTCCCTTCCTGGACGAGGCCTTCCCTTCCCTGCAGTCAGCCCATCACCTGGTTACCAGCTGGGAGGGGAACACCCACTTGTGCCCAGAGATTTTGCACATTCCCTCTCTCCTGCTCCTGAGTACTCCATTCCCCCCTTACAATATTCTAGAACATTCTTAAGCTCAGAAGAGAGTGGAGCTCTGGATACCTCGCACTGATAAGGTGGCCTGGCCTATTTTCAGAGGATTAAAAAATTTGCAGAAAACAAAGAAAAAGTGAAAGATAACTCCCACAAACATAGTACAATTTATGTTTCAGCACCTTAATGAATTCACACCAGAAAAAGATTTAACCATTCAGCAATAAAATTCAGATATCTCAGAATTATAACGCCCTCAGTAGATATAAAAATGGTAGAAAACATTTTAGGAAGGAAAGTGACCTATATTGGATATGATGTGGACAGCTAAGAAGTATAATACTAAGGGACATATAAAGGAACAGTATAATGTAACACACTGAATTTGGCCAGAACATGCTCCGGTAAGGGAGTTCTTAGGATCACACACCATCTATCTTAATTACATACCTGCCCAAAAGATAGAACACAACAGGAAGAATGTACTTTTATTGAGCTTGGAGGGCTATAAAATAGTTACCTTGTTACAAACTTTGGTTTTTATATAGCAGCAGGGGACAAACTATTTGTTCTCTGTTTTACATTTTGTTTGCATAAAACAACATTGCTATGGAGTTGTAAAGAAAGATAAAATGGGAAGAGATTTTCAAAAGGGGGTTCTTTGTTACTTCTGAGTGTGGCAGCTGAGAAGTCAGATGTTGCATGGTACCTGCATTTTTTTCTTCAGCTGTTACTATTTGAATGAGAGGCACTTTATAAAATCGAGAAGTTTGAAACATGGTGTGTTGATGAAATCTTTCTGGAGATGGATGGTGATGGTGGTTACACAACGCTGTAAATGTACTCAATGCACTGAACTGTATGCTTAATAATAGATTAGCTGGTACATTTTATGTTATGCAGATTTTACCACAATTAAAAAAAAAAAAAAAGATGAAGGAGCTCCTGGGCCCAGGTTGTAGAGAAAAACAAAAAATGAAAAGAAAAACATTGTGGTTATGATTTTGATTTTATGTGTGTACACATACATATGACAAAAGGAAGAAAGGAGATTATTTATTTTTATTAAAAAAAGTTTTCTAGGCCGGGCGCAGTAGCTCACGCCTGTAATCCCAACACTTTGGGAGGCCGAGGCAGGCAGATCACGAGGTCAGGAGTTCAAGTCCAGCCTGGCCAAGATGGTGAAATCTCGTCTCTACTAAAAATACAAAAATTAGCCAGGCGTGGTGGCACGTGCCTATAATTCCAGCTACTTGGGAGGCTGAGGCAGAAGAATCGCTTGAACCCAGGAGGTGGAGGTTGCAGTAAGCTGAGATCACGCCACTATACTCCAGCCTGGGCCACAGAGCAAGACTCTGTCCAAAAATAAAAAAATAAAAAACAGGTTTCTGGCTGATGGAAATGTAAAATCTGAGCATTAGTGCACGTTTGAGACCTTATGAGCATCTAATAAAACCATCTAGTTATAAAATATTACAAATTAGCTTATTTTAAAAAAAGAAATTCAGAAAATCACTTATAACATGTAGTATCTTGTTCAAGCCCCACCTCACCACACTTCCCTTCCCTTCAGTCTTCTACCATTCAAAGCATCCACAGCCAGAAAAAAAAAAAAAAAATCCACACAAACTAATGACAAACTCCCCTTATGAAATCTATAAAAATTACCAAAATATTTTGACATTTTTCTCTTATTCAAATGAACTAATGGAGAGGCACCAACAAAGAAGTATTAAGATACATGTAGGTTAAAAAAAACTTCTTATGCAGACCTGGATATTATAACACAATTTGTTGAAAATGCTTTTATGTTGACGCAGGCATCATTTTTTTTGAAATATTCCTATTGTTCTCCAATAACTCCACCAATAATAAAATTGCCAGTTTCATTTCCATCTGCTTGACTTTGATACCTGCTTTCATCAGTGAAGACCTGGGAGGGAGGGGGAGTGACAGGCATCTTGCTGACTCCACATGCATCATCTCATCCAATCCGCACAGTAGCCCAGGCAATGTGGTTAAACCCATGGTGCAAGGAGGAGAGTGGCACATCGAGATTATAGAATTTGCCCACGGCTAATAAGTGACAGGGCTACTATTCAAATCTAGGTTTGTCCAATTCCAGAGCCTGTATGCTTATGCATTGCGATATATCACACATGCCTATAGGGCTAACTCTCTTTTTCATAGTTGGTTTTCTGTTTGTTTGTTTTTGTTTTTGAGACAGAGTCTTGGTCTGTCACACACGCTGGAGTGCAGTGGCGTGATCTCAGCTCACTGCAACCTCTGCCTCCCAGGTTCAAGCACGATTCTTGTGCATATAATGCATTTATTTTTTTATTATAAAAGTAATCTAAGGCCGGGTGCAGTGGCTCATGCCTGTAATCCCAACACTTTGGGAGGCCAAGGCAGGTGGATTACTTGAGGCCAGGAGTTCAAGACCAGCCTGGGCAACATGGCAAAACCCCATCTCTATTAAAAATATAAAAATTAGCCGGGCATGGTGGCATGCTCCTGTAATCCCAGCTACTTGGGGAATTGAGACAGGAGAATCACTTGAACCCAGGAGGCAGAGGTTGCAGTGAGTCGAGATCGTGCCCTCTGTCTCAAAAAAAAAAAAGATCGCGCCACTGCACTCCAGCCTGGGTGACAGAGTGAGCCTCTGTCTCAAAAAATATATATATATAAATAAAATAAAACACAAATGAACTATGGTATGGCATGTCCATACAATGTAATATTATTCAGCATTAAAAATAAATGAGCCATCAAACTATGGAAAAGACATAAAGGAACCTTAGATGCATGTCGCTAAGTGAAAGAAGCCAGCCTGAAAAGACTACAAATCGTATGGCTTCAATAATGTGTCATTCTAGAAAAGACAAAACTATAGAGAAAGATAAAAGATTCATGGTTTGGCCTGGCATGAGGGATCACACCTGTAATCCCAGCACTTTGGGAGGCCGAGGCGGGCCAATCACCTGAGGTCAGGAATTTGAGACCAGCCTGACCAACATGGCGAAACCCTGTCTCTACTAAAAATACAAAAAATTAGCCAGGCATGGTGGTGCGTGCCTGTAGTCCCAGCTACTCAGGAGGCTGAGGTGGGAAAATTGCTTGAACCTAGGAGGCAGAGGTTGCAGTGAGGTGAGATAGTGCCACTGCCTTCAGCCTGGATAACAGAAATGAAACAAAAACAAAAAACCCATAGCACTTTACAGCACAAAGTACATACTTAACACAGATTTTTAAAAGTTTGTGTGTTGGGGGGTGGGAAGTGTTATGGACTGAATGTGTCCTCCAAAAATTCATCTGTTGAAGGCCTAACCTTCAATGAGATAGGATTAAGAGGCAGGGCCTTTGGGAGGTCCTTAGGTTTCGATGAGGTCATGAGGGTAGGGCCCTCATGATGGGATTAGTGTCCTTATAAGAAGAGGAAACCAGTGTCTGAGTCACATGAGGATACAGCAAGAACGCAGCTGACTAAAAGCCAAAAAGTGGGACCTTATCAAGGATTGAGTCTTCCAGCACCCTGGTCTTGGACTTCCCAGGTTCCAGAAGCATGAGAAATAAATGTCTGTTGTTTAAGCCACAAAGTCTTAAGCTGACTAAGACAGTGGGAAGTTTTCTTTCTTCTGGAACTCCCTTTCAAGTCTCTGGCCATAGGACCATGCCTTTCTTTTCCATACCATTTTCTGAATTTTTTTTTTTTTTTTTTTTTTTTTTGGAGACAGAGTCTCGCTCTGCCTCCCAGGCTGGAGTGCAATGATGCAATCTTGGCTCACTGCAACCTCCACCTCCCAAGTTCAAGCAATTATCCTGCTTCAGCTTCCCGAGTAGCTGGGATTGCATGCCAGTGCCACCACACCCGGCTAATTTTTGTATTTTAGTAGAGATGGGGTTTCACCATGTTGCCCAGGCTGGTCTCTAACTCCTGACCTCAAGTGATCTGCCCACTTTGGCCTCCCAAAAGTTCTGTCACCCAGGCTAGAGTGCAGTGGCGCCATCTCAGCCCACTGCAACCTCTGCCTCCCAGGTTCAAGCGATGCTCCTGCCTCAGCCTCCCAAGTAGCTGGGACTACAGGCACACACACCACCACACCCAGCTAATTTTTGTATTTTTAGTAGAGATGAGGTTTCACCATGTTGGCCAGGCTGCATTTTCTGAAATCTGCTTTCCCTGTTGGTAATCTCCCTGTGCAGGTTCTGGGGTCTCATTAGCTAATGACTGTTTTTTTGTTTTTGTTTTCTGAGAGGAAGTTTTGCTCTGCTGCCCAGGTTAGAGTGCAATGCACAATCTCGGCTCAGTGCAACCTCCATCTTCCATCTCCCAGGTTCAAGCGATTCTCCTGCCTCAGCCTTCCAAGTAGCTGGGATTACAGGCACCTGCCATCATGCCCAGCTAATTTTGTATTTTTAGTAGAGACTAGGTTTCATCATATTGCCCAGGCTGGTCTCAAACTTCTGTCCTCAAGTGATCTGCCCACCTCGGCCTCCCAAAGTGCTAGGATTACAGGCCTGAGCCACTGTGCCCGGCCTCATTAGCTAATGACTTTGAATAAGTTATTTATACATATATGCCCTCATTTACTCATGTCTAAAATGGTAATGATATAATAATAGTAACTACCTCATAGGATAATTACTATTTATTTCATTGTGAGAAACTATGAAATAAAATATCTTTGCCTTTATGAACTATAAGGTGATTTAGTTTTTTGGGGTTTTGGTTTTTGAGACAGAGGATAGATAGTACATTTACATAATTTAAAAAGGTGTACACAGAGAAGCCTCACTCTCACTCTGCCCCATCCACCCATTCCTCATCTGGTCGCCCATAAGTAACAGTTTTTATTAATTTCTCATTTATCTTTCCAGTGCTTTTGTAAGCAAATACAAGCAAATTAAAATAAAATATAAATACTTATTTCTCTAATATTCTTATGGAAAAGAAGCATACTATGTACTTTCTGACCCTCGATTTTTTTCAACTTTTCATCTTGAAATGATTTCAGACTTGAAAAAAATTTGGAAAAGTAGTATAAAGAATTCCCATAATCCTTCACCCAAATCTCCCAAGTGTTGACATCTTACATCACCCAAAGTACAAAGATCAAAATCAGGAAACTGGTCGGGCGCAGTGGCTCACGCCTGTAATCCCAGCACTTTGGGAGGCCAAGACAGCCAGATCACTTGAGATCAGGAGTTTGAGACCAGCCTGGCCAACAGGGTGAAACCCCATCTCTACTAAAAATACAGAAATTAGCTGGGCATGGTGGCACGCACCTGTAATCCCAGCTACTCGGGAGGCTGAGGCAGGAGAATCGCTTGAATTCAGGAGGTGGAGGTTGCAGTAAGCCAAGATGGTGCCACCACATCCAGCTTGGGTAACAGCCAGACTCCGTCTCAAAAAAAAAAAAAAATCAGGAAATTAACATAAAGGCAATACTACTATATAACTGACAGAGCTTATTAAATTGTCACTAATTGTCTATCTAGTTATCTAACTTCTGCTTTCTTCTTCAGGAGCCACTCAGGATCCCACACTGCACTTAGTGGTCAGGTCTGTGGTCTTCTCCCATCTGTGATAGTTCCTCTATCTTTCCTTGTCTTTCATGATCTTGACATTTTTGAGGAGTACTGGTCAGTTACTTTGTAGAATCTCCCTCATTTGGAGTTTATCTGATGTTTTCTCAAGATTAAATGTAGGTTATCCATCCTTCGAAGAATATCACCAAGGTAATAAACCCTCAATGCATATTGTTAGTGGGATAGGATGCTGCTATGTCCTGCCACTGGTGATGTTAACCTTGGTCGCCTGGTTAAAGTTGTGTCTGCTGGGTTTCTTCACTGTAAAGTTACTATTTTTACCTTTGTAATTAATAAATATCTTGGGAGAGATAGTTTAAGGCTATGCAAATATCCTGATTCACCTCAAATTTTTGCCCAGTCATCTTAACATCTATTAGTAGATTGTGCCTGTAATAATTATTACTGTAGTGTTTGCCTAATGGTGATTTTTTATTTCCCTCATTAATTATCATGATTTCCTCATTTATTATTATAAGTAATTGAAATTCTATCTGGAGAATTACTGTCCTTTCTCATCTATTTGTTTGCTTGTTTATATGAGTATGGACTCATGGATATTTATTTTATGGATTATAATACCATCATTATTTTATTGCTCAAATTGTCCCAGCTTGGCCACGGGGAGCTCTTTCAGGTTGGCTCCTGCACACTTGTGACCTGCCCCATCCTTTCATGAGCACTTCCTTACTTTCTTGCATTTCAAGATGTTCCAGGCTCTTCTTGTGTTTTCCCTGCCTAGGAGCCTGGAATCAATCACTGCTCCAGGGAGGCCTGGTTCCTTTTATTTAGAAACAAAAATCTGGGCACTGAGTGTGTTTATTGTCACTGGATGTCATTGCTTCTAGGGCCTCATAGAGAACAGAGCTTGAAATAATACATATGTATACTAAGCCATGCACATCTATATTTCTGTAACTGTATATACATAAAATGTTAAAAAACAAATTCATACTGTGATAGCTCAGATTCCAATCCAACATGACAGGGTTCATTGTAGCCCCCCTTCCTCTTATTTGTAACTTCTTTGGCGGTGAGAAACCTGGCTCTCAACATCTTTAATGCATTTACAGATGACCCTTGAATAATGTGAGGGTTGGGATGCCACTCCTATGTGGAATCAAAAAACCACAGATAATTTAAAAAAAAATTTTTAATAGAGTCTTGCACTGTTGTCCAGGCTGGAGTGCAGTGGCACAATCATAGCTCATGGCAGCCTCAAACTCCTCAGCTTAAGCAATCCTCCTGCTTCAGCCTCCCAGTAGATAGGACTATAGGCACGCACCACCACACCTGGCTAAAAATCTACATATAACTTTTGACTCCCCATAAACTTAACTATTAATACTAATAGCATACTGTTGACTAGAAGCCTTACTGATAAGTTGATTTGCATGTATTTATTACATATTCTTAAAATACAGTTAGAGAAAATGAAATGTTCTTAAGAAAATCATAAAAAAGAGAAAATATATTTACTGTTCATTAAGTAGAAGGTGGTCATCCTAAAGGTCTTCATCCTCATCGTCTTTACACTGAGTAGGCTGAGGAGGAGAAAGAAGAGGGGTTGGTCTTGCTACCTCGAGGGTGGCAGAAGTGAAAGACAATCCTTGGATAAGTGCACCCTTGAAGTTTAAGCTTGTGTTGTTGAAGGGTCAGCTGTACCTATTTTTTCAGCTTTAGTATACACAGAAAGTAGTTGCAGAATTCCTAACCTCCACCCCCCGCCCATGAGAAGTGTATTAACCATACAGTATTTGTGTATCAAGTCAAAACCCTATTTTCCCTGGGTACTCAGGTTGGTTCTTTTCTTCCCTACCCCCTTCAGTGTGGTTATGTTATTCATCTGTATTATGGTTGGGTTCTTTTGTTTTTTTTTATTTCTAAGAGACAGGGACTCACTCTGTCATTGAGGCTGGAATGTATGGAATGTAGTGGCATGATCTCAGCTCATTGCAGCCTCAATCTCCTAGGCTTAAGTGATCCTCTCGCCTCAGTCCCTGAGTAGCTAGGACTGCAGGCATGCGCCACCATGCCTGGCTAATTTTGTATTTTTTGTAGAGACGGGATTTTGCTATGTTCCCCAGGCTGGTCTCAAACTCCTGGGCTCAGGCAATCTGCCCACCTCGGCCTCCCAAAGTGCTAGGATTACCTGTGTGAGCCACCATGCCCAGCCTGGTTGGGTTTATTTGTAATTGGGTTCCATTTGGGGCTCCCAAACATCTTAATTTTTTAAAATTTACATTCAGTAAAATTCACTCTCTGTAGTTTGCAGTTCTATGAGTTTTGACAATGTAGAGTCATGTATCTACACCACAGTCATGCAACAGAACAGCTGCATCAGCCCCCAAAATCCCTCATACAGCTTAATCAACCCCCCCACACCTCCTATTTTTGGCAACCACTGATCTGGTTTTTGTCCTTATAGTTTTGCCTTTTCCAGAATGTCATATAAGTGGATTTGAGTATGTAGACTTTGGGGTCTGGCTTCTCTCACTTAGCAGAATACATCCATTGTACTCTACAGGTCACAATCCACTGTTATTATTTCTCTTATTGCTCAGATTCCCTAGGTTTGGCTGTTTTGAGCCCTTTCAAGCTGGCTCCTGTGATCTTCTGACATGTTCTCACCATTTTTCTAGCATTTCCTTACTTCCAGGCACCATAAGCTGGTTCAGGATCATCTTACACTTTCCCTTTCCCAGCCCTGGAGTCCTCACCCCATTTTTCCAAGGAGTGGTGGAGACCTTGAGAATCCCCCTCCAGTGGGCGAAACAGCCCACTCCAGAGAAGGCATGGAGAGAAACTCACTTATCCACTGGAGAGTACAAGAGAGGAGAGAGAGGAAATAGCTCGTCTCATCAGAAGATGGCCAGGTATAGGGATTAAATGCAGATGGGTGGTTAATATGTAATTCAAGCTGATGGTGGCGCATATCAGTGCTGACACCATTAAGCATCTATAGCTTCTGTGATTCCCAGCAAGATTTCCAAACAGCATTGGGCATAAAAGGCTAGTCAAGGTTTCCAAATACCATGCCAAGCCTAGGATGCCCCCTTCCATCTTGATATGTAGTCTCATTGCCTTTATACCAACTGTCCCCCCACCTCCCTGCCATTAATAGCCACAAGAGTGAAGCTACATTCATGGACTGAACCCCCACCAAGTCGGTCAATTACCTCAGTTGAGAACCCTCTTGATTTCTCCCTAAAAATTGTGTTTAAAACTTGTTTTTAAAATATTTTTTGACACCCCTTTGCTAAAGCAGTTTGTGTCAGGGGCAGCTGTGACAGTCACCTGGGGTTGCTACGGGAACGGTGTCCATGGATTGCAAGCGACACCTGGCTAGCGGTGGGCAGCTGGCGAGCTACATGGAAGGAGGGCTGTTTTTCCTTTGAAAGTAGAACATTTCTTCCTTCAGGTTGTGAACAGTTAGCCACGGGGCGTGGGATTTTACTTAGGAAAGAGAGGCTGCTGTGGGACTGGGCACCCACTTGCCATGGCAGCTGGGAAGGGAGAGGAGTCAGCAAAAACTGGCTGGGACTAACGCTCCGAGGACGCACTGGCTCAAGCTGCCCTTTACCAGCTGAGGCCAATGACTGTGGGTGAGGCAGGGAAACCAAGGGGAGCCCGGGGGTGAAGGATTGCAGTGGGGGTCAGGGAAACTGCAGGTACCACACTGGGTGCCTCGGTTCCTGTTAGAGCTCCCTCCCTGCCCAGGGCCAACACCAGAGACCAGATCCCTGACCTGAACTACAGTCCCACTGCTGTACCCAGATGCCCTTGCAGTCATTCATAGTCACTTTGGGTGAGTTGCATTTGTCAGTCGGACTGATCCCCATGTATTCCTGCATTCCAGGCATAATGCAGAAGCCACTGCTCCCAAGAGCCTGCCCCACTGGTTTGCATGAGACTCACGTGCCTGGGTCATTATAATAAGCCCCACTAAGATGGGACTCAGGTCAATGAGGACAGAGCATCTTCTAGTATAACAAGTAAGGGTTTATTGATGTTGGCCTTTAGATACTAAAAAATAATTGTTTTTGTAAATAGCAAAGGCAAAGGCAAGAGTAGCCAGTGTTAGCTAAGGCAGTGGAGTGGTTCTCAACCCGCGCTGCACATCAGCGTCACCTGGGGAACTGTTTCAGCCCAGTGATTCTGTGGCTCTAGAGTGCAGCCTGGCTTGGATTTTTAAATACTCCCCTCGAGTGATTCTTAGTGGGTGGCCAAAATAGAGAACTCCTGCTCTAAAGTAGAATAACCTCTAAGCTAAAGAAAATTTGGACCCCATGAGTATAACAGATACTATCATACCTTGGAGATAGCATGCCATAATGTGGTTCAGTTCATTATTAGACGAAAGTTTCCTCGAAGCTGAATCTGCATTTACACACATTATATCACCCTCTGGAAACAGAAGTAAGAGTCAGGAAAGCAGATTTCCCCATAAGTACTTCTTATACTTCCAGTGTAGCTCACCCGTTAGATAGAAACACAAGGCTTCATTTTCTCTTTGCATTGATTTGATGATTGTCCCTGGTCATTGAATAGGGGACCTTAGGGGCCACACACTGCTATGAGGAAAAGCAGCATTCACAGTCAAAGCTCTGGTGAGACCAGCATTACAGGCCCTGGGGATGTCCCAGCGTCTGACCCTGAGCAAAACTGTGTAGCAGTTTTGCTCCCACACTTCATGGCTGAGAATAAGGAGGAGAGGTTTCCTACGGTTGGAGGTTCTGGGCAGCAACGTCTACCATGACCTCCGCAGTGAACCTGTAGGCAGGGAGCCCCAGAGACAGGGTGAGAGCAGAGTCAGTGAGGGCCTGGGGTGCTAATTAATGACCTTAGCATTGGAGAATGATGGTATTAGACTAAGAATGAGACCAGTCAGAGAGAGGAGAGTCAGGAGATCTGGCGGTGGCTCCAGTGGTAACACATCTGAGAGTCACTTCAAAAGTCACCCACCCTTGAGGTCATCAACTGCCTTAAGAGACATGGGAACATAGTCACTGAAAGTGAAGGGACCCACCTATGGTCACACAGCCAGATAGGGGCCTGGAGAGAGCAGATGTCTGCGGCTTCATCTCAGTCAGTCCTGTTCATTCTGAAAATGCTTCCGAGCACCGGGCATAGAGCCAGCTTGTGCTCCACACTGGGGACGTAGTGGAGAACCCCGTCTTCAAGGGTTCAGCTCACACACCCTGCACTGCTTTCCCATGCCTGCTGTAACCAATTACCACAAAGCTACTGGCTTAAAACAGCACACATTTATTATCTTACAGCTCCGTAGTCCAGGAGTCCAACACGAGGCTCACTGGGGCCAAAATCAAAGTGTCAGCAGGGGTGCATTCCTTTCTGGAAGCTCCTGGGAGAGCCAATTTCCTTCCCTCCTGAGGCCCCCACACTCCTACCACACGGCCCCCTTCCTCCATCTTAAAGGCCAGCAACGCTGGGCGGGTCCTTCTCACAAAGCAACACTCTGCGCTCCTCTGCTGCCTCCTCTTCCACTATTAAGGACCTTGATGATGATATTGGCCCCACCTGGATAATCCAGGCTCATTTCCCTGTATTAAAGTCAGCTGATTAGCAACCTTCATTCCATCTGTTAATTCAATCCCCTTGGCCGTGTAACAACACACTTACAGGTTGCAGGGATGGGGGCCTAGACATCCTTGGGGACCATTATTGTGCCTACCACACTTCCTGTGAGACTTCATGACCACCGGGTTGTGGTGGGAGAAAGGCTGGGAATCCAAAAGCTCAGCAGAGCTGAACTAGGTGTCGCAAGAAGAAAACTCCCCCCAGGCGATCATCCCAGGATGGAACCTTTCTGCAGTAAACACAGCAGCTGGAGAAAGGCGGTCTAGACATCAAGGATTTGTGTGCGCCAGCCTCACCTGATCACGCACAGACTGTGTTTGCCGGAAAGTGGAAATGTTATGCGCGGTCTGGGAGACCAAGTTCTCTCCCAGGGCCAGAGGCATAGTGTCTGGAATGAGCCAGAAGTTTAAAAGCTAACCTGTTATGAAATCAGCCAAGAGCAGAAAGCGCAAAGCTTCCTGGTCCTGCCCCGACCCCACGCCCGCTTGCATAACTCTAGGCAAGCAACTGAGAGCGTTTAGAGACCCCAGAGGACCTCCCAGTTCCAGCCAGCAGGAGGACGGTCACAGAAACTCAAACCCAAGAGGATGTATTTGGACTGGAAATAGTCTCCCAACTGGTCACCCTATCTTTAGCTTCCTCTTCACCTCCCTGCTGCCCCAGCAATCTTTCCAACAGGCCAAGCAGAGCACACTCATCCAGCTGAAGCCCTGCGGTGACTTCGTGGACCCTTCACAATAAAATCCTCTCTCCACAGAGAGTCGGGCAAGGCCCCTTGCAACCTTGGCCTTGCCCTTTGTGTCCACAGCTCGGTTTCATGAAAACACAACCATCTTTACATCCTCCAGGCCTCTAGAATGAACTCCCCTTCCTTCTCTTTCTGGAAAACTCTAAGTCACTATTCAAGACCACATACCACTTCCCCAGGATTCCCACTAGAGCTATGTGGTCGCTTTGCTCTCTGTTCCCAGCCGGGATTCTCCTGCTGTGCTGAGCACCTGGAGGGCAGGAGAACTGTTGTTTCATATATGTCCCAGGGACCTACTGAGCCTGGCTCAGTGGACGCTGTAGAAACATTTGTCACATTAAGAAGGATTATAAGAGGTTGGCACGCTCTGCTTTTCCAGTTCTCTTGGAATTAGGAATTTGGAAATGGAATCCGAATCAGTTTTACTAATGTCTGAAATCGGACTAAGTCCGCCCCTAAAAGAAAAACTACGTTGGCAGGTCTGATAGATGGATGGCATTCATGGCCACAACTAGTGACCTTCTGTATCCACACCCTTGGCAATGTGAGTTTGCAATGCCTCATTAAAAGGTAGAGCATATTTTCTCCCCCCGCTTGTATCTTGGCTGGCCTGCTTTGGCCAACAGAATATAGCGGAACTGGCAATGTGTCCTTTAAGTCCAGGCCTCATGAGGCCTTTACTGCTTCTGCTCTTCTCGTAGGACCCCTGTCTCCACTGAGAGAACAAGCCTGGACTAACCTGCCAGAGGAAGAGAACAGGCACGGGTCAGTCTGTGGAGCAGAGCCAACTCTTCCTACCTGAGGCCATGCTAGACAGGCCAGCCCCCAACCCAACTGCCAGGGACCACTGAACAAGCCCACCTGGATTCAGCCAGCCTGGGCCCAAATCACCAAAACCACCCAGCCACCATGTAGACATGTGCCATAATAAATGGTTGTTGCTTTCAGCTACTAGATTGGGACGAGTTTCGTTACACAGCGTAATAGATAACAGATTAGGACAGCTGATGGCTGAGAAGCAAATGAGAAATGAGTGCTTGACTATTCTACGAGTGGAAAGGAGGGAGTTTATTGTTTTCGTTATTAAAGTTTTATTCTAAGGAAAATGTCCCTTCCTCCTTTGATCTATATACACTATCGATGCTTTTATTTTCTTTCTTTTCTTTCTTTTTTTTTTATTGAGACAGAGTTTCACTCTTGTCTCCCAGGCTGGAGTGCAGTGGCACGATCTCAGCTCACTATAACATCCGCCTCCCGGGTTCAAGTGATTCTCTCGCCTCAGTCTCCCAAGTAGCTGGAATTACAGGCACTTGCCACCATACCCGGCTAATTTTTGTATTTTTAGTAGAGATGGGATTTCTCCATGTTGGCCAGGCTGGTCTTGAACTCCTGACATCAGGTGATCCATCTGCCTTGGCCTCCCAAAGTGCTGTGATTACAGGTACGAGCCACCGCACCCGGCCTATGATTGCTTTTCATTTGCTTCTTCCTGGAGTTCACTTGGGATCGAGAAGCAGCAATGGACTCCAACATAGTCTTTTCCTGAGTGGAAATAATTAATTCAGTGCTTCCTGAAATAAGGAAGCCATTGGAGACCTGTTTTTTGAACCTACCTAATGAGTCTTGTATCTGTGTTCTGGATGCTGGCTTAGAAAGAGGCTGGGCACGGTGGCTCACGCCTGTAATCCCAGCACTTTGGGAGGCCAAGGTGGGTGGATCATGAGGTCAAGATATTGAGACCATCCTGGCCAACATGGTGAAACCCTGTATCTACTAAAATACAAAAAATTGGCTGGGTGTGGTGGCTGGTTCCTGTAGTCCCAGCTACTCAGGAGGCTGAGGCAGGAGAATTGCTTGAACCCGGAAGGTGGAGGTTGCAGTGAGCCAAGATCGTGCCACTGCACTCCATCCTGGTGATAGAGCGAGACTCCGTCTAAAAAAAAAAAAAAAAAAACAAAGAAAGAAGTTATGGGCCTGGTGGAAAAGATCAGTTGAAGAAGGGTTTATATGGGACATCAAAAATAAGAACAAAGATAAGACCCAACCTGATTCTGAAATTTTGACAGAGGTGGAGGTGAGATGTCAGGCTAGGGAGGCAAGGCCCTGGAATCTGAAGTGTGGTGTGGTGATGGTCATCTTACAGGATCCTGAAGACCTGAGGACCTTATGATCAAGTCAGCACATCCAGAACACATTTACGTCTGTCCCAGCTGGTTTGGGCTTGCTCTAACATTTCCGCATAACTCACTGGGCCTGATTCAAGGATAATTTGTAAAGTTCAGAATTTTTCTTAGCAAAGTTGAGTAAGAAGGACAGAGGGGTTGTTACTGTCACTGAAATGTATCCACCACTCCAAGCCCAGCTCAAATCCCACTGCTTCCCTAGCCACCTAACTGGAAGATGCTCCCTTCCTCCTCTGAATTCCACAAGCAACTCCTGAGGATTGCAGGGCACATATCTTGACTGGCTTGACATGTAACTTAATGTTATCCAACTGCTAGCCTTTGCAAGGGCCCTACCTACTTCAGGTGCAAATGCGCAGCCTTTAAACTGGGCAAATAAACTTTTGATGGGGATCTTGGGAACCCAACCACCACTTATAATGTTGCTTCCGTGAGAAATGTGTTCTCTGTTCTCAGAGAAAGGCTGGGAAATGACCTTTGGTTGGGGCACCAGGCATCTCCAAGATTTGTCAGCTTTGAGCATGGGAGAAGCACATCCCCCTGGAGGACTTTTTAATTTTACTTAAGAAACACATTCACATATATTTCGCATGATTTATGTGTCACTCCAGTTCAGTTTAAACTCCTTTAATTATATTCTTCTCCAACCTCTGATCCAGAGGTAACCTCTCCCTTCCCTAACCCGCAGCATGCTCTCAGTCAAGAAGGCTTTTTCGGCCAGGCGCAGTGGCTCACCCTTGTAATCCCAGCACTTTGGGAGGCCGAGGCGGGCAGATCACAAGGTCAGGAGATCGAGACCATCCTGGCCAACATGGTGAAACCCTATCTCTACTAAAAATACAAAAATTAGCTGGGCGTGGTGGTGTGCACCTGTAGTCCCAGCTACTAGGGAGGCTGAGGCAGAAGAATTGCTTGAATCCAGCAGGCAGAGGTTATAGTGAGCCAAGATCGCGCCACTGCACTCCAGCCTGCCAATAGAGCGAGACTCTGTCTCAAAAAAAAAAAAAAAAAAAAAAAAAAGAAGGCTTTTTTTCCCTGACCTTTCTCAAACACCTCAGCTGTTTGCTTCTTGTGTTGCTCTGCTGTCGGAAGGACCATAGTTTGGAATCACTGTTCCACAAAGTTTGGTGACCATATGTGATCATCCATTCTTCGTGTCTTGAGCCACAGGAGACAAATTTGTGCCTCCAGAAACAGTTGTGAGGTCAGGCCCAAGAGGGCACAGCCATGGAGAGCACTCCCTCATGGGAGGGGCCAACAGGATGGCTGGGGAGGGTGCCGTGAGGCAGATGGCAGATTAGCAATGCAGGCCTGTGGGGCAATAGCTGATGGACATTAGGCCTGACACCCCATCTCAGACTACTACTTTGCCCATGATTTCTCTCTTCCAATTCTTCTCTTCTTGTTTATTTTCCAATAAGAAGTAAATATGGAGCTATGGAAAATTTCAAACATATACAAAAGTAGATAGAACATACAAAAAATCCATATACCTGTGACCCAGCTTCAATTGTCTACTTACAGCAAATGTCATTTTTTTCTATTTCTCCACCCATTTCCCTTCATCATGATTATTTGGAAATCAATTCCAAGCATCAGATCATTTTTTTCTTTATTTCAGTAATTCTAAAAGATAAGGACTGTGGTTTTTTTAAAGAAAACACAATAAAAATAAATTAACAATAATGTTTCAGTATTATCAAATATCCAGCTAGTGTTCAAATCTCCAAATTTGTCAAAAGCCAAAATTATTTTTTTAACGGATTATTGGACTCCAGATCAAAGAAGGTCCACATACAGCAATTGGTTGGTGTATCTCTGAAGTCTCTTTGAATCCATAGGTTTTCCCCTTGGTTTTTTTGGTTTTCTTTTACTTTGGAATCTGTTAAAGTAACTGGGTGGTTTGTAGAATGGAATTCCCTGCAGTTTGGACTGCATCCCCATGGTGTCATTTAGCCCATTGCTGTGCCTCTGTCCTTCCTGTACATTTGTACTGGAGCTAGGGGCCTGACTACAGTCAGGTTCACTTTTTAGGCCAGTCTCCCTAGGTGGGTCTGTTCCTCAACAAGAGTCACAGCATGTTCCCGTGTCTCTGTTTACCATGTTAGTGGTGGTTGCTGCTTACTGCCTAGATCCTTAACTCATAGGAGCTGCCCTTGGTTTTTTGTGTTTAAAGGTAAAATGTAATGCATACACTATAAAATTCACCATTGTAAAGTATACAGTTCAGTGGTTTTCAAAGTATATTCACAAGGTTGTACAACCATCATTACCATCTAACTCCAGAACATTTTCATCACCCTCAAAAGAAACTCTGTTGGCATCATGCCTTAACCTCCCCTCTTCCCAGGCCCTGGCAACCACTAATCTACTTTCTGTCTCTATAGATTTTCCTATTCTGAAATTTTCATATAAAAGGAATCATTTGTGGTCTTTCGTGGCTGGCTCCTTTCATTTAGTATAGTGTCTTCAAGATTCACTGATGTGGTAGCATGAATCAGTACCTCATCTGTTTTTATTGCCAAATAATAGTCAATTGTGTGGATTGACCACAGTTGGTTTATCCATCCATCAGCAATGGTCATTTGGGTTGTTTCTGCTTCTGGCTACTGTGAATAACACTGCTATGAACTTTTGTGTACAAGTGCTTGTGTGGATGTGTGTCATCATTTCTCTCGGGCACAGCCCCTGGCGTGGAACTTCTGGTTCATATGGCAGCTCTATGCTTAATGTTTTGAGGAAGTGTCAGGCTGCATTCCACAGCGGCTGCCCCATTTTCTATTCCTACCAGCACTGTAAGTGGGTCCCGATTTCTCCACATCTGTGCCAACACTTGTTATTGTTGTCATTTTGATTACAGTCCTCCTGGTGGTACCCATGGTTTTTGAATCATTGCCTACCCAAGCTCAAGCTGCGCACGCACAAGAGTATAGCTCAAATACACAGTATTTTCAAGGCAGGTAGCTCTGGCCTCCACCTGCTACTAGAGAGGGAAAACTTACACACACACTGTCACCTCTCACACACACTTTCACACTCACACACACACACACACAAACACACTCATACAAGCACGGTCCCTACCCTGTTGGTGCTGCAGGGAATCAAAGCTGAGTAAGGCACAATCCCTGCCCTTGAGGAGCTCGAGGTCAGTCCAGGAGACATGGCCTGGAGTTTCCGCTGGCAGGAACAGAGGCCTCTCCAGCAGCTCAGGTACAAGGGAAGGTTTGCTGTGAAGTCGCCCAGGGGGTCTCACAAGTGAGGACCTGATGGAAACCAGGCCGTCCTCAGGAGCAGGGTCTCTCTCTACCTTGTTTGTCCCCCTCACTCTCTTTCCTCTGCTGCCTAGCTTCCTCAGTTTTCCCCCAGCCCCTGCCCCCCACCCCAGATTCTGACTGACAAGTGACTGTGACTTGGCCTGGCCCTTGCCCCCCAGCACCAGCCGCCCTCAGCCAATGGTGCAGCCTCCATGTCTCAATTCCAGATTCTGCAGTAAGCACGGGTTTCCGCACCAGGCCCCAAAAGACCTTTGAGGGGTTCTGCTTGATCGGGGTCCCTTGGTTCGGTTAGCTGTGGCCAGGGAGAAGAGTAGGAGCCTGTAGAAGGAGGGAGAACCAGCCGGACGTGGTGGCTCACGCCTGTAATCCTAGCACTTTGGAAGGCTGAGGCGGGCGGATTGCCTGAGCTCAGGAGTTCAAAACGAGCCTGGGCAACACAGAGAAACCCCAACTCTACCAAAAAATACAAAAAAATTAGCCGGATGTGGCGGCAGGCGCCTGTAGTCCCAGCTACTCAGGAGGCTGAGGCAGGAGAATTGCTTGAACCCGAGAGGCAGAGGTTGCAGTGAGCTGAGATCTCGCTACTGCACTCCAGCCTGGGTGACAGAGCGAGACTCCATCTCCAAAAGAAAAAAAAAAGGAAGGAGAACCTTCCAGCATGAACAGTCAGGGTGAACACAGCCACATCAGAGGTGGTGGGGTCTGAGCCAGGCCTTCAACCACAGGGAATCAGAAAGAGAAGAGCGCTTTCTACTCCAAGCACAAGGGTGGGACATGACAAGGTGTTTCAGGGCCCCACAGGTGAGAGGGTTTGGAGTGAAGGAGAAGCAGAGGAAGGCAGAGGTGGCCTTTGTCTTGTTGATCCGGGTCTTGATTGTTAAGCTGGATAGCACTGGCCCTATAGAAGTTCTGTCGTTTTCTAAGGTATTTTTAGCTACAGAGACCTTTTGTTTCCACATCAAATATTACCCAGAAGCTTCCTGGATGAATCCGAGAAAAGCAGGACAGTGCTGGTCACAGCAGAGGTGAGGACAAAGTCACTGGCCCAGGAACCCTCATCTCCTCTTCGTCACCCCACAGCTTCCTGCAATGGCTTTCCCCAGCTCCTAGCCCTGTGGAACAGTGACAACTGCTGGTGGGCGATGGGGAGCTAGGGAAGGGTTTTCTGCAGGAGAGTAATGGGGCAGGGAGACAGACACAAGCGTGAGAGCCTGGACCACAGATATGGAGCCACCTTGAGAAGGAAGAGGAAGCAGCATTTGGGCAGTTTGAGGAGAAAAGGAGAAGCCAAGATAACAGAGCAGTTCTGAGCCTGGGGGTCTGGAGTCTGGATGTCAGGCAGGGGACGCAGTAGGGGAGGAGAGTGACAGCTGCTTTTTAGACAGGGTGAGTTGATGGTAATGGCAAGCAAAAAACCAAAAAAACGAAAAGGTTACCAGCTGGCCGCAGTGGCTCACACCTGCAATCTCAGCATTTTGGGAGGCCGGGGAGGGAGGATCACTTGAACCCAGGAGGTTGAGGCTACAGTGAGCCGGGATCATGCTGCCGCAATCCAGTCTGGGTGACAGAGCGAGACCTTTTCTCAAAAAATAAAAATAAACTGGTCTCGGTGGTAATCTCAGCACTTTTGAAGCCCGAGGCAGGAGGATTGCTTGAGTTTGGGAGTTCAAGACTGGTCTGGGCAACATAGTGAGACTTTGTCTCTACTAAATTTTTTTTTTTTTAATTAACTGGGCATGGTGGCACAAGCCTGTAGTCGCAGCTACTTGGGAGGCTGAGACAGGAGGATCACTTGTACCCAGGAGTTCAAGGCTGTAGTGAGCTATGATCGGGCCACTGTACTCCAGCCTGGGCAACAGAGTGAGACCCTGTCTCAAAAAATAAATAAAAATAAAAATAATGTTTTCTAAAAAAGGCTACCCCATACACTGCTGAGCTCTGAGCAAAAGTGAGGTCACCACAGCTGCCCAAAGAAGCAAAACAAGGTGGGTTTTCAGAAAGGCCCCACTGTCTCAGGAAGCAAGCAGGCAGCCTAGGATTTCTTGATTGGGGTGAAGAGGTTTAAGGCCCAACACAAAGTTGGAGTTAATTAAATCATAGCAAATTACACTAGAACCTCATTATTTCAATGTTGGTTAATTTAAAGTAAAGTAGCAACTATTTCTTTTTTTTCTTTTTGAGACGGAGTTTTGCTCTTGTCGCCCAGGCTGGAGTGCAATGGTGCAATCTCGGCTCACTGCAACCTCCACCTCCCGGGTTCAAGCGATTCTCCTGCCTCAGCCTCCAGAATAGCTGAGATTACAGGTGCCTGCCACCATGCCTGGCTAATTTTTGGATTTTCAGTAGAGACAGGGTTTCTCCATGTTGGCCAAGCTGGTCTCAAACTCCTGAACTCAGGTGATCTGCGCGCCTTGGCCTCCCAGAGTGCTGGGATTACAGGCGTAAGCCACTGTGCCTGGCCAAAAATAGCAACTATTTCAAAGCTACCGCTAGTCCCCAACCAACGAGGCACCTTATTACTGTTTAATGAAAGTGCCGAGATAAGCCGGACCTGGTAAATGCAAAGACCAGCGGGGGTTGGAGAATTTTTCTTTTTGTTCTTTGATATCAAATTAATAAGGTTTTATTGTAGGAGAAGTTGAGGTACCCGTATGCAGTGATGCCAGTAGAACATTGCCTGCCAAGTAATATTGCTCTAAAACAGTGAATTTTTCTCCCTGGCCTGAGAACCTAATACATTTAGAGCTATAAATTCTAGAGGTCCCCCCACCCCCACCGCCCAAAATATTTTCTTTGCATGTTAGAATCTAGTCTACATAAAGCCAATTTTTGAAAAAGTGCTATTCAGTCCATCAACTATTTATTTAAAAACAGTTAGTAGTTAACTATTGTTTTCAAAATAGAGCACTGGACTGGGCTCGGCGGCTCACGCCTGTAATCCCAACACTTTTGGGAGGCCAAAGTGGGCAGATTGTTTGAGTCCAGGAGTCTGAGATTAGCCTGGGAAACACAGCAAACCCCATCGCCACAACAATAAAAAATAAATACAAATTAGAGCACGGGCCAAGTGTGGCCTCCCGTGTGAGGTCACGGGTCAGCCTGGCCTCTGATCCATCTCTGAGTGGGGAGCCCAGGTGGGATCTGGCTTCCTACAGGCCTGCCCCATCCCCTGCCCAGCTGCAGCATTTGTTCCTGCCCACAGGGGTCTTCAGTCCCTGCTCCAGGTCCTTGTCAATTTCACTGTGGCTGCAGGGCCCTGGGGGTCACCTCACCATCTGGCTGGCCTTGCCCAAGTCCCTGGGGTTGCCTGTACTTGTTTCTGACGCTTCCATGAGAGCTCAGCTGTGGCTCAGGGGCCAGCCACGCCTGCTCATTTATCTTCCCAAATTGGAGTCCCTGCCAGAGCCCAGCTTTGGTTAGCACGGGCCAGTCCTGTCTAGAAGACGGGGGACTCTCTCAGGAGGATGACTGTCACTTTTAGGCCACATACAGTTTTGTAGAAACAAATGAACCTGTTTGCAATTTGAAAATTCATTATCCTCCCTTTTGGTGCAAAGAGCTACTTTAAGAAGACAGGTACAGATTATTCTGGGAAAAGGGATTTATCATTGAAAGAAGCTGTCTTAGCTCCCTCTCTCCTCATTGCCTCTTCCCTGTCAGCCTGCACAACTCAGGGTATTCATCTGCTGGGGCTGCCGTCATGAGGGAACAGCCGGGGTGGCTGAGCACCAGTGCTGGAGGCCACAAGTCTGAGATCAGGGGCCGCCGGGGTTGGTCTCTCCTTGGCTTGTAGATGCAGTCTTCTCCCTGTGTCTTCACGTGGTCCCCGCTGTCTGTGCGTTGTGCCCTGATCTCCTCTTCTTATAAGGACACCAATCATATTGGATTAGAGCCCATCCACAGGACCTAAATTTTTCCCTTAACTCTTTTCCTGTTTGCCCCAAGAACACTCACCAGCAGCTCTTGCGGCTGCAGCGTTTACCCCAAAGTAATTTGGTCACAAAACATCTCCCTTTTATTATTTTCACTTTGCTTTAGTGTATCAACTTTGGAAACAAAAGACATCATTCTACGTATAAGACATCATTCTAGGTATAGCGTTCTGTCTTTAGTAGTGGCATTTCCATTTAGAAAATATAGTAATTCTCGATCGCTGAAAATGTCAAATCCGAGAAAACATAGCATTCCTATGTGATCATTCTCAAAGAGTTGTTGGCCAAAGATTCATTTGATTAATCCTATTTTTCTGAAATAGACGATTCTGATGATTGAGATGATTTTGATGTTAGTTCTGTTTACACATAACTCCAAGAACAGTTTTTAAATTTTACTTTCACATTGAAAATCAGTCAGGTTGGTTTATGTAAAATTAAATGAGCTCTGGCCAAGCACGGTGGCTCATGCCTATAATCCCAGCACTTTGGGAGGCTGAGGTGGACAGATCACTTGAGGTCAGGAGTTTGACACCAGCCTGGGCAGCATGGCGAAACCCCGTCTCTACAAAAAATACATATATATTAGCCAGATGTGGTGGTGCATGCCTGTGGTCCCAGCTTCTCAGGAAGCTGAGGCAGGAGAATCATTTGAACTTGAGGGGCAGAGGTTGCAGTGAGCCAAGATTGTGCCATGGAACCCCAACCTGGGCAACAGAGCAAGACTCTGTCTCAAAAAAAAAAAAAAATGCTGGCAGTGGGCTGCACTTTTTTTTTTCCTAAACAGGAAAAGGGTTAATTATTTCTTTAAAGAACCTAGCACCAAATACAGTCACATTCGGAGGTACTGGGGGTTGGGACTTGAACATATGAATTTTGGAGGGGCACAAGGCATCCCATGACACATGTGGGAACCGGTATAATCTCTACAGAGACTAGAATTTAGATTTAACAGCTTGAAACAGCTTCAAGTTATTGGTAACATACAAAACAAAAACAATTCAAAGCCCTTTACATTCAAATTATTGAATAAAAAATAACTATTTCTACAATGTATAAAAGGTATGCTATGTTTATTAGTCTTACTTGTAGCTAATCTACTTTTATGTTTCCTTACAGAAAATTCTTGACATTTTATGTTTCCGTGTAAGAGATTGTACAGAAGGCAAATTTTTGTGTTATGCAATAATAATACTCTAATACAAATTCTGTTATGAACTTCATTGTCACTATATTTAAATGTCATAGCAATTATTTTTATGTGGTATTTTCAAATAATCTAGATTTCATGCAGCATTATAAAACTAACTGGGGCTGGGGACACTGGCTCATGCCTGTAATCTCAACACTTTGGGAGGCCAAGGCGGGCAGACTGCTTAAGCCCAGGAGTTTGAGACCATCCTGGGCAACATGGCAAAACCCCGTCTCTACAAAAAATACAAAACAAAACAAAATTAGCCAGACATGGTGGTGCACGCCTGTGGTCCCAGCTACTCAGGAGGCTGACACAGGAGGATCACTTGAACACGGGAGGCAGAGGTTGCAGTGAGCCAGGATTGTGCCACTGCATTCCAGCTGGGTGACACAGCGAGACCCTGTCTCAAAACAAAACAAAACAAAACAAAAACAAAACAGAAAACAGTGTGAGAAGTGTTCATTACCCACCCACCCCCACCCCCAAAGCTTTCCAAGCTCCCGACCCCATACAGAGGCAAAGGATGCACTGTGCAAAGCTGCCTGCCTGGCCCCAAACGTCCAGTCAAACCCACCACTGCCCTTGCATGACTTCTGACCCCTCCACCTTCAATCTAGACCCCACACCTATCCCACCATCATCTCAGGCCAAGGGGGACCTTGATTAAAGGTTTCCTTCCTGTCCCTGCACCTCCAGACAAGAGAGTGCAATGTTTTCAGAGACAGATCAGATCCTGTTAAAACATTTAACAAGGTCAAGATAACTTAAAATAGTTACCAGACAAAAATAGATGGACTAGTACATGGACAGCAGCTAACTGAGACATGGGATGCTACGTTTCTTATTCACACATCAGATCTTGACATCATATTAGTAAAGGTGTGGGGCGGGGACATGCCATGGCCAGGGTGGGGTCGCAGCTGGCCAGACTGAGCTGGCCCTTCTGTTGAGTTGAACCTTGGGGATATGCAGCCGCTGTGCAATGGTGCCACCTGATGGTACTTTGTAGAATAACCACTCTCCTAGTTTTTCTTCATCTTTAAGTTCCTAAAGAGAGACTGAAATTTCAAATTGGTTTCCTTGTTGTCTATTATTGTCAAATGAAAAGTGCAAACGTTGGTACTCACCTCTCTTGATTTTTATCTGTCTAAAAAATGAAATCTCAGCTATATTCACTGATATATTATGGAAAGAACACTGGACTTAAGGGATTTGGGTTCAGATCCCATTTTCGGCAACTTACTAGTTATAGGATTTGGTAAAGTTACTCAACATCTGCATGCCCATTTTATGATCTGGAGAATGGAAATAATAGGATTCTTGTGAGGATTACAGGAGGTGATATATGCACATCTGCGTCCATAAATCAAGCCTGGGTGTTGTGGAGGTGTGTGTCACCATCATGCATTCTCTGAAGGAGGCTCAGCCAGCTCTACCTTTAATGGCTGGGATTTACTTGTCTTTTGGTTCCTTTCCACCTGTTTGCCAGCAGAGGCTAAGGTTGTGATGGAGGCCATCTCTCAGCAGATGAGTTGAGACCATCCTGGGCAACATGGTCAGGACCACCCTTGGGCCTCTGTGCAGGGCAGTGCCCACCCTGATGCCTACGCTGGTCAGATTGAGAGCATAGACATGGGGCCATGACCTCCATAAACCCCCACCCAGTGCCACATGGCAGCCCAAGGAACCCTCTTAGCCCTGGGTTCTTCGTCTGTAAAACGAGGCTAACGTAACAAGGGGAGCTACTTAGTAAAACAAAAAAAAAAAAACTAAACTACAATTCGTCTTCTGGGATGTTTTGTTTTGTTTTGTTTTGGAGTGTTATTTGGCTGCTGTTTTACTCTATATTCCCAGAGACAAATGAAGCGTAAGAGGCTGTTCTTGCATTACTATAAAGGAATACCTGAGACTGGGTAATTTATAAGAAAAGAGAAGTTCTTTTGTTTTTGGTTTGTTTTGAGACAGAGTTTCACTCTTATTGCCCAGGCTGGAGTGCAATGGTGAGATCTTGGCTCACTGCAACCTCTGCCTCCCAGGTTCAAGCAATTCTCCTGCCTCAGCCTCCTGAGTAGCTGGGATTACAGGCATGGGCCACCATGCCCGGCTAATTTCGTATTTTTAGTAGAGACAGAGTTTCTCCATGTTGGTCAGACTGGTCTCAAACTCCCAACCTCAGGGGATCCGCCTGCCTTGGCCTCCCAAAGTGCTGGGATTACGGGCATGAGCCACCGTGCCTGGCTAGAAAAGAGGTTTAATTGGCTCACAGTTCTCCAGGCTGTAAGGAAGCATGGCCCCAACATCTGCTCATCTTCTGAGGAGGCCTCAGGAAGCTTATGATCATGGCAGAAGGTGAAGGGGGAGCAGGCACGCCACATGGCAAAAGCAGGAACAAGAGAGACAGCTGGTGGTGGGGGGTGCCACAGACTCTTCAATGACCAGGTCTCACAAGAATTCACTCACTATGATGAGGACAGCACCAAGCCATGAGGGATCGGCTCCCATGATCCCAACACCTCCCACCAGATCCCACCTCCATCACTGGGGATCACAATGCAACCTGAGATTTGGGCGAGGACAAATATCCAAACTATATCAAGCATCTTCCTTCCCCTTTCTCCCTTCCCCTCCTGATTCTGGGGAGAAGAGGCTGCTGTGTGTTTCTGAAGGGCTGAGTGTTCTCACCCACCCCCAACCCCCCAAGTAAAGAACTCTTATGTTTCAGGCCCATGGGGTGTGGGGAGAGGTGGTCCCAGAGGAGCAGGGCGTGAGATTGGCAGCTTTAGTTGAAGAGGCTGGGATAGATAGGGGGGCAGGGGTGGTGGTCTCAGCAAATGGTGAGGAGTGAGGGGGAAGGGTGTCCAAGGCTGCTCAGGGGGTGGAGCATGAATACCCAGAGGCTGAGCTTCAACTCATCAGCACTGCTCCCGGGGACCACAGTGACTGAAGAGTGAACCTCTGAGCAGTGCTCAGGGCGTCCTGAGGCCCGGAGAGCCAGTTCTCTGAATGGTGCAAGACCCTGTCAGGTCCACAGGACCCCAGAAGCCAGGAAGCACAACAAATTGGATTTCCGCCCATGCTGAGTAGATGGGAGCTAGAAAACCAAAGAAGGCCAGGTGTGTTGGCTCACGCCTGTAATCCCAGCACTTCGGGAGGCCGAGGCGGGCGGATCACTTGAAGTCAGGCATTTGAGACCAGCCTGGCCAACATGGTGAAACCCTGTCTGTATTAAAAATACAAAAATTAGCTGGGCATGGTGGCATGCACCTGTAATCCCAACTACTTGGGTGGCTGAGGCATGAGAATCTCTGAACCTGGGAGGCAGAGATTGCAGTGAGCTGAGATTGCACCACTGCACTCCAGCCTGGGCGACAGAGTGAGACTCTGTCTTACAAAAAAAAAAAAAGAAAAAAGAAACAAAGAAACAAAGAAAAAGAAAATCAATGGCCCTTGCGCCAGAGTGTCTTGGAGGGAGTCCACACTGACACGCCCACGGGGGGAGCTGCTGAAAGCATTCCCCAGTCCAGTGCTGCCCCGTGAGCACCGCCACCTGTTTCCCGCTTTCCTGGCCACCGTACATACATTTGTTCATGTTTATAGACTCTGAATATAGAGACCCCACACAAGAAGAGAAAGGCTCAGAAAAACAATGTTATGACCTGCTTCCTGAGGCACCCTGCCTGCAGGAAGTGCTTTTCACAGCAAGAAATTCTGACTCCAGGACCCATATTTTTAGCAGGAACATGGTCAGTCAACACACATCCTCTAGGCCTGCCCTGGACCAGATGACCAGGAGGAAGCAGCCGTGAGTCACAGGGAGAAAGCCGGTGGCTCTGACAGGGACGCCTGCTGCTCCGCCGGGGAACAGCTTTCCCCTGGTTTCAGTTAGAAAGGTCAGGGGACGCCTGACCACACAAGGCTCACGGGAACTGTGGAGGGCGGCCCCTCAGGCCACAATCAGCAGGTGCCCACCATGGCTTCTCTCCTGGCAGGTGAGGACTTCAGTTTTTCTCCATGGCTTGGCTCACCTGTTCTCTTATTCTCAGAGCCATAATCACCCTCCTCCTGCCCCAGCCTGGAGCTCTCTGAGACCCTCCACTATAGTAACCAGCACAGCCTAGAGAGGGTAAATCCTCCGGTGCCCCCAACATCCCACCTTCATGTTGCAGCGAGGCCCAAAATGTCCCAGAAGAAAAACAAACTCCATCGCACACCAAAAACCCACCAAAAAACGTGAAATCACCTTCATAATTTGGGAAGTATAAACATAGTTCTATTTGTTCTGTAACGTATTTTTCATGATCAGGAAATGAAGACAAAGAAAGGCTTTGGGAATTGTTTTATGGAGAGGACACCATCTTCCAGGTCCTGCCAGCTCAGGGCTCCCATCTTTCAGCCCCTCCAGAGCTGAGCCCGGAGGGCTGGGGCCGCCCTCTCCCTGCTCCTGAGCCACAGAAGCCCAAGGCTGGCCCTGAAGACCTAACAGCCTCAGGCATTTGCAGCCCCCTTGGCCTAAAAGGGCTGTTAAGAGAGGTGCAGACGTGGGCCCTGCCCATTCACCCTCAGAGGAGGTCGCGACTTCCACCCCAGCAAGAGTACCCCTAGGACTGTGGAGTGCAGAGGACAGCGACCGTTGACTAGGTACCTGGTGCAGGGTCTTGCCCTCCCTCCCTGTAGCCCGATATGGGAAGGGCCACAGTCCAAGTCCATGTTCATGCTGCTCCTCCAGGAGGCCTTCCCAAACATCTTCTCGATGCCGAGTAACTCACAGATCCCATATAGAAATAGACCTTGGAAGGGATCTCTCTTCTTGCAAATGAAGAAACTGAAGACCAGAGATGTACCTCAAATCACACAGCGAGTAACCGGCAGAGCCAGGAGGCTCCTCTGCCCCCAGGCCAGAGAGGGCTTGCAATCTGGCTTCCGAGCAGTGGTTCCCAACTCCCGGGCCATTACAATCACCTGGGATCCCCACCAGTGGAATGACTCTCTGGGGGTGGTGCTTGGAAGGCTGGTGGTGGTGAAAGTTCCCCTGGTGATTCTCATGCAGCCAGATTGGAGAACCCTTTAGATTCAGGCATGGAGGTTCCACCTGGTTCCAGATCACATGGCCATTTGGTCTCAAGAAAGTCACAGCCCTCCTGAGTCTCACTGGCAAATTGCTACGTAATAACACGCATCTTCTTGATAAGGAACCGATATAAGGATCCAGACCCTGGACCTCCTCAGGAAAACAGAGCACGCATTATAAGATACAATCGAATAGGAGAAGTTTTTCATAAGCTTGGAGGGCTATGGTTATTGGATTCAAAAGAATAGTTTTCTCTCTTGTCACATAACAATTTGAAAAGTAGTAATACCCATTCTTTAACAGAAGTGTATTTGGGGCCAGTTGCGGTGGCTCACACCTGTAACATCAATACTTTGGGAGGCCAAGGTGGGTGGATCACTTGAGGTCAGGAGTTTGAGACCAGCCTGTCCATCACAGTGAAACTCCGTCTTTACTAAAAAAACAAAAATTAGCTGGGTGTGGTGGCGCATGCCTGTAGTCCCAGCTACTAGGGAGGCTGAGGCAGGAGAATCACTTAAACCCGGGAGGTGCGGGTTGCAGTAAGCTGAGATCGTGCCACTGCACTCCAGCCTCGGCGACAGGAGGGCAACCCTGTCTCAAAAAAAAAAAAAAAAAAAAAAAAGCCTATTTGGAATCAGTCCCCTCCCACGGGGACCTCTTTCAGGAGGTCAGGCCACAGCACCGTGGCAGGCATGTGGTAGCCCCTCCATAAATGGCTGAGCGAGTGCAGTTGAAGTGGGAGTCTGGTGTTCTTTGAATACATCCTGCTGCATTGGAAGAAGCCTGTGCAGGACTAGACAGTTGGCCTTCTGTGGCAGGCTCTTGCCTCCAGGCCAGTTGAGTGAGTGCAGATGTCCCGAGAGACCAGCAGTGCAGCCACACCCCATGGGACTGTGAGGCGCTCTCACAGTGAAGACCAAGCGCAGGTAGCACTGGCTTTGTGGTTCGGAGAAAAGTCGACACTCATTTCCTTGGGGAAAAAAAGTATTTATCAAAGGAAGTCTTTCCCTCTTGGCAAAAAAAACAGAGACAAGTAATTTCCTCCAGCAGTCTGAGCTGGGATTTGGGGGCAAATAACCATTAAACAGAGACACCTGAGGTGCACAGATGGTCACTGTGGCAAAGGTCGGCTGAAGAATAATAGGTAATAGGGAGCCACTGTGGGTTCTTGAGTGGAGGAGGGGCATGATAAAGCAGGGCTGGAGAGCAGAGGGAGAACGGTAGAGCAGAATGTCACAAGGTGCTGGGGCCCTGACTCCCTAAGTGCAGGAAACTGCTGAGTCTTGAGGTCACTTGAGCCTCCTCCTGCCTCTCTGATAGCTCCCACCTGCCACCCCCACAGGCCACACGGTCCAAATGTCTCATCAACTGCTAGCATACGCTAAGCAGAAGAAAGCGTGTGGCTGTCCCATTTTTTATGCACCAAGCCGTGAGGCCAGAGGCACCACCCCTCTGCTTGGAGGATTCTGAGGGTGGTGGTAGTTGTCATCTTTCCAGGGAATGTGTGGCCTTCTAGAACCTAATAATAGTGATAACCATAACTGCCGCTTATGGAGGACACTCATGAGACTCTCGTCTGCCTGGCCTCACCCTGACATGGAGGCTCCCCGACCTCACCTCGGCTACTCTCCCCTCACCCAGTGTGTCCCACTAGTGGGCCTGATGCTGTCCTTGGCTTGCTCCTACCTCACACCTGCTGTTCCAGCTCCCTGGGATGCTCTTCCTCTTGGTGTGCTCATGGCTCCATCCCTGAATTCATTCAGGTCCCTCCTGAAATGTCACCTTCTCTCTAACACAGCTCCCACCCATCCATGCTCCCTCTTGATGTTTCTTTTCACCGACCACACCTGACACATGTAGTTGTTCCTTTGCCTGTTGTCTGTCTCCAGCCACCCCACCCTTGCTGTGAGCTGCCCTGGAGTGGGCACTTTGATTGGTCACCACCACCTCCGCAGCGCTTAGAGCAGGCTTGGACTATCACAGGCACTGGATTAATGCACCTGTGGAGTGAGCACCCGCGAGGGCAGGGCCTGAGGACCGTTTGCCAACCCGAGATCAGGACCGTGGCAGACACTGACCCTATGAAACTGAGAGGCTGGATGGAGGTGGTGACCTCCAGAGGGCCCCTGCAGCGCCAGGACCCCTCACTCAGTCGGGGAAAGAATAAAGGCAGGCGCCTATACAGCTCCCTGGATCTCCTTCCTTCCTTCCTTCAGGACCCAGGCCCCAGTCCCTCGCAGGATAAGAAATGACTCATACTGGGCTCACTCCCGGCTCCTCCCTCTCCTGGCTTCCCCTCCACCCATGAGGCCACCCATCCTGACTGCTGGCATCCACCCGCCCTGTACTGCTTCCTCCCTGACCTGTACCCCCACTCGCAGGCACCCTTGTTCCGCATGCGTACGCTTGCTTATGGTTTGTCTTTCCATCTCCAGCCACACTGTCCCTAAGCAATATCATGTGAGCACACACGTGAGCCTCATATGTGACCTTACATATTTTAGTAGCCACGTTTTTAAAATACGCTCCTGCAAGCTCAAACAGGTAAGTAGCCACCACATTTTTTTAAAAGAAGCATGGAAAATTATCTTTTACATACTTTATCTTTAACCCAATATATCCAAAAAATGTATAATTTCAACATGTGATCAAGACAGGTTGAGCATCCCGAATTAAAAAATCTGAGCTTTGAAATTCTCCAGAATCCGAAAGCGTTTGAGTGCTGACATGACACCGCAAAAGGAGAGTTCCACCCCTGACCTCATGTTCCAGGTCACAGTCAACATGCAGCCAAAACTTCTGTTTCATGAACAAAATTATTTAAAATTTTATATGAAGTTACCTTCAGGCTATGTATATACGGTGTATAAAAAACATATATGAATTTCATGTTTAAACTTAGGTCCCATCCCCAAGATATCTCACTTATGTATACACAAATAGTATTCCAAAAACAGAACAAATGCGAAATCCAAAACACTTCTGGTCTGAAGCATTTCAGATAAGGGGTACTCAACCTGGTTAAAGTATGGAATATTTTGCATTCTTTTCTTCTTACTAAGTCTTAGAAACTCAGTGTGTATTTCACACTCACAGCACATGTCAATGTAGAGTTAACCACAATTCACACGTTTAGTAGCCACAGCCAGTGGCTTCCTTCTAGACAGCACATGACTGAAGGGCAGGGACTCAGTCTCCCCTGTTGCTCTGGGTTCCTGGGCCCAGACAGGAGCATACAGGAGCCGGAGCGGGTGCTCAGAACATGGTTATGATGAAAAAAAGTAGAATGTTGGCCGGGCACAGTGGCTTACGCCTATAATCCCAACACTTTGGGAGGCCGAGGCGGGCGGATCACCTGAGGTCAGGAGTTTGAGACCAGCCTGATCAACATGGTGAAACCCTGTCTCTATTCTAAAAAATACAAAAATTAGCCAGGCGAGGTGGCACATGCCTGTAATCTCAACTACTCGGGAGGCTGAGACAGGAGAATCGCTGGAGCCCAGGAGGCAGAGGTTGCAGTGAGCCAAGATCGCACCACTGTACTCCAGCCTGGGCGACAGAGTGAGACTCTGTCTAAAAAAAAAGAAAAAGAAAGAAAAGTAGAATGTTAACGCATGGCTCAATCACTGGGTACCCCCGGAGGAGGGAGGCACAGTCCAGGTATGTGTGGGGGTGAATATGTGTCCCTGTGTGTTTGTGAGCTTGTGAGTGCCTTTGTAGTGTGCGTGGATGAGAGAGTTCGGAGCTCTGAAATCAGACAAACTGTATCAATCCACCTCTCCCCTTTCCTTTGGAACTTGGCTGTTTTTCTGTGAATATGGGGATGGGGACACCTTCTAATCACGGAATGCGGTTGGGAAGATTCAATGAGACGGTGCACACAAAAGCAGAGGGAGCTGACTGCACAGACGCTTCCTTTTCTCCCTTCCTCCTGCCTTCCAGCTCATGCACTTGGTCATTGTGCTGTGAGTAGAGTGCCCCATATATGCCAGGCCCCGTGGGCACTTGCTCACTGCTGTATTTCTAGCTCTTAGCACGGTGCCTGACACATAACAGGCGCTCAGCAGAAATATTTAGTGAGTGAGTGAATGAATGAATGGGTATCAGGGAGATTGTAGCTGCTGCAGCCGTCAGTGCACCCAGAAACCAGAGGAAGGCTCCCTGCTGCGGGAGAGCCTGGCAGGGTGAGAGGGATGGGTGCGGCTGTGCTGTCCTGGGACCCAGGCTGTGAGCTCCATCCACCTGTGTCCCCAGATCTGAGCAGCAGTGGTTTGCGGTGGGTACAGCTGTGGGGACTGCTCAGCCTCCCTGCTAGAGGTGGAGATGGGTTCTTCTGAGGAGCCGATCCTGATTCCCTCCTCCTCGTAACATTTACACTGCAGAACAAGGCCTCGGGGTTCAGGTTGTTTGGCTTTGGAAATGAGTAAAAGGCATCACCCAGATTTATTTCTAAAATGGGCCTGGAAAATGTTCAGGGAAGAATTTATTTTTGCAAGTAGGCTTCCGCCAGACACAGATTGTATCTTTTGGGAAAATGCTGTCCTGACTAATGAGGGAGGGGAGGCAAAAAGTAGGATCATGCGTTCTAGTTCAAGGCCATTGCTAAGCAGGGGTCTGGGGCTGTGAGAGTAACTGGGGGTCCAGGAGGGGCTTAGGACCCAGCCCATGGAGGCTGAATGGGGCTGCAAAGGGCATGGCCTGAGCACTTTTCTCCTGCGGAGGAGCCCTCTCTCTTACTTCGAGTAACAGCTCTTCTGTAAAGTCAGGTGGAAAGTGGATTACAGGATGTCGAATCCCATCTCCAATGCACCAGGAAACCCTCTATTTAGGGAGCGCATGGCTCTCCATCATCTGAGACAGAACTGCTTGATGAGCCTGAATGTGGCTCTAGTGCCTCATCCTTTCCATATGAACAGTGGCACAGGTTCTGCTAAGCAAGGATGAGCTCCCTGGGCAGAGGTCTCTCCTTCGAGGTGAGGAGCAAGCCGACCGCAGAATCCTCAGGGGCCTTAATCTCCCAGGGGCTCTACTGACACTGAAGGTGGCCATGGCAATACATCCACCTCATAGTAGCTCGTGATTGAAAAATGCATCAGGGAGGTCTGGGGAAAGTATCCCGTCAAAGAAGCCTGCCTCACTCCCCTTTGCCCTGTCCTCCTCCCTGGGCCTCTTCTGGGTGCTGGGGGAAGGGTGGGTGCAATGCAGCCAGCGTACAGAGGGAAGGTGCTGTGCCCAGGTTTTGCCCACATTAAGGGTGCACCATGAATGTGCCTTTGGCTAGTGGCTTCTTGCTTGTTCACCAGGATCTGGACACCCCAACCCATGGACCCCCAGTCTTCACAGTGGCTGTGGCCACTTAGTCTCTACTATCCAGTGTCCTGGTGTAGCCCCAGTCACCACCCCCTCCCCCCGTCCCTCCCGCCCTCCTAACAGCTGTGCGTCCTCTGCATTTCCATCCATGGTCCTGCTTCCCACCTATCCTGCACTCCATGAAGGCAGCAAGGGGGGTCTGCAAGCTATTTTCAAGATATCAAAAAGCCCAGAGGAAACCATACATTTACCTCAATGACGTTCCCAGACTAAATAAAACATTAAGTTTATTTGCTTTGGGCTGGAGTCATATCAACTCAGTGTGGCAACTATGGTTATCTTGACTGATCAGAAGCCCTAATTGGCCGTTGGATGTCTTTGATAAATAAAACTCAAAGAAATAAATTATTATTCAATAAATTGTAGTTTGTTAGGTAGTTAAAAGCCTTTAAAACATGGAATCCCTTGAGGAAAGGACTAAAAAGGTTCTTTTTGTGGTGAGAGGGGTGGGAACGTCTGATCTGCACCAATGTCATATTTGTATTAAAAAAAAAAAGCACACGCATTTTTCCATAACCCTCTGATGCCAGATTTTTCACTGGTGAGTTTGACGTCACAGCATTCCTACGAATAATATGTTGTTCATGCCCGCTTTACCCAGAGTGTGATTCACCAAACACTGCTAATAAGTGTTTCTTGGGAGTTCATACGAAAGGATCCGTGATCAAAAACGTTTGGGCGAAACTACTAAGCAAAATTAAACCATTTATTGTGGGATTCTTCAGGGTTAATAGAGAGAATCTGAATTGCAAATCCACGAGAAGGAGATAGAGGATGCGGCATCTCCAGCTGCTAGCCCCAGGATCCATTTTACAAAGCACTGTTTCAAGTAACAAGTGTTCCACCAAGCACACTTTGGAACACACAATGTTCCTGATATGATGACATAGGTGACTCAAGACCCCACTGACAGCCATAGGGACAGACAAAAATAAAGAGGAGGAAGAGAGATGGCAAGGCAGCTGAGGGGCAGAGGCGAAGGCAGGCCCCAGGACAGGTTGGGCATTCCGAGCATCCCTGCTGCCAGTGCTCCCAGGACTGGACACTTGCTCCCCTGCAGAATGGAGCTGCCAACAGGAGAGAAACGGGTGTGGCTGACAGGCCATGCCATCCCAGAGACGTGGACTCAAAAGAAATAGCTCAAGTGACCCCAGAAGGTTTTGCTTCATTTCATCTCCAGTCCTCATGTCATCGCCTGTGAAAACCACAGGAAGTGGGAGTGCACCTTACAAGCCACCGATTCCTCCCTTCTTCAGGCCCTCGGAATGACTCTTTCCTCCGGGGTCACCCAGCACCCGCGCTGGGCAGCACCCAGCTCTTCTGTGTGGCAGAAGAGCACACAAAGCCACCTCTTGGCTTGTCCACAGCACACACGACATGATTCTCCATGTACAGTTACGGTTGTGGCTATGTGACAGGTCCAGATGTAACATGAAAAATTAAGTGACACCTCCAGATGTTCCCTCCACATACACACAATTCCAAAGAGGCAAGAACCTGAATAGTGCAGAGAAGGCCAACATGGAAGGGGAGAGTGTTGGTGTGCTCCTCAGGAGGCCTTCTCCAGGCAGATGCACAGACATTGGGCTGGGTCTGCTTTCTGGACCTCCTTTGCAGGGAAAAAATGCAGCGCCTCCCCAGGAGAGAGGAGACAGTGCCTGGTAGGCAGCTGCACAGGGAAGGAACAGGGGAAAAAGGAAAAGGACACACATTCAACTCCCGTGACACACCAGGCCCTTTCACCCATACTCTTCTTTGTTTTTGTCTTCATTTTGAGATGGAGTCTTGCTCTGTCAATGAGGTTGAAGTGCAGTGGCGCCATCTCAGCTCACTGCAACCTCCACCTCCTGTGTTCAAGTGATTCTCCTGACTCAGTCTCCCGTGTAGCTGGGATTACAGGCACCCTCCACCACACTTGGCTAATTTTTGTATTTTTAGTAGAGACAGGGTTTCACTATGTTGGCCAGGGTGGTCTTGAACTCCTGACCTCAGGTAATCCACCTGCCTCAGCCTCCCAAAGTGCTGGGATTAAAGGCAAGAGCCACTGCACCTGGCCCCCATATTCTTTTATTTCAAACTCATAGATGACCAGGAAAGTAGCTTTATTACCCTCATTTTACAGATGAGAAACCAAGGCTCAGCAAGATCCATGGATAATTAATAAGGCTCTGTCTGGCTCCAAGCCCCACAGCTGCCCCCTATGCTACTCTGGCTCTAGGAAATCGGGAGACTTGATTTCCTTTAAGGAAGGTGGCTTCCCGGCCAAGAATTCTGTGAGAAGACCCGGGAGACACAGCAGAGAAGCTGAGGAGGGCTGTTTCAGAAGGAAGCTGACAAGTGCCTCTGTGATCCTGGCTTCCCCGGTGTCTGAGGAAGAGAACATGAGGCAATGGCAGAACAAACAGGCAGGTGCAGGCTGATGGCCCCCAAGGCTCTGGCCAGAGAAGAGGCCATGCCACTGACTCTTCGGGTTGTGCCATTTGAATTTGCACAGGCTCAGCAATGATGTGTTTTGGAAGTAGTTGAAAAGCTTCACCAGGAAGAATCTAGAAATTATTTCCGCTAGTGTTTTCTATTTGTGTGGAACTTTTCCCTCTGTATGCCAAATGCATATCTATATTCTCTTCTTATTCATGTGAACAGTCCTGGAGGTGATGAGTAGATAAGTAAGTAAGTAGCGTCTCCATCTGACAGATAAGCAAACTGCGGCGCAGGAAGCGAGGGAAAGACATCATTTACGCCTGACAACTGGCTGATGGACAGAACTCTTACTTTCCCGTCTTTGTAATGCAGGGCAATAAATATCTAGTCTAGAAACAACTCTAAGATGAACCACTGAGTGACCTGAATAGCTGAGCCCAGTTAACATCTGTAGTGGAATGAGGACTCCAGGCTCCCGGCACCAGAGTCCCAGTTTCTTGTCCTCCTGCCATCCCGTTTCTAGACTTAACTTAAGAAGTCACCTTCCATAGCTTCCAAAGGCTTTCCACGCCAAGTGGCGTCCTGTCTTTGGAAATGCTTTCTGGTGTACTGAGAGATGATCATCAAGAGTCACACTGACCAGGATTCAGTGACTTCATGCGCAAGCTATCTTCCTCCCAGTCAGTTTCTGGAATTTACCCAGAGGTCTTGTGGAACCACACGTCGATGACTGTTTAGTAAATTGACCCTGGCGTTAACGGTAAATTTAATGCCAGCACTTCTTCCCAGCGACCTTATTTGTTGAGTCAGACTTAATTCGATCACAATCTTTCTGAGATCAAGGATCCAAGTCCCTGGGTGGTGTGTCTCTGAGGGATTCTCAGACTGCGTACTGCAACTCAAATGCCTTAAGTGATGGGAAAAAATTCTGCCAATCAGCAGTTTGGCTGCCTTTAGTATTATTATCATTATTTTTTTACACAGTGAACTCAACCACGTACTTTGGAAGGCAGACATTAATTTACCATTAGTTTTCCATGAGTGTTGTCATCAAACACTGGTAGGATTGAGTGAAACTGAAATTCATCTGAAGGGGAAAACATTCTAAAATCTCTGATAGGGACAAGCAGCCAGGTTAGGGCAGCTGAATTTTGGAGCTCAGTGATTTCCATTTGTTATTGACACAACTTCTATTCTGTGAGAATAGAAAAGGGCTGATTATGAAGTTCCTTATCACATGTCAGTGACAGACACGACCGGCATTTTAAGACACAAGAAGAGAGAGTTATAGAGTTATCAAGTCATGAAGATAAGGAAAAAAGAAACAAGATACGTTAAAATAAATAAGCACTTTGGAGCCCACATCAAGTAAACAACTCTTTTTAATTAAGAAAGAAATTTAAAGCATGAAAGAAAAGAAAAGGGGCTTAAAGGCAATTTCTCTTAGTGTGAGGTATTTTCAGGAAAGAATTGGGGCAACCAAGGATTATTATTTTCTTAAGCTTTTGATTGAAATCTCAGACTTTCATCCCTTCTTCAGTTAGAAAATCAAGAGACCAGGCACTCAACCTCCAACGAGGGGAAACTAAAGGCTGAAAATAAGCTGAAGTTATACAGATTCCTGGGGGGCGGTCAGTGGGAGGGAGATGGCTGCTCAACCAATCTTCTTAGTAACCGGGTTTTTCCTGCCTGGCCTTCTGCCTTGGCCACACAGAACATCAGATCATGTCTGACTCCACACCTGCCCTTCCAGGATTCCTGCCAGAGCTGTCCCCTCCCAGCGGGCCAGCCTCAAGCCCTCCCTCCCGCATGCTCGGTCAAGCTCTCCTCCGTGCAGCTGCCAGGGGCAGCTGTCTCATGGCCACGTGTGGCTCTGCCCCCTGGTAAGAGCACAGACTCCTTGGGGCAGAGTCCATTTCTTATTCTTTTTTTTTTTTTTTTTTTTTTTTTTTTTTTTTGAGAGAGACTCTTGCTTTGTCGCCAGGCTGGAGTGCAGTGGCACGATCTTCGCTTACTGTAGCCTCCACCTCCCGGGTTCAAGCAATTCTCCTGCCTCAGCCTCCCAAGTAGCTGGGATTACAGGCACCCACCACCTCGCACGGATAGTTTTTGTATTTTTAGTAGAGACGGGGGTTTCCCTTTGTTGGCCAGGCTGGTCTCGAACTCCTGACCTCGTGATCCACCCACCTCGGCCTCCCAAAGTGCTGGGATTACAGGCATGAACCACCACGCCCGCCCCCTTTCTTAATCTTTACAGACATCCCACATACAAGACTGCTGAACTTGGCTTCTGAACAGTACAGGTAGTTCAGCTCCTTGCCAGGTAAAAAGAATTCACTAAAATCTCAAACATTAAAAAAAAAAAATCTGTTTTCCCATTGGGGAAAAAAACTCTCTTGGCTGCGTAGGGGTCCTTTATTAAGTCCACACCATGTAATATTACACAACCATTACAAAGAATCAGTAGGGACCGGGACCGAGGTGGAGGCCAGGGCAGCGCATCCAGGAGCGAAGTCCGCGCTCACTGCTGCCATGTGGGACAGCTGAGACAAGGATGTGTACCCTGCGCCCCCGCGCCACATGCCAGCACTGTCATCGCAGACTTGGCTGCCCAACCCCGTCGTCTACCTGATGAAGGCCTTCGACCTCCTAGTGGACCGACCGGCGACCCTCGTGAGAGTTTATAGAGTGGCAGCACGCAAAGAACAGGTATTACTACTACCACCGGCAGTACTGCCGCGTGCTGGGCATCACTGAGCGCAAGGAGAAGAACATCTTGTGTGTCAGGCCTCTGAGCCCAAGCTGAGCCATCATATCCCCTGTGACTGGCACGTACACATCCAGATGGCCTGAAGCAACTAAAGATCCACAAAAGAAGTGAAAATAGCCTTAACTGATGACACTCCACCATTGTGATTTGTTTCTGCCCCACCCTAACTGATCAATGTACTTTGTAATCTCCCCCACCCTGAAGAAGGTTCTTTGCAATTCTCTCCCCACCCTTGAGAATGTACTTTGTGAGATCCAGCCCCTGCCAGCAAAACATCGCTCCAAACTCCACCGCCTATCCCAAAACCTGTAAGAACTAATGATAATCCACCACCCTTTGCTGGCTTTCTTTTAGGACTCAGCCCCCTGCGCCCAGGTGAAATAAACAGGCTTGTTGCTCACACAAAGCCTGCTTGGTGGTCTCACGTGTCTTCACATGGACACGTGAAACACTGTGCATATATGAAGCCGAAATGCAGTGGAGGAGGGACTACAAAGTCGATCAAGAAATCGTCAATATTATCCAGGAGCGGCTCAAGACCTGTCAGTAGTGGGAAGAAGACAACTACAGGTAGAACTGGGCCAAGGAAGTGGAGCATTCACCCAGGTGGCCAAGGCTTACCAGGACCGCTATCAGGACCTGGGGGCCCACCATTCTGCCAGGAAGTGCCGGGCCAAACACAAGCAGAGGATGCTGGAAGAGAGAAAAGCTGCAAAAGAGGCCACCGCTGCCGCCTCCTGAGGCAGCTGTGGATGCCCCTGCTGTATGGCTGTGCTTGACTGTCTCTGTGTTGCTGAAATAAAACCCTGCAACCTGGAATAAAAAAATGAGTAAGAGGCAGGGCAAGGTGGCCCAGGCCTGTAATCCCAGCACTTTCGGAGGCTGAAGTAGGCGGATCTCTTGAGCTTAGGAATTTAAGACCAGCCTAGGCAACATGTCAAAACCCCATCTCTACAAAAAAATATGAAAATTCGCCAGGTTCAGTGGTGCATGCCTGTAGTTCCATCTACTCGAGAGGCTGAGGTGAAAGGATCGATTGAGCCTGGGAGGCGAGGCTGCAGTGAGCTGTGACTGAACCACTGCACTCCAACCTGGGCAAGGGAGTGAGACCCTGTCTCAAAAAAAAAAAAAAAAAAGAATGAACAAGATTGATATCTACTCATCTGAAGGTATTTTTCACAGTGTATTTATTGTTAGGTGAGCAAAACAAATAGCAGAGAATTGTATACGGTATGATCCAATTTTTGTCAAATAGTGACAAAAAGGAATGACAACCTTTATGTGTGAATATGTTTGAATGAACAAGGAGAAAAGCAGTTTTCAATAGCTGGTACCCAGGCTCCAGGCATAGGGAAAGGAACTGAAAGGATGTAAGAAAAAAGCAGTTTTAAAGAAAGCACTTACAAATAAGCACAAAAATGCATGCATCTGTGTAGTTATTGCAGGTTATCACGTAAAAGTAAAATTAAAACATCCACAAACCGTTAAAGGTCAACTTTAGAGTTTTAAAGTAATTGTGGTACAAACACACTTTGAAATTTCTCCTGCCTGTAAATGAAGACAGAAGAATGTGAGGGGAGGAGGGACCTGAGCGGGGGAGGGACAGGAGGGAGGGAGGAACCTGAGTGGGGGAGGGACCTGAGGGAGGGAGGGACACGAGGATAGGAGGGACCTGAGAGGGGGAGGGACCTGAGGGGGGAGGGACATGAGGGGGTGAGGGACACAGCGGTGGGGGAACACAAGCTGAGGAGGGATAGGAGGTTGGGAGGGACCTGAGGGGGAGGAAGACACGAGGCGGGGAGGGACCTGAGATGGGGAGGGACATGAGGAGGGGAGGGACCTGTGATGGGGAGGGACATGAGGAGGGGAGGGACCTGTGATGGGGAGGGACATGAGGAGGGGGAGGGACCTGAGAGGGGGAGGGACACAAGGGGAGGAGGGACACAAGGGGAGGAGGGACACAATAGGGGGAGGGACATAAGGGGAGAGGGACATGAGTGGGGGAGGGACAGGAAGTGTGGAGGGACGTGAAGTGGGGGGACCTGAGGGGGGAGTTCTGACTGAGGAGGAGGAGCACAGGGTCCCAGTTGAGGGGAAGGACAGTTAAAGACAGAAAACAGGTTTTCTCCTTTTCCTTTCTCCTCCTCCCTTTTCTCTTCACCTCCTCCCCTCCTTTCTTTCTCCCCCTCTGCACCCTCCCCTCTTCTTCCTGCCCTCTTTCTCTCCCTCCTCCTCCTCCAGGAAACTCTGCCTGGCTGAGTGGGATCTGTTCTTTACCCAGGGCGTGTCTGTCTCCAGGGAGCTGATGAGCCTCTAGGGAGAGGGCAGGCCAGGTCTCACTCCTCCTCCTGCCCTTCCCAGGATCTGTGAGATAAGTGACATGTCATCCAAGGTCACAAAATTTATTAACCCAAAAAACAGGCCTAAGATCCCACTCCCCCCAACCCACAGGCCCAAGCCACTGCATCAGGTGGCTGGAAGACATCAACGTGGGCAGATGTTCTGACTGATCAGAAACCCCTGCGGCAGGAATTGCTCTGCGGGCCTCTCATAAATGGAAGGCACCCCCAGTCCCGCCTCCCTGGGAGCCCATTGCTGAGTTTTCATTTTCCTGCTGGGAGGGCTCAGGGAGCACTGGGTCCTGGCACTTTGTGCCTCAGAGACGCTTCCAAACAAGCTGCCTGGTCCTTTGACCACATGGTGGCTGCCCGGGAACACCGGTTGGCTTCCTCTACCTCTCCGTACCCTTCCTCTGGCCACAGTATGTCTCCCCAAGGGCTACTAGGATGGAGGGTGCCTGGTGGGGGGCGGGTACCCTGCCAAGGCCTGCTCCCCACCCACCGTGGCCTCTGCCTGCGAGAACTCAAAGGGGTTACAGAAGTCTGCAGGGGTCCCCGGGAGAGTCTCCAACACCCCTTCCCCATGCTCTTGAGCTCAGCGGATGCCCCGTTTGTTTATTTGCATGAGCTAGAAACTTGGGACTCAATCCTGACAATTCCTTCTCTTTCATCCCATGGGAATTCATGGCCAAGCCTTGCCCTTTTCATCTCCCAAATGCCCCCCGAGCCCATTCCTCTCTCACCGTCCCTGTCCAAGTTGCCCCCATCTCCTGGCTGGACCCCTGCAGGAGCCCCAGGTGCACCCCTGTTTCTCTTCTGCCTCCCTCCCAGCCAGCTGACTGGGGTTGTCTGGAGTCTGGAGGGGAGGCCAGGGGGTATGGCTCCTTCAACACAGTTTCTCCCAGGCAGCTGGGGCGGAGACCCAGTGCTCCAGGCCATTCTTCACTAACAGCCAGCATGATTGTCCTGAAATAAAAATTGGATCTGTTACTCCCCTTTTTAAACCCTCAAAGGATTCCCAGATGGCTCCTCTGATCAAGACACACCGTCTACCTCTCCCAGCCTCAAGAGGCCAGCCCAGCCCACTCAACTCTCCTGGGAACAGCTCCCTTCCATGCCCCCAGCTCCGTGTTCATCCTTCCAGACCCCAGGCAAGCTCTCAGGAAGCCGTTTTCTCTTCCTTCTTTACCCTTCCCTGTTTCTAATCACGCGTGGGTGAACGTGATCATTTAATTCATGTCTTCCCGTATCGGAATTTGTCATTGTCACAGCACACGCTAATCATTCCAGAATATTTGTTGAATTGAAGGGCTAGCGAATTGCAATCGCATTCAGGTGAAGGCAGTGACCGTGGATACGGGATTGGAAAGATCACGACCCCCAAACTCAGGATTCCAGGAAGGGTTCTTGAAAAGGGGGCCATCTTCATTGACAGCTGAAAGACTAACAGGACGTCTTCAGGCCAGGGCACTGGGGTAGGAGGGGTATTCTTTGCTGGTAGCAGGTGCGAACAAGGCCCTGGCGGCTGGGAGGATAGAACAATAAGTAATCCACAGGAAATGGTGAGAGGGAGATAACACAGAACCGTTGGGCTGGGATCAGGTTACCCGGAGCCTTCAGCTCAAAGCTGAGAAGGCTGGGCTTGGTGCTGTGGGCCACGTGGAATCCTGGAACGCTGATTTTAGCATGGAGAGCCCCTTACTGGTATTCCTAGCACAGGTGCAGTACACAAGCATCATTGCTGGAAGGGACCCAAGCTCATTCAAGCTCAGCCCTTTTACCTGGCAGATGAGAAAGTTGAGAGAGAGAGTGACTTTCTCAAGGTCACACAGCTGACAGCCAGTGTGGTACTCTTTTCTAAACAAAAGAAGGATCATCTCAATCAGGTGTCCACCTGATTTGAGCTCCTCATCATTCTTTCTCCTTGTCACTCCCAACAGCCAACTTTCTTTTTTCTGATGTTGGAAAATAAGTTTGTTCATAAAAGTATTCCTCCTGGCTCCTGCTCTGTTGGCCCTAGCTGCTTAGAAGACCTGGCTTCCCGGCCTAAGTAACTGTATGTACTCACATATAAGGGGACCTGGTTCAGTCCCTCCACTCTGTGTACCTTACTTTCCAGTCTATACTGCTAACCCCAGGCTTCCAGGAGAATCAATGCAGGGAAAGCCCTCTGCCTCGCCAGGCATAATACAGATGAATGTGCAAAGGCCATGTGGCACTCTTGGACTAATAACTTCACCCAGCCAGCGAGGCCCAGAAGTGGCCATGAAGACCCTTTTGGAAACTCTGACAGTAACTCTCCAGGTTAGCCTAGCTAGACATACCTTTTCTTTTCTTTTCTTTTCTTTTTTTCTTTCTTTTTTTTTCTAAGAGAAGATCTCATTCTGTCTCCCAGGCTAGAGTGCAGTGGCACAATCATGGCTTACTGCAGCCTCAACCGCCTGGGCTCAAGTGATCCTCCAGCCTCAACCTCCCGAGTAGCTGGGACTACAGGCATGCACCACCACACCTGGCTAGTTTTTTTGTTTTAATTATTTGTGGAAACAAGGTTTCACTACGTTACTCAGGCTGGTCTCAAACTCCTGGGTTCAAGTAATTCTCCCACCTCAGCCTCTCAAAGTGCTGGGATTGCAGATGTGAGCCAGTGTGTCAGGCCTTAGTTAGCCATTTCTAAGTTATTTTTAACACCTGTCCTCAGATGTCACAAAGAAGCAAATGGTGGTGCCAGGGCACCTGAGCCACTGGTGGGTTTCGTCCACGCGTGAGGATCAAAGAGGAAAAGAAGAAAAGCCCGCCAACTGCAGCCCGTCACAGTTCCTCTTTTAAACCCTATTAGATCATATCGTCCCCAAGGATTGACTTTGTTCCTGCTTAAAGGACTTGTGAGTCATTATTTTTTCTGAAAACTTACTTTACAAATGAAGGAATCCCCATAGCAACCGTTCTATGTCCTTGGAGCCAAGAGAAGGAAGTACAGTGAGAGACTCTCGGTCTCCTGAGGAGCCAAGGCCTCTTGTTTACCGACGTCTGAGAGACCACGAAATTGGCCTGATCTTCAGATTTCAGTTGAGGCAGAGGCTAAAAGGAACATCTACATGGAGAGCATAGCCAGGGATGTCAGCACCAGAGCAACGCGTAGGGAGCGCAGAGGAGGCCTGGGCCGCCTTGAGGTCTGCAGGCCGGGGAGGCCGTCACCTGATCTCTTCAGGAAGTGCCTGGGCCTAGGCCTGGTCCCAGACCCCTCCCCAGGCTGCTCTGGGGGGGACTTCCCTCCCTTCCCTTTCTTCCCTTTCCACCTTCCTTTTTTTCCCCTTGTATCACAAAGCATCTCCTCTGTCCTTGACAGAATGGGAAGAGAATTGGAAAAACCACCACAGGTCACTGTTGGTCTCTGGCGCTCAATTCATGGGGAGGAAACCTGGCTGGGCGCCCTCCTTCCGGGCGAGCAGGAACGGAGGGGCTGTGCTGGTCCCAGTAGAGGAGTGGGGCATGTGTGTGTGCATGTGTGTCATGCATGTGCGTGTGCGTGCGTGCATGCGTGTGCGCGTGTACGTGTGCGTGCAAGTGCATGTGTGCTTGCATGTGTGTGCATGTGTCGTGTGTGCACGTGTGTGCGTGCGTGTGTGCATGTGTGTGTGGATGTGTGTGTGCTGTCACCACGGTGGTGACGGCCTGGTGCCATCAGCTCTCTAGAGAGCAGTCCTTCTCTTCCCACACCACCCGCCACTGCTCCTGCCACCCTCCCCTGGAATCAACTTTGACGAGCACCTGTTTATAGCTTCAGGGGTTTCTACAGGGCCCCGGCAGGCAAGTGGCCAAGATGGGCTTCAACTCCTGACACAGGAACTCTCACATGTCCTCCCACCCACCAGCCCACCCTGAAACCTCCAAGGCACAGAGAAGCAAGGGGCTGGGAAGTGGAGGGTCTGGGCCGAGCCCAGCTGGAGGCAGAGGGCGCTTTCCCACCGTCTGGGGGTGCGCCTGTCCCTCTCCTGTTAGGCTAGGTGCCTTCCGCGGCCCACCTGGTCCACACCACCCTCCTCCGTTCTGGGTCCGGGTCCGTTCCGGCCTGCCCTACTCACCCTGACCAGCCACACCCACTTTGCTTTGGGGCTTCTCATGGGGAGCCCAGTGGAAGGGAATGACAGAGTCTCAGGCTGGGTGGGGCATGGGTCTCCTGAGCACGGCCCGCCCGCCGCCTCCTGGCTTCCATCTCTCACAGCAGGAGCAGGGCCACCACCTGCCGCCTGAGCCTGTGCCAGCTGTTTCCCACTCCCGCAGAACAGACCCTCACCTGGGGGTTGGGTTTGCCCTCCCCTGCGGAGGGAGGGAAGGAGGGGAGCAGGAGGATGGGGAGGCACAGCCACCCCGGCGGAGGGGTAGGAAACCCGGATACTCTCTACCTGTTTCCTACCTGGACACCCAGAGCTCGGGGCAGCAGACCCCAGACTCCAGGAGCTTTCCCCTGCGGGGCGGCGGGGCGTCCACACCCAGGTACGCGGGGCCACGCCACCGTCAGCCGCTTCTCCCCACCTGTGCTCCGCGTGCTGACCGCGTGTGCTTGGGCTGCAGTTTGCTCCTCGCGGCGTGCCCTGCTCACTGCTCACCATCCCAAAGAAAAAGACAAATGACAGCCCCTTGTTCCCCACCCATATTTTAAGGGAAAAATACTGTGCAAACGGCTTCACATGCGTCTCCGTTTCCAAGCTCCAAGATGGCTGCTCTCAGTACCGCCTCCTTCTTCAGTGTCCCTTCCTGTTCACCATCCATTCACGGCACATTTCCTCAGCCCCACTCTGTGCCTCGGCCTGTGTCTGCTACTTGGAAAAAGGCAAGTTCCTGTGCTCAACTCTGAGCAACTGTTGCTGAGGAAGGAATCAATCCCTTGGGGAGGCTGCCCACCAGGGGCGGATGAGATGTGGGGGTGTGCGGCCACCGCCCTTCTCCCTCCTTCCCTCTTCCTTCCTCCCTCCCCCTTCTTCCTTCCTCCTTCCTCCCTCTTCCTTCCTTCACAGGGGCCTGCTTTACTTTCTGGAGTCAGGTTTAACTGTGTCCATTCAGGCTGCTATAACAAAAATACCATAAACTGGTTGGCTTTTAAAAAATAGAAATGTACAGCTCACAGTTCTGGAGGCTGGGAAGTCCAAGATCAAGGTGCTGGTAGATCTGGTATCTAGTAAGGGCCTGATTTCTGGGTCATAAATGGCCTTTCTTTTATTATTATTATTATTATTATTATTATTATTTTATTTTAAAGACAGGGTCTTTCTTTGTTGCCCAGGCTGGAGTGCAGTGGTGCGGTCATAGTTCACTGCAACCTCAAACTCCTAGGCTCAAGCAATCCTCCCAGCCTCTTGAGTAGCTGGACCTACAGGCACACACCACCACACCAGGCTAATTTTTTTTTAAAGATGGAGTCTCATGCTGTTGTCCAGGCTGGAGTGCAGTGGCACGATCTCGGCTCCCAGCAACCTCCGCTTCCCAGGTTCAAGCAATTCTCCTGTCTCAGCCTCCCAGGTAGCTGGGACTACAAGTGCGCACCACCACATCCAGCTAGTTTTTGTATTTTTAGTGGAGTTGGGATTTCACTGTGTTGGCCAGGCTGGTCTTGAACTCCTGACCTCAAGTGATCTGCCTGCCTCAGCCTCCCAAAATGCTGGGATCACAGGCGTGAGCCATTGTGCCTGGCCTAATTTTTGTGTTTTTTGTAGAGACGTGGTTTCCCTATGTTGCCCAGGATGGTCTCGAACTCCTGACCTCAAGTGATCCTCCCACCTTGGCCTCCCAAAGTGCTGGGATTACAGGCAAGAGCCATCAACGCCTAGCCAGCGACTTCTCACTGTAACCTCACATGGCAAAAGAAACGATGGTTCTCTCTGGGGCCTGTTTCATAAGGGCATTAATCCCATTCATGGAACTTCACTCCTTATGGCCCAATCTTCTCCCCAAAACCCTACCTCCTAATATCATCGACTTGAGGGTTAAGATTTCAACATACGAATTTTGGGGGACACAGACATTAGGACCACAGCAAACAGTAAGCCTCTTCATCTTACTAATGAATATCCCTGGGGCGAAGTTTGACCCTGGGTAATGAAATGAGTGGTTAGTTGTTCAAATGTCACCCATAATGCCACAGAAATGGGGCTCTTCCCTCAGGCTAAGCACAGCTCCCTCTAGCCTTGTTGGTGGACTGCCTTGGTGATGGGCCTGCCTTCCCCACTAGGCTGAAAGTGATTTGAAAACTCTCTTCTAACCTCCAGCCCCACCCATGTACCTTACAAATCTCAGTGATTGACCCCCTGCCTGGCACAGAGTAGATTGAAAACAGTATGGAAGTGACCAGACCTTACCCGATGGGCAGAGGGAGCTCAGAGATGGGAACAGAGCTGGTCCTAGGGCACCCAAGGGGCATATCCTGGCCATGCCACTTCCCACCTAGATAGGCTCTGTCCTGAACATCCTCGATTATAACGCAGGAATAACAATGCCCACATCATGGGATTGCCAGGAGGATCATAGATTATGTACAGAAAACTGGAGCAACAGGTGGCAGGCACTCTCCCACAGAGGGTTCTCTAAAGCAGCTCTCAGATTTGCAGTTGAAATTTCCAAGGAAGAGGTTCCGAGTCAACAAGCATTTTTTGACGGAAGCAAAAACTACTGTGAACCCAACACTGCTCTAAAAAATAAAGTAAATTTAAAAAGAACAGGGAGATTTAGGATCACTGTGGAAGTTCCTGATCCTCTGTGCTAAGTGCTGGGGCACTGAGGCCTGAGAACAAGGGCGTGATGATTGAGGAGAAGGGAAGGAGAGAGCAGAAGTGGGCAGGACCAGTTGGGGGCAGAGAACCTAGAGGGGCCAGGCGGGGCCTCACAGTGGGGACCGAGTGGGGAACAGAGGGCCCTGCGGAGATTCACCCATAGACCAAGCAGGAGAACATAGCTTCTGCTGGTGGATCCTACGACTGCCAGAATGTTGGCTGTAACTTAAAGCCAAGGAGGGTGGCTTTAAGGCTTGGAAGGAATAGGCTCCCTCTTCAACGACCCTGGGAGAAGAAAGAGGGAGATGAGCCAAGGACTGGGGTCAGCAAGAAGTCCCACACCCTGGCAGGGCCTAGGAGAGGGTTCCCTGGAGCAGAGGGAAGTGACAGCAGGGGCACCCCCAGAAATGACTTGTTCCAGAAATGACACCAAGTCCTTTCTGGGGATGACCCCGCTGACTTGGGCCTGCAAAGGGTAAGGCAGGGCTGAGGCCACCCTGGCATGCATGTGGCGACAGGCAAGTGGAGGGCAAGCATGAAGTGCCACTTCAGGCCCAGGAAGGCCAATGGGCAGGGGCTTTTGGTCAGTGTGTCCCATGCACACGGTGAGTAAAGAAGGGATTTCCTGCTTCCAAATGAGGTGAGGTTCTGACTTCAATGACCAGGAACTTACACGTTGATTAATCCTAAATTATTTTTTTCTGTTTTAATACAGTTTATTTTTTAGAGCAGTTTTAAATTCACAGTAAAATTGAGCAGAAAATACGGAGATTCCCCACATCCTCCCTGAGCCCATGCATGCTTCGCAGCCCTCATTATTAACACTCCCACCAGAGCGGTACATTTGTTGCAAATGGTGAACCTACACTGACACGTTATAATCACTCAGAGTCCACTGTCACTCAGTTTACATTAGGGTTCACTCTTGGTGTTGCGTAGTCTATGGGTTTGCACCCATTTCTAATATGTGTCCACCAGTATAGTAATATACACCGTAGTTCCAAAATATACAGAGAACTTACAACTCAAGAATCCAGCCCGGGCAACAGAAGGAGACCTCATCTCTACAAAAAATAAAAAATTAGCAAGGCATGGTGGCGCATGCCTGTAGTCCCAGTTACTTGAGAGGCTGAGGTGGGAGGATAGCTTGAGCTCAGGAGGTCAAGTCTGCAGCGAGCTGTGATTATGCCACTGCACTCCAGCCTGGGTGACAGAGCAAGACCCCATCTCAAAACAAAAACAAAAACTCAACAATGAGAAAACAGACAACGTGATTTTACAGTGGACCAGAGACCTTTATAGACGCCTCACCAAAGAAGTTATACAGATGCAAAATAAACATGAAAAGATGCTCCACATCATATGTTACAGGGAAATGCAAATTAAAACACCAATGCCACTGCACACCTATGAGAACAGCCAAAATCCAGAACACCAACAACATCCAGTGCTGGTGAGGATGTGAGGCAACAGGAGCTCTCATTCATTGCTGATGAGAATGCAGCCACTGTGGAAGACAGTTGGGAAGTATCTCACAAAACTAAGCATACTCCTACCATCCCATCCAGCAATCACACTCCTTGGTATTTACTCAAATGGGTTAAAAACTTATATCCATGCAAAAACCCGCCCATGAATGTTTATAGCAACTTTATTCATGATTGCTGAAACTTGGAAGCAACCGAGATGTCCTTGTGCAACCAAGATGTAGGTGACTGGATATATAAACTGTGGTACACCCAGGCAACGAAATATTGTTCAGCACTAAAGAGGAGCTACCAAGCCATGACAAGACGTGGAGGAAACTTATTGTCAAGTGAAATAAGCCCATCTGAAAAGGCTACGGAATGTATGATTCCAACTAGATGACATTCTGGAAAAGACAACACTATGGAGACAGTAAAAAGATCAGTGGTCGCCAGGGCTTAGCGGGAGGGAAGGATGAGTAGGTCTGCAACACAGAAGATTTTTAGGATACTGAGTTCCTTTTTTATTTTATTTTATTTATTTTTGAGACAGAGTTTCTCTCTTGTTGCCTAGGCTGGAGTGCAATGACACGATCTCAGCTCATTGCAACCTCTGCCTCCAGGGTTCAGCGATTCTCCTGCCTCAGCCTCCCGAGTAGCTGGGATTACAGGCGCCTGACACCATGCCTGGCTAATTTTTCTATTTTTAGTAGAGACAGGAGTTTTGCCATGTGGGCCAGGCTGGTCTCGAACTCTTGACCTCAGGCATTCTGCCCGCCTTGGCCTCCCAAAGTGCTAGGATTACAGGTGTGAGCCACCATGCCTGACCGTGAGTTCCTTTTTTAAAAGATGAAATGCTACAGCCCAAATGCCCATCAGTGGATGCATGGATAAACCAAATGAGACATCGCCATACAATTATTCGGTCACAAAAAAGAATGAAGTATTTACACATGCTACAGCTCGAATAAGCCTCAAAAACATGGGGCTGAGTGCAATAAGCCTGACCAGAAAAGGTCACATATTGTATGATTCCATGTATATGAAATATCCAGAAGAGGCAAATCCATACAAACAAAAAGCAGATTCGTGTTGGCCAGGACCCCAGGGAAGGAGGGGATGGGGAAGTAACTGCTTAATGGGTGTAGCATTTTCATTTGGGGTGATGAAAATATTTTGAAATGTGATACAAGCGGAATGTCCTAAATTCACAATGTTAACATTCAACATCATGAATGTCATTAAATCCCACTGAATTGTACACTTTAAAATGATTAATTTTGGCCAGGTGCAGTGGCTCACACTTCTAATCCCAACACTTTGAGAAGCTGAAGTGGGAGGATTGCTTGAGCCTAGGAGTTCAAGGCCAGCCTGGGCAATGTAGGACCCCATGTCTAGAACAAATTAAAAAATTAGCCGGGGGTGGTGGTGCATATCTATAGTCCCAGCTACTCAGGAGGCTGAGGCAGGAGGATCACTTGAACCTGGGAAGTTGAGGCTACGATGAGCGATGATCATGCCACTGTGCTCCAGCCAGGGTGACAGAGTAAGACCCTGTCTCAAATAAAATAAAATAAAATGGTTAATGTTAGGCCAAGGCAAGAGGATCACTTGAGGCCAAGAGCCCAAGACCAGCCTGGGCCACAAATCGAGATCCCATCTCTATGAAAAGTTTAAAAAACTAGCTGGGTGCATCTGTAGTCCTAGCCACTTGGAGTCTGAGGCAGCAGGATCGCTTGAGTCTGGGAGGTCAAGGTTACAATGAGCTATGATCGCTTCACTGCACTCCAGTCTGGGCGACAGAGAAAGACCTTCTCTTTAAAAAAATAAAAGAAATAGGCCGGACGCGGTGGCTCACCCCTGTAATCCCAGGACTTTGGGAGGCCAAGGTGGGCGGATCACTTGAGGTCAGGACTTAGAGACCAGCCTGACCAATGTGATGAAACCCTGTCTCTACTAAAAATACAAAAATTAGCGAGGCATGGTGGCGGGCACCTGTAATCCCAGCTACTCGGGAGGCTGAGGCAGGAGAATTGCTTGAACCCGAGAGGCAGAGGTTGCAGTGAGCCGAGATCACGCCATTGCACTCCAGCCTGGGCAACAAGAGCAAAACTCCATCTCAAATAAATAAGCAAATAAATAAATAAAAGAAATAAAAGAAAAAATGGTCAATTTTATGACTTTATATTATGTACATTTCACCTCAATTTTTTTTAAAGTTTGCACGTTTAAAAAGCAAGATGAAATGCTGTGAGGGATTCTTCGACCACAGTTCAGCTCCTCAGGAAGGCAGGACTTACTCTCCCAGCTGCTGGGCGCTACCCACAGACAGGCCACAGCTGTCAGCGCCTTCCCTTCCCTCCCTTCTCCTCCCCTCGTGTCCCCTCGCCTCCCCTCCTCTTCCCAGGTGTGGACCCCAAGAATTAGCTCTGATCTTCCCAGGTGTTGACCCCAAGAATTCACCCTAAAGAAACCTCTTTCGTGCCAACCTCCCTCTCTGAGATGGCTTTCTGGGGACCCCTGCACTGCAATCCCATATGTGAAAGCTTTATGTACACATGCAAATAGTGGGATCATAATCTTACTGCCTGGGGACCGGAGGCCAGAATGTACTCTTTGTCCTCACGTAGGACAGACTGCAAGGGCCCCGGTGCCTCTGGTGTTTCTGTTTTTATCATATGAGGAGCAGGTTTGCAGAGTAGGCCCTGTTGTAGCATTTTGGTTTCGCAGTTGCTTTGGAATGCTGCCAGGACAGGGCCTCCGACAGTGGGGAGCTCTGGAAAGACATTCACCCAACCACTCTGATCCCCCAGGTTACTCGTTCCAAGGCTTTTAAAAATAGAAGTGTGAAAACCATTTAATTGCCAAGACACTGTAAGGTTCTGGCTTCTATGGCCATGGCCAAGTTGGAAATGCAGCCTTGGAGATGCATGTGGAAAACAAGTGCTTGTTTTTCCCCCTCGCCTCTGACTCAGATGTGGCAGTCACACTCAGTGAATGTCATCTCGTTCCCAGGCCAAGAGTCATGTGCTGGGCAGTGGTCACTGGACCATTGGTGTGGCAAAGAGGTCGGCTCTTGGTACTGTAATTACACCTGGCGGCGGGGGTTTCCGAAGCAGCCTCTCCTTCCACCTTTGAGCCCAATGAACTGGGCTAGAGATGGGAGTGGCAGAGCTCAGGCCTTGGGAACTCAGGCAAGCCATGCAATCAGGGCCTCAACATTTCTGCCGTCTTATCTTCAAAACGCAAACATCAGAACCGCCTATTTCCACAGGTCCAAGCAAGTGTTTTGAAAAAGCATTTTAAGAGCCTGGGATAAAGAAGGATAACATATCAAGAATGTTCTTAAATGCAGCAAATTGAAATGTGTGATATTTTGCAGAATCAGGCTTGACGTTTACTTTGGTGGAAATTATGAGGGCAGAGTAGGCTGAGCACATGATGATGTAAACAAGATGTCGCTGTAGAGGAGAAGGAACAGGCTTTTCCAAAGCTACAAAAAGCTTTCATTTCCGTCTAGTAATTGATAAGTTCATGATAAACCATTTTCATGACTTCATTAAAGATCCCGAAGGAGTTGTCCACCTGAAACTTATCTCGCCTAAATTTCCACATGCGCTGGAAATAATAAAACTGTTTCATTTAAAAGATATAATTCAGATTGCATTTTACTAATTTGGTGAGGCTTCCTCCACTTAAGAGAGATTGTAGTTGATGAAACACCACATCAGTTATGTAAAATATTAAGACATTGATGATGTGGAAACAATATAAGTGATATTATGTTGAAGGACAGTTGACTCAGTTTTGTTGATGGAGTGCAATGCCAACACCAGCTGGTGTCAGCTTCCCAACGGGTGCCACAGTGACCACACTGAACGGCTAGGCCACCAGAGGTGGGGAAGTGTCTCCAGGAAGAGCTGCCGGGATGGGAGGCGGATCCCACTAAGCCTAACCTGGATTCTGGGTATAGCTGTGTCTGATAATTTCTGCGCCATCAGCCTCCAGCAAAACATTTGCTGTTTTGTGTGGGAAAGAAAGGAAGCAATAAGAAGTGTGTTTTGGGGCTGGGCGCAGTGGCTCACACTGTAATCCCAGCACTTTGGGAGGCCAAGGCAGGTGGATCACTCGAGGTCAGGAGTTCAAGACCAGCCTAGCCAACATGGCGAAACCCTGTCTCTATTAAAAATGCAAAAAATAGCCAGGCATGGTGGTGAGCACCTGTGATCCCAGCTACTCAGGGGGGGTGAGGCAAGAGAATCACTTGAACCTGGGAGGTGGAGATTGCAGTGAGCTGAGATCACGCCACTGTGCTCCAGCCTGGGCGACACAGTGAGACTATCTCAAAAAAAAAAAAAGTGTATTTGGGGTGAAGGTGCCTGGGAGCAGAGGTGAGAGAGGTGAGGAGCGGAAAGAGCTGTGTGGAGCCTGTTTCCCAGCATGGCCCCAGGAGCTAAGTCTTTCCCCAGCAGAGAACAGCCTAGTGGCCATTTTCACAAGCGTCTTGGTGAAGTACAGAGCACAAGTCGAGGCTCCAGGCCTCAGTGAGATAGCAGGACACGGACTGGAGAGCGGCCCTCATAGACGCATGTGGAGCACAGTGTGACCACAGGGGCACTGAAGCAATTACGGCACCGTTTAGCTACTTGTGAGGTTTGCTCTGAGAGGACACAGAGCTGGAGGCAGCACCTCAGAGAAGCCATGGCAGTGAGGGGACAGCACTCGTGTGTCCTTCATCATCAACACACACACACACACACACACACACACACACACACACACACACACATCACCCCAAGGCTCCAGTGGGAGGCTATGAAAGGACTGGGAGTGGGGCCCGCGAGACTGCATCTGGAGGTTCCCAGGAGGGCCTGGATGCGTTTATGGGGAGCCTCCGTGGTTCTGGGTTTTGCGAGTAAAGGGGGTCGATGAGGGAATGAATGCCCACAGAACTCTGTGGCTATGAACTTGACTAGCATTGTCCTGGCTTTGGTGGGAAGGTGAGACTGGGAAAAACAAGGCAGATGCAAATCCCGAAAAGCAGGCTTGAGATTCTATGGCTAAAATCCCCAGAAAGACTTCCGGCTTGTTCCAGGCACTTTCCGGGAAGAGGACCGGGCAAGAGAAGAGTTTGTAGTTCACATTGTTAGCAAAGGCAAGGCAGCCATGAGCACGTCTCACTCCGAGTTTAAACTCCTCGTTCAGGGTAGTTTTGGGGATATTGTTATTCTGCGCAAGTAACTCTGGGCTAAATGGCAATCAGGGTGGGATTTAGTGTTCCTCCAAAGCCCGCTCTGCATCTGGAGGTCTACGCAGAGAGGTTTGCTTTGAAGGAGATGACACAGCTGCACTGTCTCCCGTCTCCCTCTTCTTCTACCCCCAGGAAAAATGTGGGCCAGGACTCGTCTTAGGGTGTTAAGACAGAGCCAAAAGGATCACCGCCAAAATGGATAAGATTAAAAAGTGATCCTCCAGCTCCTTCCTATTTTACTAGCAGGATAATCGATGGGCTCGGCACAGAGACCTGACACTGCAGTGAGAGAGGGTGGCACCAGCTTGAATGATGCAAGCAGCATTTTATCGTAAAAAAAAATTTTTAAATTTGCAGTTCACTTTGAAATACAGGAAGTAATTCTTTTTCAGAAAGATTCATCTTCCCCACTTTGTCCTCTTAGTCTTTTTGAATGAACATGACTACTTTGAGCAGGTACCAGCCAGATGAGCACGGCAAGAAAGTTGGGGGCCGAGGTAGGGGGTGTTGTAGGGGGGCCTGTGGGAGGTTAGCCTCTTTCCAAGAATGTTCAACCCAAGGACTGGATAAGCCTAGACCGGGTTTGTACAAGATTTCCCCATTGAACAGCATCCTCCACGGGGTTCCCCATAAACTCTATTTATGAATCTAGAGCTGCAGTTATTGAATAATTATTGGAACATAGATCAGAATTTTTGGTTAAAAAAAGGCAGGTAAGGGCCAGGCATGGTGGCTCACGCCTGTAATCCCAGCACTTTGGGAGGCCAAGGCGGGTGGATCACGAAGTCGGGAGATCGAGACCATCCTGGCTAACACGGTGAAACCCCGTCTCTACTAAAAATACAAAAAATTAGCTGGGCGTGGTGGTGGGCACCTGTAGTCCCAGCTACTCGGGAGGCTGAGGAAGGAGAATGGCGTGAACCAGGGAGGCGGAGCTTGCAATGAGTGGAGATCGCACCACTGCACTCCAGCCTGGGCGATGGAGCGAGACTCTGTCTCACAAAAAAAAAAAAAAAAAAAAGGTAGGTAAGGTCAGGGTAGAGACACAGTGGGTTAGAGAGCCCTAGGGGATGGGGTGCTGCTGGTTTCTACTGTAAACCTTGAGTTCAAAAAAGTATCCATGAGTGTAGATCAAGGGGCTCTAAGTCCTTCCCGTTGACAAGAACTATTTGCAAGGGCAGACCAAGCAGATCCACTCACGGGGACCCCTCTCCCCCAGCAGCACCTCCATGCTGTGCAGGTCTCAGCAGCGCTTTGTTAGCAACCTCGGTCCCACCATCCTGGTCTGCAGCCCTCTCAGCTCTGTCTCACTGTTGCTTGTCGGATTGTCACCCCACACAAGCTCAAGGTCTGTAGTTCTGGCAATCATTTCTGTGAATGGAAGTGGAGGTGGTGGTGGGTGTATGGACTGATTTGAGTCCCCCTCAAATTCACATGTTGAAATCCTAACTGTAGTAATGCACAATGTGATTGTATTTGGAGACGGCTGGGCGTGGTGGCTCACACCTGTAATCTCCGAACTTTGGGAGGCCGAGGCGGGTGGATCACTTGAGGTCAGGAGTTCAAGACCAGCGTGGCCAACATGGTGAAACGCCGTCTCTCCTAAAAATACAAAAAATTAGCCAGGGGTGGTGGCGCACGCCTGTAATCCCAGCTACTCGGGAGGCTGAGGCAGGACAATTGCTTGAGCCCCAGAGGCAGAGGCTTGCAGTGAGCTGAGATGGCGCCACTGCACTCCAGCCCAGGCAACATAGTGAGACCCTGTCTCAAAAAAAAAAAAAAAAAAAAAAAAAAAAAAAGATAGAGTCTTTAAAGACACGAGTAAGGTTAAACAAGGTCATATGGTGATCCCTAACCCAATGTGACTGAGAGGAGATCAGGACACTGACAGGCGTAGAGGGAAGACCCTGTGAAGACACAGGGAGAAGAGGCTCTTGACAAACCAAGGAGACGGGCCTCAGAAGAAATCAGCACTGTGGACACCTTGATCTCAGACTTCTGGTCTCCAGAATTATGAGCATACACATTTCTGTGGTTGAATCCCCCAAGCTGTGGTGGTTTGTTATGGCAGTCTTAGCAGGCTAAAGCAGTGGAGACGGGTGCTAGAACTCCTGAGAAGGCCAGCGTTGAGGACACATGGGAAGGGGTGATCTGTAGAAAGACTATTGGGGAAGGCAGGGGTGCGCTGAGGACACATGGGAAGGGGTGATCTGTAGAAAGACTACTGGGGAAGGCAGGGGTGCGCTGAGGACACATGGGAAGGGGTGATCTGTAGAAAGACTATTGGGGAAGGCAGGGGTGCGCTGAGGACACATGGGAAGGGGTGATCTGTAGAAAGACTACTGGGGAAGGCAGGGGTGGGGCGGTGCCAAACAAAGCCTTGGGGGCAGATCTCGGACTGGGAAGGAGACCAGCCCGGAAGGCGAATAAGGGATTGCAGGGAGATAAATCAACCTATCAGGGAGGGCAGGGTGAACAGAGGGCCGTGTCCCCTGCCCCAAACCCCCTGATATATGGCCCCTCCATTCCAGAGGGGCCAAATCTATAACTGCTAAGAACATGAAAGAACAGCCAAAAGTACACAAGACCCATTTCGTAAGACATGAAACACAAGCCACAGTTCTGTTTGTTCTCTGACAATGTAAACATCATACATTTTTATTAAGAGAGAAAATAAAAAGCAAAGAATCCACTTGAAGCTCTCTAGGGAGCATCCCGTCACCGCCATGTGCAAGAAATCTGGTCTTCACCCGCATTTTAGCTGTGTTGCCCAGCATGATGTCCCGTCCAGGGCCACACTGGGATGTTCGTGGGCCCCAGGCATTTCTGCCTTCATGAACTCCTTTCTCTATCAATAGAATATTTAAAGTTATATTTTATGGCTGTTGGATAAAGACAAATAAGTTATTGCTGTGTACTAAAACATTTTCTTCAGCCTAAAGGTTAATGTCTTCCTTCTGATTTTAAAGACACAGAACGACTTCCATGGACGCCCAGGGCACTGTGGGCCTGGCACGGTGCCGCCTGGCCAGCCCCATAGGGATCCCGCCCTGGTCACGGTGTGGGGGGCCCTGGAGCCAGGGCAGAAGGCACACAGGTCTGGAGGGAAGGGGTGGCCTGGGCCCCCAGCTAGCTGAGAATGGGTTCCAGCTCTTGGGAGCCGGTGAACCAGACTTGGTTCTTAGTAGGTGGGGCAGGGAGCAGGGCACACAAGGCCGAGATCCAGGCACTGATGCTACCTGGTCCCTAGAGAAGGGAAGGACTGAAGGGAGTGCGCGGCGGGGCCTGCAGCCAAGGGACATCCACACCGCCGCTCCTGACCTTCTCCTTGGGGTCCTTGGCTCTTCCTTGATGAGGGGCACGACGGTCCCAGAGCTTGGGGCCGGGCTCAAAGATGGGGTCAAGCGGCCGTAGCGGGTGCGGCGCGGCGCGCTCCCGGAAAAAGGCAGGGGCAGGGGCGCGGGGCTGGGCAGTGCCGGCTCTTTTCTGATGGATCATCTGCCCCTCGGTTCGCTGTCCCCGGGCTGAGAACCCAGAGTCCCAGATAGCACCTCTGCCCGGTCACAGCCGCTTCCGACAGCAGGGGGCGCCCCGGCGCTGGAGGTGAGAGGCCGAGGACCGGGGCGCGGGATCACAAAGGCAGCTGGGCCCAGAAAGAGCCCCGGGAAGAAGTCCAGTTGGAAAAATAAATCAAATATTAAAAATAATGCATCGTCCCCTCGCCCGCACCCCACCTCTGAAAAGCCCATTCCCGTCTGGGGCTCTGCCTCCTCGGGCTGTGCGCGTCCTCCCAGAAGGGCCAAGATACCAGCTCCCCCGACCCCGGCTAGGAGCACACACGTGACGGGCAGGAAGCACTGCGGCGAAAGCCCGAGCTGCCCTCCTCTCTGAAGGCTGGGAGTCCGGAGGGTCCCCCCGGGCCACTTGGCTTCGTCTGAAAATAAACACGGGGAAAGGGAAGCAGAGACACACCCTCCAGAGACAGCCTGGGGGGCTGCCTCTGAAGACTGCGCGCGGCTGGTCCCGCCCCCACGCCAGGAGCCCACTCGGTGGTCTTATTTGTAATGAAAACAAACGTGGCCCTTTCAGCAGCTGAGGACAAACATGAGATGAGCATAGTCAGGGACAGATGTTTGGGAGAAACAAAAGGAGGGTAAGTAGGAAGCGCAGGGCAAAGGCAGGCAGAGCGAGTATTGCAGCAGCCTTTGCTGCGTGCTGGGAAGTTTCTAACAATGCAGGGCTCTTGGAAAGCACTGAGATTGCAGCACTTGTTTTGATAGCGAGGCAAGGAGTCACAAAGTCAGGCAAGGAGGGTCATGGAAAGCGGGGTGACAGAGGGAGAAGTCCGGGGCGGTGGCTCTCCTCTAAAGCCTGTACCTAGTCCTCATCTCTCTCCAGCCTCTTTACAATGTTCATCCATGGAAAGTGAAGCCCAGAGAAGTTAAGTAACTTGCTTAAGGTCACACAGCAAGTTGACAAAAACAAACATACACAAAAAAAATAAATCACGGCCAGGCACGGTGGCTCACGCCTGTAATCCCAACATTTTGGAAGGCTGAGGCAGGAAGATCAACTGAGGTCAGGAGGTGGACACCAGCATGGCCAACATGGCAAAACCCCGTCTCTACTAAAAATACAAAAATTAGCCAGCGTGGTGGTGCATGCCTGTAATCCTAGCTACTCGAGAGGCTGAGGCAGGAGAATCGCTTGAACCTGGGAGGCAGAGTTTGCAGTGAGCCGAGATCGTGCCATTGTAGTCCAGCCTGGGCGACAGAGTGAGTGAGACTTCGTCTCAAAAAAATAGAAAAAATACATATAAAATAAAAATAAATCAGGAATGCAAGATCCAAGTAACTGGACTCCCAGTCCAGTGTTCTTGGTCGAGTTGCTCTTTGAGCTGTTCAATCAACCAATAATTACTGGGAGCCAACTATGTGTTAGGCCTTACTCTGACCCCGATCTTCAAAGTGGTTTCTCAGGTGTTTGGTTCTTCCCATCTTCTACCAAAATCCAATCCATACACCATATCTCAGCTGAGCTCCTCTGGTTCTTCTCTAGACCTGCTCCCTCTCTGAAATGCAAGGCCGTGCCTTTAATGGGCTTTTGGCATTCTGTCTCCAGACCTCCCTTCTCATCTGAAGGGCTCTCAGGAGAACAGAGAAAAAACCAGCCTGTCTCCAAACTGGCCCGTCTCAGGGACTGGGGGCCTTTACCCCCAGTGAAAGATGCAGACTTTACAGCGCTGCAGTACAGTAGAGTTAAGTGACTCCTTCAGATAGTTGGATGGGTCTCTCGATCATTCCTGATAATAACATTTTGCCTATGTTAAGTGCTTTCCACCTATCATGTTACCTTCTAACTACTCCCTTGGTTGGATACAGGTATTAGCCCCATTTCACAATTAAGAAATTGAGGCTTAAAAGGATTAAAGAGTTTTTTAGAGGAGAAACAGCTCTTCCTTACAGAAGGATCCCAAGTAATAAATGTGAATGCTCCCTCTCCAGAAGGTGGCACTTAATTCCCCTGTCCTGGAGTTTGACCTCGCTTAGTGACTGGCTTCTGATGAATAAAATGGGGAAAAGGAAAAATAGTAACTCCACAGTGGAGACAGCTGGCAGGCACCACCTGAACCAAGAGATCAAGGTTAACATCAGCAGCGATAAGTCCCATTGGTACCATGTACCTCTCGAATAATGTGATGAGAAGGACATTTCACCTCTGTGTGGCACCCAGAAGCATAACCCCAGTCTCATGGCAAAACACCAGACACACCCAAATTGAGGGACATTCTACAGAATCCCTCCCTGTACTCTAATGTCAGAAGTCAGGCTGGGCGTGGTGGCCTGCGCCTGTAATCCTAGCACTTTGGGAGGCCGAGGCAGGCAGATCACCTGAAGTCAGGAGTTTGAGACCAGCCTGGCTAACATGGTGAAACCCCATCTCTACTAAAAATACAAATTAGCCAGGCGTGGTGGTGTGCGCCTGTAATCCCAGCTGCTTGGGAGGCTGAGGCAGGAGAATCATTTGAACCCGGGAGGTGGAGATTGTAGTGAGCCAGGATGGGGCCACTGCACTCCAGCCTAGGCAACAGAGTGAGACTCAGTCTCACACAATAAATAAATAAATAAATGTCAAAAGTCATGAGAAAATGAGGAAAGATTGAGAAATGATCACAGACTGGACACATCCAAAAATGCAACCTGGTATCCTGCATTGGATCCCGGAAATTGGAAAGGACGAGAGTGTAAAGAACGGTGAAATCTAAAAAAAGTCTGTAGGTTAGTTAACAGTAACATACCAATGTAAATTTCTTAGTTTTAATGAGTGAATCATACTCACCTTCAGAGGGGAACTTGCCTCCTCTAGACCCCAGTGTTGGCAGGAAGGGCACAGAGCTCCCTGGGACAGCACCCCTTTTTCCAGGGAATCAACCAGCCATGGTTTTTGCTGAGCACCCCTACAGTCTCTCTGGGCAAGGTGTAGTGATACATACTAGGCAGGAGATGGGAAGAATTTGGCGTCGAAAGATTCTCCCATCTCATCTACAGCCTTTTTCGTCACTATTGAAAATGATTTTAAACTTCGAAAAATAAATCTAATTTATTTAGTTAGTATAAATAATCTAATGTATTTAGTTAGTCCAAATAATGAAATCCTTATTCAATGATTGAGGAAACTTTATGGCCCCAATCCACATCCACCTCTACCAACTAAAAAGTGTGGTTTCTGCTTCTCAGTAGCAATGAGGTCTAAGCCAGCATTTCATCCGAGCTTAGGTTCCTAACCTGCGTTTGGCGTGGGAAGAATTCAGTGGCAGGTTAGAATGCCAGGAGACGGGAGAGCCACAGGCAGGGGTAGAGAGGGGACAGTCAGGACTGGGACACCGCAGCAAGTTCCCTGAGAAGGGAATGAACCTTCCTCCTCATTGCTCCAGAAAGGAACATGGAGGAGCCTGGAAAGGTGGGACTTCTGGCTCCGGGGTAAGCGGGATCAGATATTAGACAATCTTACTTTGATTGGATTATTTTCCCATTCCTAAACCAATCGCTGCAGCTGTGGGGATGAGGCACTGCATAGCTTAGATGTGGAGGGTGTATTCTGGGGCCAAGGAGCAGGATCAGAACACACAAACCATGAAGACAGAGGTGGGTCCTGGAGGGATTGCTGCCAGAAGTTGGGTGGATAGATACGGGGCAGGCACAAAGCAACCACAGGAGACAAACTGCCAAGATGAACCTGTCTCGTTGGGTCCAAATACCTGCTCTTCCTGGATCCATGCATGCACCAACGCTAGGACAATCAGAGGGACAATTCGTTGTGCAATGTAAACAGACAAAGAGTCTTTTCGCATAGTGACACCCAGAGGATGTGCTTACAGGAGGCTCAGCTTGGTTGTGTACAGGGTCTCATTGTCTTTCAGATGCTCCCTCTGCAGGATCTGAGGGCCCCTTCCCTGTGCCCATCCAGAATAATTGGCAAATCCCTGGTCTGGCAAGAAAAGGTAGGACTCAGCAGAGGAAAAGGAGTTGGAGAAAAGAGGGTGCCATGAAGGAGGGGTGGGGGATGAGGCAGCCATCCATGGAAGCAGCCCTGCAAGCTACGTGCCAAGGACACCAGGCATTGTGGAACAGGGTATAGGGCCGACTCAACACACTCACCACCGCCCTGCCCCAGGCAACCTGTATGGGCCGAAAGAGATGACTTAAACTAGGAGTAAAGTACCAAACTGTACATTCTTTTTACAGCCAGCCCTCTGTATTCATGGATCATAATATTCAGATAAAAAAATGAATGATAGCATTTGTACTGAAGTTGTACAGCCTTTTTTTCTTGTCATTATTCCCTAAGCAATACAGCGTAGCAACTACTTACATAGCATTTACATTGCATTAGGTATTATAAGTAATCTAGTGATGATTTAAAGTATATGGGAAGATGTGTGTAGGTTATGTGCAAATACCATACCATTTTATATCAAGGACTTGAGCATCCATGGGTTTTGGTGTTCACAGGGCTGGGGGTGGCAGTGTCTGGGATCAATCTGCCATGAATAGCAAGGGACAGCTGTACTCCGTGTGTGCTTGGCTGGCTAACACAGGAATATAATTTAGCAAAGAACTCTCTTCTCCACCAGAGAAGACTCACACCCATGAAGAATGAAGATTGAAGATTTGAAGATTTTTCTTGTAGTATAGTAACTTTGTGTTAACCTATTTCCCATCTCCCATTACACTGTGATTTCCTTGGGGTAGCCTGTTATCAGCCAATGCCATGTGGGGCAGAAGAACTGCCCATCTGAGCCCTGCCTGAATTCCTGAACCATAAAATCATATTAAAAATGATTTGTAATTGAATAATTGATTGAATGAGGGAATGGACATTAAACTGAGGATTACCTGGAAAATCTGATTTATTATCTGATTTCTACCAATGGGACCCAGGGTCAATGGCTGGAGGAAGCTTTTAACATCCTACCAATTCAAAGGGACTCCTGTCTTGGTGAGAGCCTCCAAATGGGTTGATTGAGAATTCAGTGCAACTTAGCAAGTATAAGAATCCACGTACAGTGGAGGGGTCCCTGCTCTAAAACTCCCACCACATTGGGCCCGCAGTCCCCCAGACCAATATTTGTGATTGCAAAACCACTGCTCCTATTATTAGCATGACTGGCTCTGTCACCACAGTCAGGTCCTCCCTGACTTGGGCCCTCTCTGGGTTAACTTCTCCCTCCTTAGGTCCCAGCATCCTGTGTCCTCACCCTGGAGAGCATATGCTACAATACCTTAAAATTTCTCACCACCTTCTTGGCCTCTACTGCTGGTCTGAGTGGTGGCCATCTTCAGATCTCCTTTGGCACCCAGTACCCCACATGTTTTAGGGATGAGGGAGAAGAAGCAGGGGGTGCCAGAGCTCAGCTTCAGCTCTTCCTGGCAGGGAACTGGAGCTCGAGACTGAAATGTATTTTGTTACTTTATTTATTCAGAGATGGAGTCTCGCTCTCTCACCCAGGCTGGAGTGCAATGGCGCAATCTTGGCTCACTGCAACCTCTGCCTCTGAGGCTCAAGCGATTCTCCTCCCTCACCCTCCTGAGTAGGTGGGATTACAGGGGCCTGCCACCATGCCCAGCTACAATTTTTTTTTTTGTTTTATTTTCTAGGGGAGATGGGGTTTCACCACGTTGGCCAGGCTGGTTTCAAACTCGTGACCTCAAGTAATCCGCCTGCCTTAGCCGCCCAAAGTGCTGGGATTGCAGGCATGAGCAGCCGAGTCTGGCCTATTTTGTTACTTTAACTTATTATGAAAGTTTCCTAATGCACATGAAAGTAGGTGAGAATCAAAATTAAACTTTCATGTATCTTCGTCTAGTTTCACTAATTATCAACATTCTGACATTCTCACTTTGTCTACCATGTACTTTTGGCTAGAATATTTAAAAAATAAATGACCAGTATCATATGACTTACCCGTAAACACTTCAAAATATGAGCTTGAGATGTAGAATCACTGATTTTGGGGTTAAATGAACCTCAAAAGTCCTCCTGTGTTCAAATGGGCCTGGGCTTGGAAGCTCTGCAGTGGGTGCCCGGCTCTTGGAGACCCCGGCCACAGCGGGAGGGGGATACAACGTGGATGCTGGAATCAGCTCTCTGCCTGGATCCTGGGAAAACGCCCCCTGGAGTGATTGGCTTAGTTCTTCTTGGGCCCATCACAGTTCATCCAAGTAATCCACTTGCTTCCTGTTCTCCAACTCCTCTGTCACGTGCAGCCATTTCATCTTCACACCACACCCTTGTGATTTAGGGAGTATCATCTCCATCACGCCTGTAATCCCAGCACTTTGGAAGGCCAAGGAGGGCAGATCACGAGGTCAGGAGTTTGAGACCAGCCTGACCAACATGGTGAAACCTCGTCCCTACTAAAAATACAAAAATTAGCTGGGAGTGGTGGCGGGCGCCTGTAATCCCAGCTACTCAGGAGGCTGAGGCAGGAGAATTGCTTGAACCCAGGAGGCGGAGGTTGCAATGAGCCGAGATCACGCCACTGCACTCCAGCCTGGGTGACAGAGCGAGACTCTGTCTCAAAAAAAAAAAAAAAAATTTCCCCCACCCCTTATTATTTGCATATTACAAGCAAACCAGTTTATGCTCGGAGAGGCTAAGTGACTTGCCCAGGGTTACCCAGGTAGTGGAGGGAGAAGCAGAATTCCCACCCAGCTCTGCTGAACTCCGATGCCCTAGCTTGCCTGGTGGCACCCACAACCGGCCCTCAGTGTCCACTTCTGAGTTTAGCCTGGGCAAGAGACTGGTCCATAAACGACTTCCTGCCCAGTGGTAAACAGTGGAAGGCAGGCTCCTGTGTTTCTCGTGGTTGGTGGTAATCGCTGCTTTTGCAAAGTGGCTTTTGGGGAGGAGAGGTTTTAGGAAGTGTGTTAAATGAGGGGGGAAGTGTTACTTGGGGGTTTCCCAGCACTCAACACGCACACTGCAGGGGCTGCCCTCCCCCGCAGCACACTGGGAGAGCCTGTCCTCCAGCGCTGCCCACGCCCGGCCGTGGGTCTCATTCCCCACTGGATCTCCTGTCTTTGATGTCAAATATACCCAATTCATCTCTTTCATATCACTACAAAGGAGCCTCCTAATTACTCTGTTTAGACAGCCTCTTCTCCAAATATTAAACATTTGGTCTTCCCAGGCCCCCCAAGCATTTAATATCATCAAGGTTGTTGCGAAATCCACTTTTCCCCCAACTGGTGGGCAGATTCCTTTCTCTCTCCATTCCCAGCCTCCCTGGGCAGATCTGGACAAGTCACCCCACATATTCTTTTCCCAAGCAGGCTGCCCTTGGGACACAGCCCTTTTCTTCTGGTGAGAGGGTCGGAGCAGTGGGGTGGACCTTGAGCGTTTTCTTGAATCTCAGCCCTGTTGGGAAGCCCTGGAGAAGCCTTGGGGAGACCCAAGGACTCAGGGGTGACCTGTCATGCCTGACGCAGGTATGTGGGGCATCTCCACCTTTGGTGGTGGCAGGCCCAGCACCAAGTCCAGAACGTTTGCTGGCTGGTGGGGAAACAGAGACTTCCTGGTTCCAGATCAGAAACTGCCTTGAGTAGCTGCATCTCTCCAGACACCAGATGCTCGGTACCTGAGGCTCCCATAGCCTCTCCTCCTTCAAAAGAAAGAAAGAAAAAAAAAAGCACTCTAATCCTGGAACCCGTCCCCATCCCGAACCTCCACGGCCTTGCCACCGCTTCCTTAGGTAGAGAAGTCGGCTCACATTTCTTCCTACTCAACAGCTGCTAGTGTTCGCCCTTCTAATGCCTCCCTCCTGGTCCCATGGGCCTTTGCCAGCTGATGTCATGGCACAGTGCTATGTCATAGGTCTGTGCTATGCTCCCTGTTCTGCTCTCTCTTCATGGTGTGGCTGGTCCCCAGAAGGACTCTGTGGCTTGGGACTGCTCCCCAGACATCCCTCCTGTCTCCTCATGGGCCTTGTTGCTCTGGCTGAGCAGAAAACAGCCTCCCCATTCCCCCGGCCCCACACCAACGCGGGGGTCAAGGAAGGTTTCCAAAGGGACATTTGAGCAGAATCTTTTCCTTCTCTCCTTCCCTTTCTCCTTTCCCTGCCTTCCCATCTCCCTTCCTTCTTTCTTTCAACTTTTTATTACGAAAAACTTCATTTTCAAAAGTAAAGTGTATAATGAACCCCCATTTACCTATCTCACCCAGCATCAATGCTGATAGACCGGGCCAATCTTGTTTCCTCAAAACCCCCTAACCCCACTACCCACCCTCCAACAATGGATGGTATTGAAGCGGATTCCAGACAGCGATTGTATCATTCTCTCTGTAAACACTTCAGTGTGTATCTCTAACAGACAAGGACTTTTAGAGAAACATAACCACAGTATCACATCTAAAAATATAAACAGTAGTCCAGTCAGTGTTCGAATTGTTTCATAACTGCACTTTTTAAAGTGGCTTGTTTGGATCAGGATGCTGAGCAGACAGACTTGAAGGGATTGAAGGGTGACACATTTTGGTGTGGGTGTGGGCTGGTGGTGGTGATGGGGAAGCACATTCTCACAATTCTTGGACACTTGATTGGCCTACTGCAGACAGCAGGGATTCCCTTTTTTTTTTTTTTTTTAGACGGAGTCTTGCTCTGTTGCCCAGGCTGGAGTGCAGCGGCATGATCTCAGCTCACTGCAACCTCCGCCTCCTGGGTTCAAGCGATTCTCCTGCCTCAGCCTCCTGAGTAGCTGGGATTACAGGCAGGCACCACCATGCCTGGCTAATTTTTGTATTTTTAGTAGAGACAGGGTTTCATCATGTTGATCAGGCTGGTCTCGAACTCCTGACCTTGTGATCCGCCTGCCTTGGGCTCCCGAAGTGCTGGGATTACAGGCGTGAGCCACTGGCCAGGACTCCCAATTTTTATTAACCTCTACTGAACTCATTTTCACAAATCATTGCTCAGTTGTTTCCCTGGCCAATTGAGACTCAGGGGTATGTCACTTCCTCCAGGCAGCCTTCCCTGCATCCTGGCCCCCAGTCAGCCCGGGCAGGTGTTCTTGTTCTATAACTGAGTTCACTGTCTTTCCCAGGTGACACTGTTTGTAGCTCCCTATAATAAGTCTTCCTCAGGGGCAGCATGTGCGAGACACAGTCGGGTCTATTAGACATGTGCTACTGAATAAAGAGGAGGTCAGCCCTCATCCATTTCTGATTTGCTGCCCTGTGGGTTTGCTTTCTTTAGGTGGGTTAGGAAGTGCCTCCTATGTGCCATGCATCTCTGAATTCTTCAGTTAATTCTCACAACCGTCATGTAAGCTGATACGATCATTAATTATCCCCATTTCACTGAAGAGAAACCGAAGCTCAGCATGGGTAAGTTGATTGGCCAAACCTCACAGTTGCCACATTGAAGGTCCCTCCTATCTCCTATTGCCCTACCCACCACCAGGGAAGAGCCATTTGAGCTGCTGGTCCTGGCTGGAACATTCTAGAAAATGCCCACAACAGAACATGATGGCTCCTGCCTCTCAGCTGCAGGAAGTGGTTCCTTTCACTATTTCTGCTCAAGTCTCAGGGCCACTACACCCTCCCCATCCAACCTTTCTTCCCCAGCCTATTGGAGCTGAACTCTCCCCTGCTTGCATCCTCAGCCTCTGGTGGCTAAGCAAGCCTAGAGCAGGTACTTCAAAGCCTCCTGCTTAATTGTGCCTTCCCTGCCCATCATTAGGCAGAGAGTAAAGCAAACAAATTAAATGCACATTTTCTTCTGAAACCCTTGCAGGATGGCACTGGCACCGTCCTCGGTGTTGTTTGTGCTGACGGGCTGGCTGCCCAGCTTTGGAATGGGCAGGAAGCACTCTGGTGCTGGGACATGCTTACCTGTTTCTTCCTCCTCCACCCCTGGACAGAAGGTCGGTGGTTCCTGGAGAAGAATAGTTCCTTTGTGTTTTCTTTCCTTTCTTCCTGTGCCTAATTAGGAATTATGCTTGGGAATCAAGCTAATTAATCTCTGCCAGTTCAGGGTGAGATCAAGCTGCTCGCACTATCAGTGTTGATCAATAACTCACTGCTGAAAGAATTTGAAAAACAACCCCGCTCCTTTCAGCACAGGCTTTAATGAGGAAGAGGTGGGATGGCCCCAGGGGGAGACCTGGAGCAGGTAGGCAGAGGATCGTCTGGTGAAGCTACTACCCATTGCCTTCTGCATGTGAGAGGGCCCCCCGCAGGCAGGGCTTTCTAACGCCCAGGCCCAAGCCAGGGGTGGGAGCTTCATTATTGTGCTGCCTTGTTGTGTAACCCAACTTGTCTTGAACTGCTGAGGTTGGTCACTGGGAATACTCATAAGATGGTGGAAAACATGGCCAATGGCTGGGTTGTATTTCAGGACAAGGTGACCCCTCTGGCTTACTGATCAGAGGCCAGCCAGAAGCCTGCTCCCAACACTAGGCTGCCACCTCAGCCCAGCGACGACCAAATATCCAGGAGAAAAGATGCAATCTTGCAGGAAATAGAGCTGCAGAAGGCCCGGAGAATGAGAGAAAGCAAAAAAGCCCATAGGGCTGCAAGGGACAGGGGAAGGAAGGACCTCACCCTGGGAGTAGGAAAAAGGTGGTCTGGTTAGAGTTTGTACAAAATTTGTGCTGTGTCTTGGGGTCCTCATGGCCTAGGCAGGTATCTTAGTGTGTATTCTGATGCTATGACAGAATACCTGAGACTGAGTAATTAAAAAAGAATAACAGAAATTTATTTCTTATAATTCTAGAGGCTGGAAAGTGCAAGACGGAGGGGCTGGCATCTGTTGAGGGCCCTTGTGCTACATCATCCGTGGTGGAAGGCGGCAGGGCAAAACAGCCTGGGAGGAGAGCCCTCATGACCTCTTATTAGGCAACCCCCCTCAACACTGTTGCATGGGGGATTACGTTTCCAACATATTCGAACTGTGGCAGAAGGTTAGATCTTCAGAGATATAGAGATGGCCCTTGCCTTTAGAGGGAAAGATGCAGTTGTTTTTCTTCCAAGGAGACTATCAAGAAGCCAGAGAACCAAAAACAGTGATAACTGAAAAAGAACTCTAGGACTGAAGGAACTTAGGATGGTTTTTAAAATTTTGGAAGTCCCAGCCTATGTTGTATCAAATAGATTTAAAAGTTTTTTTTTTGTTGTTGTTTTTTATTTTTTGAGACTGAGTCTCACTCTGTAGGCCAGGCTGGAGTGCAGTCTTGCTCTGTGGACCAGGTTCACTGCAACCTCTGCCTCTGGAGTCCAGGTGATTCTCATGTCTCAGCCTCCCAAGTAGCTGGCATTACAGGTGCACGCTGCTATACCCAGCTAATTTTTGTATTTTTTATTAGAGACAGGGTTTCACCAGGTTGGCCACGCTGGTCTCGAACTCCTGACCTCAAGTGATTCTTCTGCCTCAGCCTCCCAAAATGCTGGGGTGCTCGGCCTAAACGTTTTTTTAATTGACAAAAAATGTTGTATGTATTTATTGTGTACAACGTAGTGTTTTGAAATACGTATACATTGTGAATGGCTCAACTGAGCTAATTGACATATGCATTATCTCACATAATTTTTTTTGTGGTGAGAACACAAATACACTAACTATAGTCCCCATGTTGTACAACAGATCTCTTGAACTTATTTCTCCTGTCTCACTGAAATTTTGTGCCCTTTGACCAACATCTCCCCAGCTCCCTCACTGCCCCACCTCTCGCCACCCCCAGGCCCACCATTCTACTCTTTGCGTCTATGCATTCAATTTTTCTTTTTTCCCCCAAGACAGAGTTTCGCTCTGTCTCCCAGGCTGGAGTGCAGTGGTGTGATCTTGGCTCACTGCAACCTCCACCTCCTGGGTTCAAGCAATTCTCATGCCTTAGCCTCTTGAGTAGCTGGGATTACAGGTTTGTGCCACCACGCCTGGATAATTTCTGTATTTTTAGTAGAGATGGGGTTTCACCATGCTGGCCAGGCTGGTCTCAAACTCCTGACCTCGTGATCTGCCTGCCTTGGCCTCCTAAAGTGCTGAGATTACAGACGTGAGCCACCGCGCCTGGCCTCAATTTTTTTTTTTTTTTTTTTTTTTTTTACATTCCAGATATAAATGAGATCATGTAGTATTTGCCTGGGCTATTTCACTTAATATAATGTCCTCTGGGCTCATCCATGTTGTCATATATGACAGCATTTCCTTCTAAGGCTGAACAGTATTTAATTGTGTAAATGCTTTCTTTATCCATTTATTCACTGACGGACACTTAGGTTGATTCTGTATCTTGGCTATTGTGAATAATGCTGTAATGAACAAACACAGGAGTGCAGATTATTTCCTTAACATACTGATTTTATTTCCTTTGGATATATACCCAGTAGTGGGGTTGCTGGAGCATATGGTAGTTCTATTTCTATTTTTCTGAGCACCTCCGTAATGTTTTCTATAATGGCTGTTTTCTATAATGTACAATGTATGATTTTATAATGTTTTCTATAATAGTAATTTACATTCCCACCAACAGTGTGCAAGGGTACCCTCTTCTCCACTTCCTTGCCAACACCTTAACTTTTGTGCATTTTTTTTTTTTTTTTGAGACATGGTTTCACTTTGTCACCCAGGCTGGAGTGCAGTGGTGCAATCACAGCTCACTGCAGCCTCAAACTCCTGGGCTCAAGTGATCTTCCTGCCTCAGCCTCCCAAGTCACTGGGTCTACAGGTGCACGCCACCATACCTGGTTAATTTTTATTTTTTGTGGAGACTCACTCTGTTGCCCAGGATGGTTTCGAACTCCTGGGTTCAAGCGATCCTTCTGCTTAGGCCTCCGAAAGTGTTGGGATTACAGGCATCAGCCACTGTGCCCTGCCATCTTTGATAATAGCCATTCTGCCATGTGTGAGGTAATATCTCATTGAGGTTTTAACTTTCATTTCCCTGATGGTTAATAATGTCGAGCACTTTTTCATATACATGTTGACCATTTGTATGTCTTTTTTTTGAGAAAAGTCTATTCAGGTCCTTTGCCTAGCTTTTAATTGGGTTCTTGGTTTTCTTGCTATTGACTTGTATATTTTGGATATTAAACCCTTATCAGAATGTGTGGCTTGCAAATATTTTTTCCAGGTTGTCTCTTCACTGTTGTTTCCTTTGCTGTGAAGCTTTTTAGTTTGATATAATATTATTTGTCTATTTTTGCTTTTGTTGTCTGTGCTTTTGGGGATCATATTTAAAAAACCATTGCCCAGACCAATGTCATGGAGCTTTTATCTTGTTTTCTTTTCTTTTATTTTCTTTTTTTAAATCTTGTTTTCTTCTAGCAATTTTATATTTTCAGGTCTTAAGTCTTTAATCCACTGTGAATTGATTTTTGTATATGGTATGAGATAAAGGTCTAATTCCATTCTTTCGCATGTAGACAATTTTCCCAACACTATTTATCGAAGAGACTGTCCTTTCCTCATGTGTGTTCTTGATACCATTGTCAAAAATCAATTTTCTGTAAATACACAGACTTCTGGGCACTTTATTCTGTTCCATTGTCTATGTGTCTTCTTTGTTGTCAGTACTGTACTGTTTTGATTACTATAACTTCTTAGTATATTTTGAAGTCAGGTAGTGTGATGCCTCCAGTTTTGTTTTTTGCTCAAGGTTGCTTTGGCTATTTAGGGTCTTTTGTGGTTCTATTCAAATTTCAGGATATTTTCTATTTCTGTGAAAAAAGTCATTGAAATTTTGATATGGGTTGCATTAAGTTTGTAGATCACTTTGGGTAGTATGGACATTTGAACAACATTAATTCTTCTAATTCATGAACATGGTTTATCTTTCCATTTATTGGCATCTTCTTCAATTTATGTTTTATAGTTTTTAGTGTATCAGTTTTTCACCTCTTTGGTTTAATTTATTCCTAAGTATTTAATTTTTTTAACTTTTCTGAATGGGATTGTTTTCTTGATTTTTTTTCAGATAGTTCACTGTTAGTGTATAGAAATGCTATGAATTTTTGTATGTTGAATTTTGTATCCTGCAACTTAACTGAATTCATTTGTTAGTTCTAACTTTTTTGGTAGAATCAGTAAGGTTTTCTGTATTATAACATTATCTTATCTGCAAACAGGGACAGTTAAACTTCTTCCAGTTTGGCTGTCTTTTCTTTCTCTTGCATAATTGCTCCGGCTAGGATTACCATGTTGAACAGAAGTGGCTAGAGTGGGCATCCTTGTCTTGTTTCTGATCTTAGAGGAAAAGCTTCCAACTTTTCACCAGTGAGTTAGGATGTTAGCTATGGGTTTGTCATAGATGCTTCTTTATTGTGTTAAGGTACATTCCTTCTATACCAAATTTAATAAGATCAAATACATTAAAATATGCTCAAGTTCCACATTAAACAGCAATTTAGTTTTGCTATAACAATTTTGTATGACTTTTGTAATTGTATTTGAAATTAATTTCATTTTGCATTTTTTTTCTTTTGGCACTGTAATATTTTTTCAGATTGCAAACATTTTCACAAGCTTTGAAAGACTTGGAAATCTTGCACATGGTGCTCACCAAGCCCAAAGACAAAATGGCTCAGAGACCCTGGGGACCCAGCGTAGTGGAACACTGACCCTCAAGAGTGAGAAAGGAGACCCTGGCAGAAGACAGCAGAGGTACCACATGACAGTTTGGGGAAGGGATTGAAGGTCTGCGTCAAAGAGAACAGAAAACCTCTCCAGGTTGTCTTTTGGCAATAACTAAAGAGAGAAAGATAACAAACATAGGAAAGATATCTCTACTCCCATATACATCCTCCAGTATAGGCACACGTAAGAAAGCCTAGGGCTGAGGGCACTCACAGGGAAACACCTCCAAATGATGAGGACCTTGTGAGCTTCCTAAGCCAGGTGACCACAAAGACGCGTGGACAATCCACTGACCCAGCAAGCAGGGAGTGTCACTTGTCCTGTGAAGAACACCAGAATACAGTTGGCCTTTCTAATCTGCATGCAGGTCCCATATCCATATTCAAGCAACCATGGATCAAAAATATTGGGGGGAAAAAAAACTAATGATAAATTAACAAGGGGCCAGGCGCAGTCATCTATAATCCCAGCACTTTAGGAGGCCAAGGTGGGAGGATAGGTTGAGCCCATAAGTTTAAGATCAGCCTGGCAAATGTGGAGATTCCAACTCTACAAAAAATAAAAAAAATTAGCTAGGCATAGGGGTGCACTCTTATGCTCCCAGCTACTCTAAAGGCTGAGGCAGGAGGATTGTTTGAACCAAGGAAGTTGAGGCTGCAGTGAGCCATGTATTTGCCACTGTACTCCAGCTTTGGCAATAATGTACCACCCTGTCTCAAACAACAACAACAAAAAACCATTACAGGCTGGGCATGGTGGCTCATGCCTGTAATCCCAGAACTCTGGGAGGTCAAGGCAGGAGGATCACTTGAGCCCAGGAGTTTGAGGTTACACTGAGCTAGGATCATACCACTGCACTTCAGCCTGGGTGACAGAGCAAGACCCTGTTTTCACAACAAAACAATGCAATACTGAAAATATCACAGACGAAAAAACCAATACAGCATAATAACGATTTACATAGGATTTACATTGTATTCAGTATTATGAGTAGAGATGATTGAAAGTATGTGGGGGGATGTGTAGATTGTATGCAAATATCGTGCCCTTTTATATAAAGGCCATGAGCATCCAGAGATTTTGCTATCCTTAGGGGATCGTGAAACCAGTCCCCAACAGACACGGAGAAATGACATTACTAAACACAGCAACTTTATGGGATTGTATCCAGATTACATAAGCCCACACCAGAGCCAAAGAAGATGGAGGAGGAATGGGATTCATTCTTCCAGACAATACGTGTAAGTTTACTTGACTGTGGAATGCCAAGGGAGAAGGAACTGCAATTTTTAGAAGACTCATTGGCCCAATGAGATCAGCTATTGTCTCAGTGACTTCAGAAGACCCTTTGGTTTTATTTTGCTCTTTTGTAGGAAGATGAGGTGCTGTGGAAGCCATGAGGTGCACCTGAGGTCTCCCTTCAAAGACAACCTGTTGGGAAAGAGTGGTTAGCTGTTGGCTTCCAGCTGCAGCACTTTTGTTGCAGTGTTCAAACTGAGGCCTCAGTCTCCCCATGTAACTCCCAGTCAATAACTGACCAAAACAGGGACACTGATACTTTGCCATTCCTGCCCAACACAAGCCTCCTTCACCGGCAATCTTTGTGCCAGAACACCCTCACTGGGCTGCTTGGGCCTTCTTCAGAACTGCAGGCAGCCTGAGGCTCTCCCTACCTAATCCTCCTTCCTTACTTGCCCTTCTTTTAATGTCAAACCTGCAGCATGGTGTGAAGACCATCCCTGTCTACTTTTGATTCCTTGCCCTTTTGTTTTTCACAGGTACATCTCCTAATAAATCCTTTACCCTTCTAACTTCCTCTTGGCATCTGTCTTAAGAACCCAAACTGATACAGCTGTCCACCCACACAGTGTGACTGGGCAAAGCCTACTGGCTCACTCTTTTTTTTTTTTTTTTTTTTGAGACAGTTTTGCTCTTGTTCCCCTGGCTGGAATGCAATGGCGTGACCTCAGCTCACTGAAACCTCCACCTCCCGGGTTCAAGTGATTCTCCTGCCTCAGCCTTCCAAGTAGCTTGGATTACAGGCACCTGCCACCATAGCTGGCTAATTTTTGTACTTTTAGTAGACACGGGGTTTTACCATGTTGGCCAGGCTGGTCATGAACTCATGACCTTGTGTATCGCTCGCATTGGCCTCCCAAAGTGCTGAGATTACAGGCGTGAGCCACCACGCCCAGCCAGACTCACTCTTTTGAAATGTGAAGGTCTAAAAAAAAAAAAAAAATCCTCTTAAAATGCAGCCATGGGAGGGCACTGAAAAGAAATGCAGTGTTTCATTGGATGGCTGCAAAAGAATGTAGACTCCTACAAAGATGGGTTGACATCTTCTGGGGGTTTATTTTACCATTTACCTCTGACAGGATGGCTGAAGAGGAATCATCCTGGGAGTTGGTTATAATATTATTTATTTAAAAATATTTATCATTTATTAAGTACTTCTTAGGTGACAAGAACCATAAGAGCTTTCCATACATTGTTTCATTCAATACTTACACAATTCTAATGTTATCTCCATTTTTCAGATAGGAAAATGAAGTTAATCAGATGTTGAGCTTAGATTTGAATCGAGGACTATTTAATGCCAAAGCTTAAGATTCTTTAAGTCACACACACACAGACACACACACACACACACACACGACGTGTGTTTAAATTTTGAGTTTCCAAGGAAAAAGAAAACATGAACTATAGAAAAGAAAAATGAAATAAAACAAATATGGAAGAAAATGAAGACACTGAGCAGAAGCGGCCTAGAAATCTGCAAAGAGAAAGAGAAAGTCAAGGCAGGGAGGTTTTGTAGGGAAAGTTTTAAGTGTCTTGATCTGTTACTAATTATGTGTTCTTAGAGACATACAATCTGAGTCTCAGTTTTCACAGATATATTAATGAGGTCATTTACTAGATGGTCTCTATATTTTATTTCAGCTCTAAGATTATACATTTTCTTCTTAGAGCTTTTTATTTATCGTTTTGTATAAAATCAACTTAACAAGTTTAATAGTTTTCACTAAATCCCACAAGAAGCAAAATGTTCTGTTAGGCACCCAATGTGAACAGTGGATTTCATAATTCACCAAGAGAAGCAATCTGCCAGCATACCAAGAGGATGTGACAATTGCCATGGGTTTCGCACGCACAGGTCCTACAAAAAGTCATTCACTGTCAAAAAAAAAGTTTGTCTAGTTTGTTTGAGGTTCTTGCTTGGCATGAAGTCCTCATGGATAATCCCTACGCTTTTTTTTGTGGTTAAAAACTGGGATAAAAGCAAATTTTTGATCTTTTAACTTTTAAACAGTAAACAATACCATTACTTAATTATGACACTTTTTTTGTGAGAAAGGGTATGGGGAAATGTGAAAAGTGCTTTGAAGAATAACTTAAAAAGCCTCTTTTGAGTCTTTTTCCATCTTCTTCATTTTTCTCTGTATCTACAAATGAGTAGATTTTCTATAACTACTAGTTGCTGTTTGGTCAATCTTTAGGAAAAGGTTAAAAGGCCACCGTCAGTAGTGAGGGCAAGAGGAGAAAAGCACAAGCTAGAGAAGCTCTAGACCAGATTGCCAACTTAGCTCCACAAGCCTGATTCTGTCCTGAAGGGTTTCCCAGATAATGTCGGTAATGCAGTTAGGAAAAGCAGTGTGAGTGTTTCTGGGACGAATGAGATGGAGAAAATAAAACAAAATACATTATTATTTGAGAAAGAGAAATGTAAAAAACTCACTATTTTACTGTGTTAAAAAAAAGATGGCACATTTATTGCTACATAAATGTTATATACATATTGTGTTTTCTGTTACAGTGACAGAAAAAAATTTGAACTTCTTGCTGCTGGTTGAAAAGGTTTATCAATAATACCTTGAATTTGACACAGGATACAAATCTGCAATAAACCAACAATGGAAACTGGAGAACAAGATGAGAAGCAATTCATCTCCAACAATTAGCTCTTACAATACTCCATAGGTACTACACGGTATGCTAGAATCCTACTATGGTCTTAAAATGCTATTGTAAATTTCTGATATTAATGAACAGGTTATGGTAAATAACCCTACATTTTTTACTACCTAATATAATAAAATAAAGTAAGAAACTTTTTACTGAAAACTTTTTGATTTCAAAAATCTAGAAAGAGTAATATTTAGAATTCAAGAAATTTTCTTACAAGATTATTGTATAAAAGACTAGCTACAGTGAAAAATAAGCCAAATGTTTTTTTCTTTCTATTTTATGAAGGAAAGCTTCTGGGCATACTGCAAAGTCTAATATAGCGAAAAAGACAACAAGCTCTGAAGAAAAAAAGGCCAGGCAGTGGCATATGTTCACTCACACATCATAAGCAACAACTTCTGTTTAGCTGATTAACACTGAAATGAAGAACAAGGCCACAGATAGAGTCCGATGTAACTGGAGAATATATGCAAATTAAAGTAACCAAAAAGTCCACTAAGTTCACAAATGACTGACTTGTTAGGAATCATCCTGATTAGAGTACCAGAAGTTCTGTCTTGTTTTTGTTCTTTCAAATTAACAGAAATCTTTAAGCTACATAGTGATTTGGGTCCTTTCCTCTGTGTGCTGATTGCCACTGTTGATATTGGCTATAAGGAATTATTAAGCCAAGATACCTCCTTTAGCATGTTTTTCTCTCCCAGGGTTGTTGTGGTGGAAGACAGGTTTCATGGAAGTTCAAAGTGATTATGTCTTTTAAAACAACTCCTAAGGATTAGAGACAGAGAGTGCCTTAATGAACAGTATTAAGATGGACTGACAAGTACTGGTTTAATGCTAATCTGGCTCATCATTTTGGGACAGGGGCAGATGGTTTGCAGTTGATTAAATCACCCACTCAATTCTTCCCCATTGACCAGCCATCCAAATGACAGAGAAATAAAGGCTAGGATAAGGAAATACGGGTGACCATTGCTCTTGTATTCCATTAGGTAATTAGCCTCAGAGTGGTGTGTTCATTTATCACACTACCTGCCTTGGTGACTACTGGGTTTTGTTATGTTCACCATAATCACAGCCTGAAAAAATCGTCTTTGTATTTTAAATGTATTTTGTGCTTACTTACAGCTAACACTTTACAAGTACTGTATGTAGTACTTACTGCTTGGAAAACAAAGCGATTTCTAAAAAGTAGATTCTTCCCTTGTAATTTACAATTTTGCTATTACAAGCTTTCCTATGAGATCTAGAAGCTTGAAAAGTCTTGGTTATTATTAGAAATAAAGCAATGTTTATTTGGGGGAAAACCTAGAGAACAAAATTTCCCCTTTTAAAATGCTAGCTAGGCTATGGTCACAGATGGTCTCTGCTTACCACTGTAAGGTAAATGTGCAAAGCACACAGGGCTGCACGGAGGAGGCTGGACTGTGACCATAAACTGTTCAGATTTAGAGATCAAATATAACACCCACAAAGAGAAAATAAAAATAAATCAAAAAATGAGAGCAAGAGAAATGCTATACCAAGTAATATTTTCCTATTTCATGGAAAACGCTATTCATATGGCAAGAGGATAGGAGAGGGCAACAAAAGACTTTTCCCTTCCTTTTTAAGACACTAATAGGTATGCCGGGAATGCTAAGGGCCAATGGTTGTCACTGCTTTGTTCTCTGCACGTGAACCGCTTTAATGTATGCTGGCATCAGCTGAGTGTAGATCAGCTTTCCACATTAACTTTTTCCCTTTATATGTAGACCTTACAGTTTCATAACAATAAATAAAATTTGTAGTTACAATGCATTTGTCAATTCAGTTTAGGCACAAGGCAACTTCCACGGTGAGTGGAGAGATCGAGACAGTCTCTGATTGTGCAGAAGCGACACACTGCTTGCAACAAAAGATTTGTTGCAAACATCTCATGGGCTGATGTTCTATCTGATGAGCTTCCTATCTTCACTTCTGATGGAAGTGTTGACCAGTTGCTTTGATCGTAGGATTACATTTGAGTTTCTTGGTTCAAGTGTTTTGTTTTTTCTTCTCCCTCCTGTCAGGTTTGTGTCTTCAGATAATCTGAGTTGTCCAAGTCCTTATGAGGAGAGGTCACCTTCTATCTAGCCTACTGATAACTCTGGAACTGTGGCAGGGACAGCCAAGGGAGAGGACAATACCAGTTAGTACATAATTGTTAAAAATAAAACACCTTCCCCCTCCCACCAACAAAAAAATGCTGGTATTCCTCATCTATATCCAGGTCTGCACTAAATTTGTAGTCTGCTAAGTGACTTAATGAACTTTTTCCTTTTAAGGTATACTGAAATGGTTTTACTTGATGTGTATGGTAAGGTTTTTTGTTTGTTTCTTTTCAGACAGTGTCTTGCTCTATCACCCTCGCTGGAGCGCAGTGGCATGATCATGGCTCAACGCAGCCTTCAACTCCTGGGCTCAAGCAATCCTCCCACCTCAGTCTTTGAGTAGCTGGGACTACAGGTGTGCACCACCACACCCGGCTATATGGTAAGATTTTTAAAGGAGATCATGCGATTACAGAATCACAAACTATAGGCGTATAAAACAGCTGCCGCAATGATGCAAACCTTCATTTTAATAACACTCAAGTTGGCAATAACTGAGCTCTGAGGTGCTACTCATTCATTCCTCAGTAGTGAGACAATGGTAAAGCCCTCAATTTGCTGCTGCCTCCACTCAACCACAGTGTTAATAGTTTACATTTATTTCATCTAAACTGAGAGCACCTGAGGTCAGAGGCTACCTTGCATTCATTTTCATATTGGTCCCAGTTCCTGGTCCACAGTAGGTCCTCAACAAATGTTTGCTATTTATTAAGAATATTTTACTCTATTAGTACAAATTCTATACATACTTATGTTCCCAATATAATATATATAGCAGTAACTCTGAAATTTTCTACTTTAAATTTTTAATAAAATAGTTTTAGATAGAATCATAACTTTTACTTCCTTATTAAACAATAACCACAGTATTGTTTAGGTACACAGCAATGCTCTTAGGGACGGAAAACTAAGATATTCAAAGCTACTTGGCCTACATTACAGGATGGCAAATTTTTGTACGTTTATAACCAGTCATTCTGTGGTCATGTCTTAGCCATTTTGATTCTAGTAGCATTGTTCCTGCTGCCCTGTCTCTTGCTACTTTTAATCTGCTATCCAATTTATGAAACCAGATAACTATCTTTATGAAATTAGCAACCTTAACACATATTCTAAGATGACAAACACTAGCCTATACAATCTATGGAACAAAGTGCATTCACTACATGTCTCATATCTTGATGCCTTTTTAAACTTAAAAGAATTCTTGATCCTTTTTTGATAGGTGGGAATGCCCAAAGTTTAATTTTAACCTAAGTGGGAAAATTTCCACATTATAAAGAGATAAAGGTAGAGCTATGAGAGCAGTATGAAATAGAGAAGTAGTAAAAGCACAGGAAGTAAACAGAAGGAAACGAGATGAGAATAAGAAGACAAAGTTGAACGAGTAAGAGAGACTGAGAAGAAAACAAGAGGAAATGGGTAGAACTAACTAGAGCGAGACAAGAAAAATAAGACACAGGCTCCAAGAGAAGTGTTAGGGCAGAATGCCTAGTGCTCTTTTTCACAGCTTGGTGGTTATCTGGGACCTGAGCATAAGTTACCTCTCCCATCACTCTTCTTTGAAATAATCTATCAGTTTAGAAAGTCTCTTTTGCACTGAGAAATAGTGGCATGGTTTTATTTTAAAACTTCAAAGTTAATTTTTTGGCCGGGCTCAGCGGCTCACGCCTGTAACGCCAGCACTTGGGGAAGCCGAGGTGGTCGGATCGCTTGAGGTCAGGAGTTTGAGACCAGGCTGGGCAGCCTGGCGAAACGCTGTCTCTACTAAAAATACAAAAAAATTAGCTGGGCGTGGTGGTGTATGTCTGTAATCCCAGCTACTCAGGAGGCTGAGGTGGAAGAATTGCTCAAACCCAGGAGGCGGGAGTTGGAGTGAGCCGAGATGATCACACCATTGCACTCCAGCTCAGGCGACAGAGTCAAACTCCATCTCAAAACAAACAAACAAACAACAACAACAACAAAAAAATCCCAGAACAAACAAAAAAACTTCAAAGTTTATTTTTGAAGCAAAAATACTTACTGTTTCATAGTAGTCTATATTTTCTACAGAGTATGAAACAATGATCTAGGTTTTAGAGGATCTGTAAACTAGCTCTTGCCTAAAGTCCCTGACATGTACAATCTGTTAGATTGCTGGATACTTTTTGTGGGGGAGGTAGTTTGAGGTTTTCTCCAGTGTGCTAATGTTACAGTTATAACTGACTTACGAAATAACTGCCTTAACTCTTCTTTTCTTTTACCCTAAATGAAATCTTCTTTGTGGTCTGGTTTGACCCTATATGTAGTCTCATTTGACCCTATATGTAGTCTCATTTGACCCTATATATGTAGTGGCGGTAGGAACTAAAACCCTCAGGAAAAGGTGAGTTACTAATATTTGTAGTTTATCTATCAAACAATCTATCAAATTCCAGACTTTCAGTTCAAAATGAGACAGCCACGAAACTGACCAAATGAAACTGCACTTGATATTTTTTTCTGTTCCACACCCCGCACTCATCTGCCTTTACTTACTACCTTTAATCTGTTGATAAAATTGGGAAAAAAACTACATACTGCTGAAAGCAGATTATAAAAATGAAGTTACCAGCTGGGCGAGGTGGCTCATGCCTGTAATCCTAGCACTTTGGGAGGCTGAGGCGGGTGGATCACCTGAGGTTAGGAGTTCGAGACCAGCCTGGCCAACATCGTGAAATCCCATCTCTACTAAAAATACAAAAATTAGCCGGGCATGGTGGTGCACACCTGTAATCCCAGCTAGTCTACTCGGGAGGCTGAGGCAGGAGAATTGCTGGAACCTGGGAAGCAGAGACTGCAGTTAGCTGAGATCGTGCCACTGCACTCCAGCCTGGGCAACAGAGCGAGACTCTGTCTTGAGGAAAAAAAAAAAAAATCACAAGGAACTGAATTATGTTTAGTCCATGAAAAGGAAGATATAAAGAACAGTCTTTGAACAAGTAAAATTCCACCAGAGAGAAGGGCATTCTGGCTCTAACATATATAATAACTTCCCATTCATTAATAGATTCTAGAGGGTGTTAACTGATGTGCTTGCAAGTGGGGAAGAAGCATCATATCATAAACTTGCATTATTGATCCAAATACAAGTGATAACTTTTTCATGTATAAAGGCTTCATGACAAAAAGCTAGATAATTGGCAGAAAACTGGTTGATGATATAGTCAGCATTTCTGAATAAAGAAATGAAGAACATGAGTGGTAACAAGAGCGTTTTCTGACGGTTGAGTCATTGTACTATTTCTTCTTGGATCAGGAAGATACTCATGTAAGAGAGTACACATGATGACTCCGAACAGAAGAACCAAAGTCACAAGATACTGCCACACTTTGAAGAAAATGGCAATTTGCTATAAAATGACACTGGCTCTCTAAGTCTGATAATGTAACAGAAAGACAAACTGTTATATTTCAAATTACATGTGACCTTTACAATGGCCACTGCTCACTAGAGAATTCTGTTCAAAGATTCTAACCCAGTTTAAGATGAATCTTAAGGTTATTTCCTTGCTGTTTCTTTTCAAACCCGTACTTACCTGGCTGATGTTTACATATGACCCATAGGGTTGGTAGTTTCACTAAGCCCAGGATGGGTTCCTGGCAGTGTGGTTGGCGGCTCTGCCGATACGGCAGAAACTTTTTCTTCTTCCCTTCTCTTAAGGCAGGCTGCTTTGGGGTTAAGGTTCCTCTCTAAAACAGGGGGAAAGAATTTTTATCACTATGGTTTTAAGTTATGAATTAGGTCTCAAGCTGAACAAATTGCTGTTGTTTTGTGTAACTTCATTCCCATACTAAGTACCATCACATAGAAGAAACAATGTGCTCACATAAAACCTCAGCATTGAACTGAGCCTCCAGATTTATACTTCTAAGTGACCATCTTGTGTTTTCTTCATTTTTTGCTTATGATTTAGTTTTCTAGGGTTTGATTTGATTTAAATCAAAATGCTACTCTTCACTCAAACATTTTGGCAAATGCTGTTGTTATTAGGCTACCAAGTCTCTTCAATGTCCTACTAAGACACGGTACACTGAATTGACATGAATGCTGACATCTTGTACTTAGAGAGAGACACCTGTGCTTTATCTAAAATGTTACCAGTTCAGAAAAGGATAAAGTAAGAGATATCCTCAGCTATTCCTCTAAAGCAGTGGTCCCCAACCTTTTTGGCACCAGGGACTGGTTTCGTGGAAGACAATTTTTCCATGAACTGGGTGCGGGGGGCTGGGGGGAAGGGGGCAGGGATGGTTTCAGGATGATTTCAGCACATTACATTTATTGTGCACTGTATTTCTATTATTATTACATTGTACTATAAAATGAAATAATTATACAACTCACCATTAAGTCAGTGGGAGCCCTGAGCCTGTTTTCATGAAACTAGATGGTCCCATCTGGGGGTGATGGGACAGAATGACACATCAGGCATTAGATTCTCATAAGGAGCAAGCAACCTAGATCCCAGATCCCTTGCATATGTAGTTCACAATAGGGTTCATGCTCCTATGAGAATCTAATGCTGCCGCTGATCTGACAGGATGTGGAGATGCAAATGATGGGGAGTGTCGGTAAATACAGATGAAGCTTTGCTGGATTGCTCTCTGCTCACCTCCTGCGGTGCAGCCAGCCCGTTCGTTCGTAACAGGCCACTGGTACTGGTCCGTGGCCCAGGGGTTGGGGACCCCTCTTCTATAGGAAATGTGCCAATTCGAGGGAGAAGGATAGATAGGTGGAGCACATCTTACTTTTCTACTTTGATATGTATGTGAAACAAGATGAATGAGTTGGTCTTTCTATTGCTGGAGGTGTTATTAAAAGGGTGGTAAAAACCTCTGCTGCTTCTTATAAAAGATAGCAAACAAGACTGCGTGGGATCTGTGACACGGGCATTTTCAAAAGAGGTTAAAGAATAAGCTGAGAGGTACAAGGATCGCTTGAGCCCAAGAGTTGTCAAGGCTGCAGTGATCGTGCCACTGCACTCTAGCCTGGATGACAGAGCAAGACCCTGTCTCAAAAAAAAAAAAAAAAAGAATAGGGTGCTACTGTGAGAAATAAAGGGAAAGAATATCCATCAGATCAAAAACCCACTGGATCAAAATCTACTTACACACTACTTACTATTCCTGTTGGATTTTTTAAAAAATGAGTTTTAAGCCCAAGATATCCATAGCTTCTGATATAGCTTTTCATTTGATTATAACATATAGTATAGGTTAACAGTTGTTCCACATATTTTTATAAATGGATTAAAAATGCCCTAATGAATATAATATAAAGGGATCATTTGTAATTAGTCTAGAATGAAAATAGTATTTTTTAGAAGTTGTAATATTTTATGTCAGATTTTCTTGAAATGAGGGCATAGCCGATATACCATTAGTACAGCTCCCCTTTTTCCATGTCCCCACCCCACCCCCAACCATTTTTTCAGAGATGGGGTCTCACTACGTTGCCCAGACTTGCCTTGAACTCCTGGGCTGAAAGGATCCTCCCACCTCAGCCTGTCAAAAAGCTGGGACTACCAGCAAGTGCCACTGTGCCGGATTCCCCTTTAAAGTAGGTAAAAGTGTATCTGGATGTATAAATTTCAATACACATTTACAGTTCACATCCAAGTTTTTAAAAAGTAAACAAAAATCTTCATTATGGTAAACTTAGCTGACTCCTGACTATCAGTGATGCATACTAATAAAATTTCATTTTAGAGTTCTAATTTTCTAAGCCCCTGTATTTAGAAAGACATAGAGCCTATACAACTATAAGGAGGATGAATGAAGGAAGAAAGATACACTCTTAGTTAATTTATTAGGGTAACTAGCAGGAAAAAATAGTATGTTCATCATTATGCAAAAAATATTAAGAGCTGCTTTCTTAATAAGTAGTTGTGCACCTCTAACAAATAAGAGTTCGTCCTTCATCAGTTTGTTTTTTATAAGAGACTGTGGGCTGGGCGTGGTGGCTCATGCCTATAATCCCAGCACTTTGGGAGGCCGAAACAGGCGGATCACCTGAGGTCAAGAGTTTGAGACTAGCCTGCATGGTGAAACCCGATCTCTACTAAAAATACAAAAAGTGAGCCAGGCGTGGTGGCGGGTGCCTATAATCTCAGCTACTCGGGAGGCTGAGACAGGAGAATCACTTGAACTGGGGAGACGGAGTCTGCAGTGAGCCGAAATCGCGCCACTGCACTCCAGCCTGGGCGACAAGAAGAGCAAAACTCTGTCTCCAAAAAAAAAAAAAAAAAAAAAAGTGAGACTGTGGAGGTTAAAGTCTCATATAATGACCCGAGAGACTGAGAAGATGGCATGGATTAGCATGTAAAACTTAAAGAGGAGAATGTGAGATGTGAAAATTTTCCAACTGAAAAAAGGCTCACATTTCTCTTTATAATGGAAAATTGCTCTTAGCCAACTATGACTCTATCACACCAGGATCTAGGAGACATGATGAGAAATGCTTGGAAGGATCAGCACCAAAAACTCAGTAAATTAGGCAAGATCTTTCAGGTTCCTATATTCAGACAAAGAACACTTCTGGCAGGAAGAACAATACTATGGCAGACTCTAGGAAATGTGAAATAAATACACAACTTTGATTCAAAAAAGACTAAGGCTACTCTTTCATACCTCTTGGTGTGTGACACAGACCACGGCAAATGTGTGCTAAGTAGCCAGAAAGATCTGGTACTTCTCATTACCTGCAGGGCATGAGAAGTATGTCTTCCCATATTTCAATTAGGGGAATTCTATCTATTGACTTCTTATGTAGTTGAGGACTTGACTCTCTTATAACATCAACTTTGCAACATGTTTATAGCAAAATTTTTGGCTAACTCACTAGTCACTTCTTACATTATTATGACTAGGAAAATATTTATGTTATTATGACTATATGGAGATAGCTGCTGAGGTTAAGAATTTTACAGTAGCCTGGGCAACAAAGTGAGACCCTGTCTCTACAAAAATTTAAAAATTAGCCAGGTGTGCTGGTACCCACCTGTAGTCCCAGCTACTGAGGGGGCTGAGGTAGGAGGATCACTTGAGCCTGGGAGGCTGAGACTGCAGTGAGCCATGATTGTGCCACTGCACTCCAACCTAGGCAACAGAGCAAAACCCTGAGGAAGAAAGAAAAGGAAAGGAAAGAAAAGAAAATACAAGACAAGAAAAGAAAGGAAAGGAGAAAAAAAAAAAAGGAAGGAAGGAAGACAGGAGGAAAGAACAAAAAAGAAACAAAGACAGAAATAAAGAATAAGACAAAAAGAAAGAAAGAAAAACAAAGAAAAAAGGAGGAAAGAGAGAAAGAGAAAGAAAGAAAAAGAAAAGGAGAGACAGGGACGGAGAGAGAGAGGGAGGGAGAGAGAGGTAGGGAGAGAGAGGGAGAGAGAGGGAGGGAGGGAGAGAGAGGGGAGGGAGGGAGAGGGAGGGAGGGAGGGAGAGAGAGGGAGAGGGAGGAAAGGTTTGATCCTTTTGTAGTTCATGAGCATGATGATTGGGTGTTCACGAGTGTGTGTGAGATGTGCCACCCTCCAACCTTGTTATGACCTCAGCACATTACCCATCTGACCTCAACTTGGAAAAGAAAAAAAATTTTTTTTTTTACAGTGATTGCTCCCTTGCTCATATAACTGTTTATTTTTCCTATAGTTAATAGCTACTTGTTTTTTCATTTGTTAGTAATGCAAATTCCGTCTCCCTAACCCCACCACTGAATGCTCCAAGAGATCTAACAAATGCCTATCAATATATTTTCCTAAAATCTTGAACACATCATCAATTAATTCCATTTTCTTTCCTTGGAAACCTTTCTTCTGCAGCTAATAGTATTCAATTTTCAATGGACTAGTTGCTCTCTAGGCCCAGTAGCTCTTGTCATGGGATTTATTTTTGCTGTTTTTCTATGTTAAATCCTTTGTTTCCTGGATTCTATAACATTTGTCTTTGTTGATTATGCACTTATTTGGTTAAAGCATATGTTCCAGATGCTTTCTGAAAAAATATACACGAGCCAGGTGTGGTGGCTAATGCCTGCAGTTCCAGCTACCTGGGAGGCTGAGGTGGGAGGATCGTTTGTGCTAGGAGTTTGAGACCACCCTGGGCAATACAGTGAAACCCTGTCTCTATTTTTTAAAAGGATGTATATGGAAGGTAAATTTTTAAAGGATTTGCATATCTGATATATCTTTTTTTTTTTCTTTGAGACAGGTTCTCACTCTGCTGCCCAGACTGGAGTGTGGTGCTACAACCATAGCTCACTGCAGCCTCAATCTTCTAGGGCTCAAGTGATCCTCCCACCTCAGCCTCCCAAGTAGCTGGTACTTCAGGTATGAGCCAAGACATCCAGCTAATTTTTAAATTTTTTTTAGAGATGCGGCCTAACTGTTGCTCAGGCTGGTCTCAAGTCATCTCCTGGGCTCAAGGGATCCTCCTGCCTTGGCCTCCCACTGTGCTGGGATTACAGGCATAAGCCACTGTGCCCAGCCAACTTAATTTTTTTTTTTTTTTTTTTTGAGATGGAGTCTCACTCTGTCGCCAGGCTGGAGTGCAGTGGCACAATCTCGGCTCATTGCAACCTCTGCCTCCTGGGTTCAAGCGATTCTCCTGCCTCAGCCTCCCAAGTAGCTGGGACTACTTGCGCACGCCACCCCACCCAGCTAATTTTTGTATTTTTAGTAGAGATGGGGTTTCACCATGTTGCCAAGGATGGTCTCGATCTCTTGACCTCATGATCTGCCTGCTTCAGCCTCCCAAAGTGCTGGGATTACAGGTGTGAGCCACTGCACCCGGCTGCCAACTTAATTTTTATTTAGAGACAGGGTGGACTTGGCACTGTCACCCAGGCTGGAGTGTAGTAGCATGATCACAGCTCGCTTCAGCCTCAAATTCCTGGGATTAAGTGATTCTCTTGACTCAACATCCCAAGTAGCTGGGACTATAGGCACACACCATGCCCAGCTTATGTGGAATATCTTCATTCTATATCCATCTTTTGATTAATTGTCTGGCAAGGTATAGAATTCTAGGTTGAAACTGGCCAGGTGCGGTGGCTCACGTCTGTGATCTCAGCACTTTGAGAGGCTGAGGTAGGCGGATCACCTGAGGTCAGGAGTTTCAGACCAGTCTGTTCAACATGGTGAAACTCTGTCTCTACTAAAAATACAAAAAATTAACTGGGCATGGTGATGCGTGCCTGTAATCCCAGCTATGGAGGAGGCAGAGGCAGGAGAATCGCTTGAACTCAGGAGGCAGAGGTTGCAGTGAGCCAAGCTCACACCACTACACTCCAGCCTGGGTGACAGGGCGAGACTCGGCCTCAAAAAAAAAAAAAAGGAAAAAAAAAAGAAAAAAAAAAGAATTCTAGGTTGAAATTATTTTCCTCAGAAATTTGAAGGTGCTGCTCCACTATCTCCTGGAATCCAGTACTACTGTCCAGAACGCTGATGATATTTTGATTCTTGTTTCTTTATCTATAAGCTATTTATATTTTATCTCCAGAAGCTTTAGAATATTTTTTTTACCCGAATGCTCTGAAATTTCATGATTATGTATTTTAACTTCGGGGCATTTAAGAAATCACTGTATTCAGCACAAGATTAGATCTTACCACTCTTGAAACATGTATTCTTCAGTACTTAGAAACAAATAAGTACCACTATTCCATCGACTTTCTATCCTACATGCAGCTTTCGCTATTTCATCTGCTATGGTCTCCTCTCTCATCTGTCCTTGTGGGTTAAAATGAATATCATTTTTATTTATTTTAGTGGGGATGTAGGAAAGATTGCAGTATTATCACTGCATATGCTAAGTCTACCACATTTAACCATCTCATTGCACCAGAATCTCCTGGGGTAAGGTTTGGAAATGTTTGAGGAAAGAAAAGCTTCAGGTGATTCTGGGACCAGCCAGATTTCAAAACCACTGTCCAACACCATTTATGTTCAAACTCACTTGTAGAACAGGAAACTGAAAATCTAATAGTTCTCTCATCACTAAATTATCAAAAGAACAGTGACCTGACTAAGCTGACCTGTGAAAGAGCTTGAGAGGAGGAAATGTTTAACCACTGAGTCTTGAGTAACGCTGAGAGTACAAACTTGAAGGTCATTTGTTTTATCTGCTGGGGAATAAAAATGGCAAAGGTACAAATAACGTTGTAGTCATGATAATGGAAAAGCTTAAACTGGCAGTGGGGACTTAGGGTTTGACAGGTGGGGCAACAAGGCACAAAAAATGCTCTGGCAAAATCTGAGGCTTAGAAGAGAAGCCACTCTTCTCTGGGATGAACTGCTAGACCTGGGTCTGCTTGCCTCCTGGTAAAAATAAGCATCCAGTGATTGTGACAGGTTGGGTCACAATCAGATACAGTCTTGCAGCATCATCCCAAATCAGAAGGGGAGCCAGAGTGCAGAGGATGCCCAAATAGGTCATGTAAACAAAAGCTGTTTTTATAGAAAGTGTTGGATCAGGGACTGCTAAGGAGGGTCTCTGTACAGGATGAAGAGGCTCTCAAAAGTGATCAAGTCACCAAAATAACTCAAAACTGTAGGTAAATCGAGGAAAAGACAGTGGCTATACAAAACTCTGAAGGTGTTGCCAAAGACAAGGCACAGGTATTGTGGCCTGTATGAAGGGTTCTAAACCCTATCTGACAGCCATAAGAGTGTCCTTCAAGGAGTCTGAGCCCAGGCATGGTGGCTCAGGCCTATAGACGCTTGAGGCCAGGATTTCAAGACCAGCCTGGGCAACACAGTGAGACCATCTCTACATACGTACACACACACACACACACACACACACACACACACACCCCTACCTTACAAAGATCCCTGGGCTTTTATGTAAAGTCCTAAGATAAGGCTTCAAGCCCAGTCTGAAGGCCGGGGAGAAGTAGGCTTTTCTGAATATCAAAGCAATCCCTAACGAAGTTACAGTTCAGTGTATTTGAAATCTGTTCAAACTCTCATCAGTCAAAGAGTCCTTAGACAGAGCTTTACAGAACTGTATGAAACAGTCAGTACCCATAACAGACCAGAAAGTCAGTAGTAAGAAAGCCTAGATGACAGATCTTCTCTCAGACTCATATTTTCTGTTCTAGGTGCCCGCATGGAACCACTGGAAATTCCAATGTTACAAATGAATAAGGTCCATCTAGGCATGGTAGAATTTATGTTTTATTTATTTATGTTTGTGTTTTTCCATCACAGAAGTATTTCTCATTTTAATGGCTTAGATCTGAAGTAGGTATCTCTGTGCTTAAAAAAAAAGTTTTTAAAAACACAAATGACTGCATTCTGATTCTAATGCACTATGGGAGGAAAAGGTGCTGTGTACTAGAATAAATTCTGGTACTCCTGTTGACCAGACAGTAAGACTTTTACAGCTGAGATGGAGGCAGTGGCTTTAACAATAAATGGCTGGGTGAAGTCAGGATAGAAGATATCCTGGGCTGAAGAAGAGGAGGATGAGTGTACTTGAACCACTGAACATAGGTGCCTTGCTGCCTTCAGAGCGAGACAAAGGGTGTCAGACACAATTCAAGAAAAAAAACCATTGGTAAAGTGACAGGAGGTATCAGTAGTTCAAGGAACCACTGCTTCTGCCACAGGCGAGTGGGTAACAATCTGCCTCCTTATGGATATCACAAGGGAGTCTATAATTACTTGAAGATTAGGTTTCATTAACATTTATACTCCACAGATATTTCAAGGACCTTGGGAGAAGAGGAGCAAGTATCCATTTTTAACATTAGGTTGATTATACACAAAATGATCTATCCCTCATTCTTATTCATTAAATATATTGGAGGGAAGTGGATGAATTAACTACTACTGTATATATTTCTGAAAGTTTGTTCAAGTTCTCTAACTCTGGTTTTCCTAAGAAAGAGTACTCATTCTGTAATCTAATGCTGAGGCTCCATGGCTGTAGTTTTCAAGCATCTGCCCACCCTATTCTTTTTTGAACCGTCTTCACACAAAATCGAAAGAATTGCTCTGAGAGAGACTAGTGGTCAGATCTGGAACCTAGGGCCACATCTATGAATTCCTTGCAAAAAGGCTTAGGATATTTTAAGACAATATATAAGTATATGGAGAAACTCAAGCTTGATGGTAAAACCTCTTAAAGATAAGAAGCTTCTATTATTTGATAACCCAGGGCCTAGGACACAGCTGGTTGGAACAGAGGAGGTATGCAATAAATACATGTTGAACAAATGAAGTTTCAAAGTTTCTTCAAAACTGCAACAAACTTCCTGAAAAATGAAACTGAGTCAGCACTGGGTGAGCTCTTTTGCCCTTAAGGACACAGAGGCATGCCGATGTATGTTAGCCCAAAAAGTTCTTGGTGTTCCTGGTCTGGGGTCAACAAAGAAGCCCTGAGACCTTATTGACATGGGTGTAAAGGTATCTGGCAAAGGCAGAAGGGATGATAACAAGGCATCCTATTAACCAGCAGGGCACGGTAGATACTCCAAAGTAGAGCAGGCAAGAAAATGAATACAGAGAAGTAGGAAAGACATAAAGAGCAGGGAGGAGGGCAGGTCCAGGCAGGGAAATTTAATGGTTGAGAGATCAGAAGCAACCAGAGCAAAGAGACACAAAGCACTATTGCTGAGCAGCAGGCAGAGGCTGTTTGTTATCTGCTTTGCTTCACAGAATTACTCTCTATTGGTGGAGAACACTCAGCCCACAGATATTGGGTGATACAGTGAGACAGAAGTGAGAATTACAGGAAAAACGACCCTGATGATACAGTAGAAGAAGTACTGGGAGAAATAACAAACAACTTCTCCAAGCAGAAGAGCAACTGTAAACAGAAATGTCTGCCCATCTGAAGCAGAACAGTTATACATCTCGGCTGAACCTACTTACCTCTGACTTGCTGTTCTAGACTAAGGATGACTGCCACGGCTTGATGAAGAATAAGGAGTTTTGTTTGGGGTTTTTCACTCTTCAAGTGAAGCTGACACATTCGGCCAAGCTCTTTGAATGCTTCATTAATATCCCGCACGCGTAAGCGTTCTCTGGCATTGTTAGCCATCCGCCTCTCCTTCTCCCTTTCTATCTTCTGTTCAGGGTTCAAATCCTCATCTTCATTAGTACTGCTAGAAAATAAAGTAACAACAAGGTCTATTAGGTTTCCTATAAAGTAAGATATGCTGATTGTGCACAATTATAAAGCGTAAAGATGGAAATGAAAACCACCTATAAATCTTGTAAACAGTTGTAATAGGTGCAGTTAACATGACTGTATATTCCTTTCAAATTTTTCTTCAATGCACATATACAGTCATACAGTTGAAATATACTACATACACTCTTAAGTGCATTTTTCATTGCACATTATAGCATAAAGATTTCTCCAGAAACTCTTCATAAATATAAGATCAACAACTACATAATATTTTAGCACCTTGCTACACAAAATGTGATCCACAAATCAGCAGCATCAGCATTACTGGGAGCTTGTTAAAAACACTGGAGTAGAATCTCTCAGGTTCTGCTCCCATCTTACTGAATTAGAAGCTGCATTTTAACATGTTTCCCAGATGACTGATATACACATTACAGTTTAAAAGCCCCCCTAGTACATGAATGTATAATTTGCTTAGCCTATGCTCTTAAATATACTCTGGCGGTTACCTGGCGAAAAGAAAGAAGGAAAGCTTAAGATATAGATTGAGAGAAGTATCCCAGAAAACGGCTATTTTTTTGTTCTAGAGATAAATTATCATCAGTGGTGATAATTATAAAACATGGGAGAAATGACACAATTTTTTGAAGGGCAAATTGGCAAAACGAATCCAGAGCCTTAATGTTTATTACCTCTTGATCAGCAATTCCAACTTTGGAAATTCATCCTAAGGATATAATTAGAGATGTACATAGAAATTTATGTAAAGGGAGATGATCACAGAATTATTTACATTAGCAACATATTGGGATTTAATAATAGCAAATGGGTTCAATAAATCATAGTACATTCAGACAATGGCCCATTATGTTGTATCTAAAATCAAGTTGCAGATTATGCTAAGTAAAAAAAGCCAGTCATGAAAGATCACATACATACTCTACAATTCCATTTACATGAACTTCTAGAAAACACAAAACTATGGTAGCAGAAAGCAGATCAATGGTTGCCAAGGACCACGGGATGGAGGAAAGGGACTCACTACCAAGGGGAATAAGGACATTTTTTGAGGTGGATTCTACATTATGAATAAGGTGGCTGTTAAATAACTTTTACACTTGTCAAAATGACAAAATATATACATTTTAACATACATAATAAAGACTGTATATTTAAAATTAGTGAATTTTATTATTACATGTGTATTAAGCCTCAATAAAGCTGATCCAAAACAAAAACAAAATACTTAAAAAAAATACATTGCCGAGGTGGGTTGCTTCCAAGATGGCCAAATAGGAACAGCTCTGGTCTACAGCTCCCAGTGAGATCGAAGAAGAAGATGGGTGATTTCTGCATTTCCAACTGAGGTACCTGGTTCATCTAATTGGGACTGGTTGAACAGTGGGTGCAGCCCACGGAGGGTGAGCTGAATCAGGGTGGGGCATTGCCTCACGTGGGAAGTGCAAGGGGTTGGGGGATTACCCTTTCCTAGCCAAGGGAAGCCATGAGTGACTGTACCTGGAGGAGCAGTATACTCCTGCCCAAATACTGCGCTTTTCCCACAGTCTTCGCAACCAGCAGACCAGGAGATTCCCTCCCGTGCCTGGCCTGGTGGGTCCCAGGCCCACGGAGCCTTGCTTGCTGCTAGCGCAGCAGTCTGAGATCGACCTGGGATGCCTAACTTTGGCAGGGGGAGGGGCATCCACCATTACTGAGGCTTGAGTAGGTGGTTTTATGTTCACTGTGTGAACGAAGTGGCAGGGAAGCTCGAACTGGGCGGAGCCCACCGCAGCCTAGCAAGGCCTACTGCCTCTCTAGATTCCACCTCTGAGGGCAGGGCGTATCTGAACAAAAGGCAGCAGACAGTTTCTCCAGACTTAAATATCCCTGCCTGACAGCCCTGAAGAGAACAGTGGTTCTCCCAGCATGGCATTCGAGCTCTGATAATGGAGAGACTGCCTCCTCAAGTGGGTCCCTGACCCCCGTGTAGCCTGACTGGGAGACACCTCCCAGTAGAGGCCAACAGACACCTCATACAGGTGGGTGCCCCTCTGGGACGAAGCTTCCAGAGGAAGGATCAGGCAGCAATATTTGCTGTTCTGCAGCCTCCGCTGGTGATACCCAGGCAAAGAGGGTCTGGAGTGGACCTCCAGCAAACTCCAACAGATGTGCAGCTGAGGGGCCGGTCTGTTAGAAGGAAAACTAACAGACAGAAAGGAATAGCATCAACATCAACAAAAAGGACATCCACACCAAAATCCCATTCGTAGGTCACCAACATCAAAGACCAAAGGTAGATAAAACCACAAAGCTGGGGAGAAACCAGAGCAGAAAGGCTGAAAATACCAAAAGCCAGAACGCCTCTTCTCCTCCAAAGGAACACAACTCCTCATCAACAAGGGAACAAAACTGGATGGAGAATGAGTTTGATGAGTTGACAGAAGTAGGCTTCAGGAGGTCGGTAATAAGAAAGCTGTTCTCCAAGCTAAAGAAGCATGTTCTAACCCACTGCGAGGAAGTAAAAAACCTTGGAAAAAGGTTAGACGAATGGCTAAATAGAATATCCAGCATAGAGAAGACCTTAAATGACCTGATGGAGCTGAAAACCACAATACGACAACTTCGTGAAGCATACACAAGCTTCAATAGCTGATGCGATCAAGCAGAGGAAAGGATATCAGTGATTGAAGATCAAATTAATGAAATAATGCGAGAAGACAAGCTTAGAGAAAAAAGAGTGAAAACAAATGAACAAAGCCTCCAAGAAATATGGGACTACATTAAAAGACCAAATCTACATTTGATTGGTGTACCTGAAAGTGATGGGGAGAATGGAACCAAGTTAGAAAACACTCTTCAGGATATTATCCAGGAGAACTTCCCCAACCTAGCAAGGCAGGTCAACATTCAAATTCAGGAAATACAGAGAACACCACAAAGATACTCCTCAAGATGAGCAACTCCAAGACACATAACTGTCAGATTCACCAAGGTTGAAATGAAGGAAAAAATGTTAAGGGCTGCCAGAAATAAAGGTTGGATTACCCACAAAGGGGAGCCCATCAGACTAACAGTGGATCTCTCTGCAGAAACCCTACAAGCCAGAAGAGAGTCGGGGCCAATATTTCAACATTCTTAAAGAAAAGAATTTTCAACCCAGAATTTCATATCCAGCCAAACTAAGTTTCATAAATGAAGGAGAAATAAAATCCTTTACAGACAAGCAAATGCTGAGAGATTTCGTCACCACTAGGCCTGCCTTACAAGAGCTCATGAAGGAAGCGCTAAACATGGTAAGCAACAACCGGTACCAGCCACTGCAAAAACATGCCAAATTGTAAAGACCATCGATGCTATGAAGAAACTGCATCAATTAATGGGTGAAATAACCAGTAGCATCATAATGACAGGATCAATTTCACACATAACAATATTAACCTTAAATGTAAATGAGCTAAGTGCCCCAATTAAAAGACAGAGACTGACAAATTGGATAAAGAGTGAAGACCCATCAGTGTGCTGTATTCAGGAGACCCACTTCATGCGCAAAGATACACATAGGCTCAAAATAAAGGGATGGAGGAAGATCTACCAAACAAATGGAAAGCCAAAAAAAAAAAAAAAAAAAAAAAAAAAAAAAGCAGGGGTTGTGCGGTTGCAATCCTGGTCTCTGATAAAACAGACTTTCAACCAACAAAGATCAAAAGAGACAAAGAAGGCCATTACATAATGGTAAAGGGATCAATGCAACAAGAAGACCTAACTATCCCAAATATATACACACCCAATACACGAGCACCCAGATTCATAAAGCAAGTTCTTACAGACCTACAAAAAGACTTAGACTCCCATACAATAATAATGGGAGACTTTAACACCCCACTGTCAATATTAGACAGATCAACGAGACAGAAAATTAACAAGGATATCCAGGACTTGAACTCAGCTCTGGACCAAGCGGACTTAACAGTCATCTACAGAACTCTCCACCCCAAATCAACAGAATATACACTCTTCTCAGCACCACACTGCACTTATTATTCTAAAATTGACCACATAATTGGAAGCAAAACACTCCTCAGCAAATGTAAAATAACACAAATCACAACAAAACGTCTCTCAGACCACAGTGAAATCAAATTAGAACTTCTCAGGAAAAAAAAAAAAGAAGTAAACAGTGGTTAATTCTGAATAGTGGTGTTTCTTGTGATTTTTGTGCATACTTTTCTGTATTTTCTACATTTCTGTAATGAAAATAGACTACATAATCAGAAAAAAAAACATATGAGGGAGATGCTCTGTAACAGCTTATAGAAAGTTCTATTTATGATTCAGATATAAATTACTGACCACAGCTTCTCAGAACCTTGAAATAATGTACAAAAATATTAGACATTTTTACCTCTTCTTTAATACCCTGAGTATTCTAATAAAAGAACAAGTACACAGGCCAGGCATGGTGGCTCGTGCTTGTAACCTAAGTGGTTTGGGAAGCTGAGGCGGGCATGGGAGAATTGCCTGAGTCCAGCAGCTTGAGGTTATTGTCCACTGCACTCCAGCCTGGGTGACAAACAGAGACTCTGTCCCTAAAAAGTATGCAATATTTAACCTGCTAATCATTAAGAATCATATAAATGCATTCTTTTGACAAAAGAAAATCACTGGTTCTTTGACTTCAAAAAGTCCTTTAAAGATCATCGAGCCCAGTGGTGTCCACAGATAGCCACTCATTAGAATCTCCAAGAGCACTTGAAAAATACAGCTTTCCAGGTCTCACTACCAGAGATGCTAGACTCACTAATTTAGTGAGTTTGGGTTGGGGCCCAGGCACCTGTATTTCTAAAATGTTCCAGGGTCTGGGCAGCAGGGTTGAGAACCACTTCAAGACCTAGGATCACAGAGCTAACTGGTGGCAGTATGATGATGAGATGTCAGCTCAGTGCTCCATGGAAGCAAGCCTACACCATACACTTAAAATTACCACCATAACACTACCACTGTAACAGTAGATATAGTATCTTTATTGAGTGCTTACTGTGTGCTAGACCGTGTGCAAAGGGTTTTACATGCATCATTTTCAGGTTATTCCTACAAGAATCCTGTAACAGAAAGTCTCCTTTTAGAGAAGAAGAAACTGAGCTCAAAGACTTGCCCAAAGTCACTCGGCAAGTATGTAATGGAACCACAATTCAAACCCTTATTTTGTCCAAAGGTCATGTTATTAACCTATTCATTATTATGGACTATTACTAACCTATTACACTGCCTCCTAATTTCTGATGACCTATAATATGGGTCAGCAAACTGATCTATGAGCTGGTCATCCTTTTTTGTAAGTAAAATTTTATTGGAACAGCGATACCCATTTGACTTTGGCTACTTTTGTCCTCTAATGGCAGTGGTAAGTAGCTGTGACAGAGACTGTATGTCCAGTAAAGCCTAATAATAGTCACTATTTGGGACTTTACAGAGAAAGTTTGCTGATTCCTGATCTATAAGAAGATGAATATGGAGGAAAGATGTAAATTGTTTCCCTTAAAATTCTATTTGAATAAAAACTATGTAAGAGTTAAGATGCCTCCAAAGAGTGGTCTCTGAATTCCTTGACACAGTTTTTTCCTTCCTTATGCCCCTGATAGTTGAGTACAATACATATTAAAGTAATAATATTAAGATCTTAAGATTTCCTTTTTCCCAAGATAAATGTTTAGGTGTTGAAAACAGTGAGAATGTCAAAAGAGCAAAAGGACACCTTTTAAGTTGTGAATGACAGAAAGGAACATTCTGCTTCTTTTAGTTTTATCTACCATCCTCATTGCACCATAATTCAACACAAAGAACAATGTTTTAAATCTGTATAAGATATATACACATATCATTGATAAATGAATATGTATGCCAAGAAATAGGGTGTACCACAAATATACTAAATGATCTAACTTTTAAATTTTCATTAGAAAAAAGTCTTTTTTTAGAGACAGCATCTCTCTGTTAGCCAGGCTAGAATGCAGTGGCATGATCATGGCTCACTATAGCCTCAAACTTCTGAACTCAAGCAATCTTCCTGCCTTACCCTCCCAAGTAGCTGGGACTACGGGTGTTTGCCACCATGCCCCGCTAATTTTTTGTAGAGACAGAATCTAGCTATGTAGCCCAGGCTGGTCTTGAACTTCTGGCCTCAAGAGATCCTCCTGCCTTAGCCACCCAAAGTGCTGGGATTACAGGCATGAGCCACTGTGCCTGGCCTAACTCATCTAATTTTAATGTAGAACTGGAAGAAAAATTTGAAGGAAAAATCCAGAAATCACTTGAAACTAATGTACTATGTGTCTATATTCATACTTCAAAGCAAAGTCAAGTCCATTTTCTAGAAAACTCCACGACAACATCATTCTGCCTAGAATATTTCCTTTTTCATACTTTTCTCAAATTACTATTTAATTGTTTGTTAAAAAGAAACATTTTTTCTGAAGGACCAGATGGTAAATATTTTCAGCTCTGATGGGCCATATAGTCTCTGTGGCAACTATTCTAGTCTGGCAATGCAGTATGAAAACAACCACAGACAATGGATAAATGAATGTGGCATGGTGATGTTCTAATAAAACATAAAAATAGGCAGCAGCCAGGCGCAGTGGCTCACGCCTGTAATCCCAGCACTTTGGGAGGATGAGGTGAGCAGATCACTTGAGGCCAGGAGTTTAAAACCAGCCTGGAAAACATGGTGAAACCTTGTCTCTATTAAAAATACAAAAATTAGCCAGGCATGGTGGCATCTGCCTGTAATCCCAGCTACTTGGGAGGCTGAGGCTGCAGTGAGCCAAGATCACCCCATGGCATTCCAGCCTGGGTGACAGCGAGACCCTGTCTTTAAATAAATAAATAAATAAATAAATAAATAAATAAATAAATAATAAAAACAAAAACAAAAATAGGCAGTGAGCTGGGTAGGCCCATGGGCCATAATTTGCTTGTTTAAATCAGAGTCTTACCATATATTTAGCCCTTATATTAATATACAGTTATGAGCCCATAACATTTCAGTCAATGAGGGACTACATACATGACAGTGGTCTTATTATACTGGAGCTAAAAAATGTCTATTATATAGTAATGTAGCTGTGGTAAGGCTGCAGCACAACACATTAGTCACGTTAACTCTTTGTTTGTTATAAACAAACCTACTGTGCTGCCAGTTGTATAAAAGCATGCAATTAAGTACAGTACACACTACAGTAAGTCCTCAATGTCATTGATCAGTTCTTGGAAACTGCAACTTTAAGGAAAATGACACATAATAAAACCAGTTTTATCATAGGTTAATTGATATAAATAAGAGTTAAGTCCCTACAGTACATTTCTGGTGACAAAATATCATCAAACTTCTAAATAAAAACCAAAATACACTTCTAATATTAAACAATGAAATAAATGTGAACTATGCATACATTTAAGAAAGACTCATAAAAATAAGTAAGATTATTATTTACCCAATTATTCCAGTTCAGGGTCGGGGGAGGCTGCAGCCTATCCCAGCAGCTCAGGGAGCAAGGTAGAAACAATCCTGGACGGGATGCCATTTCATTGCAGGGCACACTCACACATACACCCACACTCTCTCATACTGGGACAATTCAGACACATTACTCAACCTAATACGCACATTTTTGGGGTGAAGGAAGAAACCGGAGTACTTAGAGAAAACCCACATGAGGAGACATGGGAAGAATGTGCAAACTCCACAAACAAAGAGGCTCTAGCTAGGAATCAATTTTTTTTCTCATCATTTCACAAAATGATGTTCTTTGAGGACCTGCTGTACTTGATAATAATAATAACTAATTATGTTATTGGTTTATGTATTTATACTATACTATACTATACTATACTATACTATACTATACTATACTATACTATACTATACTATACTATTTATCATTAGAGTATACTTCTAACTTAAAAAAAAAAGTTGGCCGGGTGTGGTGGCTCACGCTTGTAATCCCAGCACTTTGGAAGGCCGAGGTGGGCAGATCACTGGAGGTCAGGAGTTCGAGACCAGCCTGGCCAACATGGCGAAATCCCATCTCTACTAACAATACAAAAATTCGCCGGGCATGGTGGCAGGCACCTGTAGTCCCAGCTACTCTGGAGGCTGAGGCAAGAGAACTGCTTGAACCCGGGAGGCAGAGGTTGCAATGAGCCAAGATTGTGCCACTGCACCCCAGCCTGGGCGACAAGACCTCAAGGCAGGTCCTTTAGGAGGTATTCCAGAAGAAGGCTTTGTTACCTTAGGAGAGACAGCTTCCTGCATGTTACTGCCTGTGAAGACATTCAGTGGGACAAGATGTGGAGGTGGAAGACAGTGATATTAATGATCTTGACCTTGTGTAGGCCTAGGCTAACATGTGTGTTTGTGTCTTAGTTTTTAACAAAAAAGTTTGAAAAGTAAACAAACAAACAAAAAACCACAAAATTTTAAAAATAGGAAAAAGCTTACAAAGGCCGGGTGCGGTGGCTCATGCCTGTAATCCCAGCATTTTGGGAGGATGAGGTGGGCAGATCACTTGAGGTCAGGAGTTCCAGACCTGCCTGGCCAACATGGTGAAACCCCGTCTCCACTAAAACTACAAAAATTAGCCTGGAGTGGTGGGGGGTGCCTGTAATCCCAGCTACTTGGGAGGCTGAGGCAGGAGAATCACTTGAACCTGGGAGGCGGAGGTTGCAGTGAGCCGAGATGATGCCACTGCATTCCAGCCTGGGCGAGAGAGTAAGACTCCACCTCAAAAAAAAAAAAAAAAAAAAAAAGCTTACAAAAGAACTTAAAGAAAATATATTTTTGTATAGCTATATAATGTGTTTGTGTTTTAAGCTATTATTACAAGAGTCAGAAAGTTAAAAATAATTTAAGTTTATAAAGTAAATGACATACAGTAAGCTAAGGTTAATTTACTATTGAAGAAAAATATTTTTTAATAAATGAAATATAGCCTAAATGTACAGTGTCTGTAAAGTCTACAATAGTGTACAGAAATGTCCTAGGCCTTCACATTCACTCACCACCTGCTCATTGAATCACCCAGAGCAATTTCGAGTCCTGCAAGCTCTATTCATGATAAGTGGCCTATACGGGTACCATTTTTTATCTTTTATTTTTACTGTGCCTTTTAGGTGTTTAGATACACAAATTCTTACCATTGTGTTACAATTGCCTACAGCACTCAGTTCAGTAACATGGTATACAGGTATACAGCCTAGGAACAACAGGCTAGGTTTGTGAAAGTATACTGTATGTTTGCACAATGATGAAATTGCCTAGCAATGCATTTCTTAGAATATATACCATTGTTAAGTGACACCTGACCATATTCAAATATTTATTGATCAAATCTATCTAAATGTCCGTACCACATGATTTAACTTCTTTTAGCTATTTTACCTTCTACTTATCTAACAGACTAAGCAACTTGAGTGAAGAGATATAATTATATTTTATATATAGTCCCTCAAATGGTATAGTATGAAGGAAAACATAATTTTGAAATCAAACCTTCATATACTTCTCTTTTATAGAGATGATGTGGTGATTAAATGAGACAACATACACAAAAATCCTAACACAATATCTAGAACATAGCTGACAGTTAATAAATGCATGACACCCAGCTTCTCAAGTATGTTTACCTATGGAAAATGAATAAAATTTAAAACCTGGATGCTAACAAATACCTTGTTCTGCCTCTAGATGAAACCTTGATATCTTTTTGGGAGGATTCATCATCTGACTTCATGTCATCTGATGAAGGAGGTTCATGAAGGTTTTCATCCTTTTCTTTGTTTTCAGTCTTGATTTCTGTTGTAACAACAGTTCCAGACTGACTTTGCAAGCCACCTAACAAAGAGGCAAAGGAAAGATAAAATAAAAGACGAGACTCATATATGAATTACAGCTAAGACAATAAAAAGCTTTCTAGCTGGTGAATATCCTTAGCAGTTACAGGGTTATGATGGAGGTTTGAAGATGTAGGAAAGTATACTATTTAGAGCTGAAAAGAATATATCCACATCCTTGTGCTTTTTAACAGCATTTGTATTTAGAAGAACAAGTCTGACCCCCATGACCAATTTAATGCTCACTTTCAGGCACTATTTAACAAATGAACAAGGATGAGAAACTATGTATTTTAGAAACTAACTTCTAAGATGTTGCAGAGGTAAAGGACATAAGCTTAACATCTTCCTGGATAAACAGTAAAACAGGCATCATGGTTAAATGTAACTGGGAGAACTTTATTTTGGTGATCTTATTTGCACTTTCAAGTGCTCTATCTTCACACTTACTTGTAAGCTCTATTGGAACAGTGATCAAGTTTGCTTTTTATCAAAATTGCATGTCTCTTCAATCAAATGATAATCTCTAAAACAACAGCTTCCATCATTCGGAGCTCTCAGTATAATCAGAAATATCTCTGTCAATGCCTCTAAAGACCATGAAGATACACTCATGAGGGAAAATGTCTGAGGAAGAGGGACATGACAGAACAGGAAGAGGTAAAAGATAACTGGTAAATACTGAACAATGGTCTGTACGTGGCTCTATTCATCAATAAGTATCTGTAATTGTCAACCTAGGTGGGCCAGTTGGAACCCTAAATATCTGCTCTCCACGCTATTTGGAATTCCCTCACCTCAATGACTTTTGATTCACAGATGTCAATCCAGCTGTGAGAAAGGTGACAGTGTTCCAAATGATATCTCTGTCTGCATTATTTCTGAAAACCAACAATATAGTTACCTCTATAATTTTCTTGTGTTTTATGGTTCAGGTCTGTGCTTGAAGTAGTGACTGTACTAGACAGGACTGAATGATTGCCATTGAGACTGACAGAGTCTTCCCGATGAGTTCCAACCTAAAGTTAAGGAAAACCCAAAAATAAAAAAAGATTAAGATAGTTCAGAGGCAATAACTGTCCAAATTATTTTACTAGGTTTAATAGAGAAAACAGTGTCACTCATCTGATTTCAGCAACTTTTTCTGGATGCCATTATTCTGGTTTTTGGGGAGAATTTCAAAATATTAATACTTCATAGCAGTACTGCTTTTAAATCAAACCAAAACATACCTTTTTTAAAAAATGAAACTTCTAATTTGTAAATTTTAAATCCCACAGAGGGTGTTTGTGAGAAGCAAATGAGCTGACAAAGCATTCTATAAGCCACAACGCACTACGTATTATAAATCAATCTGAAAATCTATTTCATATAATACCTAAATACATTAAAGTATGCATGAACTGGCATTTAACAAAATACTGCTACATTCCAAGCAATGCAAACACCATCAAACAGTCAGCTATTGCAGTATTAACTTACATAAAAAAACTTGTTACGGATGAAGTTTTTATTAGAATAGTAGCAGACGTGTCAACTAGAAGATTAAGCTTTTAATTAAATAGGTTTATTGGCTGGAGTTATACATGAGAACCACTGTTTTTCAATAAATCCTTCAATCCTAGTAAACTGCCAAGCTTTGAATCCCTCTTGAGTAATTAATATAGCTTTTATCTTCCATGACTTTGCATGATTTTACCCTAAGAGGAATAAATACCCCTATGCAAGTTTATCCTTTGGTTTTTCTGTGAACTAAACAAAAGGAACCAAAGCAAAATTTTAGGCAATGCAGGTCATTTGGTAGTAGATCTAATTAGAATAGATTCGTTCTTCCACCACACTTTCCATGAAATGTTTGTCTTTTACACTTATTCTCATCTTTATTTTTAAGAAACATAGCCATTTAGTGGATTTTAAAATTTAATTTAATAGTTACTTTTAAAATGATTTTAGGATTGGTCATTGCTGAGCATTATTTGTGTCACTACTCCCTTGGGTAATAATCATGCCTCCACTACACCCTTTCTCTAAACCACACAATTTCACGATGTATTAGAATCACAAAACCTTAAAGCTGGGAAGGGACCACAGAAACTATGGCAGACTTCCATCCTACTTCCCACTTTCAGAAAGTTTTAGTATTTGGTTGTTCCCCTAAAAAAACTTGAGAAGAATCTGAAGTACTCAACCTAACAATCAGTAAAGAAATGGACTGTGAAAATTGTATTCAAGAGAACAAATTATTTTTAAAATGTTTCATGAAATTCTGTTTCAAGGGTATCCTGGTCTTGTTTATTCTTAACGAATGAGGGTGCTTTCTTACTATGAAGTACTCAGTGATCTAAGAGGAAAGGAAGTTCAAAATCCCATTTTATAAAAATAGATATGGGCAAACATAATATACGGCTGCAAATTCTTTGGAACCTTGGAAGATTAGGCCTACTCTAAAGATTAAATAAATCTAGGAGAATTTTGACGGGCTGGGGAAATAATTGTAAGTTAAAGTAAAAGCTGAGGTGTATTTGTATTTATAATAATGTGGACTTAAAACTTCTATGACCCCTGGCAATATATACTAATTCTGTTTTACATAACATTTTGAACTATCACACCAAGTAATTTAAAAAACAGCCTTCTAAAATTTAAATTTTAAACATATGTATACTTAGTGTATGTTATACATGTGAAACATTTTATAGCTATGTAAGACAATACTACTGAACAGTAACAAATTGAATTTTCACTTATCTAAGTGATGATTCATCTGCTGAATTCTGATTTCCTTTTACTTCATCAGTATAAATAATTATTTGATTTTTTTAAAGCTCAACTATTAAAAAGTGTCTGATCATTACCTAAATAATAAATCTTAGAAATTTTACTTTTCCCTTAAGGAAAATCAGAATGGGTGCTAGATTTGTTTTGCAACAGAAACACCAGGAAATATTTTTACACTATAGAACAATACAAACTAAGTATTTTCTCACACGAACTTAAACATAATTAGCTTACAAAAGAAAAAATTTAACTGGCACACATAGCAAAAATATAAGCCTTTAAAAAAATGGCCTCAGACTAGACGAAGGCTTGAAGTCTGGAGTTTTTCATGTCAATGAAGTTAGCAGGAACTTTTTCTTTGTAACTTGATTCTCCTTGCAAATGGCCCTCATATATTTTCTGGAGAATTTGACTTTCACAGTTCTTATAGTTCTCTTTAACCCTTGCTCTCCTGGGCTCCCATGTCTTCCCTTTAATCCGCAGCTCCACATTCAAATGGCTCTGTCTACACATACAACAGGTGTATAAACAGTTCTTTGTCTGAGCCTAGAGCCTGTGGGGCCAGCCAGATAGGACTCGGTTTAATTGTTCACCTCGTTAGCATACAGCTGACAGGCTGCCGCTGTTAGGGGAGTAGCAGGGCAAGGCAAACCCCAAGGCCTGCTACCCTCCACGTTTCAATGATTATGAAGAGCTCCATTTCAGAATAAAAGGCCCATGCCATTAAATGACACCATCCTGCATACTCAATCTTCACAATCTATGTATGGCCTTACTTTTCTGGAAGCACCCAACAAGGGACTTGTTTTCATTTAATTTGGCCGATGGCTTTAGCATTCACAATGGAAAAATGTTAAATCTAATTAGTTGATGAATAAGAGAGGTCTTGTGAATTGAGGGACAAACTGGAAAACAGCATGAATTCCTCTTGATTTTGAATCGTATTCTAATAATTTGTACCATTCACTGAATACTAATGATTTAAATTAATCACTATTAATACACAGATTGCTTAAAGGATCTTTACATACTGTCTACTCCAAGATTTTGATTTATCTGAAGAGAGGTTTTACTAGAAACTTGGTAGTATTACATTTGTTACAGTTCCTTTTACATATTTCCATAAATGTATATAACCTCTATGGCTTTCAAATTTTAAAAAAGTTGCCATTTTGAACAATTTTATATTTTAAAATGTTACCAAAACCCTTAAAAAAGCACTATAATGTCGTCTTAATAAAAATAAAAATTTAAAAAATTGCCCATTTAGGAAAAAATTACTTGCAGAAAGCAAAAAAGTGGTTAAAAGTAAAATCTTTCTATTCAGTTGAAACATAGACACATAATTTCTACCGTATTACAAACCCCATTACTAAAATTAAATACTGTCCAAATGGAAGATTAAAATGATTTCAAATTTATTTTGATAAATGACAAAAATGCCAAGATAATTTTGAATAAAATATTACCCTATTTGCCTGTCAGTCTTTACTTAAAGTCTCCTGTAACTAAGAAAAATATAGTTTCTCTAATTGCTTTAAAATTTAGAAAACAGACATGATTTATATTTTTAAATCATTATATAGGGTAGCCTTACACTTTACAATTTAACATTAGTTACTACGCTCTCATACAAGAATATGTCACTTCTTCAACCACCCCTTAACAACAAAAAACCCAAGCAATACCAAAAAATAACTAAGAGAAATACCTGTATTAAATTTTATCAGGACTTATAACAATGAATCAAAAGATCTCACAAATGAAATTTTATCCTATGTCATGAATAAGAAACTGTTTAGATCTGCATCAAGCTTCCATTAGTACAAAATGCTTCGAATTTCATTTAGTTTTGGTTTGAAGTTGAAGTTACTGTCTGACTGAGGAATAACCGTACTTTTCATTAAAGAGAAAGGTGTTTTGATGGAGTTACCTTGTTGGGCCTAGGTACTTAGGTATTACGGCCATAAATCAATGGGATGTCGCTAACTTTATATTGCAGAGAGCTCTTTTTATTGCTCCAATGAAATTCACGATTCCCCTTTTTTTTAAATTGATACAGGGTCTCACTTTGTCACTCAGGGTGAAGTATGGTGGTGTGATCACGGCTCACTGGAGCCTTGAACTCCTGGCTCAAGTGATCCTCTCACCTCTTTCTCACAAGTACCTGGGATTACAGGCATGCGCCACCACATGTGGCTAAGATGAGGTCTCCCTATGTTGCCCAGGCTGGTCTTGAACTCCTAGGCTCAAGCAGTAGTCCCACCTTAGCCTCCCAAAGTGCTGGGATTACAGGTGTAAGCCACCATACATTGCTAAAATTCATGATTCCTTTTATTTTCAGTTTTCTACTAAAAAATTTTCCTTCTTCTCAGCAGTTTATTCTAAAAGTTTAGCCTTACGCTAAATAAATGGGAACAAAACTAAAGCCAAATGCTGACATTTCAATAGTTCTAAAAACTCTTGATTTCGCGCTTTAAAATTTAAATGATATATCAGTATCAAATACTAATGAGAACAAGGAAATGCTCAGCCAAATGGTTACTGTGTCCGTGTAGACCTTACACTGCTAGTAACCTTGATCACTGACTTGTCCGTACTGCAGGCTGGGAGCTGACCTGTCTGTACCACTATATATATATATATATATATATACACTTTTTTTTTTTTTTAAGAGACAGGGTCTCACTCTGTTGTCCAGGCTCAACTGCAGTGGCATGATCATGGCTCACTGCAGCCTCAAACTTCTGAGCTCCAGCAATCCTCCTGCCTCAGCCTCCTGAGTAGCTGGGACCACTGGTGTATGCCACCATGCCCAGTTAATTAAAAATTTTTTTTTTGTAGATACAGGTTCTTACTTTGTTGTCCAGGTTGGTTTCAAACTCCTGCTTCTAGCAATCCATCGAGAATGGCCTCCCAAAGTGCTGAGATTACAGGTGTGAAACACCATGCCTGGCCTGTACCACTTTTATCCTGCCATCAACTCTTACTCTTCCACTACCAGTGGATCCTGGCTTGCCTCAAGTATTCCAATTACTTCAATAAAACTCTCAAACTACTCATTAACATAAGCCAAACGTTATAGGCTCCAAGAAAAAGAAAAACATGCTAACCCCATTATATCTGCTTAGGTGCCAATTTATAAGCAGGAATTCCCAAGGTCTGGCCTGTAGCCAAATCTTGACCTATGTTTTTGTAAATAAAGGAGCTTGTTTTTGTAAATAAAGTTTTATTGGAATACAGCCGTGCCCATCTGTTTTCATATTATCTATAGCTGCTTTCACATTACATTGTCAGAGTTAAGTAGTTGTGACAGAGACTATACAGCCTACAAAGCTGAAAATATTTACTCTCTGGCCCTTTATAGAAAAAGCATATCAAACCCTTTTCTAAATGCTAGGAGGAAGAGTGATATATTTAAACCCTACAATTAGGATGCTGCCCATTAGGATAAAGTTCCATTATAACAAAAATGTCATCTGAATGCTCTGTGGAGGTCCTGAAAATATCTACGTTTATCAGAATACTTCTATTCTCTGCAATAAACAAATGGAATAATGAAAGGCAAATGTCTTTGAAAGAAGCTGACCTCATGAATTCTATATGGTGGTACCAAATTGCTGATCAACAAGTATTTCTGTGATCACTTTGTAAGTCTGGCCATATAGCCTCCATTATTAGGAGCCCAAAACAAATACTAACTTATGTTAATTCCGGAAAAAATCGACAAACTTCTGGAAAGTTATAAGAGACCAAAAACAAGGTGGGGCGGGGTGGGGGTGGGGGTGGGGAATCGATTCCAGAATGTAAAACCACATTATTTCTTAGTCATGATTAGTTAGGAGGATGTATTGTTGTGACAAGGGGACAATAAAAGCTGGAGATTAACTCTTGGAGCCAGTTGGCAAGAGTTACAAAAACATGCCCCCAAAATCACACACTCTGAAAGAATATGAAGAGTTGATTCCATATAGGTGGGTGCTGAGCATGTAAATAAAGTGATCCCAGCAGTACTAATGGAAGCCCTCAGACACGGAAAAGAACCACCACGATAAGACAGTCTTCCTCAATAACATGCCTAAGACTCTGCGGGGATAGTCAGTGGCAGACTAATCTTCATTTCATTCCATCCTTTGGTCTTTTTGCTGAAGCTGAGAACTGAGGACTCAACAGCTAAAAGGCTTACTTCAGAAGGACAGGAGATGAATACTGACTCACCTAACAGTGTCAGATTTTGTCAGCTAGTAACTTTATATTTTGAGGCTAAGCCTGCCAGATACATCTTATCTCCACTACTAAAAGTACTAGTGATTGTGTCTGGATGAGATGAAGATAGCAGATGATTTCTGGCAGATTTTCCACAGCTCTGTACCCGCTGAGAAGGTGATAAGGACTGAAGAGAAGGCTGTGACAGACACACTGAACAACAGCTTGGGCTAGTTGCTGTGGCACTAATGTTGCAGCTCAGACTAAGCCAGACTCACTTCATGTCTCAGAAGACCATTTTTTCTAGACTAATTTGAGATTTTTTTTTTCTTTTTACGAATATCTCTGGCCGGGTGCAGTGGCTCACACCTGTAATCCCAGCACTTTGGGAGGCCGAGGTGGGCGGATCACAAGGTCAGGAGTTTGAGACCAGCCTGGCCAATATGGTGAAACCCCATCTCTACTAAAAACAGAAAAATTAGCCGGACGTGGTGGCGGGTGCCTATAATCCCAGCTATTCGGGAGGCTGAGGCAGGAGAATTGCTTAAATCTGGGAGGCAGAGATTGCAGTGAGCCGAGATCACGGCACTGCACTCCAGCCTGGGCCACAGAGTGAGACTCCATCTCTAAAAGCAAAACAAAACAAAAAACAACAACAAAAAAATACCTCTGGCAGACCTTCTGTTGTTGTTCTGAAGTGGGCAGTGCATTCCTTCAGCATATAGTAGGAGCTACTTTCTTAGTTATAAGTTTTAGGGTGCCATCCAATGAAAGAGTTTTTCCCTCTAACAGTCTTCTAAAATGCACTAGGTTTCTAGGTGGCTTTGGAGGACTACATTTTGATAAGTCTCCCTTTCTATTATGGAATATCTGAAATTGGTAAAAAAACAACTTTCTCAAGACAGAAGTTCCATTTTATGCAAACTCCAACTGGGAGGAGCCAGATATATAATAAATACTGTAGCTGATAAGTTGGAATAGGAGCAGTAAGCTAGTAAAAGTGAAGAATTAAAAAATCATTAAGAGGTAAGGAATAAGAACTGCAAATGTTGCTGCTGAGACTAACTTAAAATTCAAGAATATTGATTTTTAAGTCATGCTTCTAAATAAGGATAAATAGTATTTCAACAAATTATTAAGTTATTCTGCATTCACATTTGTAACAAATTCCTTTTATTATACCATTAAAATTATTTCATTACTATTACCAGCAGTGATAACAATACCCTCTCATATTTTTTTCTTTCTTTCTTTTTTTTTTTTTTTTTTTTGAGACAGGGTCATGCTCTATGGCCTAGGCTGGAGTGCAGTAGCATGAACATGGCTCACTGCAGCCTTGACCTCCTGGGATCAAGAGATCCTCCCACCTAAACCTTCCATGTAGCTGGGACCACAGGCGCATGCCACTGTGCCAGACTAATTTTTTTTTATTTTTTGTAGAGATGAGGGTCTCACTTTGTTGCCCAGACTAGTCTTGGAACTCCAACCAATCCTCCCGCCTTGGCCTCCCAAAGTGCTGAGATTACAGGTGTGAGCCATCTGACACTTCCCCATTTTACTAGTTTAATAACTTACATATGTTTTGACACTTATTAGCTTATCAATAGCAATAAAAAGTACTTTAAAAGGAGACTGATTTTCAAGATTTCCTGACATTAAAAAAACAAACACAAAACAGGTATCTAATGTTACCCATGCTGCTGAAAATACAGTTCTCAGAAAACAAGCAGCCTTGTGTGACGTTTACTTCAGAGGCTCAAAAATGAGTGTATGTATGTGTAAGATATGTGAGTGTGAAAATCTGGAACCAACCCTATCTTACAGAATACAAGCCTTCAGCATTTAGGGCAATTAATTATTTTGATGATAGGTAAGTTTTTAGCCTTCATCACATGGCTTATAGCTAAAAATCTGCTTCGTAGAAGAACATTTCACAGCATGCAATGAACCTTAAAAACCATGCCATAAACATGCCAACACATGGTATAAGTTTAAAATAGCAGGTTCAAAAAGAACTTCATTTCTTTAAAAGATAATTTGGATAAAAAATAATGTAAGATGGTAAACACAGAATTTTTGATGTGTATGGCTGTAGAACGAACACCCCCTTTAAAAATTATCATACTTTTTTAAAAGATGGACTGAGTTCTTAAAAATTCTCTTTGTGGATTAATCTAAAATTGTTTCCTTTATTTATTACTGAAATTACAGCCATTCTTAAAACTACCTCCCCCGCAGTTCGGGAATAAAGTTTAAATTTGGATCTGTATAAATTACAGTTTCACATTCTTTCTACCACTGAAGGCTGGTTCTAAATTACAATAAACAACTTTTCTAGATCAGAACTCTTGCTATTCAGATTTCTTATGCACTATTTCAAGGCAAAAACTGCTGTGCCAATTATTACACATCTGGAAAAAAATCCAAGTTTTAGCTAAAAATGATCTCTGTAGAAAGCTTATGCTTTTTGCACAAGGTCACAAGAAGATTTTATGGACTAATACTTAGCCAATACTTTACTGCCAAAGACAGTAAAGAAAATTCTGAAAAGTCAGTCTTTGCCTTCCTTTCAGAAAGATCCTCTTCCCAAAGATTTCATTAAAGACATTTAGGACAAGAATCTTTAGGGTTTACTACAAAAAAGATGAGCATGATTTTACCATTGAAGCTGATCGACTGCTTGCAACAAGGCTTGATCCTCCATAGTTTGAATTGAGGCTTCCAATTGGTGCATTATGGGATGGTCCCAATAAACTATGTATATCACTGTGACCAGCAGGCAAACTGGTGGAAGGTCCCACAGCATGGTTCCGCAGCACATGGATTGCATCATCCAGTCTGTCTAAACGATCCTCCATTCGAGACTGCTGTATGGATTAAAAAAAAAACATGGTGGTTATTGCTGGCATCTGTTAGATTCATTAACTGCTACGTTTCCTACTATGTGATATGTGGAAGATAGCAAGTGAAATGCAGTATCAAGTAGCTTCAAAAGCAACCACCTGAACTATAAATCAACAACAAAAAAAGGCTGTATGTATGTAGATTATGCTAAATTTTCAAAGCTTCAGAAACAAATCACTGCTTTATAAAACGAATTTACCAAACTACCATGAGGTTATTTCTTTTAGCTTCTACAAAAAATGAAGGATACTATGTCATTTCTCAATAAGAGCTGCCAAAAAAAAAAAAAAAAAAAAAGTACAACCTATACTTTAATACTGATCTTTGAATGATGGCAATTTGGGGAAGGGACCTCAAATCCAGTAAGTTTAAGTTTTAATTTTGTCTTAAGTATATAAAGCACATGTAACTTATATGGTGAACATATCCAGATATGTTCTTTGACAAAACTAAATAAATGGTATTGTCTGTCTGTGGATACACACATGCCCCATACACAAACATATTAGAATTAAAAAAATCAAAAGCACATGCCAGTAGAGCTGTTTTAAAAAGGATCACTTTCAACAACATAAGAGACAAAATTATTCCTATATACTGTGATAAAAACTGAAACAGTCAACTGTTTGATTTTTAAAGATGGGAGTCTGTACAGCTTAAAGATTTTAAATGAATAGTGGGAAGTATAATTAATTGAAACACAAAAAAGGCACCATCTAAAAGAAATAGTACCTCACAGACATCCTTTAAGAAGGACATTGCATCTTGCAAATGCTCGTGAAGTTGCTGCTCAACTCGATTTTTCTGGCAAAGTCAAGACAGAACAGGAGGCAAAGCACAGGTTAAGATTAACTCCAAAAGAGATGAGGAAATAGCTGATATGCATGTCAGCATAACATGTTAGTAAAGTTAACGCCAAGACTTGCGAGATCTATTTTATTAAGATATGAAAAGGCTGGGATTCAACAGGGAAGTTACAAGGTTAGCATCTAAACAGCACACATTGCTTATAATTGCTTGCAAAATATATGAGAAGCAAACGTTCCTTCAATTTAAAATGTTTTGTTAGTCACAGAAAAAGAATGTTTCTCTTTGCAACCTGGAATTACGAATAAGAGCATGACTTAGCATTCCATCAAATCATCTTTATTGTGTTTTTATTATACCGTGTAATTCTGGGTTACAAATATAAGTATACAAAAGCAACAGTAGTCAACATTCTCCCACAAATTCTTCACGCTCAAATATCTAGAAGGTTCCTTTACTGCCTTGTTAAATAATGTTTTGCTTGTATAATTTGCACAATATACTTTTTTTTCCATAAGAAAACATGGGAAATAATACTTTCATGACAAAAAACACTGGTATTCACTTAAAATTTTTAATGGAAATGTAATAAACCACACACAGTATTATGAGAAAGTGTAAAATACAAAAGGGTAAAATTTTGCATTGCTGGATTAAATTTTCTTGCTTTTACTTGTCTTTTTAAAAAAAGTTTCCCTTTATATGTAGACATAGAAGCATAGAAAGATTAAGCCCTAGATTTGTCAAAGAAACAAAAACCCTCATAACACAATTTTAACATCAGCTGTCCTGACACCAGAAGCCTGATGTCCCAAAGAACAGATGGCAAAAGGCATACCCAATGTGTCTTATATTGTTCAAATGAATCAGCCATTTGTTAGCAAAGAATTCATGTGCAATGCTAGCCTACTGTTTCTTTATTGTTATGCCAGATTGACCAAAAACAAACAAACTCTAAGCTATCAGATAAAACTGATGTATAAGAGGCTCTTACCAGGGAGTGGAGTGAGTTTTCATAGCTTGGGGATGAAGGTGCTTGCCCTCCAGGTCTTGGCCACTGACTGGTACCTGTTAAAACCCAAAAGTAGCCACACACCTGGGTTAACTCAGTGATCTTGATAATGTTGTGAAGGAAAGGGTAAAGATACTCAATAACTAAATAAATTTACATGAATATTTTTGTTTGGCCTTCAGCATAGTATTGGCTACTTATAAGCCCAACACATTTTAAAAAATCTTTCATTATTAATAAAAAAAATGGGGTGCTGAGAAAACAGAAAAAAAACCCTGTAATTTTAAATACAGCTACCTTTATGTTTGCACATTCTTTAGACTTAGTCCACATGCCTATGTATCTTGAGAAAATGCACTTATAACGTACACACTTTTAAAATTCTGTCCCCCTTCCTATAGCATTGTACAGAAATTTTGATAATACTATTAATGACTACATTATTATTTCCCTTATTCTCTACACCTAGTCTGTTTTTTTGGTTTTGTTTCTTCTTTTTCTTTTTTTTTTTTGAGATGGAGTCTCACTGTCGCCCAGGCTGGAGCGCAGTGGCACGATCTTGGCTCACTGCAACCTCCACCTCCTGAGTTCAAGCGATTCTCCTGCCTCTGCCTCCCGAGTAGCTGGGATCACAAGTGTGTGCCACCACGTTGGCTAATTTTTTTTCTTTTTTTTTTGAGATGGCATCTTGCTCTGTTACCTGGGCTGGAGTGCACTGGTACAATCTTGACTCACTGCAACCTCTACCTCCCAGGTTCAAGCGATTCTCCTGCCTCAGCCTCCCAAGTAGCTGGGATTACAGGCACACACCACCACGCCAAGCTAATTTTTGTATTTGCAGTAGAGACAACGTTTCACTACGTTGGCCAGGCTGGTCTCGAACTCCTGACCTTAAGTGATCCACCCGCCTCAGCCTCACAAAGTGGTGGAATTACAGGTGCCAGCCATTTTGCCTGGCTTCTACACCTAATTTGCTTAGCCACTATTATTTCACTGCTAGACATTTTGGTTGTTACCACTCGGCTATTATGAACAGTGATATAGTAAACATTACTCTTGAGTTTTTTTCCCCCAGGGGGAAGGATGTTTTGAGGATAAGTAGCATTTCTGAATCAAAGGGTATAAATATATTAACGTAAGGACAAATTGCCTTACTAAGGGGTAATAGTAACTGACAGTGCCTTTAGCAATACACAGATGAATGAATTTCCCATGACTGTAAATGATCTTGGGGTCATCTATTAAAAAATTTCCCAAAATAGTTTATACCAAATACATTAATTAGGAAAATGTTATAAAAACTTGTTAGATGTTGTTTAGCCTTTGATGTTAGAAAGGTATAAATCTAATTTAAAAAATAAAGATAGAAAAAGAAAAGATACAAGTTCAGAGTATAAAGAATGAAAAAAAAGAAGCATAAAAAAATAATTCATCCATATGTTAGAGAGAAGGCAATGTTTTAATGGTCTTGCGAAAATACCTTTCAAAGGAAAAAGACAAAAACAACTGATCAAAATCTTCATTATTTCACGATTGTGCATCTGAAAATAAGTCATTTACAGAAAATAATAAAGACTAAATATATTTTTATTCTTAATAAAAGCTTCAGTGACAATTTGAATTATATTAGAAATCGAAGTTGGAAGTTGAAGGTTTAATTTGTCTCACACTAGAACCTTTTATTGCAGGTCAATTTGCCTTACTTAGGAAGCTAATGTGACACTACAATTTATTTGCTATCTTAGAAAAACTTGAGGTAAATTAGAACTATTATAGTTCATTTTAGCTGAACAAGACTATTTAATTATGAAACAATGTAGTAAGTGTATTCATCAATTATACACATTTTGCAAGTTGAAAAGTTGGATACAGATTCTTCATAACCTGATTAGATTTCACAATTATATGCATACTGTTATAATTACATAAATATACTTTAAATACTAAAATTGTGAGAAAAAATATGCACTTCAGTTAATTTTTTTTTTTTTACTTATGAGCAAATTATAAACAAATTATTTTAAGGACCATTAAAGGCTTCCTGCTAGACATACAAATGTAATCATAAATCAACTACAAATTATGGACAATCTAAAATTGCTCATTGAAACAAAAGCTTGTGGGCTAATTTTATAATTAAAAGGCAGAATTAATCAACCAGAAAATCTCAATAACTGACTATATGAAAAATATATAAAAACAACTAGCCAACACCTTACTGCTGATTTCAGTGCATTACTGCTTTCTAAGCACTGATGCAGAATTATGAATTTTAGGTGACCAGGTTAATCATAATCGATTTTGAAAAATACCTTTAATTATTAAAAAAGAATTTATCTTAATGTTGGTAATATTTTACTTTTCAATCATTTTTTCTACTCCTTCTGTAAGCCCCCCCGTAACAGAAGCCTGATCATCAAATTACTGACTTTGTGTGCAATATTAACACGTTTTACGTTCAAATGCCTCAGAATTGTCAGCATGCATCTGCTTTTGCAAAACAGGCTGTTTTTGAGATTGTTCATTAGCTTAATATTGAGGAATCAAGATGTGCACACTGAATTACCTGGGTAATCATCTACATAATTTTTGGTGCTATTAAAAAAACTGTACAAAGGTCTATCTTCAATGTGTAATTCATTAAACTGGAAAAAAATATACATACACTTAAACTTATTTTGTTTGTATTACAGACTGGCCCGTTCCAGTGTAACGCACTTTGTTAAAGCATGCTGAAGTCAGGTAACTGACTTAACACCAGGCAATCTGACAGGTAATAAAAATAAGTAGCTCATTGATTAGCTGAAACTGAGAATTTCTCTTTCTCTCCTTATTATTTTTTTCTGTGAAAGCTCTGAAGATTACTACTGAGTACTACAATTATTGAACTTTTATTCATTTATATTCCAGAAGGAGGTAATGAAAGGCAAAGGATGACTTTGCTTGTTTGCCTTCCAAGCTCCCTTAGTAAACTTATTCTCTTACTGCAAATGCTCATCTTTTCCTAAATAACAACTGTAGTAAACAAAGCCATTCCTCTCTTCTATCTTGTGGCCAGAGCACTGATTTTGTTCACAAGGGGTGTGGGAGGTGGGTCTGTCCTTTCCTAATAGGAACCAGGAGAGAGCAATTCTATTCTTAGCCCCAGGGACAAATCCAGATGCTAAGATAAACATGGTGGCACCATTTCTCTTGCAAGCAACTGCATTAGGCCCAGTGCTGGCCAATAAGACGTAAGGGGAAATCTGTTTAAGAGGCTTCTGGAAAAGGATCCTTAAAATAATTTTTAAAAGACTCTCAAAAGAAAGAGATGGGATACTGAACTTGAGTTGGAAGACATGAGTCCAGTTGTCTGGTCTCAAAATGGAGGTAAAACCGCTGCCCAACTGCAGCCGTTGCCACCACTGTGGGGGTGGGGTGGTGGGGGAGAAGGGCCATGATTCAAAGGAACCAGAGCTTTTGCAAAAACTTTTTACTGGTGGTCTGAGCTTTGAAACTACAGATGATAGTTTAAGAGACATTTTGAGAAATGGGGCACACTCACAGATTGTGTGGTAATGAGACCCCAAAAAACACGTTCCAGGGGCTTTGGTTTTGTGACTTACTCTTGTGTTGAAGAGGTGGAGGCAGCAAGGTGTGCTAGACCACACAAGGCTGACAGGTGTGTAGTGGAACCAAAGAGAGCTCTTTCTATAGAGGATTCTGTAAAGTCTGGTGCCCATCTAACAGTGAGGAAAATTTTTGTTGGTGGTATTAAAGAAGAAACAGAAGAATATAATTTAAGAGACTACTTTGAAAAGTATGGCAAGATTGAAACCGCAGAAGTTATGGAAGACAGGCAGAGTGGAAAAAAGACAGGATTTGCTTTTATAACTTTTGATGATCATGATACAGTTGATAAAATTGTTGTTCAGAAATGCCACACTATTAATGGGCATAACTGTGAAGTAAAAAAGGCCCTTTCTAAACAAGAGATGTAGTCTGCTGGATGACAGAGGTCACAGAGGTAGATCTGGCAATTTTATTATGGAGGAAACTTTGGAGGTGGTAGAGGTAGTTTTGGCTGTGGTGGAAACTCTGATGGAAGAGGAGGCTATGGTGGTGAAGGTGGTGGCAGCAGAGGTAGTTATGGAGGAGGTGATGGCGGATATAATGGTTTTGGAGGTGATGGTGGCAACTATGGTGGTAGTCCTGGTTACAGTAGTAGAGGGGGCTATGATGGTGATGGACCAAGGATATGGTGGTGGTGGTGGAGTGACGGTGGAGTGAAGGAGGAAATTTTGGCGGTGGTAACTACGGTGGTGGTGGGAACTATAATGAGTTCGGAAATTATAGTGAACAACAGCAATCAAACTATGAACCCATGAAAGGGGGCACTTTTGGTGGAAGAAGCTCAGGCATTCCCCATGGTGGTGAAAGTGGTGGATATGGTAGCAGAAGGTTCTAAAAACAGCAGAAAAGGGCTACAGTTCTTAGCAGGAGAGAGAACGAGGAGTTGTCAGGAAAGCTGTAGGTTACTTTGAGACAGTTGTCCGAAAGGCATTAGAGGAACTGTAAAAATCTGCCACAGAAGGAACAATGATCCATAGTCAGAAAAGTTACTGCAGCTGAAACAGGAAACCATTCTTGTTCAGGACTGTCAGAGCCAGTTTGCAAAAAGTGCAGCTACTGACTAATGCAATGTAGTGTCAGTAAGATGTATATTCCTGAGGTCTTTCATCTGTTGTAGCTTCGTCTTTTTCTTTTCACTACATCAGGTATATTGCCCTGTAAACTGTGGTAGTGGTACTGGGAATAAAAAAATAGGGAATTTTTAACTTTAAAAAAAAAAAGAGAGACGGTCTTTTTTCATCTACTGGAGATATGTCTGCATGTAGTACCCTGAACTGCTGTCTTGCTACCAGCCTGAGGAAGAACTGCAAAGTAGAGCAGGAGCCCTGACATAGGGGGCCAGGACCTCACAACACAAGATAATAAATCCTCTTACTGTTCAGACTAGCTGAGACAAGAGTTTCTCCTCATTTTAGCCTAAAGCATCCTAACTGATACAATATCTCAGAACCTTCCTTCTAAGCACTCTCTATGTAGAAATGTATGCTCTTGACCTGAAAAGTTCCCAAGGAAAACACTGGGGATTTAAAGAATGATGGCCTTAGAAGCTGCTTATGTGGCTCTGCACCTGTGTATCTATCTTTAAAAGACCTGTGCTAAGTCTAACTGATGCTCAAAAACATAAGGAATAGGGCAAGTGTGGACAATTCTACTCACAGAGTGGGTAGAATTTTTTTACTCTAGATAACAGGCCATTGCCACACAAGATGCAAAATAATGTCCACATATTTATATAGGAGCTCTGGTTTGCTCTGTTCTTTTCCTTTTTTTTTCCCTTTGACAGTGAATATTTTATCACACAGTGCTTTCCTTTCTTCTTTCTATCTCATCTCTGCCCTGCTATGGGTGGGTAAGGGTGTGTGTGTGTAGATAAGAACCAAGACACAGGAGCCAGGAGAGATGCACCTGCCTAAAATCAGTCTTTGATTTGCTGTTTCAACACAAGTATGTGAAAGTATTTTTCTTTGATTATGACTGCTGAATTAAAAAGAAGGCTTCATTACATAATTCAACAGCCCAGATTTTCATTAACAACCTGAATTAAAGAGAAAAAGACAGCATCGCCCATTAAATATCAAATAAAGATGAAGGAGGAAATGTAAGATTTTACTTGTGACCACTAGTTTTTTGGAAAATGTCTAAATCTTGGATTCTGCATTTCATTGATGACCCTTCATAGATGCTGAGCTCTGCCATGGCCTGCCTTCCTACTCAGTGTTCATTAAAACCAAAGGATACTTTGGCAGCTATCTTACTACACAGACAAGGCGAGGTAGTGGGAATGCTGATATGGAAACCTCGGATGAGAAAGTGAAACAAGCTGTAGCAAAAATGACATTGATAATTTTAGTAGAACTGTGCAAAGAGGGTGAGTAGGGTTAGAGTTACATCATTCTTCCTGTAATTTCAGCTCTGCTAAACAACATCTTTAAGTCAATGGGTCTTTCATAGTCTTGTCTATGTGGGGAACAGCTGTTTAACTTTTACTAGACAGCTGAAGCCCTGGTGTCTGAGAGAGTGGCAGAACCTGCTAATAGCTGAAAGCAGCTGCCAGCAGTTCATCATCCCCAAACCGGAATGCTTCTTAGTAGAGCCACAAGGCTAATACACAAAGCATAGGTGATGGCCAGGGCCACAGTGCAAAAAGGCTTAACAACAACAACAAAACACAAAACTGCATGGACTTAACTAATGGCTTGATTAGGAAAACAGAATTATTTCCCCAACTGTTGTTGGAGGAATATGGTAACTTTACCCAGTTGCCAAATGCCTTTTCCTCAAAACAATCTAACATATTTTTTCTTCAGCAAGGCTTTTCTCCAAACACTGCTCAGAAAAATATAGTTCGAGTTTTAAAATTATAGCTTAAAAGATATTAAACATTTTTATATACTTATATTTATTCCTAAGAAATAAAAAAAATCCCGTTTACAATAACATCAATCATGTCTCCACAAATTTATACTGTAGGATAGTATTTAGAACTTGTCTAAACTAACATAAAAAATATTAAGAAAAAAAAAACATGTGGGCCGGGCGCAGTGGGTCACGCCTGTAATCCCAGCACTTTGGGAGAAGGATGAAGCAGGTGGATCACTTGAAGTCACGAGTTCAAGACATGCCTGGCCAACATGGTGAAACTCCATCTCTACAAAAAAATACAAAAATTAGCCGGGTGTGGTGGCAGACGCCTGTAATCCCAGCTACTCGGGAAGCTGAGGCAGGAGAATCCCTTGAGCCCAGGAGGTGGAGGTGGCAGTAAGCCGAGATTATGCCACTGCACTCCAGCCTGGGCAACAGAGTGAGACTCCATCTCAAACAAAACAAAAACAAATGTGAACCACTTATCTCCACTAACAATATTCATCCACCTTCACAGAGAGTTTTTTTCCTCGGCAGAAAAACCACATCATTCCCAAGAATTTTTTTATCTATGGGAAATAACTTAGTTGACCTAAAAATAAAAACAGACTATCTAGCAGAAATAGTTATTCATCTTTGAATCTTACCCGTAGTACATGACAAGTGTGGAGAACAAGGAGGAAGTTACATGTACTTTTAAATAGATTAATCTTGTTTATTTTACATGCTATCTTATAAAAACCATTTTTTGGGGGGTAGGTATGGCGGCTGACACCTGTAATCCCAGCATTTTGGGGGGCCAAGGTGGGAGGATTGCTTGAGCTCAGGTGTTCAAGACTAGGCTGGGCAACATAATGAGACCCAGTCTCTACAAAAAGTAAAAAAATTAGCTTGGCACGGTGGCATACACCTGTATTCCCAGTTACTCAGGAGGCTGAGGTGGAAGGATCATTTGAGCCCAGGAGTTGGAGGCTGCAGTGGGCCAAGACCATACCACTATACTCCAGCCAGGGCAACAGAGTAAGACCCTGTCTCTAAAAAAAATAACTTTAGAAAAACTTTTGATTTCATTCTTTCTCCATATTTTATCTTCATTCCAATTGCCTGGTCTTATTTTTATCCTGTTGTAACTACTGTTCTTAGAAATGATCACAAATTACATTAAGAATCAGGGAAGATATTAATAAATAACTCAAAACTAGCAAATATTTCAATATTCTCCAAAATGAATTCAAGAGGAAGGCTCTCTTTACACACTTTCTTATAGTCAAAATCTAAATGATTTTTCACAAATTTTTATTAAAGTTTGTTGAGAAATAAATGAACTAGAAATATTTCCAAGTAGTCCCACCAGTTAGAAGTAGATAAAACAGAAGCCTACCTGTGAGAGGTGAAGGTGATCCAACTGGTGTTGATGGATTTGACGGAAAACTACTGCTGGTATGGTCAGGAGAATAAATCTAACCAGAAAACAAGAAATATACATGTATCAACATGTGACAACAGCACATACACAAATCCGTTCACATGGAGTTATTTTTATAATCTAGTTGTCACCCCTAAGACTTCAGAGTGAAAAAATTTCTTGTCAAGTTTTAGACTGTTTCATCATACAGAAGCCTCAGTTTAAAAAACAGGATTAAAAAGTATATATAGTCTAATACGAGAGGAATAAAATAGATCACATGTATTTATTATTCTAGGTGAAAATAACTTAAAGTTTCTGTTAGAACAGAAAAAGGAGAAGTATCTACAAAGTTAACAAATCTGACAATCTTTCTAGAATATGTTATCTAACTAAGTGGTATCTTTAAAAATAATCACCTCAGAAAGCTATTAATACTATCTTTTAGAATGGTCTTTATGGACAGTTTAAAGGCTGGACAAAGAAAATAATCTTTTTAATAGTTACCCCTTATCTCTCATTTAAAAAGTTACTCAGTTTGATCAACCACATTTTTGCCAATTTTAGCTCCAAATGATTGAGTGTTGTAAAACATTAAACTTATTCTCAGAAGATACTCTGTCATCCTTGAAGAAAGTGAAAAAATCCTGTTATGCTTCAAAAACTGTTTCCAAGATGATTTGTGGACTTCAAATCCTAATAGGTCTACTTTGAAAAGGATAAATTATCGGATGCATAAATTTAGGTATTCTGGCTCAAACTTTTATTGCAATACTTTATATATATTTCATATTGCCAAAAATAAATGGTGACAGAGATTAATTCAAGTACATCTAATTCAAGAGTGAACACTTTTTTTGAGATGAAGTCTCACTCTGTCACCCAGGCTGGAGTGCAACGGCGCAATCTCAGCTTACTGCAACCTCCACCCCGCCAGGTTCAAGCGATTCTCTTGTCTCAGCTTCCCTAGTAGCTCAGACTACGAGTGCATGCCACCATGCCGAGCTAACTTTTTTTTAGGATGGGTTTTTGTCATGTTGGTCAGGTTGACCTCAGGTGATCCACCCGCTTTGGCCTCCCAAAGTGCTGGGATTACAGGTGTGAGCCATGGTGCCTGGCAACAACAGTAAACACTTTAAAAGTCCCCTTAATCCAGGCACCAAAGGCCCATCCCTAAGATCTCTTCTTGGACAATCCTATTCTTTTAATATGCATAATAATCATTTTCGTATCTCAGCACTCAGGGCAGACAAACCAACTTATATGGATAAATTGTGGTCAAATATTTTAAAAAGGAAAACTACTTGTGAGTGCAAAAAGTCATCCAGTAGAAATGACCTTGCTTTGAATAAACTTAAGAGCTCTAATGAATTTAAAGAGACCCAATTTACAGCATACAAGGAATTTCAACATTGTTTTTAAAGAAAGCATAAAAATGTTCTTTCAAGATTTGACAAAGCCAGATTATTGGGACAGGTTCATATACAACAAAACTATACAAGTCACAATTTACGAATTTCATTTTTTTTTTCCCTGAGATGGAGTCTTACTCTGTTACCCAGGCTGGAGTGCAGTGACATGATCTTGGCTCACTGCAACCTCCACCTACAAGGTTCAAGTGATTTTCCCCGCTCAGCCTCCCAGTAGTTAGCACTACAGCCGCGTGCCACCAAGCCTGGCTAATTTTTGTATTTTTAGTAGAGAAAAGATTTCGCTATGTTGGACAGGCTGGTCTTGAACTCCTGACCTCAGATGACCCTCCCACCTTGGCCTCCCAAAGTGCTGGGATTACAGGTGTGAGCCACCACGGCCCACCAGATTTCATTTTTTAAAAAGGTAACAGGCTTTCAAATTGTAAGCAGCCCAAAGTCTACCTTCCTTTGACTACAAATGGATATATGCACTTCAAACAAAATACGCCAATTTGTATGACATTAGTAACTTATAATTGTAAATGCCTTTATACATCAACTATCTCAAACAGTCAGGATCTAGACACTGTATACTCTATTTTCAGGATCTAGACACTGTATACTCTATTTAAAAAGCTATTTTGGAAAAGTAAAGCTATGGAAAAGAGTTCAAAACACTTTGGGAGGATCTAGTAACAGAGAGGTAGTATAAGATCAATAATAGGCCGGGTGCGGTAGCTCACGCCTATAATCCCAGCACTTTGGGAGGCCGAGGCAGGTGGATCACCTGAGGTCAGGAGTTCGAGACCAGCCTGGCCAACATGCTGAAACCCCGTCTCTACTAGACATACAAAAATTAGTCGGGCGTGGTGGGCGACTGTAATCCCAGCTACTCGCGGGGTCTGAGGCAGGAGAATCGCTTGAATCTGGGAGGTGGAGGTTTCAGTGAGCCGAGATCGAGCCACTGCACTCCAGCTTGGGTGACAGAGTAAGACAGTGTATGAAAAAAAAAAAATCAATATTATTGGTTTTTAAGTTGTTACCTTTTAAAACATTCATTGGACACATGGGAAAATTAGCTTGGGAAAGTACATTTTTGTTCTTAGTGGCTTTGCACACATACATTGATTTATTTCAACCACATAAGTAAATTAGGGAAGGTCATCAAACTTCAACAGAAACAAAACATGTTTCAACATACCTTTTCCCTTTCTTTTTTTTTTTTTTTTTTTTTTGAGACAGGGTCTTGCTCTGTCACCCAGGCTGGAATGCAGTGGTGCAATCATGGCTCACTGCAGCCTCAACTTCCTGGGCTCAAGCAATCCTTCCACCTTGACTTCCCAAGGAGCTGGGACTACAAGCCCTCACCACCACACCCAACATTTTTGTATTTTTTGTAGAGATGGGGTTCCGCTATGTTGCCCAGGCTGGTCTTGAACTCCTAGGCTGAAGTGATCTGCCTGCTTTGGCCTCCCAAAGTGCTGGGATTACAGGCGTGAGCCATTGAACCCGGCCCTCAACATACCTCTTTACCACTGAAAACCACCATTTCTTATGTTCATAATTCAAATAATTATACCATTTATGAGCAATTGATGCTCATCTTTATGAAATATGTCTTGACTACAATATTGGCAAGGGAGGGAAAGGCTGATAACACTGATGGTGGATGGATGAGTGAGAAATCGTCAGTTCTATGCAAAACTGTCAACTAGCCCAACTCATGAAGCAGCATTTTCTGTTACATACTCCTTCTTTCGTATTCTTCATAGTGCTTACACTGTATTTCTAATCATCTACATTTGTCTGTTACCTGTTTTTTTATCCTTTCCCATGGTAAAATATAAGCCCCAGAAGAATGAGGAATTTGTCTTATTAATGTAGCCTCAGATTCCACAACAGTGCAGATAAATGGTGAGGGTTCAATGTACAGATATACAGTTGTCATTAAGAATGAAAAGCATAATCCTTGCCAGGAATTTCCATTTAAGTGATTCTTTTCAGTCTTTGTATTTGATAAAGTCCCTAGGGTCCATCTCTATTTTACTCTTCCATTTCCCTTAATGTAGGTTTCCCCAGAGTTCTAGTCTCAGTATTCTTTCATTTCCCTGTGCTTTATCTCTTGGTAATAGTATTCTTTGTCAAATATCAACTATCACATCCAGGTATGACTCCTAAATTGGTATCTCTCTTGTCACACTGGTTGCTAGACTTTTCTATCTGGACAGGATCTCTTTTCATCTCAAGCGCAGTTATGTCCAAACCCAAATTTTTTATCACCACCCCAAGCTTCCCATCCTTCCCATCTCTACTCTTCTATTTAGGTTAGTAGCACCATGCTTATGGTTACCATAAGTACTCTCTCCTCTTTTCCTCTGCCACTCTACCCTTCCCTCTGGAGACACCGATATCCACAATTCTCTAATGTTTCTGGGACAGGCACATGTCATAATCACTGCCATGACACCACTTTAAATCTTTACTCAAACTTGCGGCTGGACTACTTAAGTGTTTATATTTCTAGTTACTCCCCTCTCTTTCCATCCTATACATAATTGCCCTGAACTACTGTCCTCAAAAACTTTTTTTTTTTTTTTTTGAGATGGAGTCTTGCTCTGTTGCCCAGGCTGAAGTGCAGTGGCACGATCTCGGCTCACTGCAACCAGGTTTAAGTGATTCTACTGCCTCAGCCTCCCAAGCAGCTGGGATTACATAGGCGTGTACCACCATACCCGGCTAATTTTTCTTCCTCTTTGTTTTTTTGAGATGGACTTTCGCTCTTGTTGCCTAGGCTGGAGTGCAGTGGTGCAATCTCAGCTCACCACAACCTCTGCTTCCTGGGTTCAAGCGATTCTCCTGCCCCAGCCTCCCGACTAGCTGGGATTACAGGCATGCACCACCATGCCAGGCTAATTTTGTATTTTTAGTAGAGACGGGGTTTCTCCGTGTTGGTCAGGCTGGTCTCGAACTCCCGACCCAGGTGATCCCACTGCCTCAGCCTCCTAAAGTGCTGGGATTACAGGCGTGGTGTTGCCTAGCCCTTATAGTCTACTTTTAACCTACATACCCTATTATGCAAACAAAATATTTTTTTCATTTTCTAAACACAGCTTGTCCTCCTTTCAGAACGCTTGTTTCTTAACCTCTCCCAGATGGAATTCTACTTATCAAAGCTCAGTTCCAATGTCACTTCCCCATTTATACATTTTCACCTTCCTTATACTCTTAGAAAATAGTCTGAACTTCTCTCTGCTCTTTTACTTCACACTGTGTTATACATTATCATTATTTGTATATCTGTCTTCTCTCCTTGACTACAAGCTCTTTGAAGACAGGAAACTTATACTGGTCAACATTGAATCCATTATTGTATGCCAGTATCTTGTAAAAGTAGGTGCCCAATATATATATTTTTAACTTGAGTGATTAAACTACAATTGAAATTTGCTATAATACTAACTGATAAAAAGCAGGACTCAATAAATGGTAGTATTTATCTTGGTATTTATACAATGTGGGTCAGCAACAGAAATACCAAGGGCAAAAGAGCTTGTTATAAATATGACTTAATTTCAAATCAGTTTTATGGCATAAGCTTTGAGAATAATCATATGGTGAGGTTTCACTATTTCTGGGAATTAGTGTTGATGTACTAAGCTGTCCATATCACACTGTTAGGTAGGCATGGGCTTTTGAGGGTAGAAATGGACTACCAATCCCGATTTTCCCTGAAAACTCTGTCCTTACACTTAAACAATCCCTAACCATGTCAACAACTGGTGAAAGCTCCTTTATATCAAGGAAGGAAGAGGTAATAGTTTAGAGTCATATAAGAGCACTATCTTTAAATGACTTGGTGAAATGCCCCAATGCTATATGTAAAACTGGTGTAAACTTAAAAAAAAAAATCACTGTCTAAACGGGAGAAACAGCACCAAAAACATATCAAGTATAAAAATATATCATTTCTGGTATTTTTTCCAAAAGCAGCTTCTCCATTTGTACAATAAAAGCCAATTTTTCCACTCATCCATCACAGTCACTGGTTCTACTTTGCCAGTTAAAGTGATGACAGACAGAATTGTTATCAATACTTTTCCTAAATTTACAGATAGCCCTGTAAGTTACAGGACTTTTTAAAAAATCACTTTTACTTTCATAAAAAGAATGTGTATGGTGGGAGAGGAGGAGCAATACAACATTTGAAAAGCATGATAACACAGCCTTTTGGATCACAGGTCATTTCACTAAGCTTTATCTCTGAGTGTTTATTTTATTACCAAATCGCAAACAAATCATACTTATTCTATAAAAATTGTGCTACTTTAACTTCTAAACACAGGCTTTATTTGGCTTTATTCTAAATCAGGAATATGTTTCTTTTCATACTTTCTGGACTTAAAAGAACTCCTACATTGATGTTTGAAGGTAAGAATAAAAAGAAGAACAAAATCAGTTACTTAAAAAAATGGGGGTAAAGAGTGATTTAGAGTCTAGAGCATAAACAAAGTAAGCACTCATTCTGCATGCAGTCCATGGTCCTCATACTGTTAAATGACCAATAATGAATAACTCCCAATGCCTTCTGCCAGGCTTAAACGGTAATATGCCTCATTTTACTCCAACAAATGAGACTCCTCCTCCTATCAGTCATGGTCTATTCCAATCAGCAGGGTGCCAATAAGCCAGAGGCTAATGAAAAGGGCTTTAGACAAAAAAGAAACAATGGACTGCTCCCAAGCCCAACCCCGGAACTGTGAGCCCAATTTTTTAAACACTACAGTGCACATTTCAGTTAATCTTTATTATGCTAATGTTATTGAGTCTAAGGAACAAAGAAAGTTATTTCATGAATTACTTTTAAACATCAACTTCCCTGAATTTTCTTTTCTTTTGTTAGAGACTACTGACCATTTATCCAGATTAATACACACATACATATACACACACACACACACACACACACTCTCTCTCTCTCTTTTTCCCTTGCTCTGAGGTAGAAATCAAAACATAAATTATCACAAAGAAGTCTGATATAATCAACAAAGTTAAACAGTCTTCTTGTTTGATCTCCTCTAAATTAAAGACCAAGTGTTTTGATATGGTATTAGGCACCGAAAGAAACCAGATGTTTCTTCCTCTATATAACTCTCCACGGGCACAATCTTAAAGGGTTATTGTCTGGCAAATGTTCAGGGAAACACATTAGAAATGGCACGAATACCCAGATTTTCCTTTCCTTCTATCTACCCTAGGTTTTTTTTTTTTCTTTTTTTTTATCTAAACTAATGCATAATCCACAGGGCTTTGGGAACTTTGTGTAAATACTTTCATGTACAATTCTCTTTCTTGCTATCCTGAGATTAAGACCACAATTATGCAGGCTTAAACCTAAAATAAAGGAACCTTTGCAAATGCATTATCTGGCCTTACATGTTTAATCACACAGTATTCTGTGTGCTCTTTAATACCTAAACTGAAGAACAAAGGTTGTACCCTCTGATGTTTCACAATATGAAAGATCTTTTAAGACATATATTAGACAATTGGGGAAATAGAATTAATTTTTAATGACAATAGCATAGTGTTTCTCCATCTAAAACCAGAGGCTATATTAAAAGCGTCACATTCTAAAGAACTTAAAATTTCAAAAGAGTCAGTCACCATTTCAAAATATCTATAATACCTGACATAAAATTATGATATGCATGTCAGACTCTCAAAAGTAATCCTCATTAATTTCCTTCTCCTCATCTCTTCTAATCCTTCCTATCCCCAGATAATGTAATGTTTTTCTTTTTCAGTACGTTTTGAGTGCACTAAACATATATTAAAGTGAATGCGAGTCTGTAAGGAAAGTTGGAAAAAGAATGTATTTGGGGAGGTGTCCGGCTGGGAAGTGGGGAAGCAGATGGATTGAAGGAAGGGATTTGAAATGTGCAGACTATGGCATGCAGTGATGGAGCAGATGGAATGCATCACCGTCAGCTATGACAGAAATGATTTATGGAATGACCTGGCTGCTCCTGCCTAGTAACAACACAGGATGACAGAGCTGAGTTTCCATGACAACCAAAGCCCACCCACTAACTAGATTAAACATTTCTTCACTGGATTCCATTCACGGTGAATTTGGGTTTTCTTTTCCAAATGCCATTTTGGTTTGGCTAGTATGCTGTTTATAACAGGGGAAGATACTCAAGGATGTGAAGGGTAACAAAATGAACTTGAAGGGCCACTGAGAACATCACAAATTCTTGCCTGCCTGTAGGCCAAGGTTCCCTGATAGAAGTTTTCTTTAATAAAACAAACAAATGACCTTTGAGAAAAAAAGCCCCCAAAATGCAGGTTAAATTTTAAAAAATTATCTAGCACTGAAAGTTCAAATGTTATTTGTCCTGTTACATGTAAAATATCAGTTACTGGACTCTTCCAGAATCAGGAGAAGGAATATGGCAAGCCAATCAAATACCTGGAGACCTTACAGGTTTAGTATAGAATAAAACTGTCTTCCTAAATAGGTCATTTTCATCAGGTGACAGTAAGTCGAAAAAAGGGTGAGACAATTTTCTTTCATTCTCATCAATACCTTGTAAGATAATTACCACAGCACCGCACTTTCTGGATGTATGCAGCAGTGGTTAGGAGCAGAGTCTGAAGCTGGTCTGATCAGGGTTCTAATATATATGGGCTTTATCCATGCTAGCTTATGATTCCCCTAGGGCGAGCTGCTTAATCTTTCTGAGCTCAAGTTACTTCACCTTTTAAACCTTAGTTCCTCATCTGTAATGTGGGGATAACAATGCCAACCTTACAGGGCTTTCTTGAGGATTAAATGAAACAGGGCATGTAAATGCTCAGTATAGGTGCGCATTCAAATTATAGCTGAAATATTTTGTGGGTTTTGTTATTGTCATTACTATTATTATTATATGATCCAAGACAGAATTCAACAAACATTCACTGAGCTGCATTTTGTGTGTGCTCCATCTCTACTATGTAGTAAATGAGTCTGACTTGGCTTCATTTTCCAAGAAGCTGGTATTCAGCTGTAGAGAAAAATTTATTTACACCAACAATATACAAAGAGGTTTATCTCCTTAAATGCTCAACAGTTGCTTCCTACCACTCAGGTATTAACGTGCTCTGCCTTCTCCATGAATGGCAACAAATGTATCTGACAGTTAATTGCACTTCATAGAAAATAAAAGACAATTCTGTGGGAATTCTAAGAGGCATACTACTCAGAAAACAAGAAGAAAAAAAATCATCTAAAGTGAAATTTTAGGAAGCGCAAAGCACAAGTGCCCCTTTTAAATAATTAGATTTGAAACTGTTGTAGATTTACTGAAAACTGCTCTCCCTTCTAGTTTTGGCATTCCGAAAGAGGAGATTTTAATGTTTTAAGAATCAGATATTAAAATATAATCACTGCTTTGTCATTAATGTTCTGAAGTGATGTATGTGAACTAGTTGCTCAAGAAAATACTATCGGATTCCTTCAAATCACTTTTACTCATTTTAACATGATTCTTCAATGAATCTGGCTTTTTTGGGGAGAAGGCTCTCATTTCCTATTCCTTGAGTAAATCAGGTGCAGTTGACTTTAAAAAAAAATACAGTACATAAAATGCTTTTGATCTTGGAAAAGTTTCTTATAAAGGTACTTCATTCTCTGGATCAGAATACTGAGTTATCTTTCGTGGTTCCACTTGACTTATTTTAATGGACCACTTACTAACTATGTATTTAGAAGAAATAGATTTAATGATTAATCTTGGCAGTTGGTGCTTTAGATGACTTCTTTTTCCTCTTCCCAGCATTTGCTGTACCACAGGCATAGCATTTAAGGGCATATATCAATACAAACCGAGAATAACTCTAAATGTGTAATGAAATTGATCTTGTTACATCTATACTCTTTAGATACTTATCACCTACAAAATCTAATCACTGTATTCAGTAGTGTAAAATTCATTCAGTAGAATGTGTAAAATCAATACTCACAGATGCCAAAGCCTTTCCAAGTGCATCACCTGTCTGTGAGCTTCCAGCAGCATTCCCTCTGGTTCCTGGATATTTCATAGAGAAATAAATCAAGAATTTTACAAGCAAGTATTATATTTTAGCACTCTGCCATTATTCCAAGGGTGTTCTCTATCATCATCTCACATCTGTTACAGTAAACTAGGAAATACTCTACATGTGTTGTACTTATTAATAAACTAAAGATGAGGTCTTTACCAGTGTCTATATTGATGATAATAAAAAAGCTTCTTGTCTTCCTGTCTTTCACTTTTAAATTCAACACTAAAAAATATATCGAAAGAGGGGCCAAGGCCAGGCGCGGTGGCTCATGCCTGTAATCCCAGCAATTTGGGAGGCTGAGGCAGGCAGATCTCTTGAGCCCACGAGTTCAAGGCCAGTCTGAGAAATGTGGACAAACCCCATCTCTGCTAAAAATGGAAAATTAGCTGGGTATGGTGGTGTGTGCCTGTAGTCCCAGCTACTTGGGAAGCTGAAGCTGGGGTATCACCTGAGCCTGGAGGCGGAGGTTGTAGCCACAGAGTGAGAGAGCTGAGAGAGTGAGACCCTGTCTCAAAAATAAATACATAAATGAATAAAAATAAAAAAAGAGGCCACGTGTGCTGGGTCATGTCTATAATGCTAGCATTTTGGGAGGCCGAGGTGGAAGGATCACTAGAGGCCAGGAGTTTCAGACCAGCCCCGGCCACATAATGAGACCCTGTCTCAACAAAAAGTAAAAAAAAATTAGCTGAGTATGGTGGTACATGCCTGTAGTCCCAGCTACTGGGGAGGCTGAGGCAGGAGGATCACCTCCTCAACCTTGGAGGTTGAGGCTGCAGTGAGCCATGACTGTGCCACTGCACTCCAGCCTGGGTGAGAGAGAGAGACTCTGTCTCAAACAAACAAACAACATACATATATATACACACACATATATACACATATATATACATATATACATATATACACAAACATATATACATATATACCTATATATACATATATAAAAAACACACATATACATATATAACACATATACATATATAACATATATACACACATATATACATATATAACACATATATACATATAACACACATATACATATATAACATATATACATATATATAACATTTATATATATAAAACATACATATATATATATAAAGATATCGGGGTCACTGAAAGTCCACAAACTTTTAGGAAGTTTTGCCAACTCAAAAAGCTCACCTAGAATGCTGTCTGATCCATTGATGGGAGGAGTGTGTGAGGCAGCAACGTAAGGTGAACTGCTGGTACTGCCGCGATGAAAGCTGGACATTGGTGGAAGACTCGTGTTTATGTCTGTTGGTGAAACTGAGTGTGGAGGATAACTCTAGATGGAAAGAGATATGATCTATTAAATATATTTTCTGAATAATATTCACATAAAATGGACAACTATGATAACAGGTCAAAAAGAGCATTTACAAGTTACAGCTAAAGAGCACTACTTATTGTCATTTATTTTTTAGAAAGGCATGGTAAACGCGGTAAGCCTTGAAGTACTTCAAACTTCAGAAGTTTTGGCAGACTTAGATTTTACACTTCTAATCCAAAAAGAAACACAAGTGAGGACAAAGTGTTGCTGTACCCTAGTCACGTGTTATAGCCTACCAAGCGGTCATGTGAATGAAGGTTGCCATAACTACTGGATTGAGACATGTGGGAAGTGGAGGTCCCCAGAATTCCACCAAAACCAGGCTGGCTCATCCCATTTGATGAACTCCAAAGGTCAGAAGAATTGTGGGTCCCATCTAAGACAAAAAGAGAAATATAAAATTTTCCTTAGCTAAAAATTTTCTTGTATTTTGATGTTGCTTATAAAAATTCAAGGGGTACCCTCCAGATATTTTTCCTCCCTTTTCCAACCTAGTCTTCTACCCACTGTTCTTCCCTCTAAACTGTAAAATTACTATTTAAAAAGAAGAAATTAACATTTTAGTTAGGGAAAAAAGTAATCTAAGCTGTAATAGGCAGGCCATTATAAAAATCTTCAGAAGATCTCAATTCATATCAAGGAAGATAGTAAAAATTCCAAATTTGGGAATAGGCTAGATTTATTTTTAGTTAAGTGGTATACTTATACATACACAGAAAGTTATTAATGCATAACACGCAATGTGCATTATATCAAACATTTTGAAACTGTGGAACAAAGAAGTTTTTCTAATAGTAAAACTAAGTAATTGATAATTACCATATTATAGTTAGCTTTCAAATGAAATGTGTCAGCAATGACTCCACTCAACAATATAAAGTCAAGGAACCATTTATGTAATAATTTATTGCTCCCATATATTTGTTTCCCATAGTCCAAAACCACAGGAGACCAAATAAAAATGATTTGCTAGACATGAATTAAAGGAAATGCAACACTTTTTCTCTCTTAACAAGTCTTACTCTGTTCTATGATATTCACTCTTTCTTTATATTGGTAATTCTAGGCATGATATGAATCCATAAATTAAACAAGAAACTAGAGTTAACAGTTTTCATACATTTCAATTCTAAAATGAGCAAGAACAGCTCTATTAATTTTTCTCAATTTAAGACCTTTATAAATTCAATCAATACTGGACCAGCACTCCAATGGTTTGCTAGATAATTCAATTAAATTGCAGTCAGCAATAAACACCACTGGAAAATTATAAAGCTAAATTTTAATTTAGCCAAAAAAAATGCCTAAATAAGGCCTGAATATAGGTATTCTCTTTCCTAATACTTTAAAATACTGGCTGATATACAGATGACTGCAGTAGTATTTGGCAATTGTTTGGTAGTACTTACCTTGCATAAAGAAAGTGCTAGCGAACATACTGGTTGGTGGCTTAGGAGATGGATAACTAGGAGATTCACGGTTGAAATCATCTGAATTTGGGGATGGTGCATATACCTTAAAATTAAACAGCACATTTAATTAAAATGTAAATGACTATCATATTACTTATGTAAAATGAGTTCTATATTCTGTAAGGGGCTTAAAAAGGCCTATCTAATTTTTATAAAGGGCTACCACAAATGAAAAGAATACTGCCTAAATCCACATAAATAATGTCAAACTTAATTACCATCCACATGTTTTTTTTTTTTAAGCTGGTTATTAGGGAAAACTACTACTCTAAATATCTCTGTAATGCATCTTGGTATGACAGTTACACCAAGTGACTGAATAAGCATTGAGCTGGCTTACCAAACACAAACCTCACATAGGCTCAGGATTCAAAATCTGATCGAGCAAACAAATGTCCTTTCAATATAGCATAACATAAAATCTGGGTTCATAAAATTCATTCTTTTCAGTGTTACAAGATTCACCAAATAAAATCAACATGAGTTTGATTAAACATTGCTATCTTTGTTACTATTAAGGGGTAACTATCAAAGGCACAACACAATTGTTCAGGAACTTCCTTAACTTGGTAGAGTTAGCAAATAAATTAAAAACACATTTCCAGTACACTTTCAAGTCTGGCAAAGCTTTAAGAAAAATCTCATTTAATTTGTTAGAGCAGTATTAATTTCCTTTGATAAACCCTTGCTTTAGATAAGCAAACTATAAACATTTTGAATTAGCAAATGGCCAACATTTGCATTCCTCTGGAAAACTAAATGGGCAGCCAAATAACCTTAATGATCAAAATGTGATCACACTATTCTCATAACTATTGAAACAAAGGTGGAAAACAAATAATATCTAAAGTGATGCACAGTCTATAGAAGTAAACCAGAAGTCAGGAAGAAGAGAAAGGTAAGCTATTATGAGCAGTGTATGAAACAAACAAATTATTTTGTTTTAGTTTGAAATGATACAAAAAATTCAACAAAATAAAAATTTTAAGTGTTGACTGAAACAGAATAACATTAACATTATGGAAGCATGTATTTTAAAAATCATGTATTAATTTGTTTGCATAAGCATAGAAAATTTCTAGAATTACACACAAGAAACTCAATAATGGTTACCTCTTTGGACTTCGAATTGGGAAGGAAGACTTTTACTTTATGTTCTTCTACATAATTTGATATTTTACCCCAAGCATATATTTCTATAGACTAATAATAGAAAAAGAGTTAAGGAAGCGCACCCAGATTAAAATGGGATCCCAACTTTTTATTTACATAAACTGTCAATTATATTAATTTATTCTTTCTTGGAGGTATTAACTGTAAAGACCCCTTGCAAATTACCCTAATCTTCCCAAGATTCAATTCCCTCTTTTGTAAAATGGTGTTAACACTACTTGCATGAGGAGACTGATGGGCAGATCAGATGAAATTATATATAAAATGTTTAGCACAGTGCCTTGTACGAAGTATGCAGGCAATAAGTTATAGCTAACAGTATCACCTTTCATTCTAACAGAAGTAGTTATGTTGCTAAATATTACCTGTTCACTACTCAAATGCTGTTCATTACAGTTTTCGTCTAACATGAGCTTAGTTATATATACAGTTTATTCTAAATAAAAGGTTAAAAAGTCAATTTTTACTCTTCGTGCTAGTCCTGATAATACTAGCACAGGTGACTTTTTTTTTTTTAAATGGACTGGCATTCAGGTTTGTTTCCTACCTTTCACATCCCAGAGGTAAAAACACACATCTGTGGTACCTGAGAAGTCTTAGAAAAGATACAGTATATTCCCAAGAATCATCTAGAAGGATCCCCTAGTTTGGGGAATATGGCAGATAAAATGGTTTGTTCCTCATAAGCATACTTTTCTGGTTTAAAGGTATTTCACAAATGATTGTGTTGAAATAAAATAACTGACTATATACCAATGTGTCTGCAATGTATTGTACAGGCTGATAGGCAGATAAGGTTTTCAGGAAAGGAACTTTGGACTATTTTCTTTTAATCAAGTTTCATCTTCTAAACTTAGCCCTAGCTAGAAGTTCTCTGTCCCCTTTCTATATAGATTTCCTCAAGCCAAGCTAAACCATGAACAACAAAAAAACAGAATAAATCCACAGACCTAGCCAGAAAGTACAATGTGAATCAAATTTAGAAGACAGCACCCGAACACATGCTTTTTATCACAAATGTGCACTTACTATACACATCATCCTTGATATGTAAGTATGAAATATAAAATTCTCTAATTTTATCCAGGTTATAGACTGAAACAGTAAGTCAGTCTCTCATACTTGATAATTATGAAAACACTCCAGTTTTGATGTGTCATTTCACACAAAAATGGACATAATTTGTCAGTTTAAATTTTTACATAATTTATCAATTTATATTTCTTTATCCTTATTCCCATTCAATTCGCTGTATTTCACACACTAATATACTTACATTTTTAAATTTTGAAAATGGTTACAATTACAGAAGGAAGTCAAAGGATAAACTTTCCTGATTTACAAATCGCTGCTAAATAAAAGAGAATATGCTGATCAGAAAATGGTTTATTCACGGTTGTCATGGAGAGCAAGAAAACTAAGATAAACCACACAAAGCACAGAAAGAGACTTGCCTTCCCTTACGCAAAAATTTTGAAGTTGTATGGAGAAAATGGCACATTTTAGAGGTAAAGTTTGTTTTTAATGCTATTTCTTTCAAACAGATTTTGAAAACAATGGACTTTTAAAGGACAGACCTTATAAATGAAAATGGCAAAAAAAAATCCTACTATATCATTTTTGTATTAACACGAGTTCAAAATTTTCATCATAAGAATGTTTTGAAATATATGGCTTTCAAAGAGGTACATTTACCAGCATTTCTAACACAGGCTAAATAAGCTAAATAACTTTACTTTTGGTATCTTAACTATAGCTTGCAAAAACATAGATGCAATGTTATGAAGCAGCAGTTGTGCCAGTCTTGATTTTTCAGATCAAAGACTTCTTGCGGCAAAGCACAACTGATGTGGTCTCAAAGGCTTTATTAACTCCAGATGTAGGGAAATAGTCAGCCAATTCCACAAAAAGAGCAAGTCTCTCTTGGTTACAATCAGTACTGGCCACAAATTAAAATCAGACTGCTTATGTCATCTGATCACCTGAACATAGATGCCAGTTTTTTTCCCCTAGTTAATGATCTAATCATTGGTTTAAATCTGAAGGATGATTTTGTATCATGACAGTCGATCTTAAAATTAAGAGAAAGGAATATATATGCTTTAAGATAATTAAAATCTACCAGGAGTCAAACTATTTTAAAGAGAATAGAAAAAGGGTAAAATTAAGTAATTTAAGATGTTCTATTAAAATGTGGTAGATATTTTCTTTAGAATTCTATCCTCCTTTTCAGAATGCCAAGCTCACAGTAGCTACCATGGGACCAACTCTTTTCCCAAGCACTTATACTTTCCCCTCTAAGAATGGTGTTAAGAAAAATTTTGAATGTGTGGTGAACAGACAGTTCTAACTTGGAAGAATAAAATAGAAAATCTAACAGATACCTCCCCTTCACTATTAAGTCTGTTGAAAACAACGCAATCACATAAATCATATCTTGCATGTCCTCATCACACTCACCGTAAAGCAACTTTTAAAAAGGGATAGTATACTTTGGGATGAATATTTACAGTTACTCTTCACAGTGATTACATAATTATCCTTAAAATGTTTTAGTTCATACAACAAATTTGAGTCAAACTGGCAAAGACAGATCCCTTTTTTCCTGCTCAGATGATTCAGTTTAGTCATATGGATAACCCCAAATTCAAGGCATACACTCTGTTCAGCTCTAGAGGCTGGAGCTGTGCACTGTGCTCTCGATTTCAATACATCTTTCCTGTAATTAACACTGGAAACATTCTTGTGAGGCAGGGAGGCGTAATGACTTTCTGTTATTGAGAAAAAATGCAAAGAAGCAGAGGTTTTGCTAAAGAAGATAGTTTTTCTTTTTATCTAGTCACATTCAGATAAGACAAAGTTAAAGCATGGTGTGATTATCCATACTTTAAAAATCAGATCTACAGCCTGTGTGGTGGCTGATACTTTTTAAGGTACCAAGGGATGAAGAGATGGGAATTTTCTTTAGTATGTGACAATAGCTATATATCCTAATTGAGATACCCTTCCACAGAAAATAAGAAGAATGCTTTATATGAGTATTGTCCAATAGGTTTCTGTGATGATGGAAATGTTCCGTATCTATGCTGTACAATACAGTAGCTATCAGTCACATGACTACTGAACACTTGAAATGTGGATAGTGCAATTGAGAAACTGAATTTTAAATTTTATTTTATTTTATTTAAATACTGCTTGTGGCTACTGCTTACTATACTGAACAAGGCAGATTTAGATCCTTCTTATCCGGCAGTTTAAGATTGTATAAATTATTTTGAAACATATTCTAGAATTCTTATGTGCTTCAAGGCCTAAGAAAACCAAAGTCAGCCTACATTCTGAAACATTTTGAGAACACCTTCACCTAATTTGGAATAAAGAAGTATGGAGAAGGCTACCTACTTTTCTGAACATGGTCCAACACAGAACTAATTACCAAGATTTCACTATGTTTGGGCTTCTGTTAGATCTTTTGTCAAGATGGTTTGAATAGCAGTTCTCTTTAAGTTCCCATATGTTCAGTATCATTAAACACTTTAACACACGCTAATGTGGGCCTCAAATATGTGAAAGGTCTGTGCCAATAACAGAAATTATATTCAGCATAATTTACATCAATTTACCAAAGTAACAAAACATAACAAAATTATTTGGCTAACTTGCCCTGCCATCATAATTTTAAAATGAAAATATGATATTATATTCAGGAACATCCACTTTATCTGGTATCTTATATAATTATATTTAGTATTAAACAATAAAAACTTTACAAGATCTAGCTAAGTACCTAAAACCTTGAGAAAAAAAAAAAAAGTCTAGGTCAATGAAATATTAATAAAAGAATATCCCAACCCAGGTCAAACCCTATATTAAAAAACTGTAATTAAGACTCTAGGCCTATAATTTTAAGCATATGTACATTTAAGAGTCAGCATTCAAAAAACTAGGTAATTTTAAGATTTTTAGTGTTTAAATTATTAATTTAATTTAAATTGATTAATCTGGGGGGAGGGGGGAGGGATAGCATTAGGAGATATACCTAATGTTAAATGACAAGTTAATGGGTGCAGCACACCAAACATGGCACATGTATACATATGTAACTAACCTGCACATTGTGCACATGTACCCTAAAACTTAAAGTATAATAAAAGAAAAAAAAAATGAATAAATAAATAAATTGATTAATCTACGCAAGTTCCACACGTAGCAATATATACAACCCATGTCTCTTTCTCAATTTTATGGGATTGGAATTTAGTAAAAAGAGGCTCTTTTAAGAAGAGTAAATAAAATTTTGCTTTAATAACTATACCCATTTGTATTAGAGTGCTAGGAAGATATCAGAGAAAATTAAAGACATTTCCTAAAAACCATTTCCTATATATTTTTCTGATCATTTTCAGATCATTCTGATCTGTTATTTTGTATTAATACTGATCTTATATACATCCTCAGATAAAAAGCATATATCCTTGGCTGGGCGCAGTGGCTCACGCCTGTAATCCCAGCACTTTGGGAGGCCGAGGCGGGTGGATCATGAGGTCAGGAGGTCGAGACCATCCTGGATAACACAGTGAAACCCCATCTCTACTAAAAATAATAATAAAAAAAATTAGCCGGGCATGGTGGCGGGCGCCTGTAGTCTCAGCTAGTCAGGAGGCTGAGGCAGGAGAATGATGTGAACCTGGGAGGCGGAGCTTGCAGTGAGCTGAGATCACACCATTGCCACTGCACTCCAGTCTGGGCGACAGTGCAAGACTCCGTCTTAAAAAAAAAAAAAAAAAAAAAAAAAAAAAAAGCATATATCAGTAACCTAAATGGTAACATTTAAAAATTTCTGAAACTTAGGCCTTCTCACTTTCCTTGTTCCTTCGGTAATCAAAATTTAAACAACGTAATCCCAAAGAAAATAACCTAAAAATCTAGATAAATATTAAAATGATAGTCTAATTCAATAATTCCCTAATATCTAAGAATATTTCAACAAATGACAGATTTGATAAATATCTCAATGCTTTCAGTATTTTCATATTACATAAAATGGCAAATTCTGCCATAAACTCCAATCTGCTACTAGAGTTTTTAATGGTAATTTCAAGCCTGAGGGGGAAAATATTTAGATAGTTCCAGTAAAAATACCACAAGAACTGAAACCACAGGTATTATAAAGCAAAACGTCTGAAGTACAAAGACTGACTCAGGCACATACAAGCCATCTCCACGGAAGATTCTTTTTACCTAATTAGCCTGTTAAAAATACAACTTGAAATTCTGTAAAAGGGATAAATATGTGTTTATATTTTCAGCAGTTTCCTAAGTAAAAGGACCAATATCTCTTTCCAAAAACTTCCAGAGACATGTTTATTTTCCAGGGAAAATAAAATGAAATTTCTTTTCTAACAACAGTAAGAAAAATGAATTCTAGTTTTCATACAAAGCATTTTAAAACCAACTGCTGCTCTTACTGTGTAACAAACACAGGTGAACATTACTGGTTTTCAACTGTGAGAAAAATTCCTTCTAAGCCCATTTAAATTAATCTTAAATTAACATTACTGGGCATATCACTGGTTTTCTAGGAAAATCAAGCACATTTTAGTTAATCTTAAATTAACATCACTGGGCATATTACTGATTTTCTACGATAAGTGCTATCATTTTTCTAATAATCTCAATGTTTTTCTTCAATTATGGAATTTCTAAGGGACAGGGTTTGAAACTTGTTTGCTAGGATAATATACTGAACAAATCAATGACTGACACGTTACCTACCTACTTTAAAAAAAATTTAGATTCAACAATATTGCACCTGATCCCCTTTGATATACAAGTGGAAAGGAACACAAATTTCTCTCAAAAACATTCATAAAGTTGACCAGTGACAACATACCTTCTAGTATGTAAAACTAGCAGGAGCTAGTTTTAACTCACTAGTATTTGTACTCACTTGAATCAAGATAAGAAAACTTTCTTGGGCTCACACACCATAGTCGCAGATATTTTTGGTAAAGGGGAAAAATGTGAAGTAGGTTTATGCTGAAGTCCTTGTCATTCAATGTCTTTAGCATTCTATATTAAGAGATTTTAAAAATGACTTCATGTTTTCCCTATTATAAAAAATGTTAGATTTAACTCTTTTGGGCCCATGGACAGTCTGGAAATGTGAATTAATTTAATTGTATATTCTTCTCTCATGTTAACTAGCAATAAATACCCCAATAGAACAGAAATGCAGCTGTATACAGTCACATCGGTTTCTGTTCTTTTATTAACTGAAAATGTTTGTTTTAAAAATAAGTCTTATAAGTATTTACAATGTAATTTTACTTACTTGCTACTCTATTTCTAAAAAAAAAAAAAAAAAAAAAAAAAAAACCTCATTGGTAGGCAGGTGCCAAAACCATGGCTAAACCAATTTTCAGTATGATTAATTCTATTAGAAGAGGAGACTTGCTAAAACGTATCTGAAAGTTTTAATTTTAAATTCTTAAACAAAAGTTGACAAAAATTTGCTTGACTAACCACATCAATTAGTATTCATGAAATTGTTACTCTGACCACACATGCAAAAGATTTGTAAGAGTGGCCTTGTGCTTTTCCCAGTTACGTTTTCTTTCCAATGTAGTATATATATGTATTTTTACATATCCAAATACACATTGGATCCAATGTAGTATATTTTAATGTAAATGGGTAGTCAGGATAAATTCAGTTTGGCCCTTTGCTATGGAGACTAATTTACATGTCCTTGGATGATACAAAGGAGAAAATGTGCTTTTGGGGGACAGATAGACCTGGGTTCAAATTCTGACCTCAGTACTTACAAAATAGGTGAGGTTGAACCTCATTTTCCTTATTTATAAAATGAGCTAGTAACAGCTAAATGACAGTGGTTGTGAAAATTAAATCAGATAAACAAAGTTCCCAGCACAGTTCCTCCCACAGAATAGCCCTTACAATCAAATTAGTTTCTTTTTTTTCCCAGATTCCATTCAAAGAAGCTTAATATTCAAAATGTGCGTCTAGCTTGAATTTTAAAACTTGGATTTCTGTGTTGTTTCTCAGAAGATTAAAATAATTTCCTCATACAATGAAAAGGCCATCATGTCTGTTTGTGTGGCAATTTTTATACCTGGAATACTCTGTAGCATCTTTAGTCCCAAAACTAAGAAAAATGGAGACTGGTCAGAAAAATGGAGTAAGGCACTCCAGAATCTTAAAAGTAAAAAAAAAAAAAAAAAAAAAAAAAAAAAAAAAAAATGGCAGTCCTTTTTTTCCCCCAAAACTTTTCTTTCCTTTGCTCTCAAGACTTTTTTCTCACTTTCTGTGTAAAGGACAAAATTTACTCAAATTAATGAGAAAACTGAATGCAGGCAGAGTTCTTTATAAAGAAGGAACCTCAGAAACCCACTGTTCTCTACTATTTTTTATATTTCAAAACAGTATAAGGTGCAAAATAGTTTTAGTTTTCATACTTACTATAAACCCACATTAATACCTTACAACATGATAAAGAATACAGCTACACAAAAATTACATATAATACAAAACATTAACCCCTTCTCTTTTTAAGCAGTAGGAAAAACTGCATTAACATTTTTGGCTTTTCTTTTCTACACCTACATGCCCAAGTCTGTTACATATCCAAGAATAAAATACTGGCCATACAATTTTAGGTAATAAAATATAAAAAAGTTCTTTGGTCTCTTCCTAGAGTTTGTTCAGTTTTATTAAAAGATCTGAAATACCCTTAAATATATGCAATCAACTCGAAAACTAAAAAAAAAAAAACTGGAAAAAAGGGAAAGAAAGCTTTCTGTTTAAGAGCAGGACCACTTAGGGTTTGTCACTCTCTCATAAAACCTGAAATGGGATGTTAAAAATGAATCAATGTGAACTTATTATTAGTATTTCAAAATATTATTTTGTTCTATCATTTTAAAATAAATCTATAAAATGAGATTAAATAGTTTAAATTTAACCTGTTCATGACAAGAAGTATATTAAACTTCTATAACTTAAGTGAAGACATATATTTCACTTAAGAGTCTAGAAATGTTAATGAAAGTGCTAGTTTTTATTTTAAGGCATTGACAAGCAGACATTTCCCAATATACACTAAAATAATACATTTATATAATCTTGAGACAATGTAATTACATACCACGATTTTCTTATTGAAGAAAACTGAAGTCATCACAAAATAATAATGTTGCCAATGACTTCTAATAACTACTAGAGAATAATTTTAAAAACTAGAGGTGGGTAAAAATAAAATACATACAAGTCTAGGGTCTTATGATTTGGAGGACTAAGCCAACATATCATCTCTTTATTTATATATTTTTCCAGAACATAAAAGTCACCTTTGACCTATATTAGGCACAGACTATCAATTTTTCCAGGCTCTCTACCATACCAGCTATGCCATCTACCATAAGCCTGGAAATACCACTATCAAAGCTCCCCCTACCCCCCTCCCAATGTAGAACAAAGAGAAATGTAATACAGTAACCTGTGCTTTCCAAAGAATAAAATCTAAACTCATTTTGAGTTAGTCTGGTTCAGGGTCCTACATAATTAATTTTACTGAACTTATACACGTGCACACACACACACACACACACACACACACCCCACACACATACCCACATACCATGTTCAGACTGTTTTACTTAAAATCAGACACAAAAGAAAATTATTTTCACATTTGAAAGACAGCTGGCAAGAAAATTATATAGAGATTAAATAATTTCACTCATCCATCTAAATCTACTTCTTACATTATCCAAAGCTCTGCTTATATGGGCAGCTTGAACATACACTTTTTAATGAGTTTAAAGATATTTTGACTTGCTTATCTTTTTTGAAAGCTTACCCAAAAGTTCACAACCAAACACTGGCCCAGTCCAAAGAGCCCTTACTAAAGCAATCAGTGAATGAAAAAGTGCTTTTATTAGTTCTTAGTATCCTAGTTGTAGCCATAGGCTACTTTAAAACATTTCCAAGTGATGAAAAGGGAAGAGACAACCATATCTAATTTTAAGCCCATTTTAGTAAAATGTAATTGAATATTCTCTATAACTTAAAACATTAACATTAAAAATGCTCCCCTCTCCCCCCCTTCACTAAGCCCATATATGCATTTTTTCATAAGACACCTGAGGGTAAAATTATTTGTGAAAGATTTAGAAGGAAAACACTGAGTTTCTGACATAAACCAACACTGTTATTCATTAGTGTACCTTTTAATAATATTTATCAAGTATCTTACAAAGATAGCTCCTATTGAAACTTTCCGAGTTTACTCTTTTTTTTTTAGAATATATAAAATCCTCTGGCTTATAGATTTTTTTGTAGAAACACAGTAAATTATTAACATTAGGTAATTAATTTAAAGAATAGAACTCTTGTTTAGCAAAACAAAAAAGTATTATTTTAAAACACCTAGTCATGTGCTTGCTATAAATCAACCAGAAGTACAGTGCATTCTTTGGAAAATGTATAAATGCATTCTTTTAAAAAATAGTGATTTATTTCATGAATCCACACAAGGTCAAAATTCTAGTTTGATTGGAAACAGATGGTATCCCAGAGAAGTCAGGCTCTGGACCTGAAACTCTAAACAGGAAATACGGCCCTTACTAGCTGACTGCTTCCCTAATCATTACCAGAGCTTCATACTTGTTATTTTTATGAATATCCTAGATGACTTTCATCTTTTCCTTCCATCTACAAAGCATCAAATAATTCTCAATACATATGTGTGTATATACATATTTTATGTAAGGATTTGTTCACAATATACGAAAACATAAAAACAAATGTACTTTCAAGCTCATTGCTAGTAAAGATATCAGGCTAATAACAACTCAGAAACTCAAGTTTATTTTCTACACTATCTTAAAAATAAAATGAAAGCCAACAACTATTGAGTAGCTATGTAGCAGACAGGACTTTACTGACACTACTTCTAAAGAAATCTACAATCTAGGCTGGGCGCGGTGGCTCATGCCTGTAATTCCAGCATTTTGGGAGGCCGAGGCGGGTGGATCACCTGAGGTCAGGAGTTCGAGACCAGCCTGGCCAACATGATAAAACCGCGTCTCTACTAAAAATACAAAAATTAGCTGGGCATGGTGGCGGGTGCCTGTAATCCCAGCTACTCGGGAGGCTGAGGCGGGAGAATCGCTTGAACCCGGGAGGCGAAGGTTGCAGTGAGCCGAGATCGAGCCACTGCACTCCATCCTGGGTGACAGGGCAAGACTCCGTCCCCCCGCAAAAAAAAAAAAAAAAAAGAAATCTACAATCTAATACATTGCATAAAAGGATAAAACAAAACCTCACAGATTTTAGTAAAAAGCGAGTAATGTATACTGCTTTCCTTTAAACAAGTGAGTTAGAAGCTATACAAAGAAAAAGGCTTACCGTTTTCCCATTGTAGTAATACATCAAAGAATTGCTGCCCATTCCAGGGACAGGATAAGCACAATACATGTTGATTTTGAAAATGTTACTATTTGTAGCTAATGCACACAGCCTCTCTCCAAGACATATATCCACACAGGCAAAGGGAGTAAGTCTTCAGTACTATGCATTCACACATGGATCTACTCAAAAGGAACTTATGCAAAATAGGACTGAACCAACTCACAGAGCACAGAGGGAGGGTTTATGCTGTAAGTAACCTCTTTCAATTTCCATCAAGTCCTTGCATTGGTGGAGGATACCAATAAGACAAAATTTGAGGTATTAAAAAAATGCAAGTCACTTTTAAGCGCTAAATAAATATGCCCTGAATAAAAATAACCCAAGAAATTATTAGATTTGTCTCATATATACATATATACACACACAAAAGGAAGGCATACTGACAGATTTTCTGCTAATCTGTTTTTAGTTTTAATTAAATTAGAGCACTTGTGGCAGAGAAACCTAGCTTGCTACACCTCCAGCGTTACCATCTGCCATGGTCTAAAGTTGCTTCAACTTTGATAAACACATGATCAAGTAATCAGGAATTGGAAACACTGAATCATGTGTAACAAGAAGGATCTAGACAGTTAAATCTTGTACAAAATCACTTCCTGGAGAAAGCAGACCATCATGCAAATACCTCTTAACTAGCTAGAACAAACCATACTTTAAGCTACAAAAATTATGTTGAGGAAAACTGAAAGGAACACATTTTATTAAAAAGCTTAGTCCAAAAATCAGATAGATTATCTTGAAACTAAATTACCTGTTTTTAAAATGGAAACACTTAATAATACAGATTTTCAGTTATAAAGCTCCTTGAATTCTTCATACACAACACCAATCAAAAGTTTATAATGTCCTGCAATAGGACTGTTCTTAAAAAAAATTCACACATCTTTCATATAAAGTATGAGAGAATAAACTAAACAGTTTCCTATAAGTCTTTCCTCTAAGTTTATTATTGTTCTTAATACTTTGTATATTCATATTTTTATGCTAATGCTCACATTTCTCAGAAAGGAAAAATAAGAAGTGTGGGAATAAATGTCTTACAGACATTTCTAACTCATACTTCGAAGTCAAAAGGTTTTAAAAGTTGTCTACAAAAACATGTGTCTCTTACACAGACACGTTTTGCTATTTAAATGTTTTCCAATCAATCGTTTGCTGTAATTACAACCTGGAAAAACAGAATAGCAACTTTCCCTTTTTGTGTCATTTCCCTTCATCAAAACTTCTTTGTACTATCCTTCCCTCTATGCCTTGTAGGTTCTAACGGGATTGTATTAATCAGAGGAGAGCTCACAAGCTGCAAAAGGGGGCACATCACTTTTTTTAAAGGTACCTTTCATGAAGCAGAAATCCTCTGTGAAATATTCTAGGAATATACTATAAGGGACCCCCTATCCCCCCAACCTCATTTTTACTAACATATTGATCAAATTATAGTAACGAAACTAAATCAGACAATAAGGGCAACTAACTTCACAATGTTTTAAAAGCTGATAGTATTGGAACAACAATAAAACCTCCCCACACTCTCCAGATATAGAAAAGGCTAAGCAGCAGCTGCAAAAGAACATCGCTGTACAGCAGACTATTAAAATGCCAGTCTGCGGAGTGGTTTGTAACTTCCTCCCTCCTGAGAGACCACAAAGACCCATTTCAATCCTTGGAGAACTGTGTAAAAAGCTTTGATTCACAATTAACAATAGCATGCCTTAAAACCATTCAAGTAAATTTTAGTCTTCCATACACAGTCTTTCTCTACTGACAGATCGGCTACTCTCAAAACAAAAAAAAAGGAAAATCAAACAAAATCGAATCAAAATTTTCTTTTTCTATTAATTATTAAAAATAACACTTACTTTTCAATAGAAATTGAGGAGGAATAGGGAGAAGAGGGGAGCCACAAAGCACTGACAATACTTCAACATTTTTATAATCATCGCTTCAATCTGAGAAAACTTTCTTATATTGGTTAAAAAACATCCACCTATGACAGTTAAGCCCATTTCCCTGATGCCGGGCAGAAAACAGAGAGGGTACTTACTATGTTGTTTGATAAAACAAACATCATAATGTAAACCCAACTAAGCAACCTTGGTTATTAAAGCACAATGAAAATTTTAATATTTTAACACCAGTTCTTTATTTTAGAGGCAATTATATGATAATCTGAAGAGAATAAACATACATTCAGATAAAAAAGAAATTCACTGTAAAAGCCAAATAGTATAATCAAATTTCTTTAATGGAAAAAAACACAGTTACTTTTGCACAAACCTAATCAGTTTATTAAACACCTAAGTAAGATTTAGTGTTAAACATGAAACCTGAATGTGAAACATAATTTGTAAAGAGAGTTGAGTAACTAATTAAAAGCTTTTGCTTCTACTTTTCATTGTTCTCCTAAAAAACATAAATATAAAACTCGTACATGTGTAGGTAAGACCTCCCCTGCCAATACAAACCGTAGTCACTTGGTATACACTACTGCCTAAATTGAGCATAGATATAAAAACTTAAAAAAACAACAACAACAAAACTCTATGCCTGTATCTATAATTATATGATATTAAAATCTCATTCTTCAAAAACAGTAAATCATCAACAAAACTGGTGGTAATCTACATAAAATGCCCCTATATTCTACTTGTATGCTATGGAAAAGTCTTTTAAGTTTGTCGCTCCAAAACAGCATTTTTCTTGAAGTCTGCCTTACCCCCCAAAAAACTAAAACTGTTTGATGTAGATGGTCATTGCTTGATTGCCATTATAAATTATCTTGTATAATAAAATCTTTTTTTCTCTGCTCCCAATTTTTTAAAAATTAATTTAATCTATGCAACAGCTGTAGCACAATTTCTTGTCCTAAGGAGAATCATATTACAGGAAAAAAATGCATATAGATGGATCAAGTGCTGCTTTAGTAAATGCAGTTGTTTAATCTTTGCTTTTTTTTTTTTTTTTTTTAAAGGAACATGTCAAGGGTTAATCCTATGACTCAGTCTGACAAAACGAGTCAGCTGGAGACAGGGCCAATTTTTAAACCTGATTTCAGACAGGCTGCCTGCACAGTAGTTCTGAACTGTCATGCACTTTTTATCCAGAATTGTTTCCACCCACAACGCTACATAATCACTTATGTGTTACTCTAAGATTATGTGATCTGACTCAATATTCATGTCACCTAGTTCAACAATATAAAAAAATCACCAAGTTTTACAGCAAGATAGGAATCATTGTACACACTAGCAAAATGACTAGTGAAAATGCCAGAGGACCCTGACAAAATACGTAACTTGGAGCCATATACCTTTTATTAGCAAACTGATGATTCCTGGTTTAAAGATTATTGCATTTCACCAATTTTCAAATATGGCTTTTCCTCCCAAATGTTATCAGGATGTTATGTTTGCTGCTATTCCAGTAGTCATTAAGCACAGACCTAAACTAGGCAAGAAAAAGCCATAACGTGCTTTGCCTAAACAAGTTACTTCTTTACTGACGATATAGGAAAAGATGTTTTCAAAAAGTCTACCAAGTAAGAGCTCTCTGGAAACTTCAGTTTAAATTCCAGGCTTCCAGGCAAAATTTCCCTCTTCCATCTTACTTTTCTGTTGATTGGGAAACAGATCTTCCTTGGAGAGCTATATAAAATTTCTTAGAGTTATCCACGCAGTATTTTTATCTACTTTATTAGCTCATTTTTATCCTGATATTTGGATCACTACAACAGTTATAGCTATTTTTAAATGATCCGTAAGCAAGAATGTTTCTAAAGGTAACACAAAATTCTAAATAGTTTTGGAAAGAAAATTTTTAATTGAAGTGAATTATGTATCTTGAATTAGTTAACATAGGCCAGTTAGTGGTTAATCTTACTGTATATTCTTCTAAAACAAACAGGCAACATTCCACTGTCCCAAAAGCCAGAAGATCTGGCTGGAAAAGTAAACCTAAAACCCACTCATAATATTCCTCACGAAAAGTTTCAACATTATTTCTAAGTGAATCAAATCTTGGAAAACAGACTTTCAGAGTAATAAATGAAGCCAAACTTAAAAGCTGACACATGAATAACTCCACGAATGAACACTATATTTTCCTAAAGGATGAACTCGGTAAGTAATAAATTATTGGCTGCAAGGGAGGTAGGGGTGAGGATAGATTTAAGAGGATAGTGAGAGAATCTGCAACTGAACAAATTCAAAGCAAAAGAACCTTCCCCAATGCCTCTTCTTCCTCATCTACCTTGTAAAGAGATGACATGTGAGTGAATGCTGTCTCTCAAATGTGCAGTATTTTAGTTAGCCTTGCTAATTAAGTCAGACATCAAAATTCCAGGTTTTATATCTGAACATTATATTGCAGACTTCTCTGGTAGTATATGCTACTTTGTAAATATGTTCAGAAAGTTGTTATTCTGGTTTTTCTAATATCCTCACATTTTAGAAAATTTACTTCTGCAAGAAAGAAATCAAGAATATAAAACTCCAGTGAAATAATGCATCATTTTCAAACCAATCCACTAGCATTCAATGCATATTATTTAAAGTTAATAGTGTTATTGATCTAAAATCAATAGTGCATCTTTTAATTCAACAATCACTCCCATCTTGCTGATAACCCAGTCTATCAGTAAAAAGCCTTCTAATTACTATCTTTCCACTGTATGAAAATCTTAAAAATCAAAGACTTGATTTTTGTGATCTTTACTCAAGTGGCACTCCATGAAAAAAACTGTTCCAATTAAGCCTCAATTGTGATTACCAAAATCTTAACCAAACCAATAACCAGTGGATATTAAAGATTAGTCTGAGTACTGGTAAATAACTTATTTGGATATCAACACATATAAATATACACTTCTCAACACAATGTAAAGACACATGCTAAAATTCATAAAATAGCGTCTGTCTCAGATACAGGATATCAGATGTCATACTGTTTCTTTACAAATATCTCAAGTCTAAATTGAGTTTTAGAAATGCTTAATGATTAACAAAACAGAAAACACCTACCTATATAGCCAATGGAAACAATCACCTCTGTAAACTGCATTTTTAAGGCAAAAGAACAATTAATTTCCTTTTGACAACCATACGACTATAATGAGGATATGTAAAAACAGCCATACCTCCTGGAGAAGAAAGCAAATAAATCTCTTTCTGAGGTGAATAAATTGTATCCCTCCGACATCAACATGAACAGAACTGACAGATCATACAAAGCTTCTAAAAGGCAATCATTAGATAACCCTTCAAATGAGACAGAACTATATAATTACTGAGAATATGTAAAATCTGAAGCAAATTGCACGTTTCTTTTGATCACAAACTCACAACGACAAAGCAGTTTTCTTTGAAAAATTAAAGAGGGGGGGTCCCCCTGCCCCTGCATCTCTTGGCTGTCCCTTTCTTTCCCCTTTCCTTCCCTACGTGAATTGCAGTTTGTCACTTCTCATTTACCACTTGAAGTAACACAGTAAGAGAATCATTAACTATGTTGCAACTTGATAATTTTCCTGCAGATGGCTCCATAATCAAAGGACTGCCTAAAGGTGTGTGTATGCACACATTAAAAAAAACAATGAGGATGACCCTCAGGTTTTTAAATTCCTTAAGAAACCAGCACTTCTGAAGAGCTTTCAAGACTGACACAAGGCTTTGCGCTATTGACTCGTTAGGCAATCTAACAACAAAACAAAACTGTAGGCAAACAAAGCTATCATTCAAAATCATCTGTAAAGCTAAATAATTTTTGTGAACATGATGTCTTGGGTCAAATTAGCTGTCTCTTAAAGAAAGTGCCACCCGTTTTTTTGTTTCTTCTTTTGGCCTGTGCGATTTTTTTTTCTTCTGAACTGGAAGACATCAGATCCTTTCAATTTATGAGAAATGGAACAGCACCAAGATATTCTATTCTATTTTAAATTCATTTTTTAAAAGACCAGAAGTTAACATCTGCATCTTAGCCCAGAACCATTTCAAAAATCTGCAATCCAAAGCTGTAAGTAACTTATACATTAAGTTATTTTTTGGTCCCCAATCTATATTTTTGTTTCAGTAAAAATTCTTGCTAGTGGTAGTAATTTTTTAATACTTCTTGCCTCTAAATAAATGTTGAGTCTACCAAAACATCCTCCCTCACATTTGTGACAATAAAGTAAAAAAGCAAAGCTAATTTTTGCTATATTCACTGGAAGAAATCATACAGATCTTGAATTTATGAAAAGACGTATCTTTTAAGAATGGTTTCTTATTAGTAAATTCTGGTGACCATTCTTAACAAAAGCCAAAAAATACTTCACTTTGAAAAGACATCTAAGAAGAGTGACATCAACAGGGAAAAAGATGGGAAATGGTGTCAGTCATACATTTTCAACAAAGAACAACGCAAAACAAGCAGTGCTTGACCAGTATTTGGTTATGCTTCACTATTCCTAACAATGACAAGTGTCCCTAAACAGACACTGGGAAACAGATATAAAACTTGGAAGAAATTTGTTAAGCTACTTGTTCTATGTAGCAGTAGCACATGTGTATGCAGTAGGGCAGAAGTATTCTCCCTATCATTCATTAGTATTCTATGTAATATAAGATGGGCTACTCAGGTCCCAGAAAACTGTGGAGTTATATCATGTAACGCGAAAGAGCACTAAACTGGGAGTCAGGAGACAGGGATCCAGGTTTCAGCTCTGCCTCTCAGGAGGCAAGAGAGCTTAGGGTAGGTCGTTGACTCTCCCTGAGCCTAATTTTCCATTTCTGTAAAATGCAGGCATTAAACCATTAAACTAGGCCAAAGACTTCCTAGCCATTTCACCACTAATAAAACATTTTATTATGCACTCCACCCCAAAACTCTGAATTCCTATTTTGAAAGATTTTTGTCTCTCAGACTCTTTTTTTAAAATTCCATTATGATAAATATTTTTCTCTCTTAAAAGGAAAAATCAAGGCAGGGTATGGTGGCTCATGCCTGTAATACTACCACTTTGGGAGGCCAAGGTGGGAAGATCCCTTGAACCCAGGAGTTTGAGACCAGCCTGGGCAACATGGCAAGACCTGTCTCTACAAAAAGTTAAAAAATTCACTGGGTGGTGTGCACCTGTAATCCCAGCTACCTAGGAGACTGAGGTGGGAGGATCGCTTCAGCCCAGGAGTTCATGCCTGCAGTGAGCTATGATTGTGCCACTGTACTCTAGCGAGGGTGACAGAGAGAGACCGTCTCTAGAAAAACAACAACAACAACAAATGAACAAAAGCAAAAAAGAAAACTCAAAGCCATGTAACTGCAGTTCAGAACTTCAGATTAAAAGGTAAATGAAGCATTGCCATACTGAGTTGAAATAATTCCAGTGAAAGAAACCTGATGTTTAATTACCATTTTATTTTGGTAAAGTATAGAATCCACAGAATTTGTTAGGTTTTTCTGATGTATTTTGAATCTTGTTGTATTCAAGATTCAAGATTCAAGCTGTGATCCACTGGCATAGATGATACCAGGTGTCCACACCAATCTTAAAGTGTGTGTGTGTGTGTGTGTGTGTGTGTGGTGTGTGTGTGTGCGTGTGTGTGTATGTCTCAAAGTCCTGCTTTGTTGCCCAGGCTGGAGTGCACTGGTGCAATCTTGGCTCACTGCAACCTCCACCTCCCGGGCTCAAGCCATTCTCATGCCTAAGCCTCCAGAGTAGCTGGGATTACAGGCGTGTGCTACCACACCCTGCTAAGTTTTGTATTTTTAGTAGAGACAGGGTTTCGCCATGTTGGCCAGGCTGGTCTTGAACTCCTGGCCTCAAGCGATCTGCCAGCCTCGACTTCCCAAAGTGCTGAGATTACAGGCATGGGCCACCATGCCCAGCCTTAAATTGTATTTTTATAATCATACCTGCAAGAGGCATAATTAAAAGTCTAAACCCTCACAGGAAATGAAAGGCTGAACCAAAAAAGGAATTTGAAAACATAATTACAACTTCTCAGTTCTAAGACAAGAGTCCAAAAGCTTTGTATTCTAATAACATTTATGCCAGCAAATGAAGTATCTAAAAGGCTAGTTATATATAACTCCATTGCCTAGTAATATGTTCATTTAAAACCATAATCTTTCTTTTTTCTTTTTATTTTTAAAGTATAATTGACACAAGGTCTCACTTTGTTGCCCAGCCTGGTCTTGAACTCTTGGGCTCAAGCAATCCTCCCACCTCAGCCTCCCAAAGTGCTAGTATTAGAAGCGTGGGCCACTGCTCCCTGCTCCCTGCCCTATCAACTTTATCTTGAACAAAATAGTAAAACAAAATAAAGAAAAGCAGTGACATCCTACCGATAGATAACAACTCTTACCTAACTTTGTCATTGTTTAATTTACTCAATAACAATTTTGGTTTCTCAATAATGTGCAAGTTAATCTACAAGTCAGATATTTCATGGTGAATACAGCATCACCTGGAAAACAAAACATTTATGGCTATGCCCTTCAAATAATATACAATCTCCTCCAGGGATGGCTTTGTTATAATTTTAGCACGCAACACAGAGTTAAGGAGTCAATATGGGAGCTCATCTTAAGTAAGTGGGCTGAGGCTCCTGCACTATTCTGTAATAAAGATGCAGTGCCCATCTATGACTTGTTTCTTTGCTCCTTTTGGCTGGAGAATTTAGTAGAGCAGTAAACAGGACTATTATACACAAATGTGGCTGTAGTGAGTATGTAGGTTGGAAAGTTTACAGGATAAAGTAAGGGAGTAAAGAGTGAAAAACGGGTGGCAACACTACAGTAACTTTATAGGTGCGCGATCTTGAGGACGCTTCCTTGCCATAACACTGGTGATTTCAGACTGAAATGGTTGTTATATAAAAAAGGTTCAAACTGTATTACTGTTGTTAAAATGGGAATAAAGATTATATGAATAAAAGAACACGATACTCTAATGCTAAGACCTCACATTGGAAAACAAATGCATGACTTCCTAGCTCTCATCTAATTCCTATCTAATAATTCCTATCTAACCAAGGGGCACACTGTCCATGTAAATAGAAATAACTACAGTGTTCTTTGCTGCTGAAAAGACTTTTAGTTTTCTGATGAAAACCTGGAGCTCTCTCTTTTCCTCCCTGAAAAGTGTTTACAAAGTTTAAGCATGTTAGATGTTTTATAATACAGTGAGTTAAAACATACAGTTATGTAGCTATCTTTCTCCTGAAGATAATTTAGATTATCTAGTATGTAGCTCATACCTTGTCTGAGTCAGCTAAGCATGGTCTAGAAAGAAGAGCTATGGCTGTATTGCTAATCATTTGCCTTTGTTCATTTATTCAACAAATAGTTATTAAGTATCTGTTATGCACCTCTGTGCTGCAGGTGCAATAAACAACATAAATAAAATCCCTGCTTTATTATGTTGCTCCTGGGTAACACAGATAAAGAATAAACGAATTAGGCCATATCAGATTGTATGAAGTACTGTAGAGAAAAATACATCAGGAAAAGAGTGAGGAGGTACTAGGGGTATGTTGCCCTTTTATATAGGATGGTCACAAAAGATCTTCATTGACAGTGTGATATGACATCAAAGAGAAAACTAGCCATTTGGATACGAGGGAAAGTGTGTTCCATAAACTGCAAATGCAAAGGCCCTGAGGTAGGAGTGTGCTTGACATCTTTAAGAAGCAGTAAAAAGGAGAGTATGGCTAGAGTGAAGTAAGGGAGGGGCAGAGTGGTAGAAGATGAAGTCTGAAAGGTGGCAGGTGTCTTATAAGCCATTTTAAAGATGTTGGTTTTATAATAAGGGAAGCTACTGGAGGATTTTAAGCAGAGGAGTATATGATCTGACCTAGATTTTAAAAGGATGTTCCTGTGTCTAAAAATAAAAACAAAATAAAACTGGAAGACCAGTTATAAAGCTGTTGCCATAATTTAAGAAAGAGGTAAAGGTGGTTTAGACAAAGATGATAGCTACACAGGTGACCACGAATGGTTAAATTCTTGAAGAGAATTCTAGTAAGAGAAATATAAGACTGTCCTCTGTTTCAAATTTATGTCAATGAAACCGTAACTTATTTCCTTTAGAAAAATAATTCCTGTATTGTTGTTTTCCATACTTTTCTTTCGCGTGAGGACCATGGCCCTATATTTTTAATTAGGTCATCCTAAAACAATGTAGAATTAATGCTGATGGCTGAATTACCTGTAATTTTCCTGCTTTCTGTTTTGGTTTTGGTAAAATGCTCCTATTTTGGTAACTAGGAATTAACTGCATAATTGAAGGGAGAAATGGGACATATAATTCAGTTTCTTATACAAAGAAGGCCAGTTAACATATTGAAGGTTTGAACAATCAGAGAAGTAAGTTAAAAAGTACAGCTTAGAGCAGGAAGTCATTAACAGGTGATGTTTCCTATTATAGATACATAAAATAATGGCCTTGTAGTCCTTATTTTTATCCCTTTAATTCAAAAAGCATTTCCTAAATACTACATCATGTGCCTGGTGAACAACAATTATGCAACAAAAAACATTTTGGGCTGGCCGCAGTGACTCACACCTGTAATCCCAGCACTTTGGGAGGCCAAGATGGGAGGATCACTTGAGGCCAGGAGTTTGAGACCAACCCTGGCAACACAGCAAAACCTCTTTTCTACAAAAAATAGAAAATGTAGCCAGGTGTAGTGGCATGTGCCTGTAGTCCCAGTTACTCAGGAGGCTGAGGTGGGAGGACTGCCTCTCTGCTTGAGCCCAGGAGTTTGAGGCCGCAGCGAGCTATGATGGCACCACTGTACTCCAGCCTGGACCACAGACTGAATTCCTGTTTCAAAAGAAAAAAAAAAATTTTTTTTTAAGTTCTTTCTTTCCAGGCTGGGTGCAGTGGCTCACGCATGTAATCCCAGGACTTTGGGAGGCCAAGGTGGGTGGATCGCTTGAGTCCAGGAGTTCGAGACCTGCCTGGGCAACAAGATGAAACCCTGTTTCTACAAAAAAAATACAAAAATTAGCCAGTTGTGGTGGCACTTGCCTGTAGTTCCAGCTACTCGGGAGGCTGAGGTGTGAGGATCACTTGAGCCCAGGAGGTGGAGGTTGCAGTGAGCCAAGATTATGCCACTGCACTCCAGCCTGGGTGACAGAGTGAGACTCTGTCTCCAAAAAAAAAAAAAAAAAAAGGATATTTTTGTCCAAAGAACAAGGTTATCTTTTGACTATAAGAATCTTGGCCAGGGGCGGTGGCTCACAACTGTAATCCCAGCACTTTGGGAGGCTGAGGCGGGTGGATCACGAGGTCAGGAGTTCAAGACCAGCCTGGCCAAGATGGTGAAACCCGTCTCTACTAAAATTACAAAAAAATTAGCTGGGTGTGGTGGCAGATGCCTGCAATCCCAGCTACTCAGGAGGCTGAGGCAGAGATTTGCTTGAACCCGGGAGGTGGAAGTTGCAGTGAGCCAAGATCGCACCACTGTACTCCAGCCTGAGCGACTGAGCAATACTCTGTCTTTAAAAAAAAAAAAAAAAAGAATCTTGAAGTCAGGGTCCATATTTTATTCATATTTAAATCCCTAAAGTCTAAAATAGTTCTTCATTCACGATAAGGACTTAGTATATATTTGTTGATTTTGACAGAAGGGATTCATATTCTCCTGACTGGGAATCTACTAGATGGAGCCCATACTAGTAGCAAATAAGTTTTCTAAATCTCATTTAAGTTACTGATTTTTGAAATTTTAAAATATCTTTTGTGTTACTGGAGAAGATACTGAAAATCATGATTTCAAATAATGATGAGTTTGACAGTTTAAAAAATTGTCAAGCTCAAGTCAGAAAACTTGAAGTTTTCTTAGTTCTTACTTATTATTTTTGTTGTTGTTTTTTGAGACGGAGTTTTACTTTTGTTGCCCAGGCTGGAGTGCAATGGTGTGATCTTTATCTCGGCTCACTGCAACCTCCACCTCCTGGGTTCAAGTGATTCTCCTGCCTCAGCCTCCCAAGTAGCTGGGATTACAGGCATGCCCCACCATGCCTGGCTAATTTTTGTATTTTTAGTAGAGATGAGGTTTCACCATGTTGGTCAGACTGGCCTCAAACTCCTGACCTTAAGTGATCCGCCTGCCTTGGCCTCCCAAAATACTGGGATTACTACAGGCGTTAAGCCACCGCGCCCGGCCTATTTATTATTTATTATTAATACTAGCCTCATAAAAGCAAAAAGGAAACTAAGAACCATATAAAATTTACTTAGATTCATAGGGATTAACATTGAAAAAATGAATTTTCTAGGGATGGAAGATATTCTTAATTTTTGTATGAAGGTTTTATGTTTAGACCAGAAACATGACACATGATTCAAAAGAATTGGTTTCACAGTCACACTTGGGTTGGAACCGATTCCCAAGCTGCCAGCAACTATCTTTAACTTTAGGTTCCTCTGTTTTTTGTTTTTTTGGGGACAGGGTCTTGTTCTGTTACCCAGGTTGGAGTGTAGTGGTGTGATCACAGCTCACTACAGCCTGAAACTCCCAGGCTTAAGCCATCCCTCCAACCTTAGCCTCCTGAGTACCTAGTACTACAGGCACACACTACCACGACCAATTTTTTTTTTCCTTTTCTTTTTTTTTTTTTTCTGTAGAGACAGGGTCTTGCTATGTTGCCTAGGCTGGTCTTGAACTTCTAGGCTCAAACACTCCTCCCATCTTGGCCTCCCAAACTGCTGGGCACTATGGCCCAGCTTTAGGTTCTATCAGAAAGTTGGAACAGGAAAAAAAATGGTGATTGGCACAAATATATCTAAGTTTAAGTTAAGTGTCTGTAATACAATAAACTCTCCACCTCCTGGGTTCAAGTGATTTTCCTGCCTCAGCCTTCCGAGTACAGGAGGTGGAGGATGCAGTGAGCTGAGATCGTGCCACTGCACTCCAGCCTGGGCAACAGAGCGAGACTGTCTCAGAAAAAAAAAAAAAAAAAAAAAAAGAGAATACAAGGTAGTGGATCTTAATAAAACCAAGAATCAGGACTAAGAAGTATTTAATTTTATTTTTAACTCTTTAGGTCTGTTTTTCACTGGAACTACATTTACCTTTTCTTTAAATCTAGTGCAGGTTGGCAAACTTCTATTTTCATAAATAAAGCTTTATTTATTTTCATAAATAAAGTTTTATAAAGTGTCTGTCAGTACAGGTGTGCACCACCATGCCCGGCTAATTTTTGTATTTTTAGTAGAGAAGGGGTTTCACTATGTTGGCCAGGCTGGTCTCAAACTTCTGAGCTAGTGATCTGCCTGCCTCGGCCTCCCAAAGCACTGGGATTACAGGCATAAGCCATCACGCCTGGCCTCATTACCTTGTATTCTTTAGTGCCTTAAGACCCTGGGCACTGGGCCAGAGTTTATTGTATTGACAGACTAAGGCATTTACATAATTCAACCATATAGCCTTTAAAAACCATATGAGTTACAAACATGCACACATACTGGGCTTTATCCTACATCTGCTTTGTGAAGTCTCTAAGATCTTACCAGCAGCCAAAGAGTTCAATAAACCTTAAAAGCTACCTGTAAATGAAATGCAGCCATGTTCTTCTTTTAAAAGGAATAGAGAAGTCAGAAAATAACAATAACAAGTATCACTGTATACAGCCATATCAGTACAACTGGATCCATAGGACTCACTCACTGGTTACTTTTCCTTCTGCTTTTTGGTTTGAAATTACATCAAAGACATTACCGACTTCTCACAAAAATCAACATCTTAGAACTACACATTAAAGGCTATTAATTCTGACACTGTTCTGAACAGTGGTTACTGTCAGCATAAACAGTGGCTACTTCTTATTAATGTATGAAAAAAATCTTTCACTTAACGACTAAACTGAATATAAGTTTGGAATGGATTAAAGGATAATCCACTTACGTACTTTACATACAAAGATTTTTCTGCTAGTCTGACCTGTAAGGTCAGAGACTGAATAAGCCACTTTGGAAATTTTGTATCACAGTAGCCTTCAAATAGAGATACCTCATCTAACAGCCCGAAACTCTTAAGTATATACAGTTGTTGTGTGTTCTCTATGCTGTTTGCCCAAGGAACTAAGCAAATACCTATTCTAACTCATGTTCAAGATCTGGAGGGTTTACTCATGAAGTTCAGCAAAAGCTGGTACTTTATGTAAATACTATTTATTCCAGAATCAGTAGATTTCTTGCTAGTCTTAAGGGCCTTGGATAATTGTTTGTTTTTATTTTTATTTTTTTTAAGACAGGGTCTCAGTCTGTCACCCAGGCTGGAGTGCAGTGGCGTGATCCTGGCTCACTGCAATCTCAACCTCTAGGGTTCAAGCAACGCTCTCTCAGAGTAGCTGGGACTATAGGCACACAACACCATGCCAGCTAATTTTTGTATTTCTTTATAGAGGCGGGGTTCCATTATGTTGGCTAGGCAGATCTCGAACTCCTGGGCTCAAGTGATCTGCCCGCCTCCACCTCCCAAAGTTTTGGGATTATAGGTGAGAGCCACTGCGCCTGGCCGGGCCGGATAATTGCCTATAAACACACTCTGTTATCTTGGCTTCCTAGTGACTTCCATACGACTCTACTCACAGAGTATTTTTCTTGCTGCTCATCTTACTATTTTCATGGATAAATTGGAGCTATCAGTTTCTCTATAGTTCTAACTCTTGACCTTTTTCTTACTGGTTCAGATGGCTAGCAAGCTCTTAAATCATAGTTTTAAAATTATTCATTTCCACCCATCCCAGAAAGTTCTGTTTGTCATCTCTTTCCTATTAAAAAAAAAAATCTTCAGTTTAGACACCCTCAGGATTTAGTATTTTTTTCTTTTGAATATTCTTATTCTACTTAGTATGTATAGCAGCACGCTAGATTATTAGACATGGTCTAGCAGTCTTTATGGTTTGGGAATACCTCAGGATATTTCCAATTGTCTCAAAAGGTATCCCTACAATTTCAAATTTACGATAACAAATGACTAAAAATTCACATTTTTTTAAAAAGAGCCATTCCCAACAAAATGAAATTCCATAAAAACTTTAGGAGAAAGAAAGGCACCACTTTCTTACCTCTTTTCTTTTTCTTTTTTTTTGAGACAGAGTCTTGGCTCTGTCACCCAGGCTGGAGTGCAGTGGTGAAATCACAGCCCACTGCAGCCTTGAACTCTTTCAGGAGTATCAAGAGATACTCCTGCCTTAGCATCTCAAGTAGGTGAGACCACAGGCACATGCCACCATACCTGGACAGTTTTTTAAAATATTTTTTTGTGTGTGTGTGTGCAGACAAGGTCTCACTATGTGGCCTAGGCTGGTCTCAAACTCCTGGATTCAGGGGATACTCCCACCTTGGCCTCCCAAAGTGCTGGGATTACGTGAGCCACTATGCCTGGCCTCATCACTTTCTAAATTACAGTCAGTGACTAATTCAAGGGCCACTGAACTTTGTAACTGTCTGCATCAAACCAAGAAAAAGTAGAGTCTAAGCTGTTTTGATTCATGTCAGAAACAATAAAGCTCCTTATAGTGGTGGAGAAGAGCTAGCAAATTTTTATTTGCAGGCAGACTCTTCCTCTGTCACCCAGGCTGGAGTGCAATGGAGTGAACATGGTGGGCTCAAGTGATCCTCCCACTTTAGCCTCCGAAGGAGACAGAACCACAGGGGGTGCCAATCACACCTGGCTAATTTTTTTGCAGTGACAGGGTCTCACTAGGTTGCTCAGGCTGGTCTTGAACTCTTGGGCTCAAGTGATCCTCCTGCCTTGGGACTACAGCCACCGTGCCCTGACAAAATATTTTTCTTGATGGGGTAAATTACACTTTGAGAGTTTAAGCAAGAAATTACAGTAACAGCTTTTGTGGGAATATATACATACACTCTTTAACATGACACTTGATTAAGAAACAATCATGTCATCAGGCTACGTACGGGACTGCAAACAAGTTACATTCAAAACTTGTAAGACACGTCATTTTGATGCAGAGTTAATATTTGATATGAAAAAGGTATTTTCAATTGCCATAGAACAAGAATACAACTTTAGGTATTTGGGTCTAGGAAGGGATTTCAAATCTCTCCAGGTATTTACTTACATTTTGGAAAGACTTGTTCTGATATATCTTGCTTCTTCTATTATCTACTGCAGCACATAAAAGAAAATGATCTATGTTTGGAAATATTAACACTAACTTAAGAAATAAAGAATAAAGAGCAAAGAAACTTTTCTGCATCTGAGAAATGCTTCAGAGGGCCATAAAGATGTTCAACGAGTGATTTAGAAAAGGAAAAAAAAAGTGTCGACTCCTGAGAGTTCAGAAAACAAAAATAATTAGAATGAATTCTAGGGGCAGCCGGATTTGATTCAACAAGTTTTCCTTCCTTTTGTAGATTGTTTTTCTGCAAGTGAATGCTTTCTAAACAACAAAAGGAACTGCTACAATTTACCATGCAGTCATTAGGTGCCAGGCACATACATTATATACACAGGTGGAGGTAACGTGAAAACTTTTTATTTCACTATAATACTTATCCTTTTTTATATATCTTCAAACTTTTTTTTGTTTGCTTTTCATCAAAATTTGGTAAAAATGAAATGCTAAACTTCTTTAAATTTCAGGCTGTAGTGGTATGAACTAGCTAGAATAATGAAGGAACATTTACTGAGTATCTAGGATACACCACACTTATAGTAGGTACATAATACTCTCACAATAACATCTGAGATAGGCATTATCATCCCCTTTTACAAATAGAAACTGGAGGTTCCGAGAACTCAACAGCAACTTCTCCAAGGTTACAAAATAAAAAGCTGAGGGCAGACCGGGTGTGGTGGCTCACACCTGTAATCCCAGCACTTCGGGAGGCTGAGGTAGGTGGATCAGGAGGTCGGGAGATCGAGACCATCCTGGCTATAGCGGTGAAACCCCATCTCTACTAAAAATACGAAAAATTAGCCGGGTGTGGTGGTGGGCACCTGTAGTCCCAGCTACTCAGGAGGCTGAGGCAGGAGAATGGCATGAATCTGGGAGGCGGAGCTTGCAGTGAGCTGAGATCATGCCACTGCACGCTAGCCTGGGAGACAGAGCAAGACTCTGTCTCAAAAAAAAAAAAAAAAGCTGAGGGCAGATAAATAAAATCCATCACATGCTTAATTGGGAAGTCTGTGGTTTTCTACTACTGTAGGTCCTTAAACAACAAAGCCAAATAAAAATAAATTTGATCAGTAAAAACATAATTGACAGAATAAATTTAAGTTTTAATTTAATATACTAAGCAAGATATTTTCTGAATAAACCAAGGTATTAAAGAATCAGATTTTAACACTCAAAAAGAAAATGGTGTTTGATATTAAGTTAGGTTGTAATCTTGGCCCTATGTGTGATTTTTGGCAAGTTAATTTATGTCTTTGAGTCTTAATTTTCTTATTTGTAAGTAGGGAATATTAGTTATAGAGTTGTTTGGCAAAAGGTTGAAGATTAGGATATGGGTAATGGTTAACAAAGTTCCTCACACATGAAGTCTTGCACCACTAACAACACAGTGACACTGAGGCTGTAAAGGATGCTAACAAATATATTACAAATGTTTCCTTTTTTTCCCCCGACAAATTACCAGGAAAAAACCCTGCCCCAAATCCCCACCCAGAGATTCAAAATTCCCTTGAACTTTGTATCTTAGTGAAGATCTCATATAGATGAAAAACAGCTGATGTACATGCAAAGAACAAAGACAAGAGTTGGCAGTTAGAGAATGGGAGGGGAGGTTTAAGAACCCTAAAACGGAAGTAAAACACCCTGCAAATCCAAAGTACCACCCATGCCTTTGGAAACTCCCAGATAAAACTTTAACAACTATAAATGCCTTCCATTATCTCTTGGCCAGAACAGTTGAGTTGTTTATCCAGGATAGACTGCTATGACAACTTATCTCTTCTCATATCTGTACTGATTTTATGTGTGCCCCCACTCAATCTACCTCTGGAGTAGAAGAGTGGGTTTGCTATAGGAAAATTACAAAGGTTGCAACTTGTATATAATCTAGTAATGCTGTACTTTTAGATGTGACCTCAACACGTGTTTATTTTTTCACACCTCCAGGCCTTTTACCTGTCTGGTCCATTCTCTCCTTCTCTAACAGATGAGCTGCTACGCATCTTTCCAGACACAACTTAAATGTCAACTCTTCCTGAAGTCACTATAGTAGGGTTAGTTCTACCTACCCTATGTCACCAGAGCACCTGGTACACACCCTTACTTGCTTCACTGCAATATAATTAATTCCCTGAATGCTTGTTTCTCATATAAGATAGTGAGGTCCTAGAAGACAATTATGGTGTTTGTATATGTTTGAATTCTCGGTGTCCAAGCATTATTCTACTGTTGCTGCTACAAAAGTCCACTTTTCCCAATCTTTAAATCTGTCTAGAAAAGCAAGTGGAGAATCTCATGTGCTTTAAAAACATCACTTCTTCATCAGGAGGAAGAAAACTATGCTCACTATTCTTTTTTGGTTATTTATTGAGCATATCAGTTTTAAAACCGTAAGTATGTAGCAATTTAGACCTGAAAGGAACTTCGAATTTCCCACTCCAAACATCCTAAGGGCTGACTAATCTAAGGCTATACAGCCAATCAGTAACTGAGCTGGGCAGATTTAGGTGAACCATTCACTTAATGTTACTGACTATACTGCTCTAATGATATTTAATACAGCTTAGTTAGACCTTCATCCACAAACAAAAGTTACTAGTCAGTGGTTCTGCAGAGAGGAACAGAGAAGCTGAGTTATGCACTTATGATACCTAAATATAAAACAGTTTACAAAAAAAGTCTCTAATCAATGCTACATGATCAAATTATACAGATTATCAATGCTTTGCATGCTAAGTAACCCTGCCTATTATTTTTTGTATCAGTATCAGCGATACTTAGTCCTTTCACTGTTTCTTTAGAAAAAGTCACATATATTTTACAGATTAAAGATAGAATGAACAAGTAGGAAACTGATGAAATCCTGAATGCTACTGCCAAATTTCCAATATGGTTTGGAAAGTATAATATTCAAATTATCATAAAATAAAATATACATAGTCAATTTTCATTTTTAATACTCCATTTTTCTTATAGTTTGCATGTCAAAAGTTTATAGTTTGCATATTTTTCAATAAAAGCTCTGAAATAGGAAATCACAACTTAAAATTCTATTTTAGATCCTGAGAAGGTAAACAGTATAACCTTAAGTGTTCTTAGGACATATTTTGTCATTATTTATTAAAGTATTTTCTTTTAAAATCTTTTCAGTTAATCCTAGAAGTGGGAAAAATATCTGTCTTTAAGGTTTTTCTGTTTTCTTTTTTAAATACTTGAGATTTCAGCCGGGTGTGGTGGCTCGCACCTACAATCCCAGCACTTTGAGAGGCTGTGGCAGGAGAAGCACAGAGCCCAGGAGTTCAAGACCATCCTGGCCTGGACAGAGACCTCCTCGTCTCTACAAAAAAAAAAAAAAAAGCCAGCCGTGGTGGCCTGTCCCTGTAGTCCCAGCTACTTGGGAGGATGAGGTGGAAGGGTCGCTTGAGCCAAGGAGGTTAAGGCTGTAGTTTGCAGTGACTGTGTCACTGCACTCCAGCCTGTGTGACAGAGTGAGATCCTGCCTCAAAAAAACCAAAATAAAACAAAAAGACCCTGAGGTTTCAACACAGCATTTTATCTAAAACATACTTTCAGTTAATTAAAATGAATGTGTTATTTATACATCCTTAATAACATTTAATATATACTAATATAGCTAGTAAAATACAATATATAAGTAGGCTTGGCCTGCAAAATTTCCTAATGGTTCTCAAAGAAATCAAGTTTCATCAGAATTCAGTGACTTGTTCCAGATACCTGAGACAATACAGAGAACTACTACCTCCAAGTAATGAATGTTATTACGATTACGAATGTAAGAAATGCTGGTGACCTCCAGTGTCTACTCTCCTTCCAGACTGTTCTGTCCATTTTGCCTACTGCTTTTAAAATCAAAGAACTATGGAACACTGAACATACACTGTTTCTTAATGTCAGGTTAAGAAATGAGATGAATTTTTCATTCACTAATCTGTTTTTTTAACCTGTATAGTTCTACTAAATATTAATGTGTAATTTAACTTTTATTACTCTCATTGAATTACAGTAATAAATTACAAGAAAATTGCACTGCTACATGTTTTAGCAGTACTGTCAGTTTTAATATGATTTCTGTTAATTTAACAGAAATCATCTGTTATGCTGTTGAACCACCTACCCCTGCATAGCACACAACTGTTAAAATGTAAATTGCCAACTATTTTTAGCTGCTGCTGAAAAAAAATTCCTGTCTTCGGGAATAACGATTTGAGGCATTGTGTTCATTTTGTTTATCAAGCAGTCTCTAGTGGGCCCAAGTGCTTATGCAAGCAAAAGCTTTTAAGAATGCCTGCAGCTGCAAGCCAACCTTCCAGGTAGGCTGCAGGTTCAGAGCACAGCTGCCCTAGGCTGCATAAAACTCAGATCCATCTGGAACTGAGTTACAGAGAGGATTTCAAATTCGACTTTTCATGTATCACACGGTAGAGAAGGCAGGGGAATAACACAGAAAAGAAGGAAGGCAGACAACCAAAAAGATTGTATCTCTACTTCAGCCTTAATAAAAACTAAAAAGCTCAGACCCATGCTGCTCCTTCTAGATTACTACTTGCCAAGCCGGATATTCCATTCAGTCTATACTTCGATGAGCTGACTCATCTGGCGGCACCTGCGCCCATGGGTTAAGTACTGCCAAATAAAAGCCCAACATCCATTTACACAACAAAAAGATGTACCCTACAAGGCACTGGGGCCTCAATCAAACAGCCTCACTCACCATTTCTTCTAAGCAAAGGGAGAAGAAAAAAAAACTTCCGTTTTTTGCACCAGAGATTTAAAAATTGTAGGTAGATTTACGATGCAGGTTCCTTTACAAGTACTTTTACTCCTTTAAAGAATAAAGTATATTTAATAGCACAGTCGCCCCTACAGTATTAGATTATCATGGCCATTAATGATTGTTCCACCAAACCTTTCCAACCTTCTTCATCAAAGCCCTTTATTCTCAAAGGATACATTTTTGAGCAAAGAGGGATCAACAAACTAGTTGCTTGAAAGCTTTCCTGATGCTAGGCTGAAGTTAGGAAAGGCTTAATGAAGGCTTTAAAACCCACAAGGGCTTCACAATGAACATCTGACTTGGTGATTTATGCATATTAATAACCTCAGTCCTACTGAGGCAAGCTGAGCCAAACATGTACTCCGAATCTTAATGTCTTTAGCTCCATTGGGATTATTACAAATGTAAATTTCTAAGATTTTCAGCTATTAATCTCTGTCTGTCCTCCTGTTCAGCAACATAATGACTAATTAAACATCAAAAGACCTGCATAGGAGATCATCTTTGACAGCTACTGGCCTAGTCCTCTTCCCAAGAGGGGAATTCAAATGACAGGGACAAGGAGTAAGAGCATATGAGTAAGCTACAAATCATTGCAGAGAAATCTAAAAACCAAACATTAAATGTGGATTTACCTCAATCAATGATTTTGTTAAGCACTGAACAATTACTATGTAAAGTATGCCCACTCGCATCAATCGAATGTACCCTTGTAGCAAGGTAATACGGAACACTTGAAATCAGTTTGTTTACCATCAAGTTAAAAAAAGATAGGTACTTACAGAAGAAGGCAAACCAGGAGGCACCTTTCTGACTTTTTTTGCTTGCAAGGGATCTGCAGATGGAAAACAATACATTTCTTCAGCATAATATACCAGAAAAAAATCAAGACTTCAAATTAACAGAATAACTTTTCCCCTAGCGTCTTTCTTGTTTTCCAATATTTGGGAGTAAGCAGCAAAATACAGTAATGAGGGCTTCATTCCTTTTAACTAGTCCCAGTGAAAAACAGGTTCTCCTAAAAAAGTGATACATTCTGAAAATACATATCCCATAAATTTGGGAAGATGACAGCAAATGAACCAATACAAGAAAGAAAACAACAAACTAGTATGAGGGAAGGGAATGAACATTTCTTAAGAAACTGTTCGGCCGGATGTGGTGGCTCAGGCCTGTAATCCCAGCACTTTGGGAAGCCAAGGTGGGCGGATCACCTGAGGTCAGGAGTTTGAGACCAGCCTGGCCAACATGGTGAAACCCATCTCTACTAAAAATACAAAAAAATTAACTGGCCGTGGTGGCGGGCGCCTGTAATCCCAGCGACTCGGGAGGTTGAGGCAGGAGAATCACTTGAACCCGGGAGATGGAGGTTGCAGTGAGCCAAGATGGCACTACTGTACTCCAGCCTGGGTAACAAGAGAGAACCTCTGTCTCAAAAAAAAAAAAAAAAAAAAAGAAGCTGTTCTGTGCCAGGTACTATACTAGGTACTTTACAGTTTCATTTGCAGAGGGGCACTTAGTGTAATAGGTCATGTTGATAATATGACTCCTTTAGCAGAGTCATATTTAGTGATTGCATCACACTGAGAATTAGGCTTAAAAGCATATTTTAAAAACTGAGAGCTAATGCTATGCTTGCTATCCTACAGTTTTTTAAAAATTTGAAATAAAGAAATAAAATGAAGGTTATAATGTCAATATATGATACATAAACTATTAAATATGGGCATTGACAAATGCAGTATCATTCAGTATTTGACACATTTACTTTTAACATTATGTGGCTATAACCACAACTACAGCATTAATTACTGTACAATTTGTCCTTGAATGTTTATATTTCCAGGAAATAACTTGACAGAGAAAGTATATTTCTTTCTCAGAATTTATCAATATAAATGAAAACATGAGTATTTCATATGTTAACCAGTCTCACTTGATGAGTTAATTTTACTTATATGTAAAATATAAAACTTGTTCATCTTATTTACTGTAAAACAAAGTGATAAACACAGGGTTCCAGGTTTACACAAAAAATGGATCAAATTCAGAATTTTCTGAGGGGCTCATTATTAGGAAGAGAGAACACATGAGGAAGCTGATGTAAAGTGTAATACTTTTGAAAGCTGTAAAAATGGGAATTAAACAATCACAGCACAATCATTCCTCAGTATCAGTGGGATTGGTTCCACGATCCCTGAGGATACAAAAATCCACAGATGCTCAAGTCCTTTAAATAAAATGGTGTAGTATTTGCATATAACCTATGCATATCCTCTTACATACTTTAAATTATCTCTACATTATTATGTATAATACCTAATACTATGAAAATGCTATGTAAATAGTTATACTGTATTGTTCAGGGAATAATAACAAGAAAAAAATAAGTCTATGCATGTTCAGTACAGATGCAATCACCCATTACATTTTTTTTTTTTTCTATCTGTGGTTGGCTGAATCCACAGATGAGAAACCCATGGATGTAGAGGTGGCCTCAAGTGATTCTCTGGCCTCGGCCTCCCAAAGTGCTGGGATTATATTTTCCTGGTCCATAAATGACACTATACAATAAAACATGCAGTTTAACCCATTTATTTTTCAGAGACAGGTTCTTGCTCTGTTGGCCAGGCTGGAGTGCAGTGGTATGAGCACAGCTCACTGCAGCCTTGAATTCCTGGGCTCAAGCAATTCCCCTGCCTTGGTCTCCTGAGTAGCTAGACTACAGGTGTGTGCCACCGCACCCAGCTAATTAAAAAAATTTCGTTTGTAGAGAGGTGTTTCACTATGTTGCCCAGGCTGGTTTTGAACTCCTGGTCTCAAGTGATCATCGGCCTTGGCCTCCAAAAATGCTGGGATTATAGGCATGAGCCACCATGCCCGGCCCCAGTTTAACCCATTTAACTTTGGACTGGGAATTCTCTACAGTGAATATCCCAGGAGGCTGCAAAGTTAAAAAGGCAACTTTATATGTAGCATATGAAGAAAACTGTACACAACAGCAAAGGGGGGAAGTATTCATTTCTGACCCCAAGAGGCAAGCCTATATTTCCTTAAAACAGAAGTGCCAAAGATGAACAACATCTGGCACACTCTGTATTTATAAAACCCCAACTACTCACAACTAATACAGCATTCCCTTGAACAAAAGCCATACTCCTTGTACGAAAACAGTCAACTGAACTGCCCCTACCAGTTTAGAGCCTATCATTCTACTTAGAGGTCATTATTAGTAAAAGATTAGTTTAGGCCAGTTTTTCCACTGCCATGTGAAAAGAAATTTTTCTTTTGTATTTGGTTACCCACCACTATACAATCAAATACAAAATGTCTGATTTAAAATCATGAGAGCCTGGGATTCACCGACCACTTCTGGGAAGTTGCAAAATATAATAGCTAAGAGATGGCTGGGTGCGGTGGCTCATGCCTGTAATCCTAGCACTTTGGGAGGCCAAGGCAGGAGGACCACTTGAGGTCAGGAGTTCGAGACCAGCCTGGCCAACATGGTGAAACCCCTTCTCTACTAAAAATACAAAAATTAGCCAGGCACAGTGGCTTGTGCCTGTAATCTCAGCTACTCGGGAGGCTGAGGCAGGAGACTCGCTTGAGCCCGGGAGGCAGAGGTTGCAGTGAGCCGAGATCATGCCATTGTACTCCAGCCTGGGGGACAAGAGTGAAACTCCGTCTCAAAAAAGAAAAATACATAAATATAAGTGAATAGAATAAAAAGAGAGTAAGCTGGCTGGATTCTAATTCCAGCTCCATCATATAGCAGCTAGTTACTTAACCCTCTTTGAGCTTCAGTTACCTCCATGTAAAAAGGGGGTAACACATCCTTTTGTGTATTTCATGTATTGTGATAATACGTGAAAGACGCTTAGGGGAGTGCCTAACACAAGTATGAGACTGAACAAATTTTAGCCATTATTATTAGGTTTCCATTAAAATGTGGGGAAAAATGATTATAAATTGGGTAATTAGATACTGTTATGCAGCATGCTGATTTCCTAAAGCACCTAAATAGTTTGTGAAGATGCTGAGGTTGATGCAGATCATCTCAAGAGTGCTTTTAAACGCTGAGATTTTATCAATAACTGTAATGCTAAGAAAGAGCGGCTAACAATGAGAAACAGCCATAAAGAATGTAGTAAGAACCCACTAAATGACATTTACACAGGAAATCGGTGGACCTCCCTGGGCACCAAGAGAACTACCATATCCCAACTCAAGCCTTGGCCAAATTATTTAGCTTCTCTGGGTCTTAGCTCCTCATTTGTAACATGAAGTTAACATTACAACCTCACAGAGGTTTTGTGAAAATGTAGTGTGTACAGCAATGCCCCTGGCATGGAAGAGACAATCAATAGTGTCTATCATCATAATCAAAATTAAAATGAAGAAGATACAAGTTTTAATTTATAGAAAACCTGAATTTTAAGTCTGGATTTTTCTGAAATTTACTCCCCTCTTCCCTAGTTATTTCAATAACTAATTTTCCCCCTGAACTTAATAGTGTATTAGCTTGTACTAAGTGCTTTTTGTCACAGTATATACTCACATAGCATACTAACAAGTTATTTTTCTAGAGTAACACTGACACGTCTAGACTCCAATCAATGTTCCTATTCTGACTAACTCATTAGGTAGGAAACAAGACTGGAGATGGAAAAATGCATTTACAATTTATCCTTTCTTTAATAACAAAAAGTATACTGGTCTAAATCACCTGGGCTGACTTAATAGTAAACATACTAAATCATCCATGATACTGAGAAGTGGACACATCTAATCAGAGTTCTCTATGCTGAATATGATGATCTATCATAGTGCCCTTTTATACCCACAAGCAAACCCTAGACCCAGAGACCAGGAATATTTCACCAAAACACAGGTTAATAGAAAGTAGATACATAAATATGAAGCAGTCATCAAATGCCTGTGCAATAAAAAAATGTGACATAATCTTTTGGTGGACTATATATTAGAAGCTGGCCCACTTTTAATTTAAAAATGCTTTGCAGCTTTAAGTATCTTGTTTAAAAGATATTTGGTAGAAATCACCAGAAATTCTGACATTTAAACACAGTTTGGATAAAGCATCAGAGAATACCTAAGGCTTGCTGTAAGCAGTAAAACAAAAGGCACTGGCCTGGTTAGGCTATGTGTAAGACATAAAAGAAGGGAGCTAATGAAAAAATAATGAGGTTTGAATGCTTCATATGAACAAAGTTTGCTTTTGCAGTAACGTTTCAGAACTAGATAGGGGTGACAGCGGCACAATGTAGTGAATGTAGTATATGCTACTCAACTGTACAACTTAATATGGTAAATTTAACCTCAATTAAAAACAAAGTGGAGTGCAGAAGCAAGTAATATGCAAAAGACAATGAACCTGGAGTTAGAAAATCTTAAAATTTTATCCTAAGTACTAATTATATGAATGTGCCTGCCCTCCCTTTTGACCCTCAGTTTTTATGTTAAATCTATTTATAGCAACTGACTAGCAGGATTGGTGAACTGATGAGATGAGAATGTATATAAAACCACCTTGCAAATTTTGTTATATCATTTTTAGTAAAGAATTAAGTTATTAACATTAGAACATGAAATTCTAATTACAAGAAGGAAAACTAGTTAAGTCTCATTTTTCACTACTTAGTTGCTCATGTGAGGACCAAGCAAGAGTATTACACTGGCTGTTTGAAACTTGTTAAAATTATGGCTTACAAATTGAACAGTCATCCAAAATTATTCATGGCCAAACCTTTCATTAAAAACTTACAATGTATTTATAAAAGTAAGAATTTTGATAATTTCATTTATTAAATATTTAATGGATGTATTATTCTTGTGCAAATAAGCCCTGACATCAATGTGATACCCACGAATCCAACTCTCTTCTAATTAAAAGCACAGACAGGGCTGGGCACGGTGGTTCACACCTGTAATCCCAGCACTCTGGGAGGCTGAGGTGGGCAGATCACTTGAGATCAGGAGTTCGAGAGCAGCCTGGACAACATGGCAAAACCCTGTCTCTACAAAAAATAAAAAACTAGCCAGGCACAGTGGCACATGCCTATAGTCTCAGCTACTTGCGAGGCTGAGGTGGGAGGACGGCTTGAGCACAGGAGGTTGAGACTGCGGTAAGCCAAGATTGTGCTGTTGCATTCCTGCATGGGTAACAGAGTGAGACGCTGTCTTAAACAAAGAAACGGAAAGAAAAAAAAAAAAAAGCATAGCCAGAAGTACAGATTATGGGAGGAAAAAACAACAACAACATATGTGGGATGGGATTTGTTGTGTGATACACTCACCAAGCGCTGCAGAGTCATGGAGTGGTCTCCTCCTGGAACTTGTAGCAGAGAATGAATAGTATGCTGTCCCAGGTTTTCCTGAAGAAGATAGCTGTGCTGGGCTCCCAAGCCCCAGATCTTGTCTCAGGAGACTAGACTATAAAATAAGGCCAAGGAAACAAGTTATTTTCCTGCTGATACTGACCCAAACCTGAAAATTTCATCACTTCTGAATTATTTACAACTTCAGCAATGTCTTAACTTAGAACGCACCCATTAAGTACGTTTTGAATTCAATTAGACCACTGCTTTCAGCCCATACCTACTTTCTCTTTTTTTCTCCACCCTCACATTGTCGGCCTTTTTTTCTTTTTTTTTTCTGAGATGGAGTCTCACTTATTTGCCCAGGCTGGAGTGTAGTGGTAAGATCTCAGCTCACTGCGACCTCTGCCTCCCGTGTTCAAGCGATTCTCATGCCTCAGCCTCCTGAGTAGCTGGGATTACAGGCGCGCACCACCATGCCTAATTTTTGTATGTTTAGTAGAGACGGGGTTTCACCATGTGGGCCAGACTGGACTCAAACTCCTGACCTCAGGTGATCCACCCACCTCAGCCTCTCAAAGTGCTGGAATTACAGGTGTAAGCCACTGCGCCCAGCCACATTGTCTGCTTTTTAATAATTATGTAGATCCATAAAATCTTAGAGTTGAAAGACACTTTAGTGGCTGTGTGGTATCACACTTTTTAATCATCAATATTTTTGAAAAATGGTCACTAGTCTTTGCTTTAATACTTTCATGAACACATACGGCAGCAGAAATTCTGTTCTTCTTCCTTTCCTTTTTTCTTTTTAGAGATGGATTATGCTCTGTCACTCAGGCTGGAATGCAGGGGCACGATCACAGCTTACTATAGCCTGGAACCTGGGCTCAAATAATTCTCCTTTCTTAGCCTGCTGAAACAGCTAGGACTACAGGCATGTGCCACCACACCCAGCTAATTTTTAAGTTTTTTGTAGAGATAGGGTCTCCCTATATTGCCCAGGCTGGTCTTGAACTCCTGGGCTCAGGCAATCTTCCCACCTTGGCCTAACAAAGAGCTGGGAATACTGGTGTGAGCCACTGCAGCTGGCCCATTCCTGCTTTTTTCACTTGAGTCTCATGACATGGGTTTGAGAGTCCTCCTCACCATCTCTTTTTTAACACTATATTTAAGCAATCTATTTATGTTAGCTCGCATTAAGGGGTTAAGAATGATCACATGCTTACGTGGTTCTTCATTTTGTTGCATCTGCTGCTATTAAGTCATGTCCCTCCAATGTTGTACTTGTTCAGTTTGTGCTTTTTGGTCCCAAATACAAGACTTAACATTTATCTCTGATAAAATTCATCTTGTTATACTTCGTCCACCATTATCATCCATTCCCATCTTTTTCAGATTCTTAATCTGTCAACCAATGTATATGCTAGCCTTTTTAATATCTTAGGCATCAAAAATATGATTAAGAGAAAACCCATCAGGATGACAAGGGTGAGGAGAGAGCTCTGAGGTATGCTACAGTGACATTATGAGACTTTGTGAAGTGCTTCATTTATAATTCAGAGATTCAGCAGCTCTAACCTACTAATGCAGTAACCCTCTCACAAAACAAACGAGGTTAGTTTGGCAGAATTTTGCACCAAGATTTCTGGTAGATGAGATGAAATAGGATCACAGAGACTTGAAAGACAGGAGAGGGAAAGAAGACCTCAAAAGGAAGGGGGGTTGAATACACTTGAGAAGATACTCTCAAGTGAAAAGAACTGTGATTCCTCTGGTACATTTACGAATCCCCCATCATATATTTAATACCCCTTACTGCCATCACCATACTCTTAAAAAGTAGTTGTTTCAGCCACCAAGTATCACAAAGGAACTGAGAAATAAAACCTCAGCTCTGGTCAAAAAGCAGGAGCAGAGCTTTGGAACAGTAGCCCTAATAGCCCAATCTCTGCCTCCAGTCTAACAGTCAAGAAAAACTCTCATTTAAATGACTTTTCTTTGGTGTTTGAGCTTTTTAAAAAGTTGAGGTGGAATTTATATAACATAAACACTGAATGTTTTCATTTCATTTCAAATCAGTGGCATTTAGTACATTCAAAATGTTGTTCAACCATCACCTCTCTAGGTTTCAGAACAGTCTCATCACCCCAAAACGAAATTCCAGATCCATTAAGCACTTACTCTCCATTCCACCCTCCCCTAGCCCATGGCAACCACTAATCCATTTCTGTCTCTCTGGATTTGCCTATTCAGGATATTCCACACAATTGGACTCATACAATATGTGGCCTTTTGTGTCTGACTTCTCACATTTAGAATGTTTTTGAAGTTCATCTATATTACAGCTTGTATCAAAGTACCTCATTCCTTTTTAGGATAATATTCCATTTAGTATGGCTATACCACAAACTGTTTATCCATTCACCCACTGATGGACATTTTAGTTGTTTCCAGCTTTTAACTACTGTGAATAGTACTGCTATGTATATTCATGTACAAGTATTTGAGTAATTGTTTTCAATTCTTTTGGGTATATAACTAGCAGTGGAATTGCTGGGTCATATGTGTAATTCTATGTTTAACTTTTTGAGGAACTGCCAAACTGTTTTCCACAGGGGCTGCACTATTTTACATTCCAACTAGCAATGTGCAAGGGTTCCAATTTCTCCATATCCTTGCCTAGTTTCTGTTTGCTTTTTAAATTACAGCCATCCTTGAGGGGCAAAGTGGTATCTCATTTGCAGTGGTTTTGATTCGCATAACCCTAATGACTAATGATATTGGGCATCTTTTCATGGGCTTGATGTACACTAGAATATCTCCTTGGGAAGAATGTCTAGTCAAGTCCTTTGCCCATTTTCTAACTGGGTTATCTTCTTGTTGTTGAATTGTAAGAGTTGTTTATATATTCTGGATACTAGGCTTATCAGATATATGAATTGCAAAATTTTCCCTCATTCTGTAGACTGTCTTTTCACTGTCTTGATAATGTCCTTTGATGTACAGAAGTTTTCAATTTTAATGAAGTATTTTTATATTGTTGCTGATTCTTTTGATGTTGTATCTAAGAATCTACTGCCAAATTCAAGGTCATAAAGATATACTCCTAGACTTTCTCCTGAGAATTTTATAGTTTTTTGCTCTTATATTCAGGTCCTTGATCCATTTTGAGTTCATTACTGTAGGCTAGGCGTGGCAGCTCACGCCTGTGATCCTATTACTTTGGGAAGCTGAGGCAGGAAGATCTCTTGAACCCAGGAGTTCAAGACAAGCCTGGGCCACATAGGGCGGTCCCATCTCTACAAAAAATTAAAACCATTAGCCAGGTGTGATGGTGTGCGCCTGTAGTTCCAGCTACTCAGGAGGCTGAGGTGGGAAGATCGCTGGCGCCTGGGAGGTTAAGGCTGCATGAACTATGATAATGCCACTGCATTCCAGCCCAGGTGACAGAGTGAGACCCTGTCTCAAAATAATGATAATTATTATAATTTCTGTATATGTTGTGATGAAGAAGTACAACTTCATTCTTTTGCATGTGGATATCCAGTTATCCCAGTCCCATATATTGAAGATAATACTATTTCCCTATTCAGTAGTTTTGGTATCTTGTTGAAAATCAATTGGCCATAGATGTTTAGGTTTACTTCTGGACTCCAAATTCTATCCCATTGGTCTATATGTTTTAATAACTGTAGCTTTGTAGTAAGTTTTGAAATTGGAAAGGGTAACTACTCCAACACTGTTCTTTTTCAGTATTGTTGTGGCTACTTGGGATCTTGAAATTCCATATAAATTTAGGAACAACTTTTTCATTTCTGCAAAAAAAAGCCATTGGAAGTTTGATGGGTATTGCATTGAATCCACAGATTGCTTTGGGGAATACTGACATCTTAATATTAAGTGTTCAAATGGACTGAATACCAGATGTGTTTACATTTATTTAAGTCTTGTTTAATTTCTTCTGGCAGTGTTTTGTAGTTTCCAGGGTACAAGTCTTATATTTCATGTTCAAATTAATTCTTAGTGATTTTCAAGGGAAATGAAAAAAAAATTAAAGAAATTAAATTAATTCTTAGGTATTTGATTCCTTTAAATACTATTGTAAATGGAGTTGTTTTCTTAATTTTATTTTTGGTTTATTACTAATAAACCATACATCCTGCAACTTTACTAAATTTATTTATTAGCTCTAATAGTTTTATTGTGAATTCCTTAAAATTTCGTATATATAAGATCATATCGTCTGCAAATGAGGATAGTTTTACTTCTTTTACAATTTGGATACCTTTTATTTCTTTTTCTTGGCTAGCTAATCTGTTTATTTTTTATTTTTTTGAGATGGAGTCTCACTCTATCATCCAGGCTCCCAGGCTGGAGTGCACTGGCACAATCATGGCTCACTGCAACCTCCACCTCCCAGGTTCAAGCGATTCTCCTGCCTCAGCCTCCTGAGTACCTGGGATTAAAGGCGTGCACCACCATGTCCGGCTAATTTTTGTATTTTTCATAGAGATGGGGTTTCACCATGTTGGCCAGGCTGGTCTTGAACTCCTGTCCTCATGATCCACCCACCTCAGCCTCCCAAAGTGCTAGGATTACAGGCATGAGCCACCATGCCCAGCCACTAATCTGTTTAGAACAAGCTTGTCCAACCCACAGCCTGTGGGTTACGTGGCCCAGGACGGCTTTGAATGTGGCTCAACACAAATTTGTAAACTTTCTTAAAACATTATGAGATTTTTTTGCAATTATTATTATTTTTTTGCTCATCAGCTATCATAGTGTTAGTGTATTTGATGTACTGTCCAAGACAATAATTCTTCTAATGTGGCTCAGGGAAGCCAAAAGAATGGATACCCCTGGTTTAGAATTTCCAGTACAATGCTGAATGTAATCAGTAAAAGTAGAAAACACTGTTTTGTTCCCAATCTTAGCGAGATGGTTTTCACACTGTTACCAACAAGTATATTAGCTGTGGGTTTTTTGTAAATGACCTTTACCAAATGGAGTTAAGTTCCCTCCCTCCTATTTCTAGCTTGTTAAATGTTATCATCATGAAAGAGTGTTGGATTTTGTCAGAATCTTTTTTTTTTTTTTGGAGACAGTCTTACTCTCACTCAGGCTGGAGTGCAGTGGTATCATCTCGGGTCACTGCAACGTCCACCTCCAGGTTCAAGCAATTCTTGTGCCTTGGCCTCCTAAGGAGTGGGATTACAGATGTGTGCCACCACGCCTGGCTAATTTTTGTATTTTTAGTAGAGACAGAGTTTCATCATGTTGGCCATGCTGGTCTTGAACTCCTGGCCTCAAGTGATCTGCCCGCTTTGGCCTCCTAAAGTGTTGGAATTACTGGTGTGAGCCACCATGTTCAGCTGAGATTCTTTTTTGGCATCAATTGAGACAATCATATGGGTTTTTTTCCCCTTTCTTTCTATTAGTGTGGTGAGAATTACACAGCCTAATTTTCATAGGCTAAACTATCCTTGCATTCCTGGAATAAAACTCCCTTAGCTGTGATGTATAATCTTTTCAATACGTTGCTGGATTCACTCTGCTAGTATTTTTGTAGAGGACTTTTACATCTATATTCAAAAAGGATATTCATGTGTAATTTCCTTTATCCTGTAATATTTGTCTTACTTTGGTATCAGAATTATGCTGGCTTCACAGAATTAATTAGGCAGTGTTTGGGAAGAACTGGCATTATTTCTTCTTTAAATGACTGGTAGAATTCACTAGTGAAGCTGTTTGGTCCTGGACTTTTCTTTTTTTCTTCGAGACGGTCTCACTCTGTTGCCCAGGCTGAAGTGCAGTGGCTCAATGATGGCTCACTGCAGCCTTGACCTCCCAGGCTCATGTGATCCTCTGGCCTCAGCCTCCTAAGTAGCTAGGACTGCAGGTGGATGCCATCACACTCGGTTAATTTTAAAATGTTTTGTAGACATCAGATCTTACCACATTGCCCAGGGTGGTCTTGAACGCCAGGGCTCAAGTGATCCTCTCACGTCAGCCTGCCAAAGTGCTAGGATTACAGGCATGAGCCACTGGGTCCTGCCTTGGACTTTTCTTTTATGGGAGGATTCTTATTACTAATTCTATTTCTTTACTGGTTTTAGCTCTGTTCAGATTTTCTATTTCTTCTTAAGCCAGTTTTGGTAGTGTGTTTATATCTAGGAATTTGTCTACTTCATCCAGATTATTCAATTTTTTTAGCAGACAATTATTCACAATAATCTCTTATAATCCTTTTTATTTCTATAAAGTCAGTAGTAATGTCCTCTATTTCCATTTGTGATTTTAGTAATTTGACACTGTTCTTTTTTTTCTCAGTCAATCTAGCTAAAGGTTTGTCAATTCTGTTGATCTTTTTGTTTACTTTTGTTTGCTTTTTGACACAGGAGTTTGCTCTGTTGCTCTGGCTGGAGTGCAGTGGCACAAACATGGCTCACTGCAGCCTCAACCTTTCAGGTTCAAGTGATCTTCCTACCTCAGTCTCCTGAGTGGCTGGGACTAGATGTGCACCACCACACCTGGCTAATTTTTAAATTGTTTTGTAGAGATGGGGTCTCACTATGTTGCCCCAGTTGGTCTTGAATTGGCCTCAAGTGATCCTCCTGCCTTGGTCTCTCAAAGTGCTGGAATTAAGGTGTGAGTCACCTTGTTGATATTTTTAAAGAACCAATTTTGATTTTGTTGATTCCATATTGTCCTTCTTGTCTCTATTTTGTTTATTTCTGTTCTAATCTTTTGTTATTTCCTTTCTTCTTCTGCTTTCTTCAATTTAGTTTGTTCTTCTTTTACTTGTTTCTTAAGGTATGAAGTTAGGTTACTGATTTGGTGCTTGCTTCTTCTTAAATGTAGGTATTTACAATAATAAATTTCCCTCTGATTAAGGCTTCTGCTACATCTCCTAAGTTCTGCTATGATGTCTTTTCATTTCCATTTAATGCTTCAGTTTCTTTAAAGCTTATTCAACAATGTTGGAGCATGAAGCAAACAATGTACTAAACCAGCCAAAGGTCATTCATCACATCTTTCAGAAATACTCATAATTAAGAATGTAATTTTCCAGACTCCTCAAAATGTACACTTTTCTTTAGATAAAGCTGATACATTCCCTTATAAAGGAGGAAAGTAGAGAGAAGACAATTTCAATTACCAGGCAATATAATGTGAATATGAAGGCTACATAATATTAATTTAATTATTTAGCATTAATTGTACAAATTCCAATAGATACAACATTTGGTACATTGGGAGAGAAAGATGTAATTATCAGACCTAAAGGAGAAGTAGTCTCCATTAAAATAATAACCTCCAGAAGAAATGATAAAAGGGAGAAAATGATCAATATAAATATAACAATAGGCATATATGTATTTTATTTATATGACAGACCATCAGCTATGAATTTTCTGATGGTGTTATGTGAGAGTAGTATGACCTAGGAATCATTAAATCTCCCATAGATGTTATACTGAAATTTCCATTGTCACATCTGTTTTGAATTTCCTTCTTTTATTTTGCTCAGGCTGGGCACATTCAATATTGCTTAAATGGCAAGATCAGAATATGGCTCGTAGTACACTAGATGGAACATATTATTACCACATGCTTAAGGGCAGGGGTCAAGTACCTTAAAGTTTCCTTTAAATATCATTGGTATTTCAACAGGATTTTTCCTGCTCAGTGCCAAACTGACTTTCATTGATATGTTTTGAGGTACCTGCTGCATTTATTACTTCATCTGCATTTTCTCATGGGGAAGGCACATATGAAGCTGGTCATAACATACACACAAACAAATATATCAGAAGGAGGGATGTGTGTATGTCTCTCAACAGTGTCCCTTACACTAACATTCCCTGGCATACAAATTCTTATGGGAATATAAGAGAGTGATTTATATTAGGGGTCAAAAAACCAGAGCTTAGAGGAGAAAGTGGGTCTGTTTTTGAAAATACTTTTCTTGAAAAACAGTCTCAAATGAAACACAATTCATTTATGTATTGGCTATGGCTGTTTTCATGCAACAGTGTTAAGCGTTCAGTGTTGCAACAGAAAACGTATGGTCTGTTAAAACCTAAAATATTTGTTATCTGGCCCTTTATAGAACTTTTTTTTTTTTGGCTGCTAATCTAATACGTCAGAGGGACAAAGGACTAAGTCTGCAGGGTGGTGAAGAGAAGTCTGTTTGCTTAATAAGGTAAACATAAACTTTCAGATGAGTAAAAGTTAGCCAGTGAATTATTTCTTCAAAGAAATCAAATAGTAGTCATAATAAGGGCTGAGAGAGGAAAGAAATAATCTAAATGATGAACAGGAAGTGTATTTCCTATATTTCTAAAAGTACACTGAAAATCTACACAAATACTCATGTTCTGGAAACAGCACTGGTTTTGGAGTTAGGTATCCCGAGTCCAAATCCTGACTGGTAATCTTGAACAAATTATCTAACATTAATGAGTCTGTTTCCCTCTTCTACAAACAGCTCACAAGGTTGTTGGGGGAAGTAAACAAGGCCTAAAAATAAAAGTGTACAGCACAGTTATTGGCCCTAGTTAATACAAAAAACTCAGTTTCATTTTTTTCTTTCCCCATTAACTCACTACATTCTAAATATTACAAAATAAATGAGACGAATGATATTTTTATTCTGTTTCCTGGGCATAAACCTTTTGTCTTAAGTAAGTGATCTAAGATTTCAGGAGACCTTGTCTGCCCTGAATCCAAGCTGACTGGGTTACAATTCCCAATGGCTATGGTAAGAAAGGATGTTGGAAATACGCAAGAGAATAGGGGCAGAAATGACAGATCCCTAGAGAGGATTGACAGATGCTAAATCCAAAGAGGGTGTGACAGATTCAAGCAGTATCAATTAAGATCAAGAATAAATAGGAAAATGTCAACTTATTCTCAAATGATTTAGCAAAAGTGTGTGCATTTGTGTATATAAAGTCATAAGCAGCACACAAACATATATTCATACACGCAGAATGAGTAGAAAGAAAAGGAATGTGTATATACAAATGTGGTGAAATGTTAACTGATGACTCTTGATGAAGTTCACATGGGTGTTCATTGTATTATTCTTCAACCTCTTCTGTGGGTTGGTAACTTTTCAAAATAAAAAGTTGGAGCAAAGAAGAATAAAATATTGAGGACTCCCTAATACACTTTCAAATGTACTATCTCATTTAGGATTTATAGCAATCTTAAGTATTATATAGATTTCACATATTAAAGTGATAACAAGTAGTGAAATCCTAATTTGAATCTAGGTCTGCTCAGAAAGCCCTTTCCTCAATACAACAAGACTTCCATAGTAACTCGGGAACATGCATCATTTCTAAGATTGTTAACTTGAAAACATGTAAGTGATTTATAAATGAATTTGTGGATTACAATCCTAAGGCTGAGATGACTATAGAACACATATTGGCAGATTTTTTATCTATGCAATAGTAAAGAAAGAAAAAAAGGAGAACAAATTTTTTTGGAAAAAACAAGTTTACTAGCTACCAGTTTTAGTGTTGATAAACCTTTTTCCTCACTATAGACAAATCTGGATATGTGGTTAGGAAATGCCCTGTCTTCTTGTTCCACAGTGAATATTAATGCCAAAAAAGATGCACAGGTTACACTTCTTTCAGCTGTCCTAATCACAGAAATAACCATTTTCCTGTGTTTAGTCTGTATCATGATCCATAAGATGAGGCAAAGTAAATATAGAAAAAATTGTTTCTTTTTAAGAATACAAGACCATATTTTATCCTGTTAATTAAAATGAATTCTTCAGTACTCTTAAGAAATACAAAAAGTTTAAGACAAAATTTTGTCCACAAGGACTTGACAGTCTACAAAATAATATTTAACAAAACAATGAAAAAAATACAATTAAAAAATCAAGTGCTAAACTATAAAAGCCTAAGATTTTGATATTCTAACACTAATAAAATAATATATTTTTCTTTATTTGATTCTTCAAACATTTAGGCAACACTGAAACACACATCAACTATTTTATTTTTCTTCTCCTAAAATAAAATTAGGTATCAGCTCATATTATTGATTTTTCTGTCTTCCTAAAACAAATGAGAAGCATTATTGATTACTACTGATCTTGTCCTGGAGGTATCTCCGGCAAAAAGAATACAGAACGATCCCAGAGGATATAGAACTAGGCAAAGCAGTTTTATTGTGCCGAGCTATCTTATTCAAGAAAGAATTAGTATTCTGAAATTACATAGTATGAATTTCTTAACATATTCTTGGAAAATAATCTTTTTTATAGTCATCTAGACTATCTTTTATAGAAATACATATATCTAAAATATAGATACAGTCATCCAGACATTTTTCTCTGTGAAAAATATATCTAATACTAGAGAATAATTAATAAAGGGTTATCCCCCAAAACACTAACGCAGCCTAGATGACTGCCCTAGGTTATGGGATAAAATCTACAATAAGTAAGTTATATTTTGAATTACATATGACAAACCTCTAGCCTGTGAACAAAATTTCCAATTTTTAAAAATAAGGAACTTTAACAGCCTATGTGATACATGTATTTTAAGTTTTTTCTCCCTCTTCATCTGTAAGAAACAGCTTAATTTCCAGATGTGAACTTGATGAGTGTAAGCTTTGGTGGTGATAATAAACAAAAAGTAAATGAAAGGAATAAAGTAGTAGGTAGACTTGGCCAACATCCTTTTTTTAATGGGAACTCTTGTTAATTATATTAGAAGGTACTCTAAATATGATTTTGTAGGGAGGCAGAAGAATATCCTATGTAAAATGGTGCTGCTCAGTAAGCTAGGAGGCGATTCAGAATCATACTGCTATAATTTGGATATTCTTTATTCTCAAAAGGGAAAATAAACTAGGCACAGTGATGTGCACCTGTAGTTACAGCTACTTGGTAGGGTGAGGCAGGAGGACTGCTTAAGCCTCGGAGTTTGAGGTCAGTCGGGGGAACACAGTGAGACCAAAAAATAAAAAATAAAAAAAACAGAAAGGGAAAATTAAGTGTTGAAAAACAGGCTTACTTTGTCGGAACTGGGTTTTATTAAGTGGCTTGGCTTAAACGCCAAGCCACTCATAACTTCACATCAAATAAGGGCCTAATTAACCGTAGGTCAAAAATTATTAGCATCGGCCAGGCGTGGTGGCTCACGCCTGTAATCCCAGCACTTTGGGAGACCGAGGCGGGCGGATCACGAGGTCAGGAGATTGAGACTATCCTGGCTAACACAGTGAAACCCTGTCTCCACTAAAAATACAAAAAATTAGGCGGGCGTGGTGGCGGGTGCCTGTAGTCCCAGCCACTCAGGAGGCTGAGGCAGGAGAATGGCGGGAACCTGGGAGGCGGAGCTTGCAGTGAGCCGAGATCACACCACTGCACTCCAGCCTGGGCGACAGAGCGAGACTCCATCTCAAAAAAAAAAAAAAAAAAAAAAAAAATTATTAGCATCATTTTATGATTAAAATTTGGAAGTACTACCTATTAATTTATTTAAGAAAATTAGATGGAGAGTACCTCATATGTTATAGTCACATATCTCCAAAAATTTAAAATACTGATATGAATTCATGGAACCTCTGCTGTGTTATTATTCTACAGAATTCCTTAATTTCAAGCCTATCTTACACCCCTGAAGTGGTATGCAGTTTTAAATACATAAAGGCAAGCAGCTGTTCAAAAGATTTATTTTTTGGGGGAGGGAGTATGTGGAAATTAAAGGAATAGAAAGGTATAAAACACAATTATAACAGAATACATAAACTGTTATGATTTCGCAGATTCTTTATGCTATAGTACCACGTGTTTCTTTTGTCACTGAGGGATCAAGAAACAAAATTGTTCTAAAAGGAGAATTATTATAGTATTACCATATTTGCAGTTGTTGTTCTAATTTCGAAAAATCATTGTGTTTTAGCTGTAAATCCATTTGAAGTTTCAGAGATTATGACAGAGTAACCCAAGAATGATAAAGAAGTCTCTCACCCCAAGTCATAATCAAATCAAAATCGAAGGGTGAGGGCAACTCAGGGCAAAAAATAAATGTTGGGCTTTAATAATATGTCAGTCTTCTGTTAATTTTCTACAAATGATTAAAAAAACTAACACATTTCAAATTTGGAAAATATCGCCATTTGTAAAATAATTGTATTATGATGCAAATTCATTTACATTGAAATTTCAGGGATATGTTAGCAATTATCAGCATGTTGTTAAAGAATTCTATCCTGAGAATCTCATTAGATAGTGATGCAAACTACAGTTATCATTCTGAGAACAAAGGGATCTTGAATGAGTAATCAATAGCAACTGGCAGAAAATGAGACATTAATTATGATCCTCTCTAGTGTTTTGTCTAAGACAAGATTTCATTAAATGCTTTGTGCAACCTGAATAGTTCCAAGTCATTATGAACACTTTGGACAATATATTAATTTGGGGGAGGAAGAAGGGGGGAAACAGAAAAACAAAGTGAAAGAAAACCTGAGATGCTTCTAATCCTTTCCTAGGTCAATAAAAAACCACCAGCCACCACTAGCCAACTTTTACACTGGTTCTTTTACAAATCCCAAATTTTATAATCTCAACATATCCTCTTGAAAACTTAATAAATATTGTCTATAAAGTGTCATGCAAGTTTGAGAAGATGACAGTCATCCATCAAATGTATCCTGCCAACGAAATCAGCCCAATCTTTAAAAAAAAAAAAATTTCTTTTGAGATGGAGTCTTGCTGTGTCGCCCAGGATGGAGTGCAATGGCACGATCTTGGCTCAGTGCAGCCTCTGTCTCCCAGGCTCAAGCAATTCTCCTGCTCACTGCAGCCTCCACCTCCTGGGTTCAAGCAATTCTCCTGTCTCAGCCTCCCGAGTAGCTGGGACTACAGGTGCACACCATCATGCTTGACTAATTTTTTTTGTATTTCTAGTAGAGATGGGGTTTCACTATGCTGGCCAGGCTGGTCTTGCACTCCTGACCTCTTGATCCGCCTGCCTCAGCCTCCCAAAATGCTGGGATTACAGGCATGAGTCCCGTGCCCAGTCAATCAGCCCAGTCTTTCTAGCACAAAAAAAGAAAATAAACTATGCATGTAATATTACAGTGCTAAAACGTGACAATCTAGTAGTTTCAGTTTCCTAATCTTCTTTAATTATTAGTCGCAATAGGAAATTTTACCATCTTAATTTTTCTTTTTCACTAATTTTTTTTTTTCTCAACTTCCCTCCCAAATCTTTTATCAGCCAATGAGAAGATATCACAGTAGAGAGATCCGGGATGTAGATCAATACAGACAGACTTCTTAGAAATAAAAGAAATATGAAGAGAACAAGCTAAATGTCATTTTAATATATGCAATATTTGAATAATTACAAATATGGAATAAGAATGACTTTCCTTTAGGAATGTATAGGCTTCCATAAAAAGTCCAACTTCCAAAAATGCTATAGGGGATTTTTTGAAGGCAGTCTTGTGAGGTTAGTAGTGAGCATACTCTAAGCATGTCTACTTCAAAGTGAGTAGTTTTTCTGAATGCCTGAATTTACAACTCTCTTATTAAAAAGGGCTAACTGAATGTTCTCCTATGTGTTACCAGTATGCCTTTGCGCCTTTTCTTTAATGAATACAAAGAAGCCAGCTGTGTGAGGTGCTAACATTAGAAGAACAGGAGATGAAATCTTATTTCTCTTTGGTATTCGTGGAAATGGTGTTAAGTAGCACTACTATTTTCAGAAGAGTTCTAATACTTTGAAGCCACTCTTTTTCTCTTTAATACTAGCTTTAACATGGAGCAACTAAGTATCCTCTCTTCTCAATTCCTTGTATTTTTGTAAGTATAATTAAGAGTAAAAAAACCCAATATAGCATTAGACATATAGTTAGGCATGCCATACTTTATAAAATGAAACATTACGTACTGGACGTCTTCAAAACATTAAACTTCTTAGTTTAGAACATTTCATAATACACAAAAGTAGGAAAAAAAAGTACAATTAACCTTCATGTACCTATCACCCAGCTATGACAGCTGTCAACATTCTGTTGTTCCGGCTTCATTTGTTCTGCCATCTCCTACCCCTTGTTACATGCTCCAAAATTGACAATAATCCCTTATCATGTAATAGCCAGTATGTTGTCACCTCTTTTTTCTGTTTTGAGATGGCATCAAATCTCTACCCATTATTTAACAGGCTCTTTTCTCCTGAAATAAGTTTACGAAAGAATAAACGGACTTTCTGAAACTGCTTCCAACGAGCACTAAGTATCATCAAAAGTATAATCATCAATTTTCATGGAGAGAACAGAAAGAAAGAAACAATGAATGCAGCCTGGGCAACATGGCAAAACCCCATCTCTACCTAAAAAATATAAAAATTAGCCGACTGTGGTGGCACATGCCTGTAGTCCCAGGAGGCTGCAGTGAATTACCCAAACCTGGGAGGTCAAGGCTGCAGTGAGCTGTGATCACGCCACTGCACTCCGCCCTGGGTGACAGAGCGAGATCTGTTTCACAAAATAAATAAATAAATAAATAAATAAGTAAATAAAATAAAAATAAAAGAAAGAATGAATGAAGTTTTTTCCCTGCCAAGTAGGCCCTGCCTAATCCAACTCTCTCTCTCTCTCTCTCTCTCTCTCTCTGGCCTTTTAACAAAAATAGGACATTAAAAGTGTCTATTGACTGGGCACAGTGGCTCACGCCTGTAATCCCAACACTTTGAGAGGCTGAGTCAGGTGGATCACCTGAGGTCAGGAGTTCGAGAGCAGCCTGGCCAACATGGTGAAACCCCCTCTCTACCGAAAATACAAAAAGTTATCTGGGTGTGATGGGGGGCACCTGTAATCCGAGCTACTCAGGAGGCTGTGGCAGAAGAACTGCTTGAACCTGGGAGGCAGAGGTTGCAGGGAGCCAAGATCATGCCATTGTACTCCAGCCTGGGTGACAAGAGCAAGACTCCATCTCAAAAAAAAAAAAAAAAAAAAATTGTCTATTGCCTGATACTCCAAGATCAGACTTTCTTTCCACAAAACAATTTATTTACCTATGTTCCAAACAACCCACAAAATGCACATCACTCTGCAGGCAGCTGATGGCTTGTTAGCCTTACTTATATACTCTTTCCTAGATCACATGGTTCAGATTCAAACAACATTTTCTCAATGCCTACTGTGTGCCAACTAGTGTGCATGTAGGCCCCTTTCACATGCTACCTTATGAGTCAATCATCTCTGGATAGCTTCCACATCAATCCAAGAGCTAGTCTTACGTCTTCTTAATCTTCGTGACTCCAACAATTCCCTAAATCACCAATCTACTCCCCAAAGGAGGACTAGATTGTTAGCCCTGGAAACCACTTGACTTGTGAAATCTGTAAGTCCAATATTCAACTCTTTGACATAACCTCCTTTTCTTATAGTGCCATCATTCCCTTATTACTTACTGCACCTGCTCTTTCACTGCATAACAACCAATATCTTGACCTTTTTTCCAGTCACAAAGTTTAATCATGGCTTCATTTCCTTCCTTTGAAACCTGGTCTAGTACTTCAACTATTCTCTTATCACTACATCAATTCTCCTATCCTTCTAATATTTACCAGCTATGAAATCTTGGGTGAATTATATAACTTCTTGAGGCTTCAGGTTCCTCAGCTATCAAATGGGAGGAATAATAATAACAGACGCAACAGCAGCAACAATATCACCACTTGAGTATGGCGGGGACCAAATGAAATTATGCTTATAGGGTCAAGTGACTGATACATGCTAGTTATTATGTAGTATCATCATTGTTAACCTAGCTAACTGGCCTGCAATCCTGATCACTATATTGATTCAACCATTTGCTGTCTGTGCTTATACATGTAGTTTGCTGGGTAGTATTAGAATAAAAGTTGAAGCACATACACAATCATACAGGTTAGTGTCAACAGTAATTTCTGGTCACCAACCTCAGATGGATCATCAACACCATTTGGAAAGCCTTTTACTTGTCACTAGAGAGCTCACGGAATTGAGGAACATTTTAAGGTCTTCTATTTCTTTTTCTCTAGAGACAGGGTTTCATTCTGTCACCTAGGCTGGAGTGCAATGATGCGATTATAGCTCACTGTAACCTTGAACTCCTGGGCTCAAACAATCCTCCTGCCTCAGCCTCCAGAGGAGTGGGAATACAGGCATGCAACACCATGCCCCTTTTAAGGTCTTTTATTTCAGTCAAACAATAGGTACTGTAATCTATTATAAAATACCAGTAAAGTAGATGTCTACCCTCTGCTTGGAAACATCCAGTGGGAGAAAGGCATTTATCTACCAAGGTTTAATGTTCTACGCCATTAACAGCTCAACACATGACAACATTTCTTTTTAAAATTAAGCTGAAATCTGGAATGCTTAATTTCTACCTATTGTCCAACTTTTTAACCTTCAAAGTTATAGAAAAGTCGAATTATGCTTCAAACACTTAAAAGATGCTCTTCATGTTATTTGAGTAACTAACTTCTTAGTTCTCTGAATGAGTTGGTTTACTTATGCCTGTTCTGAAACAGGTTTGCTCAGAATACAATACAGTATCAACTTTCTTGTTCTAAATATTACATTTCTAATAATTCTGCCCAAGACTGAGGCTACTATTAGGTTTGTTGTTACATAAACAAAGATCAAAATTGCTGTTTAAGACAACTAGTTTTAATTAATCCTGTTGGCGAAACAGCAGGCCAGTGTAATCTTGTTACAAAGTGGAAATGATCTTGTTCTTGACATTACCATACAACATAAGTCTAGAAGGGACTGGAAACTTGCTAATTCACTGTACTTAAACCTCCTGTTACAAAGAGAAAAACTGTAGAAGCCTTAGCTAACCTTACAGAGTTGTAGGAATTCTTTTTTTTAAGACACAAGATCTCGCTCTGTCACCCAGGCTGGAGTGAAGCAGCATGATCACAGCTCACTGTAACCTCAAACTCCTGGGCTCAAGTGATACCCCTCAATCACTTGAGTGATCAGCTTCCTGAGTAGCTAGGACTACAGGGGCACACCACCACCTGCAGTTAATTTTTAAATTTTTTTGTAGAGATGGGAATCTTGCTAAGTTGCCCAGGCAATTTGAACTCCTGGCCTCAAACAATCCTCCTGCCTCAGCCTGGAATGCTTTATATATCCTGTATATCAGTCCTTTGTTAAATATGTTTTGCAAATACTGGACTTCTAGACTGTGGCTTACCGATTTATTTTTTTTTTAACCTATGTCTTTTGATAAGCAGAAGTCTTTTAGTTTTTGTTTTGTTTTCTTCCCCTAAAGAGACAGGGTCTTGCTATGTTGCCCAGGGTGGCCTTGAAATCTATAACCCAATTTAGGAAGAACTAACATCTAAGTGACAGTAAGCCTTCCAACAGATGTTTGAGTTTTCACTGTTGAAGCTTTGCCATCTTCTGTTACATTCTTCCCTCAGTATTTCACGCTTTTGGATACTACTATAAGCAGTACTATTCTGTTAATTTTATTTTCTAATTTTTGCTGATAGTGTACAGAAATACAATTAATTTTTTAGATTGACTTTGTATCCTGTGATATAGCTAAAAGTACTATTTAGTTTTAGAAGTTTTCTTGATGATTCCTTAGGATTTCCTATGTACACAAACACGTCATCAGCAAATTCAACTTACTCCTTTTCAATTTCTATAACCTTATTTCTTGTCCTCATACACTGGCCAAAACATAAAATGATGAGAACAAAAATTATTACCTTGGTGCTGACATTAGGTGGGAAGCATTTAGTCTTTCATCACTAAGTATTCTGTTAGCCATAGATTTTTTTCATGTTTGTCTTTTATCAAATTGAGGAAGCTACCTTCTATTAGCTTGCTGAGAGATTTTATCATGAGTATTCAATTTTGTCAAATATCTTTTCTGTATCTATGGAAATGATCACATTGTTTTTCTTCTTGATTCTGTTATAATGTGGTGAACTAAATACATGGATTTTCAAATCTTAAACCAAACTTTCACTTCTCCTACAAACCACACGTGTTGTTTGAGTATTACTGGGATGTTGCTCACCTGATAAAAAGAGCTGAGAAATGTTCACTCTTCCTCTGTTTTCTAAACTAACTTGTATAAAATTGGTATTATTTTTTTCCTAAGCATTTGAAAGAATTAATCATTTTGAAAGAAGCCATATGACCCTTATGCTTTCTTTGTGGGAAGGTTTTTGATATGAATTAACTTTCATTAATAGATATACAGGCCGGGTGCAGTGGCTCACGCCTGTAATTCCAGCACTTTGAGAGGCTGAGGCGGGGGGATCACAAGGTCAGGGGTTTGAGACCCGCCTGGCCAATATGGTGAAACCCCATCTCTACTAAAAATACAAAAATTAGCCAGGCGTGGTGGCGGGCACCTGTAGTCCCAGCTACTCAGGAGGCTAAGGCAGGAGAATCACTCGAACCTGGGAGGCGGAGGATGTAGTGAGCCGAGATAGCACCACTTCACTCCAGCATGGGTAACAGAGTGAGACTCTGTCTAAAAAAAAAAAAAGAAAAAAAGATATACATGGATTCAGATTTTGTTTCAATTTGTCTCCTCTTGGTAAGTATTTTTCAAGGAATTCATTTATTTAATCTAAGTTGTCAAATTTACTAAGTTATAATATTTATTATATTCTTAATGTATATATGATTCATAGCAGTAACCTCTCTTTCATTCCAGATTCTGGTAATTTGTGTTCTTGTTCTCTTCTCCTTCCCCTTGTGTTAACTGGTCTAGCTAGGGGTTAACTTTATGATTTATTTCAAATAGCCAAATTTTGGTTTTGTTAGTTTTTTCTATTACATTGATTTCTGCTCTTATTTGTAGTATTTCCTTCTTTCTATTTATTTTGGGTTTACTTTGTGTTTCTTTTTCTAGCTAAGTTCTTAGGGCAGAATCTTGGTCATTCACTGTACATCTTTTCTAATACAAGCTTTCAAAAGTATACTTTCCTTCAAGGCACTGGTTTAGATGCACCAACACATTTTGTTATATCACATTTTCATTATTATTCAGTTAGAAATATCTTCTGAATTTCCTGTGGTTTCTTTTTAAAACAATGGGTCATTTAAACATGTTGCTTAACTTCTGAACATCTGGTGTTTTTCTAGATATCTTACTGACATTGGTTTTTGAGACAGAGTCTTGCTCTGTTGCCCAGGCTGGAGTGCAGCAGTGCAATAACAGCGCACTGCAGCCTCGAACTCCTGGGCTCAAGCAATCCTCCCGCCTCAGCCTCCTGCCACCACACCTGACTAGTTTTCTTTTTTTTTTTTTTAATTTTAATAGAGACAGAGTCTAACTATGCTGCTCAGTCTGGTCTTGAACTCCTGGGCTCAAGTGATCCTCCTGAATCGGCCTTCCAAAGGGCTGGGGTTACAGGCATGAGTCACCACACCTAGTCTTACTGACTTCTAATACAACTTTGCTTTTTACTAAACTTGTATTTTAGATTCAGAGGCACATGTTCAGCTTTGTTATATAGGTAAACTCGTGTCGGGGAGGTTTGTACACGTTATTTCATCACCCAAGAAGTAAGCCTAGCACCCAATAGCTATTTTTTCTGATCCTCTCCCTCCTCCCACCCTCTACCTTCAAGGAGGCCCCCGTGTCTACAGGTGCCTTCTTTGTGTCCCTGAGTTCTCATCAGAGTTTTTATTTAAGTCTTTTGTGTCCAGAGAACATACTCTGTATGGTTTCAAACCTTTCCAATTTACTGACACTAGTTTTATGGACCAGCGTATGATTCCAGCCTGTTAGTGTAATGTGTGCCCCTGAAAGGAATTTATGTTCTTCAGTTGTTGTATGCAGAGTTCTATACATATCATTTAGGTCAAGGTTGTCGATAGTTAATTTTGTTCTACATCTTTACTAAGTTTTTTGTCTAGTTATTCTGCAAACTGCTAAGACAGAAGTATTCAATTTTCCAAGCATGATTGTCAATTTGTTTATCTCTCTCTTTAATTCTATCAATTTTTGTTTTGCTTCGTTTTGAAGCTTTCTTATTAGGCGTATACACATCTGTCATTGTTATGTCTTTCTGATACATCAACTCTTTTATTATTTTATTATTATAAATGTCTGCATATGAGATTGGGTATAACAGGAAAAAAGAACAAGGAAAAACCAAATGGTATAAGCTTATCTCCAAACAACTAAGAGTTAAGTAAGGTACAGTTTTTAAAGCTGTCATTTTTTCAAGGGTATAATATCTGAACTCAGATGAACTTCACACTTTCTGAAAAAAACCAAGACCCTGCCACCTTCTACATTTAAACACTTAGAGAAAAACTTATGAAACTATGTGAATAAATACTTGCTTAAGAGGTATAAATGAAAAACTTTGTTATACTGATAAAAGGATTTTTCACTTAACTGTGGTAGTTTTTAAAGTGATATACCTATTATTAATAAAGACACTGGCTTCTATGCTCTGTGTTTCATCAATAAAAAAATTTAACTGCAGAATGATCTATCAGTGTTTCCAGTAATACTGCCACATGAGTTTCCTTTTAATGGCTCATCAGTTAATGTGATTGTTGTGAATGTAATATGATGACACTCATTTAGCAACATATTATTACATCATCTTAACATGAAGTAAGGCCCATCAGGCATTATTAAATTAGTCTGAATTTTGCAGTATGTCAGCAGCATTTTATGTACATTAATAGCAGAGTTAATGCTCCTTGGGGAATTCTGTTGAAGAAAAATGGTTTTAATGTGGTGTTTGGGTATAATTTTGGAGTCACTATTTATATTTCCTTGGATTTTTTTTGTCGCTTGTGAATAGGTAAGACAAAATGGCAGCCAGTTAGTTAAAGTATATTTTTTGTCCCTCCTCTGACTCATTATAATAAATACTGTCTGGAATACATGTTTTCCTTTGAATAGTTTATCCTTGCTGCAGAATAATCTTTCCACTCTGCTGAATTTTGGGCTTCCTCTCTGGGGCTCACGAACTGCTCCTATGAATTCTTAAAAAAAAAAAGGTATCTTTCTCTCATCTGAATATCTTTAAATCTTGTATATAGCAATATTGTTATTTTGTATCAAACATTCTAGTAGCCTTGTTCTTCTCTTTTCCATAGGCCTTCCTGATCTCTCCAAAATGTTTATAAACTGTTTGCTAAACAGTAATCATATAGTTTCCTCCAAGGATAACTCCTATTGGCTTACACAGAGGAGTTGGCATACACAGAGGAGTTGGGTTTCTTAAAGCATGAACTCTAGTCCATGTGAATCAAAATCACCTGGACATTTGTTAAAAATTTAAATTTCCTCTGGGAGTGGTGGCCCTTGTCTGTAATCACAGCACTTTGTCAGGATGAGGCAGGAAAATTGCTTGAGCCTAGGAATTTGAGACCAGCCTGGGCAACACAGTGAGACCCCATCTCTAAAAAAAAAAAAAAAAAAATTATATATATATATTATATATATATATTATATATAATATATATATAATATATAATATATAATATATATTATATATAATATATAATATATATATTATATATTATATATAATATATATTATATATAATATATTATATATATATATATTTTATATAATATATATATTATATATATATATAAAATTAGCAGGGCATGGCGGCTGCATGCCTGCAGTCCCAGCTACTCAGGGAGGTATATGAAGACCCAAATAACCTTTTGTTATGTGGGCCACATGAATTTAGAAATTTAATATTATGTATTTATTTTTTGAAATGTTTTCACAAGCGCATACACTTTAAGTTTCAGAGACCTACTACATAGGTGGAAGCAGAAACTGCTTATCTTTCAGATGAAGAAATCAATGTAGAGATGAGACTTGAACCTAGGTCTCTTGACTCTAAACCTTACATCCCTTGAGCCCAGGAGGTCTTGTGAGCGCCACTGTACTCCAGCCTGGGTGACAGAGTGAAACCTTGCCTCAAAAAAAAAAAAAATTTTTAATTCCCTGTCTCCTTCTCAAACAAATAAAAATGAAGGAAGGTAATAAGGGCACGGAGTTGAAATCTGATGGATTCCTATGCTGAAGTATAGTCATATAGTCAAAACACTCAAGCATGAGTTTAAGTTTACCACTTGCTAGATATGTAGCCTTAAGCATAATACCTTAGGAGAACCTCTGTTTACTAATCTGCAAAATGAGTTGTTGTTAAAAGAATTAAATGTGATTATGTTTAGTTCAATGGCTGGTTCAGTTAGTGCTCAGCAAATGGTAGCAAATTTTATTAGAGCGCTACACATTTAGGTTTAAAATAAATGTCTTTTGATATGAGAATTAAATGTGGTACAAATGCACATTAATCCTTGGTAAAAACTGTTAAGATTCACCTTTGCAAAACTGGACAATTACATTAATAGAACTTATTGCTGACTCTAACTAAACAGCAATACCTTTGCCAAGAGGGTATAAATACGTAAGTGAAAACATTTGAACATAATAAAAACATTAATATAAGCATGAACTATGATTTATTAGACTTAGCTGTGGTCTCAAAAAGCTTACAATAGTGTTTTCTCCCCCCTCAAGTTTAGCAGTAATGTTAACATTAGCCCAGTGGCTCTCAAACATTTAGGTCTCTTAAAAATAATATTAAAGATCCAAAATATCTTTTGTTATGTGGATTACATGAATTGAGAACTTTAAAATTATTTATTTATTTTTTGAAATGTTTTCATAAGCCCATACAGTTTAACCTTCAGAGATCTACTAAGTAGGCAGAAGCAGAAATGGCTAATCCTATCTTTCAGATAGAAATCAGTGCAGAGATGGGACTTGAACCTAGGTCTCTTCACTCTAAACCTCTGTCTTACCCCCCTCAACTGACATTTACTGACCTTCTACTGTATGATTAGGAACTGAGAAAAGCACTTTCATATATCTGATAATTAAACAAATTTGTTATGGTTATGAGGTATTCTTATGAGAATACATGTAAGATTCAATACTGCCTAACTAAGCTGCTATCTTAGATTTAAGATGAAGACGAAAAGACTTTTAAGGCCCTGAAGCAGGGTGGCAGACAAGTTAGCTTAATGATATGTCACAGAGGCAGTTTGCACAGCTTAGAAGCTTAAACCTACAGGATTCTTTGTAGTTACTTTTATCAATCATTCATTGTCCAAATGATGTAACTTAGTTTGGTTATTTATTTATTTATTTATTTTTGAGACAGAATCTCCCTCTGTTGCCCAGATTGGAGTGCAATGGTGCAATCTCAGCTCACTGCAACCTCTGCCTCCCGGGTTCCAGCGATTCTCCTGCCTCAGCTTCCCAAGTAGCTGGGATTACAGGAGCCTGCCACCACGCCCGGCTAATTTTTGTATGCTTAGTAGAGATGGGGTTTCACCATGCTGGCCAGGCTGGTCTCAAACTCCTGACCTCAGGCAATCCGCCCGCCTTGGCCTCCTCCCAAAGTGCTGGGATTACAGGTGTGAGCCACCGCGCCTGGCCACAACTTAGTTTTTCAAATTTTGTTGTACTCTGAAGAGATTCAGAAGAATGATGGTTAGGTGGCCTACAAAACTCTCAAAATGAGTACTATAGCCAAGATCAGAAATTAGATCCACGGCCTCCAATCCAAGTCATTTATGAACTAAAATTCAGACTATGAAATTCAAACAGTAACTTGTATCATAAAAAAGAATGAGTTCTGATATCAACTATGAATTGCAGAAATATTACAATCACCAATCCACATTTGATATGGACCAAAAAAGAGGATATTTTGGTTTTCATCAATGGATATTGCTAAAACTATACAGAATAAATTGTGTATCTTGGTTGGCCTTAAAGCACTGTTACCTTTGAAAAAGGTCAGAAAGATACCTTAATGGGGGCTAGATGTTCAATTGCTGCTTTTCTATTTTTTACTGTGATCTGAATAAGCACTTATATTCTGTGGTTCTCTGCAATTTTTAACTAGGCATGAGCGGTATGCTGGTAAATGTTTAACAACTGTTTAAAAAAATGGAAGCCCTGAATTGTAACATTTTTGAATTTCCACAGTGCAGTGTAAATACTTCCTTGATGGCCATTGTTTTGCTTGTTTTTATTTATTTTTTTTTAGAGATGCAATCTGGCTACATTGCCCAGGCTGGACTTGTACTACTGAGCTGAAGTGATCCTTCTGCTTTGGCTTTCCAAGTAGCTGGGACTACAAGTATAAACCACAGTGCCCAGCTCATAATAGCCAATTTTAAGATATCAGTGTGATGTCAACCATACTTGCTAAATTCCTAAAAGTTTAACAGATTCGGCTCTTGTCAGCTAGTAAGAGCTGGTAAGGCAAAACACTGGCTATGACACAATGCTAATCTATATATATTTTAAATGACTAGAATAAAATAAAGCTAACCATAAACGGAAAATAGAGCAATCATTAACAACACTAAAACTTTAAAAAATCACTTGGATGAAAATAGAGTAAGACTGCTTGGTCTGAAGCCAAGAAATCTGAGTGTTGGTCCAGTAACTACCCCCAAATCTATGATATTTAACAAATCACTTATTCAGACCATGCCTATTTGCCATTAAGGACATGGGAATATATGATCCTGAATTTTTACAATATATTTATTTTCTCTCTCTCTTTCTTCCTTTCCTTCTCCCTTCCTTCTCTTCCCTCCTTCCCTCCTTTCTCTCTCTCTCTTTTTGAGACAGAGTCTTACTGTCACCCTGGTTGGAGAGCAGTGGTGCAATCATGGGTCACTGCAGCCTTCAACTCCTGGGCTCAAGTGATCCTCCTGCTTCAGCCTCCCAAGCAGCTGAGACTACAGGCATGCACCACTACACCTGGCTGATTTTTACATTTTAAGTAGAGACAAGGTCTCACTATGTTGCCCAGGTTGGTCTCAAACTCTTGAGCTCAAGTGATTCTCCTACCTCAGTCTCCCAAAGTATTGGGATTACAGGCGTGAGCCACCGTGGCCAGCCTACTACAATACATTATTTTATAATGGGAAGGCATATCACAAAACAGGATGTTATGTAAAACTCTCTTAGAGGCACAATTATGAAATATGTATTAAATGGAGTATTATTAGCATGGCAGTTAAAACCGGCTCACATGCCCATGCCTGAAATTAGGGTGGGCCCTCATGTAGAGCATGCAGATGGCAGAAAACAAATTTAATATGTTCTGCCTTTCCTTTCTATTCTTTTTGGCTTGATTCTGATGGGAATCTGCAGGTGAATTGTGTGTTCAGGATTCTCAGTCTAAAGATATGAGGAAAAAGGCAGAAAAGATGCCCATTAGCAGAAGCACAAAATGCTAGAGAAGGTGGGAGAGTCGAAACAAAGATTCCAAGTCAGGGAGGGTGTGAAGCCTAAAAATTGGTTACATGCAGGATTGAAAACAAAATACTTCCAATATTAATGATCAGTTTGACATTACAGGATATTTAAGCTATGCAGATCAATCATATATTCTTTATGTACCACCAATTACGTTTTCTGTGAGAAAATATGCAAAAAAATTTCTCAGAAATGACAAGCATTTTGGAAAGCGGTAGCTTTGTTTCCAGTTAAAATGGAGGTGGGTTATGAAAATCTTTGATGATAAAGACAGCCTGGTAAACTGGGGAACTGAAACAATTTTAAGCAAAGAGAGCAAAAAACAACACTTAGTTACAAATTAAACAAACAGTAGTGAAATAAATTGGATAATTTCTATCTCATCTATTAATAGAGCCTTTATTTATGTGTTTAAAAACCATCTCATTGCTTTTTTTAATCATTAAACTTACTTGACAGCCTGGTAATCCAGTATCTCTGCTGTACAGGGAAAATGAGCCTCTCTCTGATGTTTTTCCTATAAAACAAAGAAATTAACTTTATATAAAACCCTTCATTTATTGACAGACAATCAAACTGCTAGACTATTCATGGTAATTATATTGCAGTTTTAAAATAGAAAGAACAAATTAGAAATAAGAGGATACAATTCAATAATTTGTAAAACTTGCTATCACTTCAGTCAGTCTGAGTCAAATTCTGGGCAGGATGTAGTGACTCACGTCTGTAATCTCAGCACTTTGGGAGGCTGAGGTGGGAGGACTGCTTTAGTCCAGTAGCTCAAGACTAGCGTGGGCAATAGTGAAGCCTCTCTACAAAAAATAAAAAATTAGCATGGTGATATATGCCTGTATTCCCAGCTACTCAGGAGGCTGAGGTGGGAGGATCACTTGAGCTATATAAAGTAGCATGTAAATACTTTATTTTCAACGTATAGTATTTTAAAACACATTTAAAAGAATGAAAGACATTTATATAGCCAACAATATGATACATGTACCCACTAGTTAGAATGTTTTCCCATGTTTGCTTCAGACTGAACCTTCTTCTCTTCTTTCTCTCTCAAAAATTAATACAGTATTGGGCCAGGCACAGTGGCTCACGCCTGTAATCCCAGCACTTTGGGAGGCGAAGGCGGGCGGATCACGAGGTAAGGAGATCAAGACAATCCTGGCTAACAAGGTGAAACCCTGTCTCTACTAAAAATACAAAAAATTAGCCAGGCATGGTGGTATGCGCCTGTAGTCCCAGCTACTCAGGAGGCTGAGGCAGGAGAATCACTTGAACCCAGGAGGCGGAGGTTGCAGTGAGCCAAGATCACAACACTGCACTCTAGCCTGGGTGACAGAACAAGACTCCGCCTCAAAAAAAAAAAAAAATTAATACAGTATAGACATAGCTCAAACCACACCTCTGGATAACCATTATCATAATAATGATGTGCATGATTACCATGTATGTTTTATACTCTTAAATATATATTCATGTTCTCGAACAATATACATTACTGTTTGCATTTAATATATTTAAACAGATGGAATTACATGGTTTTTATCTTGAAACCTGTATTTCCATATATTATGTTTTTGAGCTGTGTGTTGATAACAGATCCCTAGTTTGAGCATCTTTACTGCTATACAATATTCCATTATACAAATAAAACCAGTTTATATATTTCCCTACGGAAAGATAGTTTTTATATTTTTTTGTCATGAGCAATATTGAAACAAATATCCTTGCACATCTCGTGTACGCACACACACACACACACACACACACACACAGACATACATTCCTTCAGGATAGACACAAAGAAGGGAAACTGGTAGATTAAAGGATGCGAACTTTCAGCTTTATAGGCATTGATTGCCTTATTATTCTCAGAAGTCACCACGCCCATTTATATTCTTCCCAGCAACATGTAAGAATTCTTGCTGTGGTGGGGGGCAGTGGCTCACGCCTGCAATCCCAGCACTTTGGGAGGCCGAGGCGGGCGGATAACCTGAGGTCAGGAGTTCAAGACCAGCGTGGCCAAAATGGTGAAACCTCATCTCTACTATAAATACAAAAATTAGCCAAGTGTGGTGGCACACGCCTGTTAGCCCAGCTACTCGAGAAGCTGAGGCAAGAGAATCATTTGAACCCAGGAGGCAGAGGTTGTGGTCAGCCAAGATCGTGCCATTGTACTCCAGCCTGGGTGACAGGGTGAGACTCGTCTCAAAACAAAAAACAAAAAAGAAAAAAAAATTCTTATTGTGACTATACCCACTGATACGGTTTGGCTGTGTCCTCACCCAAATCTCACCCTGAATTGTAGATCCCATAATCCCGACATGTCGTGGGAGGGACCTGGTGGGAGGTAACTGAATCATGGAGGCGGTTACCCCCATGCTGCTGTTCTTATGATAGTGAGTTCTCACAAGATCTGATGATTTTATAAGGGGTTTTTCCCCTTTTGCTCGGTACTTCTCCTTGCTGCTGCCATGTGAAGGAGGACACTTTTGCTTCCCCTTCTGCCATGACTGTAAGTTTCCTGAGGTCTCCCCAGCCATGTTGAACTGTGAGTCAATTAAACCTCTTTCCTTTATAAATTACACAGTCTTGGGTTATGTCTTTATTAGCAGCGTGAGAACGAACTAATACACCCACAGTTCAAAACTTTCATGGCCAAGTATCAGTAATAGTATGGGCCAGTTCTTGAGGGAGAATGGAGGTTAAGTCTCACAGCGTTAACAATTAACAGTAGGGTACTCACTCATTTGTATTCAATATACTAAATGAATTTGCAAATGTGGTATTTTTGAGGCTCAGTAACTAAGGCCCCCAAACATGGTGCTTTGACATGCTGGATTGAAGCAGCAGCCTCAAGGTCTCTCTAAGTCATGCCCTCTCCACCAGACCCCTCCCCACAATCTTCTGTTTTTTGCAAAGCACAGAATGAAGTTGTTCTCTGAAATTCCCTATCTATTTAGAAACCGGACCTGCCAAAGAAGAACACAATTACCTTCCCTGAGTTTCAGTAATTCCTTCTATGCCAGTCATTCTAAGTTGGCAGTTCCCTTCAGTCTCTGCCATCTTCTTGTTCCAAGAAGATTTCTGATCCATTTTGATTACATGCAGGGAAGGCTGTGTATGTCAGAATTGCAAGTGTACAATCCTTTAATGGTTTTATTTTGTAGTAACTAGTTTTATTGAATTAATTCATTTATTTATTTTGAGACAAGGTCTCGCTCTGTCGTACAGGCTAGAGCACAGTTACATAATTACAGCTCACTGCAGCCTCCAACTTCTGGGCTCAAGCAATCCTCCCACCTCAGCCTCCCAAGTAGCTGGAACCATAGGTGTTTGCCAACACGCCTAATTTTCTAAAATTTCAGTTTCAGTAGAGACAGGGTCTCATAGTATGGCCTAGGCTGGTCTCAAACTCCTGGGCTCAAGCAACCCTCCTACCTCAGCCTTCCAAAGTGTTGACGTTACAGGTATGAGCTACCACGGTGGCCTAGCATTATTATTTCAAGGATTATTTTGCATATCTAAAGGGTTAACAGATGTCAGATTTAGAGTTGTAAAACTTCTACGTCAATTAGTCAGCATGACATGTATACTTTAATGAAAATGATACTAGTCTATTTCTAAGGTTTTTAAAAATAATTATGTATCATATCAATAAACAATTTTGAACATCCTATTCACCTGTAGAGTTTTTTTAATTAGTGAACTACATTTTTTATTTTTTATTTTTTTTGAGACTGAGTCTCACTCTGTCACCCAGGCTGGAGTGCAATGGCATGGTCTCGGCTCACTGCAACCTCCACCTCCTGGGTTGGAGTGATTCTCCTGCCTCAGCCTCCCAAGTAGCTGGGACTACAGGGGCGTGCCACCACACCCGGCAAATTTTTGTGTTTTCAGTCGAGATAGGGTTTCACTATGTTGGCCAGGCTGGTCTCGAACTCCTGACCTCGTGATCTGCCCACCTCGGCCTCTCAAAGTGCTGGGATTACAGGCGTGAGCCACCACACTCCATCACAAGTTAATACTGTATTGTATTTTGAATCAAATGTCCTAGTAAGAACTCTTTAAAAAAAAAAAGTTGAAGTGGAAAAAGGAACAAGGTTAAAGGTGAATATTAGCTCTGTTTTTAATAATGTACAGCTTTTAAATACAATCTTAATTATCTGTGTCGAGGCTACCCATATGATAGATCATTTTAAAAAACCTAAAGTTTTAAACTTACTTTCCTGTGCTTATTAAAATTCCTTATCCTTTCATAAAGGACATTGAATTCAAAGAGAATGAAAACTAATTTAACATAAGCTGAAGATGTTACAAAGTAAAAGTTTCTTCTGAAATGAAAGTTGATAGCTTATTTTCAAAATGATACTTAATCTATTCAAATAAGATTTTGAACTGTAAATACATTTTTATTTCACCTTTCATTTATTAGAAACTAGTTATTTTCTTAAGGACTTATAAGTTTGAGTATCCTTGAAATAAAATAATGCATACTCAGTCTAAGACTTAGGAGGCATTCATTTTTAATTCTTTCAAAATTACTTTTCACAAGAACTATTTTCATGAATTAAAATTAATCATATACATTATCTTTCTTTTATCTCAGGCATCTGACAACAAAAATCTCTGGCTACTGTATTAAGGGTTTCTACCAACCTTTTTTTTTTTTAACATAAATATACATAAATGAAGTATAGACAATTTTAACCAGTCAACTTCAGCTGAAAACAGTTTAAGAACTACTAGTAATGTAACATATATCTAATTTTCCTTGAAGCACCTATGAAAAAATTATTACAAAGAATTCTCTGGGATAGTCTAATACAGGGTTTTTACTACACTCTTGTGTTGCGGGGGTGTGAGTGTGTATAGGTATCGGTGTGTGCACATGTGCATGGGCCTCTTGGGCGGACTTCTCAGAATCACGATTATAAATGTACAAAACAAAATGTAAGTATTTTAATGTACAATGACACGTAATCATCAAAATGTTCTTTTAAAAACCTCACATTTCCTGTAATTTATTAACACATTAATAAGATTTAGCAGCAGGACTAATAATAATTTGAAAGCATAAATAATAGCTTAAGATATCTGCAACAATTATGATATGAAAATATCTATTGTTCTACTGTGACAAAAACTGTAGGTACTGTCTGGATTATTTTGTTATCCGTATTCAAAATGGAAGGCCATGCTAAATTTCACTTAGAGATTGGTAAAAATAAAGATGACAATTTTTTCCCATTCAAGTTCACTGATTTTCCTTCTGTCCTGGGATTCTCTGGACTCCAGGTTAAGAAACCCAACTCTAGTAGAATAGCAACATATTATTGGAAAATATACAAGAATAAGACATATATATGTATATTAAACCATCAGACACATAACTTGTGTGCAAAGGTATTTTAAGTAGCTAAACTTACATGGTTTACATTAACTACATTCAGCATTTTCTGACCTAAACTAAAAATTGCTCAAGAAATGACAGATAATTCTGACTAATTTATACAGTATTTAAAACATTTATTCAAGAAACAGCAAATGACTGAAGTTCAAGAAATTATTTTCTCCAGACTCATAAACTCTTAGAGGCATTAGTTACCCTAACAAATATTCTCAGACTTAAAAAAAAGTTATCTTGCTCTCTACCACTAATATACTTAAGTTATAACCTTTCAATGCTTACAGAAATACAAACTAATGCTATTCTTTTGACATAAGATACAATCGGCAGTCACAGTGAAGGTGGGAGTGGACAGGCACAGTTCTACATTCCCATTTCTCCCCATCTCAATTACAAATATCCAAACATTGACTGGACAGAAGAATCTAAGATCCATACATTCCATCAAACATTTATGGGCTAGTCACTGACAGATGAAGAGGTTAGGAGATGAGTAAGACACAAGCTTCTGGCCGGGTGCTGTGGCTCATGCCTGTAATCCCAGCACTTAGGGAGGCTGAGGTGGGAGGACTGCTAGAGCTCAGGAGTTCAAGACCAGCCTGGGCAACATAGTGAGAACTGACCTTTATAAAAAATAAAAAAAAAAACTTAGCTGGGCATGGTGGTGCATACCTGTAGTCACAGGAGACTGAGGTGGGAGGACTGCTTGAACCTGGGAGTTTGAGGCCGCAGTGAGCTATGATCATGCCACTGCATTTCAGCCTAGGAGACAGAGTGAGACCCTGCCTCAAAAAACAAAAAACAAAACACAAACAAAAAAACCCCCACAAGCTCTACCCTCAATAGGTGCCAAACAATGAAAAAGCTTATAGCCTACTGGATGACCAAGTTTTAGAAGTACTGCTACATTTGTTAGACATTTAGCTCTTTTTAGTGACAGAAATCTAGTATTTGATAATATATATTTACTAAAAATACCGCAAAGGTTAGAAGGTGCCTGATATGGTTTGTGTGCCCACCCAAATCTCATCTAGAACTGTAGTTTCCATAATCCCCACGTCGTGGGAGGGACCTGGTGGGAGGTAATCGAACCATGGGGGTGGTTACCTCCATGCTGTCCTTATGATGGTGAGTTCTCATGAGATCTGATGGTTTTATAAGGGACTTTTCCCCCCTTTGCTCTGCACTTTTCCATGCTGCCACCACGTGAAGAAGGATGTGTTTGCTTCTCCTTCCACCATGATTTAAGTTTCCTGAGGCCTCTCCAGCCATGCTGAACTGTGAGTCAATTAAACCTCTTTCCTTTAAAAATTACCCAGTCCCAGGTATGTCTTCATTAGCAACCTCAGAGCAGATTAGCCACAATCCACACTTGGAGAATGGTGTTCAGTTTCACTCTGCCTTCAACACCCAAATTTAGACCAAAGCAATTCTACAATACTCTCATGGTGTGTGCTCTGTTGTTATCAATAGAAAATAATGTATTGATGAGGAAACAGACAGAGATAATGATATTATGGCATATAAAGCCTGCTCAGCATTTCTTTCTGCAGCAGTCCAGTAAATACCTAAAAATTTCCAGACAAGTTTATTAGTTTCAATGAATAGATACTATTCAAGAAACAATTGTTGCCTTCACAACAGTACAAAATAGAATAGCTTCTCTATTTGTATGGAAGCCAACATTATTTCTGTTCATTTTTGTAAGACATTCTGATTTGCATTCATAAATTTGAATTCAGCATATTTTACACAGAAAAACTCCATGTGTTATAATTTAAGTATTAGACTGGTTTTTCTTAAAAGCTAAAAGCTTAACCTAGAAACAATTCCTGGATGTTTCAAAAAAGTTAATGAGATCAACATTACTATGTTCAAAATGAAATATTTCAGTGTGTAAGTCATGTGAGCTTTTCCATATTTACTTTTCAGAGAAACAATATGAAATCCTTACATAGGCAAATCTAAATATTTGTGCACAAATCTAAATCTGATGACAGTTTTATGAGCAGACTATCCTCCTCCCCCTTGAGTGTCTTTGAAAACTCATTATTTACCTAACCTTTTTGCTCGTGGAGAACCTGCTCCTCTTTTGTGGGCAAATCCTATTAAAATATCATACAATTTGAATCATACTAACCATCTGGAGAAACACAAAATGCTAACTTACAAAGTGGGCAAACCTGCAATGCCATAGAGTATGAGAGCAAAGACCTGGGAATTCTGATTACTGGATTCGTCTCTTAGCTCTTGCTTCGCTCTCATTGAGTCAACTAGGAAAGTAACATGTCGCTTAACATCAATGACCCCACTCACTCTTTTAGGAAAATCAACCAAATAACATGTACCTCACACAGACCCTGCACAGTTTAATTAATAAACTATTCAGAAATTCTTGTCTAGAAGATACTGTCAGAATTATAGACTTTATTTTGGTAGTAATCTGCTCAAATGTACAGAAAAAGAATCTAAAAAGGATCTTAATTGACCAGATTTTTTGTTTTTAAAGAAAAGAGAAAGGGGATTTTTAAATAAATGCTTGCCTATTTTCTTCACAACAATTTGTTTAAGCATTATTGGCTAACATTTGTGCCAACCACACTGCTGGCTACAGTGAAGATGCTTAAATATCTAGTGCCAACAGGCACAGCTGCTGGACTCTCTATGCCCTCCTCTTGTTCACTCCATGCCAAATTACTCACACAGCTATGAATGATGAGGCAGCAGCATAGGAAAATGCCAAGTGTGAGTGAGATTAGTGATAAACCACAGGATCCCTATAGAGGTCAGTGATTAGCAAGTTCCCAGTTGTAATCACTTTTCTAACCCAGCCTTTATCTCATCACATATGCCATCTTAATTTTGCACCAGCTTCCTGTGATGTGCATCAGAACTGTAAGCAGCTTCCCAATCAATAATTCTGGCAGAAGTGCTAAAATGCCAATGGAGCATCCTATTACCCTGATAAAAGCACACAGTCAGACCTGGGCAATTTGAATAGGCTTTATAAATGACTTTCTAGGCTGGGTGCACTGGCTCATATCTGTAATCCCAGCACTTTGAGAGGCTGAGGCTGTGGATCACTTGAGCCCAGGAGTTCGAGACCAGCCTGGGCAACATGGCAAAAACCCAACTCTACAAAAAATACAAAAAATCATCTGGGCATGGTGGTACACACCTGTAGTCCCAGCTACCAGGGGGGCTGAGATGGGAGAATCACCTGAGCCCAGGAAGTCGAGGCTGCAGTGAGTCCACTGAATTCCAGCCTAAGCAACAGAGTGAGATACTGTCTCAAAGAAAAAAAAAAAAAAGAAACGACTTTCTGAGACTTTAACATCTGTGATGAAGTATTCTAGGATGCAAAACATTCACCAACTCAACTACCCTTCCTCATGCTCTCCACTTCTCTCCCCTTAACATCAGATTTGCAAATTAAATATAAATAGGTGAGGATGAGAAGGTTTATAGAAAACAGTTTACATTTCCATCATTAGAATGGCCAGAAGAGAACATTAAAATGCACAATTCAATTTGAGAGGGTGAGGTGGGTGGGTAGTAAAAAATTCTAAATGAATGAACGGGGAAGAATTACATAAATACATTTTGATCAATTTCAGTCACTGACCAGAACATTCTGGGCCTGGCACGGTGGCTAATGCCTGTAATCCCAGCACTTTGGGAGTCTAAAGTGGGCGGATCACCTGAGGTCAGGAGTTCAAGACCAGCCTAGCCAACATAGTGAAACCCCATCTCTACTAAAAATACAAAAATTAGCTCGGTGTAGTGGTGCACAACTGTGGTCCCAGCTACTCGGGAGGCTGAGGCAGGAGACTCTCTTGAACCCAGAAGGTGGAGGTTGCAGTGAGCCTAGATCGAGCCATTGTACTCCAGCCTGGGTGGTGACATAGCAAGACTCCGACTCAAAAAAGGAAAAAAAAAAAAAAAAGAAGTAAACTATAATTAAAGGTAGCTCAAAATCTAATTTCCACTTTGGAATCACTTTTCTTAACAGTTGTATATTCTAAATTGTCCTTGATAACATAATTTACATCTGTATTGCACTGTTGCTTTGCCTAAAGTTCAGAATATGAGTATTTTTCTTAATGTCACCACATTTCCCCAACCACATGTTGTTTAGAATTTAGAAATAAAGACATTTTCATTTTTTACAGCAAGTCAAAAGATTACAGAACTAGGGGAGCTGTTTTTCAGGAAAAAAAAAAACCCATCATGAATGTGTACTCTTTAAAAATAATCAAGTCACCTTGGTGTCTTAATGTTTATCTCATTCTTAAAAAACGATTTAAAATAATTTAATGGTTTACAACTTTCTAAGGACTACATAAACTGAGATAATCATTCAATGCCTTAACCCTATTTACTCCACTTACTCCAAAACAAAGAAAAAGAAAGTCAAGTAACAATCACATCACCAAATAATTTGGGGGAAGATAGAGGGAACAAATTATCAAATACATCTACTTTTGGCATCTCATTTCCTTCCTGACATTAATGTATCTCAGTATTCACACTCTTAAATAATTTACTCCTTCTGACACACTGACTCTGTTTCCACCAAATCCTTGTATCAATGCTCGTCTAAGAAATTTCTTGCATTATACAATGATAAGCAGAACATTAGGCTCACTGTTGCTAAATCCCATTATTACCTCACATCTTTTTTGTATTTTGACTATTTAATTTAGACCATGACCTTACCAGGCAAGGTCAGTGTTTAACTCTGTTTTTTATGGCACCCAGGGACCAGAAGGCAGATGCCACTTGTTCAGAGAACACTGGTCTGGAATTCCAGACTTGTGTTGTTTGCGTGCCAGGGACAGATTCTACTCCAAGCCTCCATCTATGGCATAAAGCCATATGAAGGCAGAGAGACAGCTTAAGAGAACTGTGCTCTAAAATAGTGTATAATAAATGATTGTTAATTAGCCAGTTCCCCTGACAGCAAGAACTGGAAGAGAAGGAAAGAAACTAGTCAATGGAACTGCTACCATTCATCAACTATTTGGTCATAAACAGGCCAACGGAATGAAACAAACATGGAAATAAGAGTCAAGAGGATCTATTTCTGTCTCTGATGTGAACTAGCTATGTGAGATACATAAGTCATTAAACCTCTCTAGACCTCAGTTTTTTTTACCTAAAAAATAGAGTGAGGTGGGGCAAGTGTGGATTAAATGATTTCTTTTAATGTCCCATGAAATTGATATGCTCATCAACTCTTCGCTATTAATAAGACATACCCTTCTGGTGGAACATTAATTTGGACACTGCACATAGTAAAAAGGATAAGCTGCTAAAAATATAGGGATTTTTGTAATAAAGATGATGTACAGTTATAAAACCAAAGTGTAAACACTTGTTTAATACATTTTGAGACATTTAGCTGTGAATATATTTGCTGAATACAGCAAACTGAAGTCAGTATATTTAAAATTACCAAGACTTAATCCTATTCAGATTAAGAAAAACAAAATGTCAATGAAATTTTTTACTGAGACTCAACAGCCTCTACCTATGTAATATAGAAATGAAGCACATTTTGTACACTTTGTGTATAAAGAAAATACATAAATAGCCATCAAATGGTAACTATTTCATTTTGTTGAAACACATGGAGAAAGCCCAGAAGAGAGCCTTAAATCCCATTTAGGTTCTACTAAGACTGTATGCATGTGTTTTATGTTCTCATTTATTTATGAATGACAGGGTCTTGATCTGTTGTCCAGGCTGGAATGCAGTGGCGCTCGATAGCCTTGAACTCTTGGGTTCAATCCTCCTGCTTCAGCCTTCCAAGTAGCTAGGACTACAGGCACACACACCCACATAGGTTAATTTTACAACATTTTTGTAGAGATGGGGGTCTCTTATGTTGCCCAGGCTGGTCTTGAACTCCTGGCCTCAAGTCAGCCTCCCACCTCAGTCTCTCAAAGTGATGGGATTACAGGGGTGAGCCACCATGCCTGGCCTGCTAAGACTTAAATATGGTTCTTGCTACATGAGGACAAAATATGACATGTTCAATTTTCATTGAGCTGTCTCCAGTATTGCAATTTACTGCCATCCTATGTTTGAGTTTGAAAATAGGTAAAGGCCAGTCTCAACTTCTTGATGGGTCATAATCCAAAGTTGATTTGTGAGTAAGGCATAACTCAAAATAAAAATCTTACATATTAACTCATTATAACTGGATACACAAGTAAATTCAGGTCACAGTGTGTCAGAATAGAATATTTGCTGAATGGAGGAATGAGGAATGAAGGATGGAAGGAAAAAATGAAGGAAGGAAGAAAAGAAAAAAATCCCAACATTCTGTAACAGTAAATTAGAGAGAAGGCATGGGGTAATGGTAATGAACGAAGACTCTAGATGTAGACTAACCAGGTTTAAATTCCCACTTTGTTGCTTATTATCTAACAGCTCTGTCCCTTAGTTGCCTCATCTGTGAAACAAGGATAAAAATAGTTCTACCTCACTGGGTTTTTTGTGAGGATAAAATGTATTAACATCTTAAGTGCGTGGAACAGTGACAAACAAGGGGTAATTAAATTTTAGTTATTATTTTTGAACTGAAATGTACTGACTAGAAAATACATTTGACTATATTATACAATACTATATTGACTATATATATCTTAAATATTCATGCTTAAGGACAAAGTCTTAATTAGAAGAGAAAAAAATTAGATTCTAGGCAAAGAATTTAAAGGAAACTTTTGGATACTTTCAGAGGTTTTAAAATTCTTTATGCCTTTCATTTCATTAAAATTTAACGGCGTCACTCTTCTTAGCATTAATGAATGGGTAACTGGATCTCTTTGTATACATAGCCATAATCTGTTCACAACTGAAAAAAACAAAGATTCACCAAAGAAAGTATGCAAGATCCAGAAAAGGTGGTAGAGAGAGCTGAGAAGTCGAAACATAAAAGAACAGTCTAAAATGAATTTCAACAGAGTTTTAGATTTTGTAACATAGAGGAAAAAGGGTAGATATGTTTGAATATAATCTTTAGCCTGCCTATTCCTTGTTCCCTAAGGTTTGGGCAAAGTGGTTTTAGGGGAGCACCTTGGGTCTGATGGTCCCAAGTTTAGTAACTTTAGTAACAACCAAGATAGCTTGGTTGTTGTTTGAAGCTCACGGGGGAAAGAAGGGCAAACCATTTTTATTCAGTAAAAAGGAGCGCCAGGGTTAGCAGTGTGTAAACAGATGTTAAGTAGTTCACTATTTAAATGTTTTCATCTAGCGAAGACCCTATTCTTAAAATTATGTGCAAAAACCACTGGAAAACAGAGAATGAAAAAAGCCAAATGCTTGCTTCCTCTATCTCTTGGTATCTCTGTTTCATTTTGAAAATTTGCATTATATTACTGATATGGCTGGATTTAAGTCTGCCATTTTCTTACACGTCTACTATTTATCTCATTTGTTGTTTGTTCTTTTATCTTTCTCAAACTTCTTTTTTCTTTTCTTTTTTTTTTTTTAAAGACACAGGGTCTTCTTCTGTCACCCAGGGTGGAATGCAATGGCGTGATCACAGCTCACTGCAACCTTGAACTCTTGGGCTGAGATCCTCCCATGTCAGCTGCCCAAGTAGCTAAGACTATACCTGGTTTTTTTTTTGGAGAGACAGAGTCTTGCTATGTTGCCCCAGCTGGTCTGGAACTCCTGCCCTCAAGCAATCCTCCCACCTCCCCAAGTGTTGGGATTACAGGTATGAGCCACTATGCCCAGCTCTCAGCCTGCTTTTAGATTGAGCATTCCATTTAATAGCCACTATTGGTAGATAAGTTACATTTCTTTTTAATTTCTTAGCGATTGCCCTCAGTTTACAATATACATCTTTAACAGATGTTAAATCCTTCCTCCCATCTTTTAGATTACTGTTACATATTTTATAAAACCGACAATATAATGTACTAATTTTGCTTTAGACAGTTATTTCACAGTGTAATTTAAAAGGATGAAACGTATGTCTTTTATATTTACTTTCATTATTACCATTTCTGGAGCTCTCATTTCTTTGTATAGATCATGGGTTGGCACACTATGACTCATGGCCTGCTTCCTGTTTTTGTAAATAAAGTTTTACTGGAAAACAGCCATGCTCACTTGTTTATGTACTGTTCATAGTTGCTTTTGTGCTACAATGGCAGAGTTGAGTAGTTGTGACAGAAACTGTCTGACCCACAAAGCCTAAAATATGTAATATCTGGCTCTCTATGAAAAAAGTTTGCGGAGTCTTGGTGCAGATCCAAGTTTCTGTCTGGAGTGACATTCCCCCTGCTTGAAGAACTTACTCCAGCAGTTATTGTAGTCTGCTGGGAATGGATTTTCTCAGATTTTCATATATCTAGAAGTCTTTATCCTCTTTTTTAAGAAAATATTTTCAACAGATAAATAATTCCGGGTTGACACAGTTTTAAAAATTGTAATACATTAGAGATATCACTATCATCTTGCCTGCAAAGTTTCTGAAGAGAAGTCTGCTGTAGTTTATCTTTGTTGTTCTATACATGATGTGTTTTTTTTTCTGCCTCTGGTTGTCTTCAAGATTTTCTCATCTTTGGTTTTCAGCACTTTAAATATGTCTAAGGGAATATGTGTGGTGTGTGTGTGTGTGTGGAGGGGAGTTCTTGTTGTTTCTTAAGTCTTGCATCTATGGTTTGATGTCTTTCATTGCTTTTGGGAAATTCTTGGCCATTATCTCTTCAAATATTTCTTCTGCATTATTATTTATCCCTCTCATTCTGAAACTTTAAGCATACACATATTAGACTGATACTGTCCTGCAGCTCTGATCTTTTTTCATTTTTTTTCTCTTTGTGTTTTAGTTTGGATAATTTATACTGGCCTATATTCAAGTTCACCCATTTCTTCAGCAACTGGGTTGTCTACTGATGACCACAAAGGAATTATTTACCTCTGTTTTTTTTTTTATTACTACCATTTCAACTTGACTCATTATTTCCATCTATCAGCTAAATTCCCCATTAATTCATGCATGCTATGTTTCCCACTAGATCCTTTCAATATCTTAGCCAGAGCTATTTTCAAATCTTTGTCTGATAGTTCCAATAACAGGGCCACCTCTGAGCCTTGTTTTGTTAACTGTTTTGCCTCGATAGTTCCAATAACAGGGCCACCTCTGAGTCTTGTTTTGTTAACTGTTTTGCCTCTTGAAAGTATTTGTTTTGTTTTTCTCTTGCTTATGTGTGTGACTTATAATTTTGATGGATGCAGGATACTGTGGGTAGAACAGTAGTATATTTAGGCCTGGAAGTGGGTATGCCTCTTTCCATATAAGGACTTTAGAGTGAGAAATTCAGACAATCAGTTAGGAGTTTAGCTTGGTGTGACTGTTGCTGTGATGACTCTGAGTTTACCAGAGGCTTCCACTCCCTCTAGTGATCACCTGTTGTGCCTAGTGTTTAGCACGTGGCTGGGGTGCTGTAAAACTTTTCTGTTAGTATTTCATCCTCAGCTTATAACAGATGCTATAAACCTGTGCTTGAGAGTGGGTCTGTCCTCAAGCTTTTGCCCCTGCCCCAGTGGCAGACTGCTATTGCTTAGTACTCCTTAGGCTTGTGACGGAGGTAGTTCTCTGCTGTTTTAGTTCAGCCTCAGTACTTACAGAAACTGTGTGCTTGGGCCTCTTTGAAGGGTTCAAAAAAGTTAAAAGTTTGTAGTTTATCAGGCTTTTTTTTTTTTTGAGACAGAGTCTCATTGTCGCCAGGGTGGAGTGCAGTGGCACAGTGGCATGATCTCGGCTCACTGCAACCTCCACCTCCTGGGTTCAAACGATTCTCCTGCCTCAGCCTCCCAAGGAGCTGGGACTACATGCATGCGCCACCACACCCAGCTAATTTTTGTATTTTTAGTAGAGACAGGGTTTCACCATGTTGGCCAGGCTGGTCTCGATCTCTTGATCTCATGATCTGTCCTCCTTGGCCTCTCAACGTGCTGAGATTACAGGCGTGAGCCACCGTGCCTGGCCAAAAGCAGCATTCTTTATAGTTTTCCACACCCTAGATAGAAGCTGGAGGTCCTCTGATCTTCATTTTGGATAGTTTCTGTTTCTATGCCTACAAATTCACTGATTTTTTTTCTTCTGAAGTGAATAAGCTGCAGTTAATATCATCCAGTGTATTTTTCATTTCAGATACTGTATTTTTCTTCTCTCTAAAAATGACATTTAGGGGGCTGGGTGTGGTGGCTCACACATATAATCCCAGCAACTCAGGGGACGAAGGCAGGAGAATGGCTTGAGGCTGGGAGTTTAAGACCAGCCTGGGCAACATAGTAAGACCCTGTCTCTAAAAAAAAAAAAAAAAAAAAAATTGGCCAGGCATGGTGCATCCTTGCAGTCCTAGCTACTTGGGAGGGTGAAGCAGGAGGATCACTTGATCCAATAGTTCAAGGTTACAGTGAGCTATGATCGCTCCACTGCACCCTAGCCTGTGTAACAGAGAGAGACCTGCCTCCAAAAAAGGAGAAAAAAGGGGAAAGGGGAAAGGAAAAGGAAAAGGGGAGGGGAAGGGAAGAAGGAAGGAAGGAAGGAAGGAAGGAAGGAAGGAAGGAAGGAAGGAAGGAAGGAAGGAAGGAAGGGACAGAGGGGGAGAGACAGGGAGGGAGGGAGGGAAAAGAGGTAAATGAATAAATTCCGTTTTTTTCATAGCATTCATTATCCCTACATCTTATTCATTATTTTCCTCTACATTCTTGAGCTATCAAGCGTATTTATAAAAGCCATTTTAACATCTTTGCTTGATTACATCATCTCTCTAATTTCCTGGACTCTTGTTTCTACTGATTACTTTTTCTCTGGGTTACAGGGTACATTTTTTTCTTGTTCTTTTCATGCTAGTAATTTTTAAGTCAATGCCAGACCTTAAAATGTTTATATTTTTGGGTGCTAGATTTTGCTGTATTCCTTCAAAGAATGTCAGACTTTGTTCTGGCAAGCAGTTAAGTGACTTGGAATCAGTTTGCTCCTTTTCCAGGTTTGCCTTTAATATTTCTAACAGTGGGTCAAGAATACCCTTTAGTCCAGGTCTAATTCAGCACCACCAACACAATACCCTTTTGAAGACTACACATGCCCTGTTAATTATGAGATCTTTCCACTTTGGTTCATTGGAGAAAGAATTATTCCCAGCTTTGTGTGAGCTTTCCCTGGTCTCAAGTTGTTTCCTCTCATGCATATACATGCATGTACATGTCAGTACTTGGCCAAAGACTTGGAACCAAACTCTAAAGATCTTGAGCTCCCTTGCTCTCTCTCTGCTCCTTCCTTTTTACCCTATAAATCCTAGTCCCATAGCTTCTCTGAATTCTGATTTTTGTCTTCTCAACTCACAAAGACTGCCAGGCTGCGTTTGATTATCTCGTCTTTTTGCTGTGGCCCAGAATCTTCCTACAGGCAGTGAGAGAGTGGGGGTAACTTCAGGACTCACCTTGTTTTCCTGCTCTCATGGAGTGCCTACTGTCAAATGTCTGAAAAGTAATGATTTAGTTAGGACCACTATGAAACTTCCTAAGGTTTTTATACCTCTTAGAAACCCTTTCACACACCCCCTTTAAAGGAAAAAAATAAAAAAGCTTTCTCCTAGTCTTTCTCTAGCAAACCCATTTTTACAGATCAGAAAAAGATAGAACATAACAAAACTTGACTTCTGTAAATAATCAGACTTTCCAACAAACAAAGACTGCTTAGAGTAGTGCATGAGGTAGAAGATAACCTGAAAAGTTGGATCTACATTTGCTACTATCTTTACTTTTTGGAGTAGCCTAAGTTAAAAACATCCTACTCAGCGAGACTTTACCATAATAGATAATGGGTTTGATAAACTCTTGGACAATCTAAAAACTTTGTTAAACTACCTCTGTTTTTATGATATTGTGCTCTCTTATTTCCAACATTAGATGTTTTATTTCTAAAATACTTTGAATTCCACTAAGTCTGCTGACATATTTGAATTTAGAACAAACTGCTCTAAGAAAATGATCTCCTGTACTAACTACACACATAGCTATTTCTAAAAGGTTAAAAGGCTGGCAATTTTCCAGTTCTTTCTCATCATTTCAGTTATGAAATACAATGTCCAGTTCCTAGTTCTCTTCTATTTTCTTTGGCATGTTGTGACCAGTTCTCCAAATTCAGTATCATGTATTTTGTTGTGTAGGTCTTTAATTCCTGGCCCCAACCCTTGCCCACATACATATACTCTAAATATATGCTACAGATAACCACAGGGCATGAAAAACACTGGTGAAAATTGCTATTATTAAATTTTACTGCTTCTTAGAGGTCTGTCTCTCACTATGCAAGCTACGTCATATTTACATTTATTTTGACACTTTTATATTCAATTTAAAAAGTCACTGATTTCATTAAAATATTTTGACAAACTATATGCTAACTAACAGTAAAATTTATACTGAAAAATCTTAAAGCACTCCTGTTCTTTCTCCGAGGGATTTGTATATCCTGGCAATGTAAACATAGATTTAAGACTACACCTAGACCCGTCTCACGTGGGAAAACTGGTCACGTTGTTGTTAGTTATAATGCTTGTAAGTACATTTGAGCTTTCTGTTGTTGTTGAGATGAGGTCTCATTCTGTTAACCAGGCTGCAGTGCAGTGGCACAGTCCTGGCTCACTGCAACCTCTACCTCCAGGCTCAAGCTATCCTCTCACCTCAACCTCCTGAGTAGCTGGGACCACAGGTGCACACCACCATGCCCAGCTAAATTTTGTATTTTTTTTTTTTTTTTTTGCCACGTCACCCAGGCTGGTCTCGAACTCCTAGACTCAAGTGATCCACCCACCTCAGCCTCCCAAGTGTTGGGAATACAGGCATGAGCCACTGTGCCTGGCCATTTGAGCATTTTTTGAAAAAACAATTTTTGTAAACTTGTATTTTGTCATTTTCCTTGAACATTCCAACTTTCCAAGTTCCCTCCCACTGAAGGCTGCTGGTTTGGCTTGTTAGCCCCTCTGTATGAATTGTTCTTTTGTCACAGCATTAAGTCTGTGAGGGAAACTAGACAATTTTTTTTTTTTTTTAAACAAAGTCTTCCTCTGCTGCCCAGGCTGGAGTGCAGTGGTGTGATCATAGCTCATTCCAGCCTCCAAACCCTGGGTTCAGCCTTCAAACAGCTGGGACTACAGGTGCATTTGCATTTATTCAAATATTATTTCCTCAGAGAAGGGTTCTCTGACTAAACTATCTAAAATAACCCCACTCTAGCCTTTCTTTCTTTCTTTCTTTTTATTATACTGTTAACAAAAATCGACCTGGTAAAGTGGCTCACACCTGTAATCCCAGCACTTTGGAAGGCCAAGGTGGGAGGATGGCTTGAGCCCAGGAGTTTGACACCAGCCTGGGCAACATAGTGCGATCGTGTCTCTACAAATAATAATAAAAAAAAATTAGCAGGGCATGGTGACGTGCACCTGTACTCCCAGCTATTCGAAGGCTGAGGTGAGAGGATTGTTGAGTCCAGGATTTGGAGGCTGAAATGAGCTATGACCACACCACTGCACTCCAGCCTGGGCAGAAGAGCAAGACTTTGTTTAAAAAAAAAAAAAAAAAGTCTAGTTTCCCTTGCAGAGATAATGAAACTTGGCCAGTAACCTTTGGTAAAACCATTATAACTCACAATTTCCCCTTTTCCTATTATAAAGTTTAGGAACTCTGCTTTAATTTGTATTGTCACTTTATCTACATTTTACTATCATTTTCCATATTTGTATTTTGCTATTATCACATATGTGATAACTGAACCCAAAACTCCTTTGCATTTTCTGTTCCTGTGACTGTCTCTTTCCATTCATAATTTTATAAAATATGCACAAGGATTTAACTGCACCTTTATAGGTTTTTTATTTTATACTTTCTGTTTTTTTTCCCTAGAACATGCAAAGATCTCACTTAGTGCTTTTATGGTAAGAGTTTATTTTGGGTAAAGCTTTAAAAAAAGTATAAAATGCTTTAAAATATTTCAATGAAAGATTATAGCAGATAAGCAGGATTAATTTAAAAAACAAACTATTTGGGGATCAGAAGTAGTTGTTTAATAGGATATAGGTTTAGAGTTCCCAAAAGATATCTTACAACTAAGGAAATAAATATAAAGATAGCTCTAAAGGGTTAGATAACTATTACACTGATGTTAAACAAATACCATGCTTACTGGAATTAAACTTTCTAGAAGTAATAAGCTTAATAACTGAATATATAGTTACATTGTTAGTACTGAGAATGGAAGAAGTGATCCAGAAATGATTGCATTTATTTCACTTTTACTTCCTCAACTTTTTGGATTATATTCAGCCAATATCTATTTAAGGAACTGCTTTGGAAGGCCCTTATGTTTTATGCAAGGCACTGCTATTTTCCCAAATGAATAGAATATCCATTCTCCAGCTCCAAGTTTCCATGACAATAAAAACAAAACATTCATCAGCACCAACTTGGTATTTTATGGCAAATGCAGCTGCAGCTTATAACAGTTCAATCTTTATCCCAACTCATTTCTGCCTAACAGAGGCACTATATTTCTCCAAATCAACTGAATTATTTTTACAGTGATTTTCCCCACCGCAGACCTAAACACTAACAGTGTGTTACACCATCTCTAATTATCATCCACTCTTCCCAATTTCACGCCAAATACAATGAAAGGTTCCCAAATGTTGCTAAGAGCACATTTGATTTGTGAAATCTGAAAGCTCAGTTGATTTAAGTATTACAGCTTTAGAGGAATGTATAATATTTAAGCTTTCATGATTAACTACAAAGAAGACAGAATTTTGGAAACGAAAGACATTCACAGCAAACAAAAAGCTAAATTAAAATCAGTCAGATTATGGTAAGACAGTGCCCCCTTGTGTCTTGGTATTTCTGCCTTGACTAAATCCGGTATTCATTTCCTTAGAGTTCTATAATATAAATTTGAATATTTTTTGTATCACAGAAATAAATAGAACTTGATAACTCTCCTAAGACAAAATCCTAATTTAAAACAATATGAATACACTGGCTATTAAATATAAGTGATTTTTACATGAATACTCTGTAACATGGTGAAAATGTAACAAATTTGTATATCTAGTAATTTCATTTTAAATTTCACATTTAATTTACTATTAGTGAGAGATGTTGACAAAGTTTTAAGAATGAAAGAAAAACCTTGCTACTATCAGTTACATTTTCCTTTGGTATTGGTTCTCCTGTGTAACCACTTTATGCTAGTACTGGTTACCCTCATTATTACCCTGGGGCAACTAATGAGTTTGAGGCTTTACACAGAGAACAAGACTGTATTAAATAGAAGAAATTAACATGAAATCTTAAAGGGTATATGTAATAACAATATGAGTAATACCCTAAGTTACAAATAGCTTTAGAAATAAAAAGTCACATAAAAAACATCATTCATGTTTTTTAACTCCACTCAAAGTGTAATATTCAGATCAGAGGCAAGGCCATGAAGTTTGTAAAAATTCAGAATCTCGGGTACCATACCAGATGATCTGAACTAGAACTTGCATTTTATAGCAAGATCCTTGGATGATTCTTATAAGCAATAAAGCTTCAGAAACGCTGCTCTAAACTCAAAAGCCTTCCTACCCTCAACTATCACGCAGCAGGAGCAGAGTAGCATAAGGAGAGGCTGACTGACCTTTGGGCATAGAGTTAGCTTTTAGAGATCAGGTGGATTCAAAGAAAGAGAGAATCAGGAACAGCTCTAGGAAGGCATCCCTGAGTATATAAACTGAGGCTATGTCAGCGTGCTTACCAAAGTGACTCCTACACCAACTCTTTTTCCCTTTTTCATTCTCTAAAATATATTTTTTAAATGAACAGCTAAGATTCTATCAATCTGTGGTCAATATGGGTGACCAAGAAACTTCAAAAAGCAAATAATGTAAGAATTAGAAGTCCATCACTCATTATCAATGATCCCTAGTACACATTTTTTTTTTACATATTTCAAACTACATTTACTGTGCATTTTCTATCTTATTTCACACTCACCAATCCCCTGATAATCAAGTTTTATTATTCCCATTTTATAAATGAGAAATCATTTATAAATGAGAATCATTGAGGTCAACTAAATTACCAAAGGTCATAAATGTAGTGAAGGCTGAGCACACTGCTAAGATTCAGGTTCTGATTCCAAATCCTAGGTTCTCTGTACTGTAACACATTACCAATACTCATTAATGTAAATAAGCTTAATTAGATTGCCTTTCTCCCAATATTAGCTATGGACAGAATACCCTGCAGAATAACTTTAGAGCAGAAGACTAAAGCAGCACAGTAGCCCTGGGCATATGGAAATGTTCTTATTAAGATGTTTAAATGTTCTTAAATAAGGGATGTTCTTATTTTCTTTTGGCTCATCCATATTTTGATTTTCTACAATAAACATTGTATTTGATACAGGAAAAGTATTTTTAAATGCTCATAGTATATAGTATATTCCTTACAGATAAGCTAAAATCTTTAAAAGAATTCATGCATGTGAAGTAACCCATATAACATGTGCACAAAGAAGTTAGGTCTGCCAGGTATGGCAGCTCATGCTTGTAATCCCAGCACTTTGGGAGGTTGAGGCAGGTGGATCTCTAGTGCTCAGGAGTTTAAGACCACCCTAGGCAACATGGCAAAACCCTATCTCTACAAAAAAATTCAAAAAAGTTAGCTGGGCATGATGATGTGTGACTGTAGTCCCAGCTACTTGGGAGACTGAGGTGGGAGGATCACTTGGGCTCAGGAGGCGGAGGTTGCAGTGAGCTGAGCTCGTGCCACCACACTCCAGCCTGGATTACAGAGTGAGAAGCTGTCTCAAAAAGAGAGGGAAAAACAAACGAAGTTACGTCATTTGATGATTTGACTTACCCAATCATCAGTACAAAACGGTCACAAGTTTAGGAACACAAGTATAAGAAAAGAAAGCCTATAAAGTGTAAGAACTCTAAGTAATTTATGTAATTAAATGCTACTTGTTTACATTAAAAGCATTTACATTAAACAGTAAGATGTCATCAAATTATTTTCAAGTAAGTTCAGGAATACGCCCTGTTCTGGTCCAGAATGTGAACTTATTTGTACTACGCATCATCTATTTCTCTTTCTGTCACTTTCATTTTAAGAGTGAACAAATTCCAAAAGATAATCCTTAGAATGTGCCTCGTATCTATCCCTTTCTTTCTGCCCATAACAATCACCATCTCAGTTTAGATTCCTGTGGATGAACACATAAGCATTTGGCTCCCAACTGATACCCCTGCCTCTAGTTTCTCTTTGCTCCCATCTATCCATACAAGAACATCATCTTCATTACACTCCACTGTTCAAAAACTAATAGAAGTTTCCCAGTGCATGTGAAGGTGGATCAGGATATGCTATCCTAAAATATTACACTTTGGCATAAGAATTATTTTGTGCTGAAGGCATTTCAGTTTCTGAAATCCTTATCTGCCTAAAAGCAGAGCCTCCTAAAAGAACTCAATTGTCAAAAAAACCCTCCCCAGGAGCAACTCTAATCTCTCTTACTGGAGACAGAAGTAAGCACCACACCCAGAGAGACACTGTCACAAAGTAGCCTATCTCCAATCTATTATCCTAAAGACCCATTTATTTTTACAAAAAGTCATTTGCTTACCATAAGTGCCCTGACTTTTCCCTCTCTTTCTTCTACCAAGTTAGGTATACAAACTCCAAATTTTAAACAGTCTTTTGAGTAACTCGTCTCTGGGTACACTCATGTGTATAGGCAATGCACATGTGAATAAACCTCTGTCTGCCTTTCTCTTGTTAACCTATTGCCACACAAATGTACAGGGCCCCAGTCAGAAAACCTACAACCCAGCTTAAAACCTAAAAGATTTTTTTCCTTCTCTATACATGGAACACAAAATCCATTTTTTAAATATTCTGACATTGAGATTTCCACATTCAGGTTCAAAACAATCCTTTTTTGTTGCTGTTTCGGTTTAATTTTTAAAATGTCCCAAGCTTACATAAAAGTTGTTAGTAAATGAAACTTCCTCCCCTTAGTTATTTTTGAGAATAAGCAGCAGACACGATGCTCTACCACCCACAAAATACTTCGGTGTGTATGTGCTGATGTGTACTGTACAAATAAGCATGACAGAACCATCAGAATCATCTAATTAACATTTATACATTACTATCTTCAGACCCTGTTTGAATTTTACCAAATGTCTCAATAATGTCCTTTAACAAAAGGACCAAGTTCAGAATCATGCATTAGCTTTACTTCTTTTTTTTTTTTTTTTGGTGGGGGGGGGCACGTAATAGGTGTATATATTTATGGGATACATCAAGTATTTTGGTAAAGGTAGGCAATGCATAATAATGATGTCAGGGTAAATGCGGTATCCATCACCTCAAGCATTTATACTTTATGTTACATATAATCAGTCCAAATATACTCTTTTAGTTATTTTAAAACTTACAATTAAATTATTGAATGCAGTCACATTGTGCTATCAAATGCTAGTCTTATTCATTCTCGTCAACTTTCTTGACTTTCATATCCTTCATACTGTAGCTTAGAATGTCCCTCAATTTATTTTGCATGGTATTTCCTTAAGATTAGATTGGAAAGAGTAACACAGAAATGATGCTGTGTTCTCAATGCACTCTGTTAGGTGGCACATGAATCTGAATTATCCCATTATTGATGGTGAATCGACCACTTCATTAGGTGGTGTCTGCTAAGGCTCCTCAACTGAAAAGTTACCTTTTCCCACTTTAGTTGATAAGCATTTTGTGAGAAGGTATTTTGAGACTAGGTAAAAATCCTGTTTCTCACAAAACTTTATTCATTTATCAGCATAATTTATATATCAGCATAGACTTATAGTTTCCTACTTTATTCAAAGAATTATAAATCTATTACTATCACTATTTATTTTGTTGTTCAAAATGTACAGATTTGGCCAGTGGGAGCCCCTTTAGCCTGGCTTTTGGCACATCCTTCCTTTCCAGAATAACAAGATGCTGCTCCAGGCTCTATTCTCAGGCTCTATGAGTGAACACAGCTGAGGGAATCTGTATAGACATATATATGTAACACAGTTATATTTATATTTCTTTCTGTATCTATCTATCTATCTATCTATCTATCTATAAAAGTGTGAGTAAATACTGATATAATCAATTCCCATCCAACACCACAGGATTCATTCTGGTTTTGTTCCTTCCTATATTTGTAATTTCCTTCTCTAATAGCGATAATGGGTCTTTTATCTATAATATGTTTACATATTTAATCAATTCCCCTGTATATAGCCAACTTCCATTTGCTGCTGCATCCTGCACCCTTCTGTGTGGATGCTCTACTGCACAGAAGCTCTTATCTCACCTCCTCTTGTTTTTGCTGTGATCACTGGCTTCAAAAAGAGTGCTGCACAAAACCAAGGACTGTAGCTATATCGTTTCTCCCTTGAGCTGTTAAACACCCAAACTATTCCTCCCGTTTGTGCTTCTTCCCTTTATGTCATTCAAGCTTGAAATATTCTTCAACCAAGAGTTCCTACATTTTTGCCTAACCTTTCCATAATCTAGCTAATCTTCCTGTTCCTACCTACCTACAGCAACTGCCCCTGTGTCCCGCCACTGCAAATTAAGGGAGATGTGCCTAGGCTGACTGATTTCTGACACTTGAGTGCAGAATTATAAGGCTCACATAATTTAAAAGGAAAAGATAGTTCTTCTCTGAGTTGCAAGATTTATAGCTGTTTCCAGTGAAATAACTGTTAATTTAATTAAAAATAACAGCGAGTGGTCTGGGCGCAGTGGCTCACGCCTGTAATCCCAGCACTTCGGGAGGCTGAGGTGGGCGGATCACGTGAGGTCGGGAGTTTGAGACCAGCCCGACTAACATGGAGAAATCCCACCTCTACTAAAAATACAAAATTAGTTGGGCGTGGTGGCGCATGCCTGTAATCCCAGCTACTCGGGAGGCTGAGGCAGGAGAATCACTTGAACCTGGGAGGCAGAGGTTGCAGTGAGCTGAGATCGTGACACTGCACTCCAGCCTGGGCATCAAGAGCTAAACCCCATCTCAATCAATCAATCAAACAGCGAGTGGGGAATGGTTAGTTAATGCCTGCTTTTACCACTTTCACTGAAGAGTGTTTCCTGTCATTACTCTGTATCTGGAGAAACTGCATCAATATCTGGGGCCATAGTAAGAAAAATACAAGCAATCTAAAACTTGTTCACGGACAGTGACTAAGAAAATAAATACATTTGAAATCACAGGATTTGATACCAGTGGAGAAGTATTTCTGGAGAAAAAGGGTGATAGCCTGATTTAAATATCTGAAGGACCGGCTGTCACAGTTTGGTGTGATCCTCAAAACACATCTGGGACCAAAGTGGGAAAATTATATAGAGACTGATTTTTTTAAAAAACACATCATAAAGACCTACCAGAGATATCCAAAGATTAGATAAGTACCTTGAGAGAACGTATTACATTATTAGAGATGTTCAAAGCACAGATTGGACAATACCTTGACAGAGATGTAAAGGCATGCAAAAAGGCAAAAAAAGGGAAGTAATGAACTTGAGGTCAGAGGTCATAATATACTGGTTAAAATCAAATTGCAGAGTAAGATAGACCTGGGTTTGCAATGTAAATTGTTCAATCCTGTGCAAACCAATTATCTCAGCATCAGTTTCCTCAAATATAAAATAAAATAATTTTGTTTATATCTCATAGAATTTGAATTTAATGCATAAATATACACAAAGGCTTAGCCCACTATGTGTCCCAAATAAATAGTTAAATAAAGGCTATCTGCAATAATTACACGGCACTTTGTAATCAGCAAGCCCTAAGTGATGGAAGGCTTTACTATTAGGCCTTAGATCTATGAATGCAGGAACCTTATCAAACTTGTTTCCTTTGTTTCCACAGTCCTTAGCATAACGTCTGACACTTAGCACATGATCTATAAATATTTGTTGAATAAAAGGAGATTAAAATACTCAAGGGTTGTTGGATGATGAACCTTTTAAGGTTCCTCCTGATCCCGATAATCTGTCTTTATGAATCTGACTACTCTAGGTACTTCACAGAAATGGAATTATACAGTATTTGTCTTTTTATGACTGGCTTATTTCACTTAGCATACTCATTCAATTAAAACATTATCAAGATCCATCCATGTTATAGCATGTGTCAGAATTTCCTTTCTTTTTAAGGCTCAATAATATTCTGTTGTATGCATATACCACATTTTGTTCATCCATTCATTCATCAACACACACTTGGTTACTTCCATCCTTTGGTTAACTGGGAATAATGCTGATATGAACATAGGTGTACAAATGTCTCTTTCAGATCTTGCTTTCAATTCTTTTGGGTATGTACCTGGAAGTAATACTGCTGGATCATATGGTAATTATGTTGATTTTTTGAGGAATAAACTGTTTTTAATTAAATGGCAAAGTGCCTGTCCGATTTCTGTGGGAAAGACGGCATCTACTATACTCCAAATGTTAATACTGATAATGACTGAATGATAGGACTGTGAGTGAATGAAGTTTACTGTCTCTTTTTCTGGCTTACTGTAATTTCCAGATCTTCTATAGGGAGATTATGGAAATTAAAGAATGAAAACATCTATAAAGCTTTTTTGGTACTATTACTTTTTTCTTGAGTGTCATAGCAAATGCTTTAATATTCCTAGCCCCTAAACATTAGTGCAAGCATACTTTTTCTATGAATGCAGGCCACAGCTATAATGCTCTAACTTTTTTTTTTTGGTTTAAAGAAGTAAACATTAGAGATTTTTTAGTGTTTGCAAATAAAGGTGATGGCTAGGAACCTGGAAGATCTCCCTGGTGGTTTAGTTATGCAGGAGCAAAGCCCTATGTAATGAGTGATACTATTAATTTTTCCAGGGAAAAGGACTAAGATTCACTAAAGTTTGCCTAGTCAAGAGAATCTGTCTTCTGCTCCCAATTATCATAATCACCGCTAACACCCTTAAACTGTTTAGGGATGGATACCAACATGCAGCTGAAATCTAGTTATATGTATGATGATTTCTGAAACATCTATACAATAGAACATTAGGTCTTTGCTTTGAAAATTTAGTGTATGTAATTAATAGCCATAAAACGGATTATAAAAGACCATCATTCTTGTGGTACACATGAGTAAGAAATTTTAGAGCAGAGGAAAGTAAGGGGACAGAGATTACGAGAGCAAGAGGAAAGGATATTGGAGAAGGAAGAGTAACTAGAAAAAGAGAAGTCAAGGAGAGGTGAGAAGGGAGAGAGAAAAACAGACTGAGACTGACTGAGATTAATTTTGTCTAAATTATAGGCTAATGTGTTTGGGACAGTCTAAATATGATCTTATCTAGAGGACCTCTCAAGGTCCTTTCTGGAACTGGGATTATGTATAAAGCTTAATTTTAGCTCAAGTTCTCAACTGAAATAGGTAAATGATCTCAGCTACTGGTTAATTTAATCATATATTCACTTACTTAAATTTTTCTCAATTTCAGAAATATTAGTTACAATATTCTAAACCTAAAATTTTGATCATTTAGTAACAGCAAAACTCTTCATAACTGAAAACATCAATTGGTAGCACGCGCTTAAAAAAGAAATGACTACATAATGGCTTATAATGAAAATACCTGGTCATTTGCTTTTTATCTATGAACCCCAATAAACATAGTTAGGCCTCTTCTAGCTCTACCACTTTCTGCCTATTGCCTTATTTTAACTGTCTCCAAATGAACTCTTTTGAGAATAAGTGATTTTAAAAACAAACAGCTGCCCTGTTCCTACAACTGGCTGTTAGAATGGTTTATAAAGTGGAATATATGAATTACCCCTCTAAGCTTTACACTTTTCCTTTCGGTTAGATAGGAAACAGATCTGATTATCTGTGAAGTACTTGTCTGGAATAGCCATAGCAGTTGCCTAAATTTCCACTGGAGGCAGCAGACTCCCCAGGCAAACCCACATCCCATGACTTCTGAAGGTTTTAAGCCAGGAATGGTTAACAGGGTAAGAGAAGAAGGCTTTAAGATAAGGCACATTCCAAGCTTACAGAAAGCTTCTTCCAAGATCCGATTTAAACACTGAAACCCAGGCTCAGCTGTAGAGAAGCAGTGTTAAATGAAAAAACATGAAAAACAGAAATCTTTAGTTAACGCTGAAGTGTCATTTTAGACATGAGCATCAAAGTATAATTTCATGAAATATTTAGCCATCAGTGATATTAACAAGTAAAAGTAAAATGGAAAAACTGGAAATTCTTCTCTTTTGCCTGTCTTTGTTCTCTACCAAGGAGAGAACTGGCTTAAGGATGGGCCACTGAAAAGAGAAGAACAAGTAGAACTGGTGGTAATACTTTATTTTTTTTTTTTTCTTTTGAGACAGAGTCTCACTCTGTCAGCCAGGCTGGAGTGCACAATGGTGCTATCTTGGCTCACTGCAACCTCTACCTCCCGGGTTCAAATGATTCTCCTGCCTCAGCCTCTTGAGTAGCTGGGATTACAGATGCCTGCCACCATGCCCAGCTAATTTTTGTATTTTTAGTAGAGACAGGGTTTCACCAGGTTGGCCAGGCTGGTTTCGAACTCCTGATCTCGTGATCCGCCAGCCTTGGCCTCTCAAAGTGCTGGGATTACGGGCATGAGCCACCGTGCCCGACCTAATATTCTTTAAGTCTTTCCTATAAGCATAGTACCTCAGAATTATAATCTCTGCCAATATAAAAATAAACAAAACATTTGCAAATTATTACACTCTACAAGTGAAAAAAATCTAGATAGCAGTTGCAGAGTCACTGTATTATGGAAGCAATGCCACCACAACCAAATATCAATGGTTAAAATGTATTAAATCCTACAACGATTCCTACATTCTCAGTTAATCCACAAATATTTTTAGAAATAATATTTTAGGCAATTTAGATGAGTAACTTCTAAAATATTTTGTTTGAATACCATATTTTTCAATATAAGCCCTTTATACCTGTGTCAAACTTTTACCAAAGTGGAAAAAAATTTCATTATTCATTAATACATCCTTTGTAAATTACAGTATTTAAAATACATGGGGAAAAATGTGTTTTATTTATAAGCAATGCTGGATATCACATTAAGAAACACTGCCAGGGCCGGGCGTGGTGGCTCACGCCTGTAATCCCAGCACTTTGGGAGGCCGAGGCGGGCAGATCATGAGGTCAGGAGATTGAGACCTTGAGACTGGCTAATGCGGTGAAACCGCGTCTCTACTAAAAATACAAAAAATTAGCCGGGCATGGTGGCAGGTGCCTGTAGTCCCAGCTACTTGGGAGCCTGAGGCAGGAAAATGGCGTGAACCCGGGAGACAGAGCTCGCAGTGAGCCGAGATCGCGCCACTGCACTCCAGCCTGGGTGACAGAGTGAAACTCCGTCTCAAAAAAAAAAAAAAAAAAAAAAAAAAACAAAAAAAAAAACTGCCAGAAGCAGTGGCTATTGTCTATTGTCTGTGATTCCAGCATATTGGGAGGACAAGGCAGGCAGATGATTTGAGCCTAAGAGTTCAAGACCAGCCTGGGCGACATGGGAAATTGTCTCTATAAAAATTAGCTGAGTGTGGCAGTCCCAGCTACTCAGGAGGCTTAGGTGTGAGGATCACTTGAGCCTGGGATGTAGAGGCTGCCATAAGGCATGATAGCAACACTGCACTCCAGCCTGGGTGACAGAGTGAGACCTTGTCTCAAAAAAAGAAAACATCTATTACGAAATGAAGGAAAAGGGATCTTCAAACCTAAAATACTTATTTTGATGTCTCTGAAAATTTTATTGTTTCTTTGAGGGTAAGTTCACATATTTCCTTTATATGTATTAGTGTGAGATAATACACTAGAAATTGATAGCTATTTTTCATACCTTGGAATGTAGAAATAAGAAATATACGTCGATCTGTTAAAAGCTGTGACTTAAATCATGGGAATTATTGTTTTTGTGTTCAAACATTTAATCCATGGTTATGACAGGCCACTGTGACTTCATAAGAGAAATAAAGAGCAAACGTCTCCCAAGAGCAAAGAAAAAAAAGAAAACATGGCCTCCCAGCCTAGTTTCCTTCCCACTTCCAGTGTTTTTTGACACAGCAAAGATGGTTAAAAAGCTTGGCCTCTGACTTCTGTGTATGTCCTAGGTACTCAAAATAAACTTGCAAAGATGTCAGCAATTTTTAGTGTTTAGAAGCTGCAAGGGATAGCTGTCTTTATCTACTGTGCTCAGAGACAGCACATTACCTAATGTATCAAGGATACTGCAGATCAATAGTATAGATCAATGATTTTATTTAGACAAATTATAGATTTCCACATAATTTAATTGATGACATAAGCTCTATATTCCACCTAAACACAGAGTGGAAGATAAATGAAGATCTAAATTATTTAAAAAGAAAGTGAAAATAACCAAGTCAGCTAGTTTTTTTTAGCATTACAAGCCCATTTCATGAAAAAAAAAAAATCCAGATTTTTTCCCCCTCTAACACAGCTAGAATAGATGTCAGTTCTTAACAACAATGTATTTAAGCATTCTAGGTAACTAGCCTTTGGTTACATGATCATTCTGCCAAAGTGGCTTTTAGTTTTCTTATTCCCACCAGATAAATTAAGAGTAACTTTCACAGGGATACATATAAAACCAAGAAGCCAACAGTCAGCAACTTTATTACTGCTTGGCGAAATAACAAACCTTTTCTTCTATTATATGTGATATACTGCAGTTAAAGAAAAACTGGATACTTTTTTAAAAAGCTTTTCTATCTCAAATCTTACAAATCCAATTCATCTCAGAGAGGGCTACTATTTAATAAGCATTACTAAAATAATTTCATAATTGACACTGCTTGATCATTTATGTCTACAAACCTGAAACACCTTTAAGGTTGATACAGACAACTTTCTAATCTTGAGAGGAAAATTCATTTTGGATACTACCGTAAAGACAAAAGCAGTATCAGCTTATATACACCATGACTTTAATGTGCTAAATATACAAAAATAGTCTCTTTCATAGCATTTTACCAAAAAAACTGCTCAGAATACATGTTTTCATTTGAACAATTTTCCCTTCGTTTACTTTTTAATATTTTGATTCTTTTAAAAAAAGTTCTTTTTCCAATTACAGGAAGGAAATAAAAATAAATGCAACTCTTTTATGTAAAGTAAATCCATCTGGATGTTTGTTGCATCCCATACTACAAACCTGTGATCCCCAACCAGAATGAGTTATAGTAAAGCTGCAGGCAAAATTGTCTCCATATACCACAATCCATTATCCCTGTCAAGTTAATGTTCCATGTTGAGCCATATGGCATGGGTACACATTCAACAAAGGAAATTCCTTAAACTTGTTATAATCAGCACTTGCAGTCATCCAAAAAACTGACATAAACAGCTTTATTGTGTTTAGAGCATTTCAGTTAATATCCATGACAAAAACAGGAAACAGTACAGGAAAAGGAGGAGGAATGTGGGGGTGCACAGCTATTCAAAAAAAAAAAAACACAAAAACCCTCAAACTGTACATTTTATAATTAGATTTTTTTCCCTAAGCAAGTGATTTTCAATTACAGTAAGCTCCAACCTCTTGACAGTGATCCACTGGGCAAGATTTAAGAGAGAGGAAAAAAAAAATTAATGGCATCAGTTTTCCATGGTATGAGCAAATTTAAATCTTGAAGTCTTAATTGTATCTGATTCATATAAGCCATTTCTGGCAAAATAATGAATGATTTGAATTTTCATGTTTGTTTTCTTTCTACAGTTGTCTCATAATTGCTAAAATCTAATGGTGCTTCATTAAAAAAATAAGGCAATTTAAATAAAGAATCTTTATATGCATTAAGTGTAGGTCACAGATGAATCAAGGGCTCCCAGAAGCCTTTCGTACCTGGCACAGCCCTGCACATCAAATTCCAGTCAAGGTACAAGTAGAGCAGAACTTCATTTCAGCCCCCGCAGTGACAACAATAAAATGCTGAGAAAACACACTATCAAATACTGAACTCAGCATCAATTTCTGTTAATTACAGCCTTGTCAGCAACGTGATTATTCAAACAACTCATGCAAATGTTAATGAGGCCTTATTTGCATATTTATTTTTTCCTTTGTTGAAATGTCATTGATTATTACATTCTACTATGATGAATGTGGTTGATGATGTGCTCTGATATGTAATTAGTCATTAGGTGGAATGAATAGATCAATTATGAAAAAGGACTAAGATTAAGAAATATCAAACAAGACCGCCCAATATAACTATAGAATCTTTTAAAAAAAGAACCTAATAAATAATTTCTTGACATTTAAACTGCAACATCAGTAGTTTTCAATAAATAAACCACCACTCTTGTGAGGTTAAGTGAAAGCTTAAAAATACATCAGTACTCTGATAATCCAATTATGATCACAGAAACTATCTTTTAAAAAATTGCAAATCACTTCAAGTGGCATATCAAAACAACAAACAGCAAAAAAGAACAGATTTTGCTTTAAACTTGCACAAATTAGAAATACAGAAAGCGTAATCTATTATGAAGAGGAGGTAAAAATAGGTAAAAAGAGAAAAGCACATAACATCCTAGACAGAAGGAGTAGGAACCTGATGGAGAATGACTACCTTTACAAAAGGCAAGGTAAGCAAAAACAAACTCCTTCATATCCCAATTTGTTCTTAGAGGAAAAGGATTATTTAGCTTCTGAAACTGTTTGCTGTAACTATTCAGCCAGCACTTGCTATTCACAGATGGGAAAAAAAAAAAAAAACACATTACTGCAGACCAGATGGGAACATTCCACATGACCAAACCAATCAATCACCTCGGTGGGGCGCAGGTGCAACACAGCCGTGTAGCAACACACCATTTCACAGTCTATCGGGCACAAACACATGGCCACCAATCAATGGCACCCTGAGGACCTCGGAGGGGGCAGGCTCTCTGGAGTCTTACTGGTCCATGCCTGATGACTTCATAATCACACATCATTTCATTCACTAGAGGATACAAACTAGCATTCTAATAACCTTCTACTGAAAATGGTCATGTTGTGCATATTAATACAGGGTTGTTTCGAGTGAGGCAACTGACTTTACACGGCAGGCTAAGCAAGGCACGCAGTGCTAAAACAACCTGAAGCTAGAAACTTCTTCCTATTTGAAGATGGCTATTCTGTTCAGGCTCAGATCAATGGTAACATGATTCATTCTGCCACATCAAAGTTGGCATGCAAGGCTTGTATCCTACACAAAACAACTGTTAAACAATAGTATGAAACAAAGGAGGATGAAAGTAAAAATGGTAGTTGGTAATCTTGTATGAAGGATAAAAAGGCTTTGCATCCTTCTAAAATAACCTAGCTAAAACTGAATTGCAAATAAAAATTAGGTGACCATGAAAAAAATTTAAATGTAGAGTCACTGGCTTTGTTTTCCTCACATTCTCCTGGTGTGTGAGGGGTGACTCTGTATAGTGCATAATTACAAGAGAAGATAAATAGAACAATTTTCAGCAAACATTGCTATAATTAGACATAGGCAGAGCTCCATGATCTGTTAGGTAGCATCCACAGAGCTCTTGTCAGCTCCTTTTACTCAGAGAGGATGTAGGCAGGGATATCTTGGATAACTTAGTATTATGAATAACTGATTGACTATATGCCATGTACAGATGACACAATTTAAAAAGAAAAATCAGGAAAAATAGGTTTCATTCTTAAAAAAAGCAAACCAGCAAACTCAAATCCTTGGTGGGACAAGAATGGGCACACACGTGTTTAACCAGTAGATTTCTTTGATAATTCAGAGGGCAATTCGGCACCTTAAAGGTCCTTAGATTCCATTAGGAACATCAATCATCAGAGCCAGAAATCATGTGGAAACCAGTGTAACACACGTAGCTGAATCTGAATTGACCCTTTGACAACCCTGAAAGTTGACTTGGGTGATTAATTTTTGCTGCCAATATGTTTATTTGATCTCTCTCAAAAACAACATATAGAAAATCTAATTATTTCACATTTCAGATTAGGATGCTGGATACATAAGTATTTACTTGTAGATATAAATACTACACTTTGCACAAAAGGCTAATAGTGATTACATATTCTACAGTCTAAAAGAAAAAAATGTACACATTTGATGAAAATACGCCCACTACAACAGAGATTCCCTTTGGGAAAGAAATCTAGTGATTAGTCAAAATAAGATATTATTATTATTATACACTGTTTTGTTTGTTTTAGTGAGGGGGCTTGCTCTGTCACCCAAACCGGAGTGTAGTGGCACAATTTTAGCTCACTACTACCTGGAATTCCCGGGCTCAGGTGATTCTCCCACCTCAGCCTCCCAAGTAGCTGGGACTACAGGTACATGCCACCATGCCAGGCTGGACGATATCATGATTCCACAAAGAGAAAGCTGACAAGATAAACTCACTGGTGGTTTATTATACACCATTCACTTTAAAATGCATACCTAACTTCTTTTCCAAATCTTAGACTAGAAGAAGACATCAGACCCAAATCAGAAGACTCAGATTCTACTTCAGGTTCTTACTATTTGTTGTTTAGCCTTTATCAGATGAAATTATAACAATGAGTTCAATTTATTAATCTGTAGAACGATTAGAGAGGACCTTGAAGTTTCTCCTCATTTATAATCTCCCTTTGTGGCCTGACATAACTTTAAAGGCTCTGTCTAGTCATCTTCAGAGTATCATGTAGGGATGAACAGAGATCAAATGTGCCAGTTCCAAAAGTACAGCAGGAAAAGCATAATGAGATATACTTATTGTTATAAGTGGTCATTTAAAATTGATGATGAGTGATTGCTTTTATGAGGATACAAAGACAACCATTCCTTTGGTTTACAGAAGCATTAGTAAGTAAAAACAGTAATATTGGACTTAAAATTTGCTTGCTTTCTAAACAGAGTAACACCACCATTTGAAAAATGGTACAATGTTACCCACCCATCCCCCAAACAACATAATAAAAAGATCATAAAACCTCTCCAAACAATTTTCTGAAGTAACTAACACATAGGTTGAGCTTTCCATGCAATAGCTCGGTTAAAGCTCAAAATAATGCAGATTACACCCATTCACCAGAAATGGAAAAAACATAAAGAGCAGTGACTGGTCTCATCAAAGCAACAGGCAGAATTAAACAGCATTCAAAGCTGTTAACCACCAGGTTTACCTTGTGCGACCACCAGAAGACATTTTCTCTTTTTTGATTCCAAATTCAGTCCTAAGTGAAAGCACCTACGTTTGAACCTTTTGCCCCCAAAGACACAGGAAATATCTTATTAACAGTATGTCTGACAATAACGCTCTGAAAAGCAAAACAGAAAATGGAACCCTTGCTTTTTAACTACTATGAATACAGAATTAAATAAAAAATAATATAGAAAGGTGAGGAGGTGAGCTCTGGAGTCAGATAAAATTTAGTTTAAATCCCAATTCCATGACTTACCAATTTTGTGACTTTTGGACCAGTTACCTAAACTTTCTAAACTTTAATTTCCTGATATGAAAAATACATAGTAATTCAGGCAATACATACAACTCGTAAGTTGTGAAGATTTTATGAGCTAATATATGTAGTACTTAGCAACGTGTGTAACACAACAAGCACATTTTTCATTATCATTTAATATTAATAATTAAAAATAGACTAATTTGAAAACACCAAAACCAGAAAAAAAAGAATCTCTTTAACACTCTACTTTCAGTTCAGAAACAGTTCTGATCCCAACTCTGTTGTTTAAAATAACAGCACTTCACAAGAAAATTGACGGCTCTCTTCTGGTAATCAACAATAACTGGAGATGTTGGTCAATGAATTCCTCAGCTGGTCCCCTGATAATGCACTCTAGAGTATCTGAGTTTGCAAATCCTGCCAAAAGAGTAGGGGTTTCTCTTTTGTCTAAAAAGATTCTATTTTTTTCTTTCTCTGGAGTTGTGTGAAGTTAAAAAACAAAAACAAAAGTCAGTATGCACGTAATTTACAGATGCTGCCTCTCTAAAATCCACAAAAAAAAAATCAAAATGGTCAATAATATATGTCAGTGGTCCTGCTCACTATAAACTACATATAAAAACAGGTTAGCTTTAAGGTAATAACATCTGGAAACCAGAGTTCTTCAACCATTCTAGCTGAAACAGTCTTTGGTGGTCATGCATCAAGACATTCATCCAAAATTGAGCCTTTCATCTGTTACAGACATTTTATCCTAGAGAGGTCAAAGTGTAAGGAAAACACAGTTCCTTAGGCACATTACATTTCAAATGAATCTAAAGAGACAGTCTATTAAATTCGATTCCTTGAAAAGGTTTCTTTAAACAAATCAGCTATTTTTGCTTTTACAGCAAAGATATAAAAGACAGTATCATATACAGTAACTAAGTTTACCTACTCCAAGGAGCCATTTCACAGTAGAGGAGCATAGGCAAAAAGGAGGGGTTGTTGGGGGAGTACAGTGTTGAATCTAGCACGAATACAAAAATCTGCATTTGAATCTAGCGTTCACAAGCTAACTGTAAGATGAACCCTGGTGAATTACTTGTATGTCTTCTCTCTAAGCCTCAGTTTCTTCATCTGTGAAACTGGAGAAGGAATGGGAAAGAAGAAATTAACGTTTAATAAATGTCTTCTAAGTGTTAGGCCCTGTGCTGGGGGATTAGATACATCTTTTTATTACATCATTCTCAAAAATAGTGCAAGGCCAGAACCACTATCTCCATTTCAGAAATTAAATCACTAAGTCTCAGAGTTTCCTCCAAAGAAGATACACAAGTAGTCAATAAACCCATGAAATTATGCTCAATATATATTTCAGACAGGGTTTTACTCTGTTGCCTAGGGTTGGAATGCAGTGGCGCATCACAGATCACTGCAGCCTTGACCTCCCCAGGCTCAGGTGATCCTTCCACCTCAGCCTTCCAAGTAGCTGGGACTACAGGTGCGTGCCACTAAACCTGGATAATTTTTCTAGAGATGGGGTTTTGCAATGTTGCCCAGGCTGGTCTCGAACTCCTAGGCTGAAGCCATCTGCCTGCCTCAGCCTCCCAAGGTGCTGGGATTATAGGCATAAGCCATAGCACCCAACCTATATTCATTATTAGTCATTAGGGAAATGCAAAACCTCAGTGAGGTTTTCACACCATTAAGATGGCTAAAATAAAAGGAACAGACGCATGTTGGCAAAGATGTGAAGAAACTGGAACCTTCATAAGTTGCTGATGGGATTGTAAAATGGTGCAGAGCCACTTTGGGAAAAAGCCTGGCAGTTCCTCAAATGGTTAAACACCAGAGTTATATTACCTGGTAACTCCACTCCTAGGTATACACCCAAGAGAACTGAAAATACGTCCATACAAAAACTTGTACAGCAAATACACAGCAATATTATTCATAATAGCCAAAGAGTAGAAGTACTCCAAATCTCAGTCAACTGATGAACAGATAAATAAAAAATGGTATATCCATACAATGGAATATTATTCAGCTATAAAAAGAAATGAAATATTGATTATGTAACATAACACAGATGAATCCTGAAAATACGCTAAGTAAAAAGAGTCAGTCACAAAAGACCACATATTATGTGTTTCTATTTATATGCAATATCCAGAATAGGCAAATCTATACAGAGAGAAAGACAAACTGTTGCTAGGAGATGGGTGAAGGAGGAAATAGGAATTGACTTCTAATAGGTACGGGGTTTCCTCATGGGGTAACCAAAATGTTCAGAAATTAGTGGTGATGGTTGCACAACTCTAAATATACTAAAAACCCTTGAATTGTATACTTTAAAAGGGTGATTTTATTATATGTGATATATTTCAATAAAACTATTATTAAAAACACTGAAGTACAGAGCAGAATTGTGGTTACTGAGAAGGAACCAAAAAACCCCACTGAATTCTAAATATTTTAAAAAATGGCAAACTTCTCACATAGTGTTATGAAGATTAAATGAACAGAGCAAAAGCACTTTGCGTGGTGCCTAGGATAAATGAAGGTTCTTAACGAAATGGGACCTCCTTTTTCCTTTGTCAAATGCGGTAGAAGTTAAACATGATCTTGATTCTAACTTGAGAGCTTAATAAAGCTACCTGTTTCTCGTCATCTGATTAGCGAAAAAGGAGTACAATTACATGTTTATAGATGTACAGTAGGAAAATCAGTATATACCTATCATTAGTATAAAAGAAAATGGACTTACTAACAGCCCACACTTGAAGCGGACATACATATAATGAAAATATACTGAAGACAGCCAAATGAGTTATGTACAACTGCACAGAACTCCAAGGGATCCCCTCCAAATGAGTCAGTCATGGATCATCTCAGGAACAATGGAGTTGCATCCATGAACATTATATCCCCCTTTTTAAAAAAGAACATTACTGTTAAATGAATTTGGTAAGCTCATAAAATTGTTCTCATTTCAGAATTAGATATTCCGATGTCCAGGGACAGTATTTAAATGTTAAAACAAACAAGCAAAAAATGTGTGTTTCATCCCATTAGATGGCTCGCCCGAGAATTCTAACAGTGATCAAAACAGGACCCTACATGCCAATTAACTCATCAACCGACGTAATAGTGAAGAATAAGTAGGGACAGCTCTTCCTATGGGGCACCATAACCTCTAGAAAGAGTTCTCTGTATCTATTCTTACACTTTCACTGGGAGTGACTAATTTGAATTATTAGGTAAATAGTTTTTACTATTGATTACTATATACTCACACTCATTCACTCAACATTTCACAAATGGTCAACTCATTCTCAAACTCAGTAACAGGACTCACTTTGTTTAAATCGGTGCAGGAAGCACTGGGAAGATACTCAGAATCCTGAAATGTAAGGAGATGAAAAAATTTTCTATATAAACGGTGATGGTATTTATATGATAAACGCTACTCTATTATAGGTTGCCTTTACTTGTGTGAACTATGAATGACCAAAAACTATTAATGATGAAAATATTAACCATTTTTGTCTCCTCAAAGTTTAGCAGAACTTCTTGTATATTGTAATTGTTTTATAAATATTTACTGGATGTATGAATAAAAAAAAAGAAGAAAGAGTACAAGCGGGCCAGGCAAGGTGGCTCACACCTGTAATCCCAGCACTTTGGGAGGCCAAGATGAATGGATCACCTAAGGTCAGGAGTTCGAGACCAGCCTGGCCAACGTGGTGAAACCCTGTCTCTACTAAACATACAAAAATTAGCCAGGTGTGGTGGTGGGTGCGTGTAATCCCAGCTACTCAGGAGGCTAAGGGAGGAGAATTTCTTGAATCCAGGAGGTGGAGGTTGCAGTGAGCTGAGATCACGCCACTGCACTTCAGCCTGGGCAACAGAGCAAGACTCTCTCTCTCCAAAAAAAAAAAAAGAAAAGAAAAAAAAAGTACAAGTGAAGAGTAAGAAAGAATATATATTTATTGTTTTGATTTGTTTCCATTAAGAAAGGACCCTACCCATGTTCCCAAGACACAAAATAGCCACATTGGACAGATAAAATTATGGCCAATTACAAAGAATCTTGATAATCTTATAGTTTCTGTGTACTGCCTTGTCATAGAAAATTTCCATTAAACATTAACATGTAGCATAGAGATCCTCACTGTGACCTTTTGAGAATCACTGGGGAGACCAGATATTAAGGGAGATCAGATAATAAAGCAAGATTGGTAGTAAACCAAGATTGGTAGATGCAGGCTGGTTTAGGGCACATCAATGACAGAAAGATGGAATCTAACTAAGGAGCCAAAGACTGACATTATCAGAGAAACATATTTAACTTCAGCAACTGAGGTTTTTCCAATATGTAGATTAAAGGAAGGGTTTTAGTTTTTTGTTTCTTAAAGCAATATGCATGAGAAATGATTCTCCAATAGGACTGACACAGAGCATGTTATACTGGAGAGGATGGAGAGTAGAGATTATGAAATCTGAAAAATTCAGTTACCTTTTTGGTTTTATAATGCAAGTAGAAGGCTCAACCAAATTTTTGCTAATAACTTTATAAGGATGATTCAACAAAGAAGCACCTCTGGAAGAAAAACACTGTACTTATGACAAATTACTATGGACTGTTGAGGTCTCAATTTAAAAAATCAGATGCTTTGTTTTTTTTGAGATGGGGTCTCACTCTGTCAACCAAGCTGGAATGTAGTGGCGCAATCTTAGCTCAGTGCAATTTTCTCCTCCTGAGCTCAACTGATCCTCTCATCTCAGCCTCCCAAGTAGCTGGGACTACAGGTGCATGCCACCATGCCCAGCATTTCTTTGTTGTTGTTGTTATTTTTAGTAGGGACGTGGTTTCATCATGTTGCCCAGGCTGGTCTCGAACTCCTGAGCCCATGCAATCTGCCTGTCTTGGCCTCCCAAAGTGCTGGGATTACAGGTGTAAGCCACTGTGCCCAGACCTAAAATCAGATTCCCTACACACAAAATCTAAGTATGATAAACCTAAAGATTATAAAATACCATATTCACTGGAGTTACTAGTTGATTTAATATCTTTCTACAGTTTTAGTTTTCTATATGTGAAGAAAACAAGCTGAGAATTGCTTCTATTTACAAGAGTGTATGCCTTTTACTTAAAGGGTTATAAAATAATTTTAAAACTACATAAACAATAAGCAGAAAAAAATTTAAGTACAGCACATTCTGTATTTACTGAAAACACAAGTATTAATGTTAAATTCACCACTGTAAAGAGAAAACTTCTTGCTTTCTAGAAATTAGCTATGTGTCACAAAGTAATAAAGTAAAACTTAACTAGCCCATTACCATGGCTGTTCAGAAATTCATTGTTGGCTTGTCTGGTATCTTTAAGTTTAAAGGCTAATATGTAATAACTTTCTATTTATTTATTTCATGAGTCTCATCACTCATTCTACCTGTAGGTTTGCCTCGTGTAACTGTAAAATAGTAATTGCTTCATTTGTTGTTGGCCTTAAGTTAACTGGGTGCATCCTATTACCAATCACAGCAGTAGTCATATGATTTTATTCAGGCTTAACAGCTGGATCTACTACAATAGAACTTATAGAAATATTATAAAGTCTTTAGTCAACATTTTATTTTCAGACCTTACCACTGGATAAAGGAGAACAAGACCAGTTACATTTCAGGCCTCAAATCATACTTGGTTTTCTTAGGTTTCCCTGCATATAAAAGTTCCAAGTAATTTTTCATAACGATCTGGTCAGGCTGCTGAACCTGGGCATGAAAGCTTGGCTATCTGTCCTCAGTGGGATCTGTATCATCACCCCATTCAAATTTCCTATCCAGTTGATAGTTTCTTCCTGCTAAGGCAATGCTTAGACATAACGGCGGTCGCGGAAAAAGAAATATAATCAGGTTGATGCAACCACTCTAAGAAAAAATAAATATTTTTGGCTGGGTGCGGTGGCTCATGCCTGTAATCCCAGCACTTTGGGAGATGGAGGCGGGCGGATCACGAGGTCAGGAGATCAAGACTGACACGGTGAAACGCCATCTCTACTAAAAATACAAAAAAAAAGTTAGCCGGGCATGGTGGTGGGCACCTGTAGTTCCAGCTACTCTGGAGGCTGAGGGAGGAGAATGGCGTGAACCCGGGAGACGGAGCTTGCAGTGAGCCGAGATCGCGTCACTGCACTCCAGCCTGGGCAACAGAGTGAGACTCTGTCTCACAAAAAAAAAAGAAAAAAGAAATATTTTTGAGAGTCAAGCCATTGTGTCTGGTGAAAATGTTAGTGCACTGACAGGATATTAGCAGTTGGAGGCCAGCACAAGGACTTCTGGAATGTGGCTGCCTGCATTTCTTCATTTTGTAGAAGAATGTAGCTGTTACCTGCAATACCTGGGAAGTCTGGAACACCCATGGTAACCAGTTCAATCGGATCCATGAAGAAGGCCCCCATCATGCTGGCCAAGGTGAAGTCAACCAGAGTGCCCAGAATTCTACAGGGGATGATGGAGCCAAAGATACCCAAACATGCTAGCTCCCAAATTCCCTAGCCAGTCTCAGCATTGTTTGTCATAGCTGTACTATTTAATATTTTCCTCACATCAATGTTTTGCTGAAATCAAGTAACAGGAAATGAAAATGATAAATCTCTATGGAACAAAGTGGAATCAAAAACATGGAAACCAAAGTATATGAAAAACTCCACTAGAACAGAATGGAAAATCAGCAGCATTTGCCATGAACAGAAACTTCCTGCTTTAGATTCTGAGCCAGAGGCCTTTAGAGGAGAGACTCAAGAATTAAACCAGACACAGTGGCTCACATCTATAATCCCAGCACTTTGGGAGGTTGAGGTAGCGGGATCACTTGAGCTCAGGAATTTGAGACCAGCCTGGGCAATGTGAGACTGTGTCCCTATGGAAAAAAAAAAAAAATTTTTTTTTTTTTTGAGACGGAGTCTCACTCTGTCGCCCAGGCTGGAGTGCAGTGGCGCATCTCGGCTAACTGCAAGCTCTGACTCCCGGGTTCACCCGGGTTCACGCCATTCTCCTGCTTCAGCCTCCTGCGTAGCTTGGACTACAGGCGCCTGCCACCAGGCCCGGCTATTTTTTTGTTTTTTGTACTTTTCTAGTAGAGATGGGGTTTCACTGTGTTAGCCAGGATGGTCTCGATCTCCTGACCTCGTGATCCACCCGCCTCGGCCTCCCAAAGTGCTGGAATTACAGGCATGAGCCACTGCACCCGGCCTTAAAACTTTTTTTTTTTACATTAGCTGAGTGTAGTGGTGCTCGCCTGTAGTCCCATCTACTCAGGAGGCTGAGGTTGCAGTGAGCTGAGATTGTGCCACTATGTTCCAGCCTGGACAACAAAGCAAGATCCTGTCTTAAAAAAAGAAAAAAAAAAAGAGAAGTGGTAGAGTTGCCTTAGCAGCAAATGGAGATTGTCTACCTAATTAGAAGAAATGAAAGACTTTCAAACAAAATACTTTAAAAGAATCTTACAATGGAATTCAAAGTTATTTAACTCTGTGTTAGTATCCCAAATAAATCATTTAAAGAAACAAGGAAATTAAAAAATTTTAAACATTGTTAGCAGTGGTTTCAGCTTCAAAATAAAGCTCATTACCAAAAATAATGCTAATTATATACTTTCTATTGCAAAAGCCTCAGACTTTCATTCACTTAAGAATTATTTTCGTTCATGCTCATTCACTTCATTTAAATCATCAAAGCCATGTAAAAGCAAAAATTTTCTGACATAGCAAAGAGCTAAAGTTTGAATTTAACAAGAAAGAAACACACATAAAGGCAGGAAGTTTACTATTGTATCATTCATTGTTGTGAATGACATCTGTCTTTTTTGCTTCAATGTTGGTAATTATTTTGCATTTAGTTTAAATGTTTGATTTTCTCATCCACTCAACCTTTTCTCCACAATAATCTGAGACCCCTTTCCATTAAATTATTTTAAAAAGCTGTTTTTTAGTTGGTCTGCTCTGCTTATCTATTTTATGTAGAAAGAATAAATCCCTTTCAAATCTCTGTTCAATTTTTTCTACAACTAATGAACACATCCTAATTTATGAGCCTCACTCTTAGAAGGCTTAGTTTATGACCAGTTTGTAAGAGATCTAGTGAATACACATTTTTCTAAATACTGCATTCCAAATTTAATTGTATTTAACAGATACATTCCAAAGGTCCTAACAAAAACAAAACCAGGAAATAAAATGATGGGATGAATTGGCTCTTCTGGTGGTTCTCTTTGAAGCTGAGAAACTATAGTAGTAGCACAGCATTGTATTTTAAGAACATGTACTTTGGAGTCAGAGAAATCTGAGTTCGTTCTACTTCCTCAATCACAACTTAATAGTCGCTGCAGCAAGTTTGTTAGTTGACTTCTCAAGTTTGTTTCTATACCCATAAAATAATGCTGTTAAAAGAATTGAATGAAATAATGAATATAAACACTTCTTACAATGCCTGGCTTACAGGTATGTGCTGAACAAACTGTAGTTACTAGTATATATGATCATTATAATGAGAATTACATTGTCTTTCTGTTTTGTTTTTTGGCCACAAACATGAAGTCCAGTGATTATGTTTCAGGAAATCAAACATGCATCTCTCCTAAGATTGCTTAAGCTCTGATGAAGGGGACTTAAAGCTATAACACAAGGCAAATTTTTATTTCCTCAAAGGTGCCATGGTGAAAAAAATGTGAAAAAAAAAAATCAAGCAAGACTTTAAAAATGAGGTGATGTTTGAACAGGACTATGAAGCATGGGCAGGTTTGGGGGTGGTTTTTTTTTTTTTTTTGTACAAGGAAACAAGGAGATAAGAAGCAGGAAAAGTGAAAACATTTTAAATAGAATAGCATATAGTAGACAATAAATGTTGGCTAAATATGTAATACACAAATAAAAATCTCTATTTTATTCTAATCTCACCCATAGGTATACTGTGTTCACTCACCATCATAAAAATATGGCAAGGACAACCTAGTAAGTTATATATAACTCCACAAAACTCCAAAGAATCTTCCCCAAGAATTCCAGGAACAATAGAGCTGTATCCATGAACATTATTCCTTTTTAAAGAAGAACACTGTCAGACCATTTGTGCTGCTGTAACAAAAATTCCATAGAATCGGTAATTTACAAACAATACAAATTTATTTCTCATGGTTCTAGAGACTGAGAAGTCTAAGATTAAGGGGCTAGCAGGACTGGCATCTGATATGGGTTGCTCTCTGCTTCCAACATGGCACTTTATTGCTGCCTCCTCTGAGGGGAGCAATACTGTATCTTCAAATGGCAGAAGGGCAAGAGATAAACGCTGTGTCCTCACAGGGTAGAAGAGTGGAAGGGCAAGAAGGTGCGCCTTTCGACCTTGAGCCACTTCATAAGGCGTTAATCCTATTTATGATAGTGAAGCTCTGTCATAATTTAATAACCTCCCACAGGCCAACTACACCTTTTAACACTGTTGCATTGAGGGTTAAATTTCAACATGAATTTTGGAGCAGATACCATCATTCAAACCATGGCAAACACTATTGTTCAAATAAATTCAGTGAACTCATGGAACTGCTCTAATTTCAGAGTGAACCGAATTCATATTTAGAAAACAACCAAAAATGTATTATTTAAACAGTGACAAAGTCTGGTTCTATCCATCAGCGAAGTTAAGCTTCATCTTTGTCCTAGACTAGCGAAAGAACCTCAGTTTCTACGTCAGTCATGTAGCCTCACTGGTAGATGTCATCATCTATATAGCCTCTGGAATGTATGTCAGCTCCAGATCATGCCAAAATGCTACTTCTTTCAGTTTCAAAAACAGATATCCATAAAACTCCTGTTCCAGATTACCTTTCAGTATCAGCTCATTTGCAGAGGAGAGACAACAGGCATTTTCCTTTCCTTTCTTTTCTTTTTTTTAGACAGTCTCACTTTTTCACCCAGGCTAGAGTGCAGAGGTGCAATCATGGCTCACTATAGCCTCAATCTCCTGGGTCCAAGTGATCCTCCAACCTCAGTATCCTGAGTAGATGGGGCCACAGGCTTGCCACAACAGACATTTTCTGAGCCCACTTAACAACCAAACTCTTCCAGTCTCTCATTAAAGAATGTCTCACTTTCCTACACACTGAGATTCCTCACTCAGGTGGCTCTCACAGGAGATCAGCATTTACCAAAAACATTTTAGGAGAAGGATCAAAATCTTACAGGTCCCATATGTAAAATTAGATATGGTGGGGCATAGCAAAAAAATATAGAAATATAATTGTCCATATAATATAAATAAAATATGCTGATAAAATTTTATTCTTCAAGAAGCTGGCAACCTAACAGGAGAGACAGATATGCATTCAAACAACTATAACAAAAGCCAAAACATACACAGAACTGTAAGTCCTGAGAGCTCATCAATGGCAGGGATCATGTAATCTATCTACAGTTTAAAAGCAGTTCAACAAACAATTATTGAGCACTTGATATATATCAGATATTGGATAGGGCCAAGGGAAGAAATGAATCAAGACATCCTATCTTCAAGAAAACTCCAACCTAAAAGCAAGTGTACACAAACAGCAAATTTCAGCATAACATATACAGGGAGCCACAGACAAAACAGCAAGGGAGCACTGAATCCAAGTTGGGAGTTTAGGCAAGGCTTTCTAGAAAAGACAAGCATGGGTTGAAAACTCCAGGACGGCAAAGTCATAAATGCTTCCATTACCAATGTACATCCGAGTAGTCAACGCAGTATCTAGCAAATGGCAGAAATGCAGTAAGTACTGATAAATGAACTGACAGATTTAATTAGGCAAAAAAATGTATGAAGGGCATTTCAGTTAGGGGGAATAATGTGAAAGAAAAGCATGCAAACATAAAACACTTCAAACTAAATGTGTAATTATAAGCAGGTAAATAGTAGTAGGACCTAAGACTCATGACAAGAAATGACAGGAAATAAGGATGGGATATTTGAATACCCTGCATTTAGCTAAGGTTCTGAGACAGAAACAAGGTTGGTGGTCCAAAAAACTTTCAATGTAGTAATGTAAACAACTGATTTTTTTAAAGAGATATAAAGTACTATGGGAAAGCTTAAGAGAAAGAGGTGAATTCCTATTTAGGATTGCCACAGGATCACATGACGAATATTTACCAAGGATCTGCTAAATCAGTGATATTGTGATTCCACTGCCCATTCCTTTAAGAGTTAAAATATTCTAAAATCCAAAGTATACAGTATCCATATGGAGTGAGGGCTGTTGAATAAAGTAGGAGGAAGAAAAGAGACTCTATTTCTTAATTTTGTTTCCAAATAACACAAGGATGAAAAAAGAAACTTCAATTTTACTAGCTGGTTTACAATTATACTTGACTACGGAGTCTCAAAAATAGCATACAGTATCGTATCTAGTATGAAGAAGATACTTAAAAAAAAAAAGCTGTGGACCGGGTACGGTGGCTCATGCCTATAATTCCAGCGGTTTGGAAGGCTGAGCGGAGAGGATTGCTTCACATCAGGAGTTTGAGACTAGCCTGGGCACAATGTGAGACCCTGTCTCTACAAACACTGCCCACCCACCGACCTGCTGCCAAAAAAACAAAAAAACAAACAAACAAACAAAAAAACAAAACCACCATTAGCCAGTCATGGTGGTTCATACTTGCAGTCCCAGCTACTCAGGAGGCTGAGGCAGGAGAATCACTTGAACTGGGGAGGTGGAGATTGCAGTGAGCTGAGATCGTGCCACTGCACTCCAGCCTGGTGAAAGAGTGAGACTCCGTCACAAAAAAGAAAAAAGAAAGAAAACCTGTGAGGGTAGGCATGAAATAAATAGCCCTTCATTAACTGCAAATTCATGACTAACCTATCACAGTACATGATAAAACAAACAAGTTATTCTGAGAGAGTGGTTGATAGATAATACATTATATCCTTTGGGGGAAAAAAAAGGAAAAAAATGTTAGCTTTGAAAATCTGAACACTTTCTTTTTACCTCTATCTTAAGGAAAAAATAAAATATCTTCAGGCAAGTGTGTACATACACAGATATGGAAATTCAAGTATGGCTAGTGAAAGAATTAAAAATCAGTTTCTGGAATTCTAGCTAACTCTAAAGACACTTAGATTGCCTTTACACTGGTTAAACAAGACAAGAAAAACTGGAAAAGAAAATCACATTAGACATAAAAATCTGAAAATATACTGGCTACTTTAGACAAGTAGGTCTGAAGAAGTAACACATATATGCACAATGCAACCACTAACTGAAAAATCTAAAACTGAAAACGCAACCACTAACTGAAAAATGGTAAAAATTTTTCCACAGGCAAGTTCAGAAGGTTTCTGTTAACTGGGAGGCAAGTTAAGGGTAACAGCACTGTCTGAAGCTTAATCAAATTGGTAAGATGTCAAAGTATATCAAAAAAAGAAAAAAAAAGATATTTCAAATGAAGAGCACATACTGCTGATCCAAAGCACCCACTAAAGGGAAAAGAGGACCTTCATCTGTATAGTTTCTAGTTCAACTGCATCCAAAGTCTCAAGAGACAGTCAGTGATTCTTTAACATGGGTTAACAGAAATAAGAGTTAATTTGCTCAGACAAAATTCTTTCCTAATGAATCACTGCCCTTCAATTTGCTCTTTTATTTAACATTTACAAAGGTTGTTATTGACGTTTGCTGTATATCACTGCCAGGGGACCAAGCTGTGTCTGTGCTTAGAAAGAACACAATGGTGACAAGGCAGTGTTATAATCAACATAGAAGCTTGCCTTCCTCACACTGCCAAATATATCCTGGCCAAGCAACCTCATCCTAGACACTGCAGAGCCAATTAAATTGATCATTGTACTGAATACAAGATAAGCTTTCTGCAATGCAAGAACTGATAGAACAAAGATAACAGACAAAAATGACTCAATGAAATTATCAACAACAAAACTTAATTTAATATGCCTTCCCCCCCCTTATATTTCTATGGACAGACTATTGAAATATAAACTCTTCACAAAATAAAAACAATTTTTATAAAATATCTGCAAGCGTTCCATGTTTATAGTCTATAAAACCACTATGGAAATTATACAAGTATTTTAATAATAGTTTCATATTAATAATGGCATGATTCTAAATGAAATAAAATGGCCTTCATCCAAAGTTGGGGGAAATGTTATTACAAATTTTAATTTACCAATAACAGAAAATGCTAGAGTACTATCAATGTGCCAGGTACTACTTTCTGCATCAAGTATGTCCTTTAATTCTCAAACCAATATTACAATGTAAGTATAATTACTATCCGCATTTATATATTAAGAAACTGATGCTTACAAACAAGAGCCAGAATTTGAACCCAGATCATACTTGTAGGAAAGTAACTCTAATCCACAGTAACAAAGAAGTTTTGCTCATTCATGGCAGAGCTTAAAATTATAGCAACTCTTGAGGCTATTTTCTGTCAAAGTTAATAATATCTAATTATAGACCTAATTTTTACTAGTAAAGAAGATGTTAAGATCCTTTTTTTCCTACCTCTTTTATTGGGTTTTAAAGATGCTAAGAAGGCCAGGTGCAGTGGCTCATGCCTGTAATCAGAGGCATTTTGGGAGGCAGAGGCAGGGGGATTGTTTGAGCCCAACCTGGGCAACCTAGTGAAACTCTGTCTTGACCAAAAACAAAACAAAACAAAAAGGCCAGGTATGGTGGTGCACACCTGTAGTCACAGCTCCTTGGGAGGCAGAGGTGGGCAGAGCAAAACCCTGTCTCAAAATGAAAAAGAAAGAAAAAAAAAAAGGTGTTAACAGTTGAATTTTAACATAAGGCTTTTTTTTTCTACTTTAGCTCTGTTTTTCCTCATAAACAAAAGTGTCATTAAAAGAACAAACCTACATGACATGGTTAGCAGTGACACTGATGCCAAATAATGATGAAATCTGGAAACCTTTAGTATTCAAATCAACTCACACCCAAAAAAGGGAGTCAATAAAAGCTGTTAATAAATTACTTCATTATACTGTCCCCAAGCTTCTTCTCAGCTACCCTACTGCAATTAACCAAAATACTTCCTTCTCAGCTATTAAATTATATAGAGAAAAATAAAATAACGAAGCATTATAAGTGACATGAGAATGGCAATTATTACATAAACTGTAACCTCCCAGATGGTAAGATCTTATAGCTCTCATATATCATTTAAATAATTATTAAAAGAAAATCTGGACTTAGAAAATACTACATAATAATATTTACTGCTGGGTTCAGTGGCTCACTCCTGTAATCCCAGCACTTTGGGAGGCCGAGGCAGGTGGATCACTTGAGCCCAGGATTTTGAGACCAGCCTGGGCAACACTGCAAAACCCTGTCTCTACAAAAAATTACAAAAATTAGCCAGGCATGGTGGCATGTGCCTGTAGTCCCACCTACTCAGGAGACTGAGGTGGGAGCATCTCTTGAGACTAGGAGGCAGAGGTTGCAATGAGCCAAGACCATGCCACTGCTCTTCAGCAGAGCCAGAACCTGTCTCAAAAATAAAATAAAATAAAATAAAAAATATACCACAGTAAAAAATAATAGAATATTCATCAACCTCTGAGATCCATAATCTTATTTGAAAGTCAGCTACATAAGGAATCTAAAGTTTATTGGTTACCTGTGAAAATGTGTATATGTAGGACCCAGGGTCAGTACACATGATAGTTAAAAACAGGCTTTGGAGTCAAGGATACCAATACTTCCCTATCACTACTGATAGTGTCAAGTAAAAAGATACTTAATCTTGTCATGCTTCAGTTTCCTCAACTATAAGGTGGGACTAACAATACCTGCCCCACTTTTTTTTCTGAGGATAAAATGAGGCAATGTTATGGAAACAATCATGACAGAATCCAAAACAGTAAGGAACTATGTAAATGCTAAGTCTGGGAACTGGACAGAAGAGAGAAGGAAAAAGGCATTTTTTCCTATTTTTCTGAGTTAAGGCCTGGAAGAAATACATCTTTGTTTTCCTCTTCTCTCTCATCTTACAATCTTCTCCTATTGCCTAGCATCTCTCTGCTTACCTGGTGCTTAGGGTGCTAAACTCTTTATCATAGATCCCATCCATTCAGTAAATTGTCATCCATGGTACACCACACGCCAAAATGACTGACCTTTCTCGCACAAAACTTCTCTGCTAGGAATTAAGCAACAGAACTTGACTAATTTATAATAATATATTAACATTCTGACAGATTATACTTATTAACCCAAATCAATCACTAATGGAATACAAGGCATTAGTGAAAAAAAATTAAAATCTAGGCAAAAATAGACAGTATGACCTTTCCTAAAAATCTGCCTACAGGCTTGTGCTTTTTTCTACTTACTACAGATTCTTCCAATATAATTCACATCTTCACCAGGTCCTAAGTATTTTCAAAATAGCTTCCATGACAGTATGCAGGTAATAATAGTTGTTTGTAAGATGCTAATGCCACTAATGTCACTGCCAATTTCATCAAAAATTACTAGAATGTATATTTTGATGTTGAAATCATAGAAATTACCTGTTTTTCTTCATAATCAGAAGCTAACATCAGGACTAAAATACACTTATGTTTTGTTTATTAGTTTATGTAGCTCACTCCATAAATAAATGAATGAAGTACATTAAAGTTACTGCAACAAGAGGAACTAAACTATAATTTTTGAATAGAACTTTGAACCTTTGATCTTTAATTCTTCCAGTTAAAGGGTGGATAACCATTATCTATCCTATGAGGTAAACAGAACCCAAAAGAATATTTATTTTCCAAAACTACAGAAAGAGAACAAATCTAAAAGTTCAAAGTACTGTCAGCCTAAACCAAAGCTCAATCAGACATTTAATTGTTTGAGAATTGTTTAAAACTGCTATCATGCAACATAAACAGAGAGCAAAATAAACATGCTTACTGTTTTCTATTTTCCTTCCTTGTTGCATTACCAAAAAAAAAAAAATCCTCATTTTAGTCCTGAGTTTGGTAAGAAATAGCTTTCATTCATTCACGTATTCAATATATATTTCTTAATGCCTCCTTCAGGCAAAGCATTATGCTAGATGCCAAAGATATACAACAACTTAAAACTCAACCAACTATATTGTGAAACCAAGAATGTTGTTCTATTTGGAAATAAAAACATTGAGATTTTTGTGAAATTAGAAACAATTGAGAGGAATTCATGTACCCTAAGAAATGCTTACAATGGCTAACCCTTTCCACCCTACCTGTCCCGCTACTACCTCCACTTAAAATCTTAACTGTTTATAAAAACATTATACGTGGGGCATGGTGGCTCACACCTGTAATCCCAGCACTTTCAGAGGCCCAAGTGGAAGGAATGCTTAATTCCAGGAGCTCAAGACCAGCATGGGCAACAAACTGAGACCCCATCTCCACAAAAAAATAAAAATAAAAAAATTAGCTAGGTGTGGTGGTGTGCACCTGTACTCCCGACTACTTGGGGGGCTGAGGTGGTAGGATCATTTGAGCGCAGGAGGCCAAGGCTGCAGTAAGCCACGATCATGCCACTGCACTCCAGCCTGCACAACAGAACAGGATCCTGTCTCAACAAACAATTACAGTAGGTTAAATGCCTATAGTTTCTTCTACTGGCTGAAAGTACCTTGGGATGACTGCCAACTACAACCACTTCCCCAAGTAACAAGCTCCTGATAGAGTAATAAACAGAACATGTAATATGCTCCTATTTCAAAGAGTAATAAATCACATATTAGTGAGATAAACAAGTTTTCAAAAAGGGATCACAAAAAATTAGTTGTTAGGCTTATATATGGTTCTCAAAATTGAAGCCACTCACTAAAGTCCTCCACCCCTATTGAGAAGATCTAAGACTCTTATTTCAAGACTGGGGCCAAAGCCAGGTTTCATCTCTAAATTTACTATTTTTTTTCTTCTTTTTGAGACAGGGTCTCACTCTGTCACCCAGGCTGAACTACAGGGGCATCATCATGGCTTACTCCAGCCTCTACCTCCTGGGCTCAAGCTATCCTCCTGTCTCAGATTCCTAAGTAGCTGGGACTACAGGTGCATGCCACCACGACCCGCCTAGCTGAATTTTTTTTTTTTTTTTTTTTTTAAGTAGAGACGAGCTCTTGTTATTTTGTCCAAGCTGGTCTTGAACTCCTGGTCTCAAACAATACTCCTGATTTGTCCTCCCAAAGTGCTGGAATTACAGGTGTTAAGCGACTGAGCCCAGCCTAAATTTACTTTTCAACAGGAGTTCTGTATCTTCCAGCAGACAATGACAGTACTCCTTTCTTGAAAGGTAAGGGGGATGTTAGGAAATGAGCATTAAAAGAAAAAGAAAAAGAAAAAAAAGAAGCAAAAGAAAGGTAAGGGATTGCCAGTCAAGAAATGCTAATTTACTGAATGTTGCTATATTTCAGGCATATTGTAGAAGATACAGATAGAAATATAAATAACAAGGAGACCTGCCCTCAAGGAATTTATAATTCAGCAGAAAAAGAGAGAGGTGTACACAAATGTCTATGATAAATGGTACTAAGGTATGCTGCTCAGCGAGCTGCACAGATCATTAAGGAAATACAAAAGAAGCAGTGAATGTCTATTTCCGAAGCTACAGATGTCAAGCATAAGCTAATCCTTGACGGATAAGAAGAAATTCAGTGTCATCTAGGAAAGGCAAAAACTTGTGAAAGTGAATATTAGCTCTAGAAATAGGGAGTCACGGGGATATGGCCAGAGTGTGGGATACTTGGTAGAGATGAAGATGAGAAAAAAACAAAGCTTGAGCCAGAAAAATGAAGATCTTCAAGTGCCATACTAAGGAGCCTAGAGGCTTTATCCTAGAAGTAGGACACACAGAACAATGATGTGCAGGAGATCCACGATAACTTCTTACCATGAAAAAGCAGAATTCTTAATTGAAACTTAAAGTATTCAAACTGAAAATCATGTTTTAGTTAAATGAGTTTGGATTTTATTTTTTTTCCTACTCAAATAAAATGCTCTATATTACTATAGCTTAATATGGAATGTAATGTCTAGACAGTATTCTATTTTTATACTCATCATAAGCTTATTAAGTACAAAGTCTGAGTCTTTAGTAATTCTTTTGAAGGTAATGTCTTTTTCATCTTGATATTTCCCACACTCTTAAGCACAGTGTTTAGCACATAAAAGGTACTCAATAAAATAAGAGATACTATAGTAAAACTCTTACAGGAAAAATTATTAGAATTTGTGCTATACCAAATCAATTTCACAAAAATGAACTGCCTGTCCACTGTTTTTCCACAAAAAATCCAGGCCATCTACACCTTGCTGGAAGGATGGAACCTCAACTGCTATACTCCTTAGATTGCTATACAGCAATCTAAGTGGCCCCATCACAGCTCCTCTCCTTGAACATTTGTTGAGATCAAGTTGCAGCTGGGCCAGGCACAATCGGTCACAGTTAGACAGCTGAGGGCATTCCAAAGAGTAGTGTTCCTTCCTCCACATTATCTGCCAAAGTAGTCATCTACCTTCAGGCAGAGCTAACCCAAGGCCTGTCCCTGAAAAAACTGCCTGAGACTTGGCTTCTTTGCACTACAGTCTTAGATCACTGGAAAGTCAGATCACCTGAAAATTCAAGTGAGATCAGGTCACAGGGCTATTCCCGCCTGGAGGATATTCCCACCCCCAGGCCTTTCTACCCAAATCTAGAGAGCTAGAGCCCTCAGCTGTCAGCAGGCTCATGTTTCTGGACTAAAAAGTTTTGAGTACAATTCTCATTCCCACCTTCTTAAGACGGATGAGGGGCAGAGGATTTCCTTTCCTTCTAAATCACATGGAAAATATAAACTACACTCCAGAAATATTCCTGTGATCACTATGAAGTTAGATTTCTTTGGTAATCTAAAAGAAGTGGAGAGGGGGCTTAGCATCTTGTTCATATGGCACTTTTGGATAACTCTGCACTTTCTCCTCTTCCACTTACAAACTGTTTATAAACAAGCCAGCCAGGTGCGGTGGCTAATGCCTGTAATCCTAGCACTCCGAAAGGCTGAGGCTAGTGGACTGCTTGAGCTCTGGAGTTTGAGACCAGCTTGAACAACATGGTAAAATCCTGTCTCCACAAAAAATACAAAAATTAGTTGGGCATGGTGGCTCGTGCCTGTAGTCCCAGCTACTTGGTGGGGCTGAGCCCGAAGGATCACTTGAGCCCGGTAGGCAGAGGTTGCAGTGAGCTGAGACTGAGCCACTACACTGTAGCCTGGGAGACAGAGTGAGACCCTATCTTAAAAAAAAAAAAAAAAAAAAAAAGATAAACAAACCAAACCTACCTATTCCTCTGCACCACACAGGCAAACTAAGAGAGGAGATGGGAGTTGGGCCTCCTGTGGCTGATGGTTGTCATGGGTGAATTTCAAATTGGGTTGCAAGGCCTACTGATTACTTCTATTCCCCTTTGTGTCATCTTCCCTGAACAAGAACACACCAAGGACCTCAGTCTAAATGATCTCTCTTGCTTAGGTCTTAGAGAGAAAAGGAATTGTCCCTACCCACAGTGATCCCGAAATTTTTCTTTTAAGAACACAATGAACATCTAGCAAAAGTTGTAGGCACTATGTTTTCATAAGAGTTTGGCTTGAAACTCACTGGGATCTGGACACTCCATGACTCCGTCCAGGGTGAAATAACACATTCCTTCCACCAAGAAGCCAACCAGAAGTCCATTCAGCGCTAGCTAGTTGTCACAAACTCCATTTTTAAAACAAGAAAAAAGCTAGAACAGAGTATGATCACAGCAGGCCAAAAAAGAGAGGACGTTAAAAAGATGATTCCATTTAAAGTCCAATCTATGGGACTAACACCAGGCACAATGCATCTGAGACAGAATGTAAATATGGTTCCTCATTAACTGGAATTCTACATTTCTGTCCACTGACCCATTTTAGCCCAGGAAACCACACTCTGCCATTTTAATCTCCTATTACCATATCAAATTTTCCCCCCTTTTTGCATAATAATTAATGTTGGCAATAATCTGAAGGTAAAGCTTCTAGAGTGTTTCAATCTTTTTAACATCAGTTGGCATTCTAACCAAACACAGGGGCTTACTTTCAGTTTCCTCATTTATATAGTGAGATGAACTAAGTCCGTTTCTAGTTTTCAACACCCAATGTATCCATTCTATCTAGGGCCAGCCCAAGCAACCTGTAAAGATAGACTGAACTTCCTAAATTAAAGGGTTTTATGGAACTAGACAGAAAGCAGCAGCCTTCATTACTACTCTTGCATTATTTTCTTCCTGTACACAAAAAATCTCAGCTTCTCCAATTAAAAGCTAACTTTCAACCAAATTCATAAAAGCCAGTCAGAGAAAATAATTAATGAGCACCATGGAACGATGACGCCAGTTTCTCAACTGGCAAAGCATTTGTTTAGATTCTGTATTAAAAATGAAAATGTGATACACATTAGGTCAGAACCTATTAACACAAGCCAAAAAGATTCAGTGTCACAGTTTCACACTATCTGTGACACTAATCTATTCTGCTAGTGCTTTCAAGGCAAAAGCATCATTTTTCCCCCAACTATGGTATATTTAAAATAGAACTCCTAAAACTAAAAAATCTTAATACTCAGATGAACAAATATTATTTTTAGCCTACCTTGATCACATTAATTAAATCTTTCTTATTGTGTATTTTATTGACCCTTAGAACCATTATCTTTCAAGGTAGTCAATTATGACAGTAATCAGATATATTATACATTGTTATGCTATCATGAGAATGCATGCTGAGAAAGGTGTATCTTTACAACTTGCTGGGTAATTTAGGAGTCATTTTTACTTTTTCCAAATTTCTACTTTGGTCTCCTACGACATTAAATGATCTACACACTTTCTCATTAGAAATATTAGAACTATTTGTGTCTTCAATTAAAATATTTCATCTATCATATACAGCTCCACAGCAATTCTAACCGCTTTAATTTGTTCCCTCACAAATTAACGCTTTCTAGATACCTTATGCGTTCATTTGCATTAAGGAGGAAATCTTCATGGCTGACTTAATACAACTGTGATTTATGGTAATATATAAATGATTCAGATAAGAATATCTAATGACATTTTAAAAATCCCTTAACTTTTAACATTTTTATGAATGTAGAAAGGCAAATTAAGCTATCTTTGACAAGTTCTATGCATTTTTAAATATACAATAGTATCCATCTCAACAAAAACCTAAAATACTATACGCAACAATAGGTTAAGATAAATAATCTGAACTAATTCAGTTAATGGCTAACCTAGGCCACAGGTTTAAGTTAACTAACTATAAGAACAAATTAAAATCTCTGATATTAAGACGAGAATAGAAATTCGAATACTCATAGAAAAAGGATAAACAAAATACAATGAATTTCAAAATTCTTTAAATGCCACATAAATTGATATCCTATTTACAATATTAAGTATTATCATTATTGTGCAGACTTCTAACTGCCTTATGGGAAATAAGAAATATGCATTTTTTTTAAAGACCGGATGTCTCATTCCCTTCATAAAACAGGATCTCAGTACCTTTACAATAGCTGACATCTTAGCCCTTTTAGCGTTCCCCAGCAGACTCCACACACTGAGGCATAGCTACAAATGCCCAGAGAAAGAAGACCCACTGGGGAAAATTGTACTCTGCTTAGCTTTGCATGCATCAGTGGGCTTCACAGTAGATAAATATATCCTACAGCCAGATTAACTGACACACTGAAGCAAAAAGGGAAATTTGAGATTTAGCCACTTCATCCTAAACCTCTTTTTAAGCAAGAGGTGGTTTATTTTTACTTCAGATTTCACATATACAAGAAAACAAACAAACAAAAAAACACCTGTCCCAAGGACTCATCCACACTAACACTAATCATTTGAAAAATATTTCTGAAAACCTTAAATTTATAATTCACCATAGTTTATTATAATTTTAAAAGAGTCACAATTATAGTTTTTGTTTTGCAGACAATAAAATTTTTGACAACACAGAGGAAAGTATATTTTCATTTGTTATTGGCTCTTTGTACACTTTTTAAAAAACAGAACTTTTAAACAAGTTGAGGACAATTTTGACAAATTAAGTAGAATCTTTAAAAACTCAAGGGGAAGTTATGAATTAGCTCACTGACATTTTTCTCAACTCCATTTCCAAGAACCCACTCCTACCCCCCAACAATGTCCCTCACCCCCACACCAAGAGCCTCCAAGCCAGATCTCTCTCTAAGGAATTGTTTGCCTAACACCCAACCCTGGGGACCACCAGAACAACCTCACCCACATTCTCAAACTCTACCTGTAGAGCCAGTTTCTTTCGGCTAGTGAAAAACTGAAATTGTGTAAGAGTTTCCTAAGTAGAATCATCATTTTAGGGGAGAAAAAGGGACTCTTCAGATTTGATTGACATTATAAAAGACAGTCAAAACCTAACCCTCAAACCCCACTTCTCACCCAGTAAACTTGAGGACAGACCCAGATATTAATTGTTTTTGTGTCTTTCTATCTTGCCTCTAGGGTTGGGGGTACGGGGAGAAGAAAGGTGATAGGGATCAGCCCTAGGTAAAATTTTATCACCAAAGAATTAACTCTGAGATGCTCCAATATTTTTCTCCTGTACTGCCTTTCCCTCACCCCACACATCTATATGTCTTCTTACTAAGATGTTTTATGTAAGTACTTAATTCTGAAATACAGATTATCTTGATTTTTGAATATTCTCAAGTTGTTGATGGTCTTTGATGCTTCCCATTTCCTACTGCCCAAAGGTACAAGAGTGCAGTGCACTCAAGGGAAAGGACTAAATGTTGACCAAAAAGTTCTTCTCACTTGCTAATATCACTCATTAGAATTGTAGTTTCCTAAAAATAAAAGTTTAAAAATATTCTTGACTTAGAAATTCATGGATCTTCAGAATGCATGTTTGTATGTATTTTATTTATTTATTTTTGAGACAGGGCCTCACTCTGTCACCAGGCACGAGTGCAATGGCATAATCATCGCTCACTGCGGTCTTCAATTCTTGGGCTTAAGCGATTCTCCAACTTCAGCCTCTGGAGTAGCTAGGACAACAGGCATGCACCACCAACCCAGCTCATTTCTTAAAATTTTATTATTATTATTATTAATTATTTTGTAGAGACAAGGTCTCCTTAGGTTACCCAGGCTGGTCTTGAACTCTGAGCTCAAGTGATCCTCCTGCCCTGGCCTCTGAATGTGCTGGGATTACAGGTGTGAGCCACCATGCCTGGCCAATGAACCTATATTGACACATCATTATCCCCCCAAGTTCATAGTTTACATTAGGGTTTACTCTTGGTGTTGTATATTCTATTGGTTTGAAAAAACATATAATGACATATATCTACCACTAAAGTTTTATACAGAGTAGTTTCACTGCCCTAAAATTCCTATTCATCTCTCCTTCTCCCTTAAGTCCTAGCAACCACTGATCTTTTTTACTGTCTCCATTGTTTTGCCTTTTCCAGAATGTCATATAGTTGAAATTACACAATATATAGTCTTTCAGATTGGCTTGTTTCACACAGTAATCTGCACTTACACATAGTAATCTGCACTTACGGTTCCTCCATCTCTCTTCATGGCTTGATAGCTCATTTCTTTTTAGCACTGAATAATATTTCACTCTCTGAATGTACCATGATTTATCCATTCACCTACTGAAGGACATCTTGGTGGTTTCCAGGTTTGGCAATTATGAACAAAGCTGCTATAAACTTCTATGTGCATATTACTGTGTGGATTAATTTTCAACTTCATTGTGTAGACTTCATGGAACACAAATGTTGGACTGCATGGTAAGAGCATGTTTTGTTTTGTAAGAATCTGTCAAACTGTCTTCCAAAGTGACTATACCATTTTGCAGTCCCACCAGCAACGAACAAGAATTCCTGTTGCTCCGTATTGTTACCAGCACTTGGTGTTGTCAGTGTTTTGGATTTTGGTTGTTTTAATACATGTGTAGGGATATCTCACTGTCATTTAAATTTACAATTCCTTAATTACATTACATACAATTTTGAGCATTTCTTCATAGGCTTATTATTATCTTCCTGGGTGAGGTGTCTGTTCAGGTCTTTTGCCCATTTCTTAACCCAGTGCAAGTTTTCTATTTGTTACATTTTAGAAGTTCTTTATATATTTTGAACAGTAGTCCTTTATGAGACATGTCTTTTCCAAATATTTTTATATCCCATTCTGTGGCCTGTCTTTTTCATTACCTTGAGCAATTTACATGCACATGGCAATAACAGGCACAAGGTACAAAATACAAAAGCGTATGCAGTGAAGTTTCTTTTCCTCTTCTGCCTGCCGGGAGTTCTCTTCCCAGAAGGCAATAATTGTTGGCAATTTCTTGTATATTCTTTCAGAGATACTCTAGCCAAACGCAAAAGTGCCTACTATTTTTTAAACAAACTTTTTATTTTGGAATAATTTTACATTTATAGAAAAGCGTCAGTTAGTACAGAAAATTCCCATGTACTTTTCATCCAGTTTCCCCTACCATCTTACGTAACCACGCTACTTTTGTCAAAACTAAGAAATTAACATTAGAGCATTACTATCAACTAAACTCAAGACTTTATTAGAATTTCACTATTTTTTCTACCTATGTAATTTTTCTGTTCCAAGATCCAATCCAAGATACCACATTGCATTTAGATATGTATCATTTCTAACACAAATTAGAACAAGCTTCTCTGCACTTAGCTTTTTTCACTTAATGTATCTCAGAGATCTTTCTATCAGCACCTAAGGATATGACTCTGAAGGCTGTGTAATATGCCATGTATAGATGTGGAGTAATTATTTACTCAACCTTTTCTCTAATTTCTGGCTGCTTTGGTCCTAGACAGGAGCTGTTACTGTCTCCCATGTGATCTGCTTTTTATCCCTATGCTGACAGTAATCAACCACTTTTTAAATACCCCTTATAACGAACATAACAACTCATATTTATGGAACACTTTACAGTTTATGAGGTGGCCACAATGTTCAATCCAACAGTCCTGTAAACTTGCACTGATGTCCCCATTTTGCAAGTGAGAAAAATAAGACTCTAAGTGACTTGTTCAAGAGCATAAATAAAGACCAAACCAGCGTTTCTCATTAAAAACTTTTCATGGTTGGGCGTGGTAGCTCAGGCCTGTAATCCCAGCACTTTGGAAGGCTGAGGCAGGCAGACCACTTGAGGTCAGGAGTTCGAGGCCAGCCTGGCCAACATGGTGAACCCCTGTATCTACTAAAAATACAAAAATTAGCTGGGTGTGGGATGCACACCTATAATCCTAGCTATTCGGGAGGCTGAGGCAGGAGAATCGCTTGAACCTGGGAGTGAGATTGCAGTGAGCAAAAATCATGCACACCACTGCAGTCTAGCCTAGGTGACACAATGAGACTCCGTCTAAAAAAACACCACCACCACCACAAAAAGAACTTTACATAATTATGCAGGTACAATGAGGCACACACAAAGGTTTAAAGACATGTTCCCTCACCAGGGAGCTGCAATTTAACTGGAAAATCAAGTTTATAGGAACATTAAGAGATGGCGATACAAGGCATTCTCTATTAAGGTTATTCATATAAAAGGAAGAACCTGTGTTAGAATTTGAAAGCTAAACAGCATATACACATTAGGAAGATAAAGACCAGCAAGATTGGTCGGGCACAGTAGCTCAGGCCTGTAATCCCAGCACTTTGGGAGGCCAGGGTGGGAGGATCATTAGAGGTCAGGAGTTCAAAGCCAGCCTGGCCAACATGGTGAAACGCCATCTCTACTAAAAGTACAAAAATTAGCTGGGTGTAGTGGTGGGCACCTGTAATCCCAGCTACTTGGGAGGCTGAGGCAGGAGAATTGCTTGAACCCGGGAGGCAGGGGTTGCAGTGAGCAGAAATCAAACCATTGCACTCCAGCCTGTGTGACAAAGTGGACTCCACCTCACAGGACAAAAAAAAAAAAAAAAAAAAAAAACACCACCAAAGACCAGCAAGATAGATGAGAAAAGGAGAGGGACAGTGAAGAATGCCTAAATCCTGCTCAAAGGAGAACAAGGAGATCACTCAGACCAAGTAAAAGTTAAACAAAATAAAGATTTATGGCCAGGCACAGTGGGTCATGCCTGTAATCCCAGCACTTTGGCAAGCCAATGCCATCAGATCACCTGAGGTCAGGAGTCTGAGACCAGCCTGGCCAACGTGACAAAACTCCATCTCTTCTAAAAGTAGAAAAATTAGCTGGGTGTGCGCGCCTGTAGTCCCAGCTACTCCGGAGGCTGAGGCAGGAGAATCGCTTGAGCCTGGGAGGTGGAGGTCGTGGTGAGCCGAGATCGCTCCACTGCACTCCAGCCTGGGCAACAGAAAAAGACTCCATCTCAAAAAAAAAAAAAAAAAAAAAAAAGAAAAAAAAAATTTATTCTTGTGGCTCCACACAGGGAATCCTGCTGAAGAATCAACGTGCTTAGTATATTGCTACAACTATCTTATTAAGCCTCCCAAGAAAAGTCTGCCAATAATATTTTTGGATTTTGTGGCTAAACATTTTTTCCCTTCCTCTATCTTCCAATTATGTTATGAGATAGTCTTATTTAAGTATTTTTTTCTGTATAAATACATGCTCATTGTGAAAATATAGTATATTTTCACATATACGGTGTCTCTCCTGATACTAACTTCCAATCAGACCAATGTTAACTTTTTGATATTCTTTAGATTTTATAATCTACACATACTGCAATAATACATTACTCTGCCTTTCCACTATGAAATACTGTAGAAAATCCTATCACAAAATACTATTTTGAAGTGTTTTTTTGTTTGTTTGTTTTTGAGACAGAGTCTTGCTCTGTAACCCAGGCTGGAATGCAGTGGCGTGATTTTGGTTCACTGCAACCTCCACCTCCCGGGTTCAAGCAATTCTCCCACCTCAGCCTCCTGAGTAGCTGGGATTACAGGCTTCTACCACCACGCCCAGCTAATTTTTTTTGTATTTTTAGTAGAGACCAGGTTTTACCATGTTAGCCAGGCTGGTCTCGAACTCCTGACCTCAAGTGATCCACCTCTCCCAGTCTGAAAGGTAAGTTTTAATGAGTGCAATGTTATCCATCATATGACCATATTATAACTTAATTAGTCCCATATTGGGTGATGTTAATTTTTCTTTATAAAATACTGTGTGGGGCAAACATTCTTGCATACACATCTTTACGTGTATTTTCAATTACTTCCTTGGGTTAAATTCCATTGTGGTAGAGCTAACATACAATGTCTTCTTTTATTGGGTATGAAAATTCATCTTCATAAGTGCGTTTGGGACTGTTTTCTTTATACAATTTGCGTTTAACTTTTCCAAATGTACATGTGGAAAGTAGCTGGGACTACAGCAGGTGCCACTGCATCTGGCTAATGTTTCAAAAAATGTTTTGTAGAGGCAGGGTCCCAATTAAATCCTTAAGACAGAAGACAGCCTTAAGTTGAAAATGAATAGCATATAATACTCAGAAAATTCTTCAAATACTAACCATTAATCACTGTACATGGAATTTTAAAATTACATACTTTATAAACTGCATCAAAATCCACAATTTACATTTATCTTACAAAAATTATTTATACACAGCCTAGAAAATGCTGTATTTTTATTGTACATACCCTTTGGGGAGATTCTCATATGTTGGGCAGTACCGATTTTCACTAGAGCAACAGTATACTTTTTTTATTACTGTGCAATTCTCACACTATCCTCTCATTATAGATTCCCTCGACAGACTCTTTGCAGCTGTTCTTTGAAGGCTTCTCTCTGCATTAGGCTGCTCAATAGAGACGCGACTGCCCAACTGCCACACCTCTATTAAGCAGCCTAATTTTCACCTTTTCCTCTCCCAATATAGCAGTTCGATACACTAAAGCTAACAATCTTATATTGCTATCTTGAGAAGCAGGTTTTTTCTGAAAGATTTCTGATTATAGAAAACTAAGGGAAACACAGGATTTCAGAGAGAGAAAATCTGACATTTGCCTAGAAATTTGCCCATATTTGAAAACAAAACAACAGAAAAACAACTCACCTAACTAATAACTTACCATTCTGTATAGAGGCAGTATAGCTCCAGAAACTTTAGAAATAATTCACCACTACAACCACCAACCATCACGTCTGAATTTGTTTTTTAAATAAAAAAGAAAAAACCTGGTACTTTCCATAAAATTTCACATACATAACTTTTTTTTTTTTTTTTAAAGACAGAGTCGTGCTCTGTTACCCAAGCTGGAGTGCAGTCATGCGATCTTGGCTCACTGCAACCTCTGCCTCCTGGGTTCAAGTGATTCTTCTGTCTCAGCCTCCCTAGTAGCTGGAATTACAGGTGTGCGTCACGACGCCCAGCTAATTTTGGTATTTTTAGTAGAGACGGGGCTTTGCCATGTTGGCCAAACTGGTCTTGAACTCCTGACCTCAGGTAATCCACCTGCCACAGCCTCCCAAAGTGCTGGGATTACAGGTGTGAGCCACCACGCCCGGCCATATGTAACTTATTAATTCTTCAACAAATTGGCAGAGTTACTGCTATTTCAAGTATTTTTGTTAAATTATCTAGAGCAAGACTGGCAAATGTAGCCTATGGAACAAATCCAGGCCACCAACTGTTATTTTTATAGCCCCAAATCAATGATATATAAGTACTTATATAGCTATTTAACCATGTAAGTAGTTATATGTTTATGGCTTAGTTGATAAGCCATGAATTATATGTTTATGGCCTACTTCATAAACATATAACTACCTACATGTTTAAGTAGCTATATAAGTACCTATACGATTATCATTGATATTGGTATGCTGGACCACAGACCTTAGACTATTTACTATCTGGCTCTTTGTGTGTAGTTTGCTAATCCCTAATACCAGGGACAAGTGTGGAAAAGTATGTAAGAGAAACTAATAAAATTTACAATTAACTATACATTAACTAATCGATTTAATTTGCTGTGAAGTGGACTAGTAATGTACTCCCATTTAATTGTCACTCCCTAGAAATTTCATGGAACTTTGAAAGTGTGATAATCCTCCAGAGGTATACTCAAACTAAAAAACAAATACGTAACACAAGAATGACTGTGGAACCACCAAAACATATCATGTATATGGAAATACCCAAAGAAACATTTTTCAAGATAAAGATTTAAAAACTCAGAACCATATATATATGTGTGTGGGTGCATATGCACGTGTGTGTGTGCACGCACGCGTGCACATGCGTACGTATCAGAAAGTCCTGAAATACAGGCAGAATGGCAAGTTCTAGTGTTCACAGAAACCTAAAATCAGGGGCCAGGCATGGTGGCTCACGCTTGTAATCGTAGCACTTTGAGAGGCCAAGCCTGGAGGATCGCTTGAACCTAAGAGTTCGGACCAGCCTGGGCAGCGCAACAAGACTGTGTCTCTACAAAGAATAATTTTTTAAAAATTAGTTGGGTGTGGTGGCACACACCTGTAGTCCTAGCTACTTGGGAGGCTGAGTGGGAGGATCACTGGAGCCTGGGAAGTTGGGGCTGCAGTAAGCCATAGATGTGTTACTGCACTCCAGTCTGGGCAACAGAGCAAGATTCTGTCTCAAAAAACAAAACAAAACAAAAAACAAAAACCACCACCACCAAAAAAAGCCTCCCTAAAATCTAAAATCACAAATAAAAACAACAAATACCAAACTGGAAGTCACAAAAACCATGAATTATGAAAGGCAAAGGCTGAATTTTCCAAGAAGAAAAAGAAGCTGAGATGTGGAAATAAGGAGATTACAAAAATGGTGAATTGACACTCAAAATAATCAATTGTTTTATGGGGCCTCACATAAAATGTGAGGCTTATTCAACTACAGCAATGTAGTAAAAAAACCTATATAACTAAAGACCAGAATGTAATGGAAACCTTCAGACAATAGTAATACTTGTACAATTTAAACCAAAGCAATTCAGTATATGCTTTCAAATTTTTTTAAAAAATTATTTTGATGGCTAATTAAAACTTACATAAATACCATGACCACTAATCAAGCTACTGCTAATTCTTCACTTTGAAAGAGGCCCTAGAGTTTTCAGGGTATGGGGAGTAAGTACCAGGAATACCTCCCCCTACTTCTATTCTTTATAACATATTATTTATCCAGTTCAAACATCTATGAGAATTTTAATATGAAACCATTTATTTTAAATAAAACATTCTGAAAGCCTTTATTAAATGATGAAGGCAGCATCTTTACTATAAGAAGTTAGTCTGGGCTAGATAAAGTGGCTCATGTCTATAATCCCAGCACTTTGGAAGACCAAGACAGGAAGATCACTTAAACCTAGGAGTTCAAGACCAATCTGGCCAACACAGCAAGACCTCATCTCTACTAAAAAAAAAAAAAAAAAAAGAGGAAGTGAATCCGAAATGTTACCACATAGGAGGCAAGATCTGTTAATGCTGCTCTAGGACTTTTCTTAAATCAAAACAGTGTCCCAAATTCTCAACTGCGTGCTATGGTGTGCTTCTGAAATTCTACGCATATAGCAGAACTGTAAAGCTACAAAAGCTCCTTAAAAGCAATCTTTCTCTTGTTCTCTAGCAACCAAGTAGCCACGGCCCCTGTCATCCACCTCCCTACAGGCAGAACTCAGAACATCTCTGGTTAGGAGTTCATGTTCACTTGGTTAGAACTAGACACAAACAATGGGAAGATTCAAAGAAGAACCATTTATCAGATCTATGCAACTGGCCCACTATAAAACAATAAGGATCCATAAAGATAACTACTGATCATAGACAATGCACACCCAAGTGACAATGAGGAAATGCACTGGATAAACAAGTAAAAGTAAAGGTGGTCCACTTGATTTAAGTCCCTAGAGTTTGCAAGGATGCATAGTTAAGCCAATGTTGTGAGCTCACCAAAAAATCCATTAGACCAGATAACTTAAAAAAAAAAAAACTCTGAAATATCCTCTACAGATAGTACGGTTGTCTCAAGCCACAGTTGATTGCTTTGATCAATCTTCTGTTGAATATCCCATAATATATAAACAAAACAAATCTACTATAAGTTGAATACCATGCAAAAGACTGAAGACTTCATGAGGTCCTGAAAAAGGTGTTAAAGAGCCATTTAATCAAATATAAAGTCACTAATGGATTACGACCTGAGTTAGAAATAGTAGGCTAAATCAACAAGATTCAAATGTGAAATACAGGATATATAGTATTACCATATAAATTTTCTGAGAAGAATACGCTAAAAAAATCAACAACTAATTCTTTGTTTACTCTAAGACCTAGTGAATAATATATAGTTCACTTTTTAATATTATATTCTTATTTTAATTTTAATTTTTGAAATATTTTTTTAAAATTCAAATGAAATATATTTTTTCCCTATATTTTCTGAAATCCTGGTTACTCTTTCAAGTAATTCATTCTAGGACGGATTACCCATAGATAAGAGGGATCTGAGTCCATACAGGAGTACTCTGGAAAGTGTGGAACCTCTTTCAAACTAAGGCGTTAGTATTACTTCGGTCTCTCTCAGACTGGGTAGAAAAGAAGCCTTCAGGTCATCTCTGGCTCACAGAAACAGCTTCAGAGAATGGCTATCAAAATTCATTCTAACCATAGAAAGAGAACTGCTTTTTAGGCTGTAGAGGCAGGGCAGGGGCATGGAAAAAGACGATACTGCCAGGAACAGGATGTTATAAATTAAATGCACATGTCCACTGATTAAAAACATTCCATACCACTAAGGAATAAGGTACCTTACAATATAGCAACCATGAAGAACAATTTAGAGCAATCTGGAAATACTGGAGTGAGGGAGCTAGAGAAGGAGAGACCAGAACACTGTACTCCTAAATTTTCCCACTTCTCACATCCACTCTCCTTGGCCCAATTTGCCTCTCCAGTTCTTATTCTTTCAACGAAACATTTGCAAGGTGAAAGAGGGAGGGCTGATGATATTGTTTAAACCCCTAGGTCCCCCATGCTCCAAATCAATCTATTCCTAGCCTTCTTAGATAAATGGGTTAATAAACACCACTTTTTGTTTCACCCGGTTTAAGTTAGGTTCTGTCACTTATAACAAAAAGAGTGCTGACTGGAATAAATGTGACCCACAATAAAACTTTTCCTGATCACCTCTGGTTGTGCCTGAATGTAATCTCTTCTGAATGTCTGTAAGAATTTATTCGTATCACTGACATTCTGCCACGTATATTAATTGTTGAAATTCTTATCCCTCTATCACACTAAAATAATAGTCTATAAAGATAGACTGAATATTATTCACTTTAATATTCTACCATACAGTACTTTCCTCTGTAAAAGGCAGAAAAAGGGCATGGTAAAGGGCAGAAAAAAATGGAGGAATGAATACATAAAAAAGATGGAGGAAGGTACTCAACAACTCAGACTGGTTAATGAGAGTTGAGCAATAGTGAAAGAAAGAACAAGACAGCAGAGCTATAATGTAGAAAAAGGCAGCAGATGAAACAAATGGTTGAACACAAGAAGTTAAAAAGAGGAAAAAAGCAACGTAGTGGAAAGGGACTGTGAGCTAGTCAGAATCAAGAGGGTCAATGCCATGTTTCTTTTTCTGTTTTTTTGTTTGTTTGTTTTGTTTTTTTGAGATGGAGTCTTGCTCTGTCATCCAGGCTGGAGTGCAGTGGCGCAATCTGGGCTCACTGCAACCTCTGTCTCCTGCGTTCAAGCAATTCTCCTGCCTCAGCCTCCCACACAGCTGGGATTACAAGCATGTGCCATCATGCCTGACTGGTTTTTTTTTTTTTTTTTTTTTTTTTTGTATTTTTGTATTTTTAGTAGAGATGGGGTTTCACCATGTTGGTCAGGCTGGTCTCGAACTCCTGAACTCAGGTGATCCACCTGCCTCAGCCTCTCAAAGTGCTGGGATTACAGGGGTGAGCCATTGTGCCTGGCCAGGGCCATGTTTCAAACTAACAAGTAATTTCATTTTTCTTGGCTTTAGTGCCTTCAACTGTATCTAGGCTCCTTTCTCTCAAGTTTCTCTTGGTGCCAACATTTTGTGTTTGTCAGCACAGCCAAAGGTCAGAGAATGTAGATCAATGAATATACAATCATATTCTTTCATGAAATTTAGGGTTATTAAAACACTGGAAAAAGTAAAAGGCCTCATCCTTATGAAACACTGTCAAATCAGATACTATTTCCCTTCGACACTTTATAATCATTTTCAGTATCTCATCTAGTGAAGAAATTTCAAGTATATCAAACTACATATCTTTTTTTATTTTTTATTATTTTTTTTAAGACAGGGTTGGATCTGTTGCCCAGGCTGGAATACAGTGAAGTGATCTGGCTCACTGCAATCTCCACCTCCCCAGCTCAAGGAATCCTCCCTCTCAGCCTCCCAGGTAGGTGGGACCATAGGCATGTGCCACCATGCCTGGCTAATTTTTTTTATTTTTTGTAGAGACAGGGTTTCACCATATTGCTCAGGCTGGTCTTAAACTCCTGGGCTCAAGCAATCCTCCTACCTCCCAAAGTGCTGGGAATGTGAGCCACCCCACTAAGCCAAAAGAGTTAACTTTTGAGGGCAGGGTTGTATTACCCTTTGATAGTCTGAAAATGGTGATTCTACATATTTTGTAACTCTAGGAGATTTCAGAATTTTTCATAGGTTATATTGCAAGCAATATCAAGTTTACAGAAGAATTTTCTTTGAAATTTGGTTATTTGAGGTACCAAATATACAGAAAAAAAGTGTACTTGGGCTTAAATTCCCAGACAAATCCACTGAAACCTATGCAATCTACAATGAAATGGAAATAAAACACAGAAGCTTTACCAGAGGTGCCCTTTAAGTTCTGAGATACAGAAAGTGGAGTTAAGCAAAGAGATTCCAGCAGCAATGGGAAGACACTTGGTCTGCTTATAAGTCAAATGCTTATAAGCAGAGGTTTGACAGTAATATACTTGAGCAATTAGACCCAACCTGTTAAATGAGTTAACATGCCTAAAATAAGTTACAACAATATATACAGTCTGCCCTCTATCTGTGGGTTCCACATCTGTGAAATCAATCAACCACAATTTGAAAATATTTAGGGGAAAAAAATGGATGGTTGCATCTGTGCCGAATGTATACAGACATTTTTTTCCTTGTCATTATGCCCTAAACAATCCAACATAAGAACTATTTACACAGCAATTACATTGTGTTAGGTATTATATGTAAGTTATAGATGATTTAAAGTATACAGGAGGATATGTGTGGGTTATATGCAAAAACTATACCATTTTATATATATATATAAGGGACTTGAGCATCAGGGGACCCAATCCCTCACAGATACTAAGGGATGACTGTATAGCAATTCTATTAACATGATGCTATTTTACTTTTCAGAGAACTTTCATGATCTTTTTTTTTTCCTTTAAATAACCAGAAACATTTCCCAGTGTCCTACAGAAAACTAGTTTCTCAGAAGCTAATGACGCTCTTTACAAAAAGCCTTCTGTGCCTAATGTGATTTTGGGGTGTCGTAGGCTAAAAAAGTTAAATCAGCTTTTTCTTTTTTCAGAGTCTTTAACATTCCAAAGTACAATCTGAATTTCTAAGAGGGAACAACTGATACGCAATGGTGTCCAAAGTTATTTCACTGTGGAACCGTTTTTCCACGGTCATCCATCAAGATCAGTGTCTCCATAATCATGGTTTAAGAAAATGCTGAGCTAGTAAAAAATCTGAGCTATGAAGAAACAACAGGTATCTTAAACACCTAAACAGTGTGGCCTAATGGAAACAGCATTCAACTAAGAGTCAGGAGATATGAGTTCTACATTTAGTTTTAACATTTACTGGCTTTGTGACCTCAGAAAGAAACACTTAATTGTCCTCTGCCTTAGTTTTAATCATTTGCAAAATAGCAGTTATAATTCTAGTTGTGGCCTTTTTCAGGGTTGAATAAAAGTTATTAAATTTATGAGATTATGGAATTGTAAAATTCTAGAGCTGTACAAGACCTCTGAGAATTCCCAGCATTACCCTATCAGAAAGGTAAAGGTATTTTCAGAATCTGGATTAAAATCCACACCTCCTAACTCTCAGCCCTGCAATTTCCCCCTGTACCACCACATATTACATTCACTCTTTAAAAGAAAAATTGTTAACAAACCATCTCTAGAGGCAAAATAGTGTCTCAGAAAGGAACACAATTAAGGGTCTCAAAAAACAAGCAAAACCGAAGATAATTTTACACCTTAAGTCTCCCATTTATCACATATACACATACATACATCCTAAAATAAGTAAAGCTTATAAACATGGAGGGATTAAAAAGATAATAGTAGTTTATTACACAATCACTTGGGGATGGAAGCCAGGCAATTCTGTGAGAATAATTTGTTTCTAAGTTCAACCAGTAAACTGATCCTCCCATCATCAAAAATATGACTAATTATCAAAAGGTAAAGGAAAACAAGTATTACTGAAATTAATGAGAGGATCAAGGGTGGAGAAATGGACCAGAGCTGGAAGAAGCTTGAGACAGACAAGGCTACTTGGTGATTGATAGTAGCCTTGAATGACCATGGGATTCACTGCTACGGTCAAAGCTTTTCATACAGTTTTAATATTTCAGAGTACAGAACTGCTTGATGCTAATTACCTAGTGATGTGCCAAAAAGATGTACTTATTTCACTCGAAACATAAGAAAAGCCCTCTTTCCCATATTGACATATCCACAGGAGATTTCTGCAATTCATAAAAGAAACATTAACTGATTCAGCATAAAACACTTCAAAATATATACATGAATATATAAACACACTTTCTGTTGCAAATTGTTCATTACTGAATCATTATCAACCCTTGTTAGACAAAATTTCTCATTTTTGCAATGTACAAAATCATTAAAGTATTTGAAAGCTCTATCACAGAAGACAGTGGTGCTTTATAATCCACTGTTTCTTCAGGCAAATGTGCTTATGGCTGAACATAATACTCAAAATAACAACATTCCCTAGATGTACAATCCCTCCCCCACTTAATGGTGTTTTTATATGTTGACAGCAACAGGAAATGTTACTGCTTTCCTATTAGTTTTAGCTGTTTCTGAACATTCATCATGCACAGCACCACTCTCAACTGTTACCTGTTGCGATGATTGGTTATCAACAGTTCCAAATGCTTCAAATACTACCATACACATCTCAGCAGAGCTTTAATAATTTAGGTTTTTCAGCCAGAAACTCCCTTAAATTAACAAACGGCCAGAAAAGTCAGTCTATCCACTGTAACTATATATTGCTATAAACCCACGTTTGGGTGTCAGTTCAATTACTTCAGCTCATATCAAGTTGAATTGCCTGTTGCTGTATAGAACTGCATTGTGATTTAAGAGGCATTCATTTCCAAAAGCAAGCTATTGTCGTGCAGATTGTTTACACTAAGGTACCTCATTTGATCATTTTTACTAAAAATAAAGGTAAGGAAGTGAAGTATATCAGATATTGCCAATGACCAGTGAATTTCTTTTGAACCTATCTACTTAATCATTTCAGGGTTCTGTCTCCTTCTTTTATGTATAAGTAAACATTTTTACATTAGGTAGTTAAAACTCACAAATAAAACGTATGGTCTGGGCCAGACATGGTGGCTCATGCCTATAATTGCAACATTTTGGGAGGCTGGGGCAGAAGGATCACTTGAGGCCAGGAGCTCAAAACCAGTCTGGTCAACATAGTGAGACCTCATCTCTACAAAACTAAAAATTAAAAAATTAGCTGGTGTTGTGCTAAGGAAGGAGGACAGCTTGAGCTCAGGAGTTCAAGGCTGTAGTGAGTCATCATCATGCGACCGCACTCTAGCTTGGGTGACAAAGTGAGACCCTGTCTCAAAAATAAGAAAAGAAAATGTATGGTTTGTATATCTGCATCTGATACAAAGTAGTACCTAAACAACGTAGTTCACATGAATGCAGATTTTTTTCATTTGAATTAAGAGATCAATCTACTTACAAATATTTATTTACTTCAAGACTTTTTTTAGATGTTGATTTTATACATAGGGTATGGATGACTATTGAACGTATTCTAATAATTATCTGAAAACTAAAGAAACCAACAAGCACATGCTCGTAATTGCTCCAACTGAGAAAATGTTACCTCAAAGTGAATTACAGATATATTGTTAGTCAACATCTGCTCAGAGCAACTGACTGACATGCATACCTCTTAGGATTCATTTAATTTCCACACTTGTCCCGTACAAAATTTTAATCGTCACCTTGGTACAAAGCTGTACTAATGATGAAATTCCATTGGGCCTAAAAGTCATCTCTATGAGTGAAGAATAAAGGTAAGAACATAAATACAAAAAGAGCAATTTCTGATTTTTCACAGTTCAGAGTTATATTCTCAATTAAGAAAGCTTAGTTTAATCCAAAATTACAAAAACACGGACTTTTACTTGCCCTACTACACTTAATATAAATTAAATCCTACTTGGGGAAAAGTTGTACTCCGAAAGGAAATAATTTGGAGTGTTATATCGATTTTACTTTGATGGCAAGCTCAATTGAAAATTTAAAAAATAAATTAGAAAGTTTTCCCTAGCCAAATAATTTATTGTAAACCTAACTCTGATTTTTTTATCTGGAATGATAATACATATAATACCATGATTTTCTATGTGCATTTATTTACGCTGAAACAAATTGTGATTTTAAACACAAGTTTTATTGCTTGTGTCAGTTTTTTCACTCTTCTGTCATACTCTAATGGTTCTTCTGGCTTCAAACTGTCAACCGCCTTCGGCAAAATCCACACTAGACTATCAGATTCTGTCTCCTCGACACTATAGAGAATAAGGGAAACAAAGACTGTGCAAAGCAAATCATTTTAAATAAATTGCAGACCACCAGGATTTGGGATTTGGGTAATCTACTCAGATTAGTATGGCTGTGTCTTAAAAGGACGATTCTAAGATCACAATATAGGTCATGTCCTTAAGAAATAAAGTAAGTAATGAAATCAATGTCAATTACACAAACTTTCCATATTTATATGATGCCATAACTGGTAAAAACAGTTATAACTGGTAAAACAGATAAAAGTTTTTGTAATATTTTCAGCCCCAGCATAAGCAAGAAAAAAAATCATAAAACATACAGATTATTTTCAATCAGGTTTTGCAAAAGGGTAAAATATTTACACAAAAAAAAATGGTATTCAAACTGAAAAAAACAAGCTTGGGTTTATAATTTTAGACTGAACAACTTTAAACTTTCATTTGAGACAGAGAAGGAGAAAGGAAAGGAGGGGTGTTTTGCAGAGCATGATTAACCACAAAGGTTTTGCCTAAACATAAAAATCAAGTTTAGATGGTAGTGCATACCCTTCTTGAAAGTGCAACTTCACTTCTTCAAACCAAAACTTCAAAAAAGTCCTAGTATGAAGCCAAGTGCTTAAAACAATGCTGCAATATCTAAATATACTATGTTTTAATCAAATTGTGCCAGGAGAAATATTGTCCAATGCAAGTAAAGTCTGCCTAAAATCACTGCTATGTCACATTTTTAATTACAACATAATACAACTGTTAAGAGAAATAGTAACATCACAAATGCCCCTAAAACAATACTTCTCTGCCCCAGAAAACATGTAATGCTTGAGGTCACAAAGACATTGCCAAAACTGACAATCAAAACACTGCCACTTCTTTTTTTGACACCAAAACAATAATGCTTTAAGAGTAGACCCCAAATTTTCTGGACATTTGATCCTCAAGCTGTGCTGAACAAGAAAAGCCCTAGATGCCCCTAGAAACTCAAGAACTTTCTTCTAGATACTTACCTGTCCCTCCTGGACAAAGGGATAAAAAATGTCTCTGACCAAAGAAGCTTTGAGAAGACTACTTGCAGAGAATTACCAACTTACCCATCAGATTTGAGTTCATGAAAGGTGTTGGGGACAAGCCTTCATGGGCTCCTAATCGACTGTCATTCAAGTGATCACTGTAATGAGGGCTGTCTGTAAAACCCTAGGGGGAGAAAAAGATCAGAGTATTAAAGAGATTATTTGGCAGTCCCGCTAATTGAGCATAATGACACTCACCTAATTAATATACAGACTTACACATGGTCATTTCTGACCAAGTTTCTTGTTCATTATTTGAAAAGCTAACAGCAGAAGTGCTTCTTTTATTCCTTTTAAGATTTTAAGTCAAAAAACATTTTCTTTATTGATCGTAAAGAAAAGTGGGTTTCTATAAATAAACACTAACCATGAGCACGAATGTTTTCAAAGTATCATCAGCTCTTCTGATGGGATGGGGAGCTATAAGAATTCTGTAAACTATTACTAAAATTACCTCTAAGATTACTTTACATCCAAAGGGAAAGTACAATGGATTTTTTAAAATAAATTAAGAAAATATATTTCTCAGTTGTAATAAATTAGGGAAATGCTTATCTTTATCCTCCTATTCACTCCCTGCCCCCAGACCCTAAAAATAAAGCGTTAGGCAATTACAAGTGACTTAAAATACTAAAACTAATTCACAATCAATATGCTAGAAATGAATCCTTTCCTAAATGGCAAATATTCAACAAAAAAGGTCTGTTTATACTCATTTTAATACTACTGTAGTAGAACAATATATACTCCTACAGAAACTGAGCCATGTAAAAAGTAAAACAATTATTAAACATAGCTGATTTAAATTCTTAAGAATGAAATTACAAACACCATTAAAAACAATAAAGCTAATGTTACTTTTCACAGTAGCTGTTATTACATTTCTCCTTATAGTTTAAAACATATTTTTTTAAAGCAAAGGGGAAAAAAGATAAAGTTTACAAACAAAAACAAGTGTTACAAAATTACTACGTGATGAAACCTGTCCTGGTTCTCAGACTTTTACGCACTCTTTAAGTACAGCATTACCTCCAAAATCATATTGTTTCTAAACAAGGCTTTGAACTCTATTAATTAAAACTGCAGGTCATATATATCTCTGCCAATCTAAAACCAACATGGTAAAGACCGGAAAAACGTATACGAAGCCCAAGTAAGAGAAAAAACTACCCTGGCTCACAGAAACCTGAAACCACCCAGAATCCCCGGGGACTAAAAAAATCATCAATCACTGAACATTTATCATTCCCCAGACTGCAGGCTACCATTTAAGAGGACATTAATGTGGCTGAAACAGGCCTCACTATCTTTGCAGGCATGCTGTCAGTTCAATGAAAGGGCTAGGAATAGAGGGCTAAATAACTGTCAAATCATTACAATTGTTTATAGATGCATGTCACAACTCCTTCTGCTGTTCTGTTTTAACACTAATCTTCTGGAGTGCTAACTCCCAAATAAATCTTTGTTTCATTTTTACATACTTCAGAATTACTGATAGACATGTGATAGATATTCAAGAAGAATCTGGGTGCCATTCACAACTTATGACCACAAGTGTTCTCTGGTAACTATAACCATAAGTCCTGTCTGATACAGCCACATTTAGTAGACCCTATATACACAATAGTATGGCTCTTAGCTAACGTCACTCCACAGAGCTTACCATTTTTTTGTTTTTGTTTTTGTTTTTGTTTTGGAGACAGGGCCCTCGCTCTGTTGCCCAGGCTGGAGTGCAGTGGCGTGATCACTGCTGACTAGCCTCAACCTCCCAGGCTCAAGTGATCCTCCCACCTCAGGCTCCCAGGAGTAGCTGGAACTACAGTAGTGCACCACCACACCCAATCAATTTTTAAAATTTTTTGAAGAGATGGGGTCTCACTATGTTGCCCAGGTTGGTCTCAAACTCGTGGGCTCAAGAGACCCTCCAGCCTTGGCCTCCCAAAGCGCTGGAATTACAGGCCTGAGCCACCATGCCTGGCCCATAGAATTTGCTTTTACTACTTAAAATGAATACTAAGGGACAAATCACTATCTCACGTACATCTGGGTGTTCTCTCTGCCACCCTTCCCACTGCCATTCTTAGGCACACAGTCAAAGGAAGGCATCAAAACCTATAAAAATACTCACTTAAATATTGTTTGTCATCCTACAGCAATACTACTGTAGAAAAATGCCAATTAAAATGTGCTTGCGGAACAGCTACATTGTTCACGCTACACATTTGAATGCTAAAGGCAAATGAAAGAGCAATTTTGTATCCTCCCAGTTCTCTTCATTCTTGAACAACAAAAAGTAAAAACACTACAGTTAAAAAAAAAAAAAAAAAACTATTTCCTAAAGCACCACTATACAAATATATCTAAGTTTGAAATGTATTTATGGTGTTGCTAAATGACTACACACAATTTATTAACTTTATAGATTAGATTACATGTAGTGTCTTTTACCCTGCTAACCTAACTTTTTTGCTGTTCCCACTGCTAATGACTGGGATTTTCACAGTGCACCAGAAAATAGGAGCCTATAGACTTTTTTCCTCAAATACAAGCAAGAGTTGGATATGAATCCTCAATACCTATTTACTGAGATTATATGCATATACTATTAATCCACATATCAAGTATCAGTAAGGCACAATTTCTCTGATTTAAGGATGAAAATTAGATATTTTCCCCAACACCTTAGAGGTTCAATTTAGCAAATGGAACTTTGTTTAAAAGCCACTGTCCAAGAGACAAGAAAGGAATAATAGTTCTTCATCTACAGGTGCAAACTGATGCTGGGAGAAGGGACAAATAGAGTTGCAAAATGTTTGTCACAGTTTTACATCGCATACAACTGTACACCAAAACTTCACTTCAAGGACTGGGGGTAGCTACTGTTTGGGATTATTCCTGTCATTCCTTTCACACAGTAGTAGTAATACCCACCCATAGTATAACTTTTGGTGAAACAAGATGAATAGTTATGAAATAATTCACAAATATTTAAATACGATTATCACAAGTCATATGTTTAAAATCAGTTGTAGAAATGTACAACTATTAGCACGTCAATGTATCATCTAGTTGACCGATACCTACAGCAATGCTTTGTAGACTTCAATGTTCTTATCAAACGAGTAGAGATCTTGCTAAAATGCAGATTAAGATGCATAAGGTCTTGGGGGTAGAACTTAAGATTCTGAATTTCTAACAAATAGGTGATGCTGATGCTGCTGGCTTATCAACTACACTACTAGTAGCAAGAACTTACACAACTTGGAATAAAGATCTTTTTCATAAACACAGAGTAAAAAGGTCTAGAAAGGTGACAGCCAGGCACCCCCCACTGAAACCATATTAAAACACCAGAAATTTCCAGATAAGAATAAATTAGGGAGAAACCCCACAGTTTAAAGAAAAAAAAAAAAAAACTAAAGCAATTAGAATAGCAAAATATTTTTATGTATGTATGTAATCATCCATGTAGTTTTAAAAGTAGAAGGTAGCTTAGCTGTCAAATATAGCCCCAATGAAAGAAATAGGTTAGTTGACTAGGAGTTTAAACTTCTTCTGAAATACCACATAGAGTTAGGCAACAAGCATGGCTGCTCATAGAGCAAAAGGGGAAAATGTCATAAACCAGAGCACTCACGGGGCTGACAGAATAGCAGAGAACAAAGCAAAATAATGTAGTAACTTCCAACAGGCTGGAGAACATAGGTTGAAGGTAAATGGCCTAAGGGAGTGGTTGCAGTGACAAGAAAAGAACAAAAACCAAGCAAACAATGGTTAAGTTGGAGCCCGAGTGGATCAACCAATGGGACCAGTAAATGAATGCTATTTCAATTTTAAAATATAAAGGAAGTAAATCAGTGACATCATTAAATATACAATGATCATGCTGCATATTTCAAATTGATAGAAAGTTACTATGCTAATAAAAGGGGTCAAACATGGCTCCCAGGACTCCTAATTAAGATCTTGAATTCTGTTAATAGCAACTAAGATAAACGAGATTTTTTAATACATGAGATGACATACATTATGAAGGACAGAGCAATACTATCAGAATTATCTATTACACCAGCCTTTTAGCCACAATATGCTATTGAACACCAAAATATTTCCAAATACAACCTAAACAATCACTGTTCCCATCTTATAAAAATGGAAAGCACTCAAGATATTAATAATTGATAAAATCAGTTGATGCATGGCAAGATTACAAAAACCATTAATTTCTATACTTAAAATCTGTCTAAAATTTGGTTGGTAAATCTTAAATAATTCCATCTATGAATGCATAATACTTCATAAAAGCTTTGATATTATAAAATGTGGTCTATAAAGTAGATTTCATACTTTTCTCTATGTTCATTTCCTGATGCAGGAACTTAGAAATGTTAACCCCTGCTACAGTATGACAACAGACCTGAAGTGATCAAAGCAGCTTCCATATTTAAACTAAACAGCACATAATCAAATATATATATATATAAATTTTTTTTTTTTTTTTGAGACAGGGTCTTGCTCTGTTGCTCAGGCTGGAGTGCAGTGGCATGATCACAGCTCAACGCAGCCTCAATCTGCTGGGCTCAAGCAATCCTCCCACTTCAGCCTCCTGAGTAACTGGGACTACAGGCACACACCACCACGACCAGCCAATATTTTTATTTTTTGTCGAGATGGGGTCTCCTATGTTGTCCAGGCTAGTCTTGAATTCCTGGGCTCAAGTGAACCTCCCATTTTGGCCTCCCAAAATGTGGGCAATCAAATATTTTGTTGTATCCAAGGTGAGCAGGGGGGTAGGGAGAGGGAGAGGGAGAGAGAGGGAGACAGAGGGAGACAGAGGGAGAGAGAGGGAGACAGAGGGAGACAGAGGGAGAGAGAGGGGAAGAGACAGAGGGAGACAGAGGGAGAGAACACACCTAGTATTATTTATATAATAGTACTCTTATCTGGTTTCTCACCTCAAAAATACAAGAATTTTTTCTTTTGGCTAATTTTTAAAACGGCTCATTTAAAAAATTTATCTCATCCAATTTATAGAGTATCATCACCAGAGGATCTTTCCCAGTTCAGAATACACTTACAGTTTTACAAACCTATGTTGTTATTTCTTTGTATGAAAATCAGTTTAAAAAAAAGAAACCACTGTTTTTAAAATTCTATTAAAAAATTTTTCAATTCTTTTCAATGGCCTTTTTTTTTTTTTTTTTTTTAAAGGGAGGGAAAGAGGCTCTTTGAATAAAGATTACTTTCTCAGGAAAGCTTTCCCTGGACCCTAACAAGACCAAATTGCGTGAGATTATTCTGTGCTCCCACAGCAGTGAGCACTCCATCATTGCACGGCTCCTACTTATTAAAACTGCCTATTTAATTATCCATTTAAATTAAATTTATAATTTAAATTTGTGTTATAATTGCACAGCATAGTGTAGTGGATAAACATGAAATTTTTGGAGCCAGACTGGCAGGTAATTCCATCTTTGGTACATACAAGCTATGTGGCATGGGGCATATTAAACTTTCTTATCTCAGTTTCCTTATCTGTAAAATGTAGATGATGGTAATAAGAATGCGTTCACTTCACAGGTTGTTACAAAAGGATTAAATAAGTAAATATATGTAGCACTTGGAAAAGTTCCTGGCACATAGTAAGCACATAATAAACACTAGTCATTATATTATTATTATTATTATTATTATTATTATCATCATCATCCAAGTTAGAGATTATGTCTTACAAATTCTGAGAGCACAGGGACCCTATTTTTTTTCTTTTTCCCCCAACAATGACATCCTCAGAATGATGCCTGCCACATACATAGCAGGTGCTGAACAAATGACAAAGGGAGGGGAGGAGGTTTTAGCTGCTAAATCTTTAAAATGCTGCTGAGTTTTAGATATTATAAATGTCCAATCAGTTTCTCCATAGACCTCAGGGTAACTATCAGAAAGAAAGGTGGTAAGAAACTAGCTTATCTAACCGGATTGAACAAGTATCCACGGGTTTCTGGTATTCAAAGAGCTACAAGATTTCCCACCAATTACCGAAATCTTACACCCTCTAAGTGGGCAAAAGCCAGAAGAATCGGCCAAAACCCATAAGCCATCAGAAAGTTCTGGATGAGGCCTGGATATAAATAAGTGTTTATGCTTCAAAGTGAAATATTAATAAAATGGAAAGTTAAAAAAGTAAGAATAAATGCAGTTTCAAAGAGAGAAAAGTGTTCTTACTGTATTTCTTCACTTACCCCATCATAAATTGCCAAAATTAATGTCTAGATAAATAACGCTATACTTTCTAAAACAAATCCTTGAATGTCACTGTCTCTCTCAGTTAAACACAACTATGAAAAAGTCAAGTGGGTTGACTTGATCACAACAGTCTGTTATGTGAGAGCGGGAATTATATCTCTAGTTACCACTCACTAATCTCTCACAAGGGACAAGCACACTAACGGGCATGTAGTAGGTGACTAATCTGTTAATGTAATGAATGACTGAAAAATAAACACTACCCCAGTTAATGAATCAGGTCTACATCGGAAACAGCTACTTAATAGTATTTTAAGATTCTGATATCCTTTAACAGGTCAATACTAACATATAATAAAATTTCTTAACAGGGAGATAGATTCTGTCATCCAGGTCCATACATTTCTACAGGGCAAGAACTTTTTATTCCTCTTCATAATCCAAAAAGAGACTAGCATAGAATTTTGTGTGTAATGAAGTGCTTAAGTTTTTGTTGAGAGGATGAATAATCTCTTCAGGTAACATTTTATTCATGAATGCTAAGTAGTTTTATAGAATTACTCTAATCCAAGAAGGAAGAGCGAGTCTTGAACTGGCCTAGGAGGAAGAGGAGAATCAAAAACTTTTAGAAATAGAATATTCAAAAAATATGCTGGATACATGAGATGCTGCTTAGCACAAGGGCAAGTATTTTTATAAAATTACCTGTCCTTAAAAACTGTACTATATAGTGTGACATATCTAAACATTTTTTAGGAAACAGTTTATTCTAAATTAATGTACTAACTTTATACCTGTAAAAGGTTTATTGAAAGATTACATTCACATTAATGTACAATTTCATAATATACATTTAATATACATTTAATATACATTTATAATATACAATTAATATACAATTTTCTCCCTTTGCCTTCTATATATTCTTTAGTTTATTTCCAAGAAGTATTCTTTTGTGAAATACTAGATAGTATCTTTTAAAAGCTAGTCTTTTGCAGATAGTTTGAGAAGCACTAATCTACATCCTCAGTACTAAAAATGTGGTCCTTAAAACTGACTTATTGGCAAATTCTGGGAGTTTGTTGAAATGCAGAAGCTCCGGCAGAGTTTTAGGCCTAGTGAATCCAGAATCTGCATCTTAACAAGATTTAAAGGAGATTTATAAACAAAATGAAGTTTGGCAAGAACTGGTTTATATTATCCTGTAAGTCACAGGACCCGGTACATTGTAAAACAGTATTAGCCCTATTATTTCTTTTTGTAGTACCACTAGCACTCACTAGCACTACATCAAATCCTAAAGAGCTCACATTGTAAAACCATAATTCCACTGTCGTGTTCATAAATCTGCCTATCACATACTATATACAACCAGTAAAATTAACAGTTAAAATGTTACTGTCCCCCTCCCAAGAAAATCTCACATTTTACATAATTTAAAGCTTTTATCTTCTACTACTATAAATCAACAGTATTATCACTGAGCATATAACTGCTCGTATATATTTTTATTTCCTGATATTTGTAAAATCAGTTAAAATAAATCAAACATAAGGTACAATATAATTTTATTAAAACCCATGCTTAAGAAGCAACAACTAATTGCAAGAAAAGAGAACATCAGCCAATGAGCAAAACCATGTTCTTACATTCAGAGGATAACATATTTTAAAGTAACTTTAAAATACCAGTCCCATATATTAAATGTTTATTTTATAACAACAGGCCGGAAAAATAGGAGGAAAAAAGAATATACAATAATGCTTAACTTCTATAAAATTTATAGAGCTGGGTGCAGTCGCTCACACCTGTAATCCCAATACTTTGGGAAGCCGAGGTGGGAGGATCACTTCAGCCCAGGTGTTCAAGACCAGGGCAACATAGCGAGACTCTGGTGCTACAAAATACAAGAAAATCAGCCAGATATGGTGGAATACACCTATAGTCCCAGCTACTTGGAAGGCTGTGATAGAAGAATCCCTTGAGCCCAGGAGTTGGGGGCTGCAGTGAGCCAGTATCACGCCACTGCATTCCAGCATGGGAAGCAGAGCCAGAGCTCATCTCAAAAAATTTTTAAAAATTAAAAACAAATAAATAAAGTTTATAGAAAGAAGACTAGAAAATTAATTATAAAAAGTGTTAGTATTTTTTTCATTTGCCTATATTTTCCAAAAATTCCTAAAACAGTCGTTTATTTTTCTAAAAGATATATTATTTCTCAGATTTTCCTTTAACATGATTAAAATAACATATACCCATTGTAGAAACGAGAGAATGTACAAAAATCGCATCAAGTAAGCAGGAAAAAAATCTCTTTTTATCTCCACTGAAATGCAAACATCAACAAGACACATTTTCTTTCAATTTTTAAATGTTTCTAAACTAGTCCAGACATATTAAAATGTACATAATAAAAAGTCATGTGCCCACAACTCAACAAATAGAACATTACCAGTATAGTTTAAACCCCTATGTAATTATAATTCCCATTAGAAGCAAACACTATCCTAAATTTGTTTTTTATCATTTTCACACATTACTTAATACTTTCATTACATATTATTATCTAAATGATATATAGCATCACTTTTTATGTTTCTAAATAGTATCTCTTTTTCTTTATTCAGTTAACATTCAATATATAAGACTGATGTATGCTGACAACGTGTAGCACTGGTATATACATGTCACTCCTATAGAATACTCTATTTATAAACATACCACAATTTATCCAATTCCCTATTGACATTCAGCTTGCCTCCAATTTCTCCCTATTACAAATAAGGTTGTTATAAACATTTTAGGAATATGTCTCCTTGTACGAATTTATATGAAATTTTCTCTTGGGGTCAATTATCTAAATGTGAAATTACTGGTTTGCAAGGTATGCTTGTGTTCAAATTTACTAGATATTGCCAAACTGTTCTCTAGAATAGAAATATGTTATCATTTAGGGGGAAAGTCTCATATCTCTTGCTGCATCATGAAAGCTCCAAACTTATGAAAGGTGGCTTCCAAAATCCCCTTGTAAGTTGTATGTAATTTGTGACACACTTCCCAAATGATAAAAAGCAAAGCAATCATGATTACATTTCCTTATCAGTTCACTTAACCGTTAGTGTAGCTATATTCTTATCTGAAATAGTTTGGCCTGGGTCCAAAGGCAGTCCTTTGCCATAAAAAATGTTCAAGACACATTTGTTAAATGAGTTAATCTTTGCTAGCCTCTTCGGTTCATCTTAAGTTTCTATAAAGTTGCATACATTACTCCAGGCACCAATAGATTAAAATCTGCAAGATATACCATATATTTTTAGTTTGTCACTGGTATCCTATCTTGATAGCCAGTGTTGTGTGGACTGTTAAGAGTCATGGCAACAAGACTGGCTGCTGCTGACTTTTAGAATCTGACCCATGGCCGTAATAATACACAGTTCATGATTAAAATAGTACTGCATATCTTGGTAGGAACCACTAAGACAGTACTTTTGAATTCTGTTACTAGTCAGGGCAGTTGACCATGAGCCACTTATTTACACTCCCTCTTCCTGCCCCATGACTAAAGCCAATCATCTTTAAGGGTAAGTTCCAATTAAAAGTATAATAGTGAAACAATGTTTATTTAATAACTGGCTCACATATGTGCTAAATCCCTGGCCTAGATTCATTTCCTTGAAGGTGAAAGTAGATAAGCCACAGCTGATAGATCAGTGGTTCCTTCCAGGAATATATTACCGAATCTTCACTCATCCTCCCTAATTTGAGGTTTTGTGTAACAGTACTAACCATAATAGCATGGGCCGGGTGCAGTGGCTTTTGCCTATAATCTCAGCACTTTAGGAGGCTGAGGCTGGTGGATCACTTGAGGTCAGGAGTTCGAGACCAGCCTGGCCAACATGGTGAAACCCTGTCTCTACTAAAAATACAAAAAACAAAAACAACAAACAAACAAACAAAAAACATTAGCCGGGTGTAGTGGCATGCGCCTGTAGTCCCAGCTACTTGGGAGGCTGAGGTAGGAGAATCGCTTGAACCCAGGAGGCAGAGGCTGTAGTGATCTGAGATCACGCCACTGCACTCCAACATGGGTGACAGAGTGAGGCTCCAACTAAAAAGTAATAACTACTACTATAATAAAAATAATAATAGCATGAGCATACATTTGGCGATACCATTTGCCAGAACTTGGGCTAAAGGCTTTATTCATTTAATCTTTACAACACTATGAACTAGTTACTATTATTCCCATTCCACAGATGAGGCAAGAGGCACAGAAAATTTACACAGATCACCCAAAGTCTAACAGTAAATAGTAGGATGGGGATTTGAATCCAGGCTGTCTGTCCAGAGCCCACCATGAAATGCTGCCTTTCTAGTAATAACTGCTCCCCGATAGAACTATTGTGAACTGAATGGCTCAATGACAGGCTGAAGCCATACAAAATGAAGAATAAATCTGTTCAAACAGTAATTCATAAGAATAAAGGAATGAAAGTAGGAAAATGCAACAACAAAACAAAACAAAACAAAATTTAACTACCCAGTTTGGCAAATGGTGCTCACAACAGTGGAGACAGTCATAAGAGCTTTAGTAAACTGTTTGGACTGGGGGACTCTCATGAAGCCACAAACAAAATGGGAAATGGAAAAACCTCCGCTGCTAAGTGAACATCTACTGCAGACATTTTTATCTACCGCAGAACTTTTCTCTTGCCCAAGGTGGGAATAGGTACAGTAGTCTTCTGGGATGCTAACATAATTCCCATGGAAAATGCATACAGAGGCCTCAAAAAACCTAGAGGCAAATTTCTACAGCGTCAGAGCCAGTAGTTGAGTACCCTTATGTTAAAGTTTATGATAATGATTTGGCAATTATAGTTAAGAATTAATATTCATTATAATTAATTGGGAAAGGCTATGTAACTCCATTCTAATAAAAGGCATCCGAATGGCCTAGCTGTAATGCACTGACAATTGCAAAAAAGGAAATTATTCACAGAGATATCAAAATCTTTTGGGTCAGGGCCCTAAATCCAACATCAATTGAATGCTCAACAAGAGAAACAGCATGATAGGGGGCACTAATCTTCCTCAGGGACTCTGTGATTCGTTCTGCAGTACTGAAGCTTCCCAGAAATAGCAACTGAATGCAAAACGGCTTGTTAAGAGACAGACCTATTATCCCCTTCCTCAATTCCTAGATCTCTGAAATCAACAGTGATTATCTGGCTAAAGGACACAGGTGCCATGTGAATAATCCAACAAAGAACCGGCAATGAAGGAAGTCTTCATTTCTACTTAACATCAAAGGCAGACAGTACCCCTGCTTTCTGATGTACAGTATACAGTTTCTCTTGCAGAGTGCTCAGCAGCTGAAATGCTGGAACTCCCTTTGAAAAACAGAAAGGTTTCACTATCAAGTTATGAGAGGTAGGTGTAACTGTGAGTACATTAGATATACAAAACCTAACTTTTAGAGATAACCTTTAAATGATAAATTAGCTTCTTAAAACTAAAATATAATCCTGTCAGTAGAGACATTTATTTTCAATGAGCAGCTTACTGAAGTAACTAATCAGGTTTTTCTTGGAAGTGGAATACTTCCTCATTTTGAACTTCTGTAATTTTTCAATTTGAAAGAGCATCTAAATTATTTTTCAAGAAAGCTGCTGTTTTAATTTGAGAAAGCGTTTTTAGAATGATCTTTAAGTCTCCTTAAATATACCAAAATCACAGATTTAGAATCTGTGAGTCTTCCTATTAATATGTTAATACTTTATAGATTTATTTAAAGAAAATATCTCTTCAGGTTAGTCCTTATTGCTACAAAGAACAAAGGAATTAAATTCTAAATACACTACCCTCTCATTTCCATAGCACTTTTGTAACTAAAGACCATTTTACTTATTTCTGCATGGTTGTCAGTCTCCTTTCACTGAAAAAATCAGTAAGTAAAGGCATTTCCTTCTCTAACCACGTTAGAGAACAAGGCTGAGGAACAACCGCCAGGGGCTACTCATTCACCAGTTTGAGAAACATCTACTAGAATTGAATAAAATCACACAGCGGAGGGATTTTGTGGTTATTTGTGTGTCCAGATATACTGACTCGTATCTTACGTCAATTGATCTAATCAAACTATGTGAATTTATAAAAAATGAAAGCAGAAAAAGTACTGTTCCACTCCATCCCTACTCTACCAAAAAGCATGGTTTGTATCCTGGAGTGAGCATGAGATGTGGAAGTGCCAGCAATTCTCATGGATTTTTTAATGCTTCTCAGTGGAAGCATCTCCTTCCATGGCCATGATTCTAGTGTGAGAAATAGTATTCTTCATATAACATGGTATGAAAACACAAGTCAGCATCTTCACCTAGTACACAATCAAAGAAATAACTATCTGATCCATTACCAGAGAAAAACTCTATTCTGATGTGTGTATGTAAACTGTGAAGCACGTTTAAGTGGCATTACTTTATTGGAATAGTTTCAGCTAATACATGTAATTAAAAGTAAAAAGCAGTTATTTCCTAAAAAATAAAATTACACTTCAATTCAGACATTTAGTCCAAACTGATACTGCTTTACTGTATTTGCACCCAATACAAACTTTTCACATACTTACGAAAATATAATGAGTTAATTACATTTGCACATAATATAAAATTTTCAGATACTTACAAATATAGAAGACCAGCATTACTTTGATAACAAAAGGTCACAGCATTACCTTTCTTTTCTTATACCCTTCCTAAGGAAACTAAAGCTAATTGTGATATAAACTGAGTTATCTATGTGATCAAATACGATGGTTTTCATCAGCAGCAATAACCGAAATGGATTTCTTGTCTGCTTTGAGTTCTAATATTTGTAATGCATACTATCAATCTATATCCTAAATGCCAGGTGTGCTTTTTGATACTTCATCTTCTCGTCTTACCTGCTCTCGATTTTTAGCCCCCATTTTCTCCTTCAACACTCATCTTATTTTTTTACCTATCTTTTCATGTCAATCTAGTTATTAATGAAATTAAAGAAATTAAAATATGCATATGGAAGTGTGATAATGCATATGTATATATGTGTAGTACTGCCTATAATACATTAGGCATTGTGCCAGATGATAGGATGCAAGAATAAATAAAAGCCTTTGCCTTCAAGGAGCTTACAGTCACAAGAAGTCACAAGAAGAGAGAGACATTATCTGAAAATATATTAATAAACTGAATAACCTTTTCATGAGGTCTGGGCCTGAGATGCATGTACCACATTATAGCTTCCAAGGTTTGATTAGTACCATTGGACTCCCTAGTAGTCTAGGGGACAGGATGATAATAAACAGTAAAAATTTAAATGAGGTACAAACCAGTCCGCCAAATTACAAGTTAAACTTGCTGGGTTTTGTATGAATAGTTTAGAAGATGCTAATACACCAGCACAGCTTCAAATGGGAGCACCAAAAGCAGAACAAATACTGTTAGGCAGGCAGAAGTCGCATTAAGATTTGCTAAAGAATACCCTAAAGCAAAATGAAACATATTGATAACTGGAAAATAAAGTGTCAATAAGCACCTCTGGTGTCATTTTGATCATCACAACTAAGTTTTATTGAGTACATACTACGTACCAGCACTGTGTTAAGAATATCCATGCATTGTGTCAGTTAATTTAACCTATATTAACCTATATATCGAATAATACTATATTTCCCCCATCTCATAGACGAGACAATAAATGTGTTATTTAAGTTTCTGGTACCTAGTTAACAATAGGTAACTAATAAAAAATTAAAAAGAAGAAAATATTATTCACAATCTTGTCAATAAATTTGAAGAAGTAATACTTCTCAACTAATTCTTTCAAGCCAGGATTAGCATAACAAATTCTTAAGAAAGTACATGCAAACGTTTTTTTTTTTTTAAAAAACTACAGATCCGCCAGGTGTGGTAGCTCACGTCTGTGAACCTAGCACTTTGGGAAGCCGAGGCAGGCAGATCACTTCAGGTCAGGAGTTCGAGACCAGCCTGGCCAACAAGGTGAAACCCTGTCTCTACTAAAAAAAAAATATACAAATTAGGCAGGTGCAGTGGCGGCAGCCTGTAATCCAAAAAATGCAATTAAAAATACTTATAACATCATCAAAAATTATGAAACATTTAGTTAATAAATTAAACAGAAAATGTGCAAGACTTGTTCACTAAAAACTATCTAAAAATACTAACAGAGATCATGTCACTGCACTCCAGCCTGGGCGCCAGAGCAAAGCCTTGCCAAAAAAAAAAAAATATATATACACACACACACACACACACACACACACACACACACACACACACACATATATATACATATATATGGAAAGTAAATACTTAAATATAGAGATATATCATATGCATGAATCAAAAGCCTCCACACTGTTAAGTTCCCCCTCCAACTGATCTACAGACTCAATGCAATCCTAATCAAAATCCTACACAGCTTCGTAGAAACTGACATACTGGTTTTAAAGTTTTCAATATATATATGCAAAGAACGTAGAATAGTTCAAACAATTCTGAAACAGAATAACAAGGTGGAAGACTTACACTACCTGATACCAAGATTTACTTTAAAGGTATAGAAATCAAGACAGTTATGGTATTGGTGTGAAGATAAAATCAATAAAACACAATACAGAGCCCAGATATTGATCCTCGCATATATGGCCAACAGATTTTTAACAGAGATAACAAGTTAACTCAATGGGAGGGAAGAAAAATCTTTTCAACAAATGGTGGTGGCAAACTGGACAGCCTTATGAAAAAAAAATTAACGTTGACCTGACTTGACATCTTATACAGAAACAAACTCACAATGGATCACAGATTTAAGTTAAGAGCTAAATGTTTACACTGCCTAACTTACTATTTCTTGAGACTGCTACTAGCAGTCAAACTACATTTCTTAAGTAATATCGAGGGAATTCTATGATGGAAAAAAATGTGGGAAAAAGTTTATTCTATTCCTTTCTTTTCTTTTTTTTTTTTTTGAGACAGAGCCAGGCTGGAGTGCAGTGGCGCGATCTCGGCTCACTGCAAGCTTCGCCTCCTGGGTTCACGCTATTCTCCTGCCTCAGCCTCCCCAGTAGCTGGGACTACAGGCGCCTGCCACCACGCCCAGCAAATTTTTGTATTTTTAGTAGAGACGGGGATTCATCATGTTAGCCAGGATGGTCTTGATCTCCTGACCTTGTGATCCCGCCTCAGTCTCCCAAAGTGCTGGGATTACAGGTGTGAGCCACCGTGCCCGGCCTATTCTATTCCTTTCTTAAAGATTTATCATTTACTACAACCTATTAAAAACTAAGAAATCTAATAATAAAAAAGTCTATTTAATTTTAACTAATACATAAATGTTTTGGATCACAAAGCTCTGTATTCGTACACTGCTTGTTAATATCCTATGAAGGCCAGTTTGAGAAACTATGATCTTATTCAAAATTTTTGTTTTACACATTAGAAATCTGATGCCCATCCGAACGCAGTGGCTCATGCCTATAATCTCAGGACTTTGGGAGGCCAAGGCAGGAGGATCACTTGAGCTCAGGAATTTGGTAACAGCCTGGGCAACCTAAGTGAGACCCTGTCTCTACAAAAAATTAGCCAGATATGGTAGCACAGGCCTGTAGTCCCAGCTACTTGGGAGACAGGGGCAGAGGATCACCTGAACCCAGGGGTTCAATGCTGCAATAGGCCACGATCGTGTCACTGTACTCTAGCCTGGGCAACAGAGCAAGACCCTGTCTCAAATAAAAAAAAAGAATGGAAAGAAAGAAAGAAAGAAAGAAAGAAAAGAGAGAGAGAGAGAGAGAGAGAGAGAGAGAAAGAAAGAAAGAAAGAAAGAAAGAAAGAAAGAAAGAAAGAAAGAAAAGAAACCTCATGTCATGTCCAGAAAAAATGACCCATTTGACCAAGTTCATTTGTCTAATGAGAGAACTCAGGCTTAAATTCCCTGTTCCTTGTATTACAAAACAGATTATCATTTTCACTTGCTATACAATATGTCCTGGAGGTTTCATAAACAAATATTCCTTCTATTTCTGGACTTTTACTCTCCCCTAGGCCATCCTTATCATAGCTTTTATCATTCTACAGTACAATAATCTCTGTTTTTCCCATAAGAATGAGGACTCCCTTTATGAAATATAAACTGATGATTTTTGTTTTCCACAACTAATTTCAGTGACAAGGAAATAGTGGAATCTCAGTAAAAGCTTCATGAATGAAAGGAGCTGGGAAAAAAAACATTTCCATGTTAACAACATAAAGATGTGCATACAGAATTCCAAGAGACTACAAAACTCGAAGTAGGGAAGAAAGATACTGAGGAAAAACGATCTAAGGAAGTAAGGCAAAATTAGTGGAAAATAAACAGTAATACACACACAGCAAAAACTCAGAAAAGTCAACTCAATAAGATGCAACAGTATTACCAACATCGAGAAGATATTTGGTTCAGGACAGCTGGCACTTAATTATTTAATCACAAAATAATTTCCAGTCCTAACCACCAGAATATGCTCTGCTCCGTGCACAAAGCAACAAACTGATTATGATGTAAAATGACATTTAAATAATTATTTCATTTTATAAGAAGGTTAAAGCATCAGTTCAATATGTTGAAGGGAAACGTTTCAAGCTTGTTCTCAGAATAAAAGTGTTTAAGTATATGACAACAAAAATACATGACACAAAAATCTAACCATTATTGATGACACCAATCCTTTGGCCTATATAAGCTAATTTAGGTCTCTTAAATGCCTTGTGAGATGCATATCCTTTTAAACAGATTTGAGGAACTGAAATCTCTTCCTTTCCTAGAATGTATTAATCTGCAATCTGTTATAAGAATATAGATTTGTATAAATTTACATTCATAAGAATGTGGGTTGCCCTACTTCTTTTTCCCAATAATCTCCAAATCCCAAGACCTGCAATACAGTGAACTTTCCAAAAGTTCAACTGTGGTGGTAGACCTCTGTAATCCCAACTAATCAGGAGGCTAAGGTGGGAGAGGCACTTGAGCCTGGGAGGTCAAGGCTGCAGTAAGCCATGACTGTGCCACTGCATTTCCAGCCTGGGCGACAGAGCAAGACCCTGTTTCAAACAAACAAAGAAACAAACAAACAAACTTCTTGTTGGGCATTTAAAAACCCTAATAGTCCATCATCTTTTCAGGATATACTCCAAGAATTCAAAACAGCTACCTCTCCAGTGACCATCCAAGATTTGAAAAATTCCTAACATCTTTTTTTTTTTTTTTTTTTTAATCAAAATGGGCATGAAATTTCTCATGGGAATGTAAAAAGAAGAACAATGTATAGATTTCTATATGAGCTAAATACTGTATAAAACTTCCTCTATTAATTCTTGCACACTTCCTATGAGAAAAAGCTCTTTGGAGATGAGAAATCTGAGGCTCGGGAATTAACTCTCTTGTCCAAGGTCAAATAGAGTGGTGAAAACTAGAAGCAAACCTGTCTGATTCATCCTATGGCTCATTTATTTTAATACATAAAATACGAATTACTGCTTTTATAAGAAGTAAGATGGCAGTACCGTTATCCTGAAACTTCTAAGGCCGGGCGTGGTGGCTCATGCCTGTAATCCCAGCACTTTGGGAGGACGAGACAGGCGGATCATGAGGTCAGGAGATCGAGACCATCCTGGCTAACACGGTGAAACCCTGTCTCTACTAAAAATACAAAAAAAATTAGCCAGGAGTGGTGGTGGGCGCCTGTAGTCCCAGCTACTCGGGAGGCTGAGGCAGGAGAATGGCATGAACCCAGGAGGCAGAGCTTGCAGTGAGCCAAGATTGCGCCACCGTACTCCAGCCTGGGCGACACAGCGAGACTCCGTCTCAAAAAACAAACAAACAAACAAAAAAACTTCTAGTGACTCTGTCCTTCAAGTCCTGCACAAGTAGAAATAACTGTTCTGGGGGTCTCTTTTATAATTTGGCAAATGCAACACAGTAAAAAGGGAAAGTAATTTAGAGACAGCCTGGATAAAGTCCTAAGCATTTAATATCTGATAAGTTATCTACCTTTTCTGAGCTTCAATTCTGTCACCTCTAAAATGGAGAAGATTTTAAAAATGGCTTCTTGGTGAGCTCGTGTGAAGATCAAAGCAGGTAACATGAAAGTGTGTAAACTAAATTGTGACAAGTGCTGGTTATGATTTCATTGTTATTAATTTAAAAACCCAAGTGGGTACAAAAAAGTGTCACCCTACTTTTTATTCCCACAAATAAGCAATCTCTAAACTTAGGGAAAAAATATTAAACAGGCTGTCAAGAAAGACCTCAACAATTACAAAAAGGGACATAAAGATTCAAAGATTAATATGCTTTGATTTTTACTTGTTAACTTTAAAATCTGAACAGTTAGAAGATTAAAAAAGAAAACTATAAAGATTAGATCAGTCCTGATCAAGATGTTATTTCATGGGCCTAGAAAGTTAATCACAGTAAGGTGAGAAATTGACATGAAGGTTATTTCCAAAAAGATCCACAGCAAAGCCTCTCAGTAAGTGTTGTCCCCAGGAAGAAAGGCTAGTCTGAAAAAAACAGAAGCTTTAATTGTCTTAAAATGGAAACATGGGCAATCTGATCAGTATGTGCTTTCTTTCACTTTAAATATCTGCTAGCAAGAGATTTAAAGGTGCTTACATCATCACAACCCAATTTTTTCTTATCCAAAAACATTTAGGTTATAATTTATAGGCAGGTGCTGTTTCAAACAGAACTAAGAGTAAAAACATTTTACTCTTCTGGCTTTATTTAAACCTAACTTTAAAACACACCCTTTTTCTTACTCATAGTTTTCTTCACATTCAGAACATTCAGAAGGAGCAGTTACATAACAAAACAGAGATTAATGGGAACACAGATGCAATATATAGAAAACACTTACTTTAATTCTCTGACCCTTCTGTCTTGCTTTGCTATTTAACTGCTTCATCTCGTGTATTGTACCTGAGATCAAGAGGCATAAAATACTATTTCAAAATTCGTGTGTCCTTTCTAATTACTGTATTTGAACTCCTAGTAGCTATAAAATGTATACCTTTTTCCCCTTCAAAAATAAAAACAATAGCAAACACACAATTTTGAGAAAATATCTACACTAGAGAAGAAAAAGTAACACTAATCTTTATTACCCATCAATGCTGACAAATGGGACAACTGAGTAAAAGCTATTTTATATTTCTTTATTCACACAACTCGATTTTCCCATGTATTAAGGAAAACTATTTATCAAAATCAAACAATCTGTTTTAATACAACCATAGCTAACTTGACAAAGCCTAAATAAAACACATGAAGTTTAATTCAGGAGTTACCATTTTGTGGGTGAAGTGAGTCTACATGATTTTATATCTTTCCCAGTCACTTAGTTGTACCAGTTTTGTGTTTTCCCCTTTGTGAAATTTCTTATATAACTTTGCAATCTGATTACTATCCTCCCAATCCAAGTCTTATTTCATTATCCGTGGGTCCATGTACCATCTTTTCAGATCATCCTATTTTTTGTCACTCTTTCACCTTGGATCCATTCTTCATACCACAGTAAGTTAATATTTATAAAACATTTTGTGTATAAAATCTATTTTTAATTGGCTCCCAAAGAATAGATAACATTTTTTTCTACAGAAATGTTAACCTGCCTTATCTCGTACTATTTTCCCACAAAGTAAGCTGATTTATTATCTACCGAATTTTGTAATGAGACCACTGTACTGTTTCCATCATTCCATATTTCCAGACTTTCTTCCAGCCCTATTCAAATGCTATCTGTCCTGTAACAGTCTACTCAAACACTTCCTCCTCTATTAAGTCTTTCTTGACCATCCAAAGTAATCTCCCTCCTCTGGAATCTCACAGTAGCCAAGAAAATTATTTTCGTAATTAACTATTTGTTGCCTAATTACAGCATCTCCACTGCTGTCTTAAAAGAGTTAAGAAGTTTTTTGGGCTGTGTTTGTTTTTTGTTTTTTGTTTTGAGATCGGGTTTCACTCTGCCATCCAGGCTAGAGTGTAGTAAGGCTCATTCTAACCTCCGCCTCCCGGGCTCTAGAGATTCTCCTGCCTGAGCCTCCCGAGTAACTGGGACTACAGCCAACACCACCACACCCGGCTAAATTTTTAAGAGATGGGGTTTTGCCATGTTGCAGAGGCTGGTGTTGAACTCCTGGACTCAAGCGATCCACTTGCCTCAGCTTCCCAAAGTGCTGGGATTACAGGTGTGAACCAGCAACTTTTTTTTTTTCTTCACTACAACCTCAACCCCTGGGTTCATGTAATCCTCCCACTTCAGCCTCCTGAGTAGCTCGGACCACAGGTGCGCACCACCAGACCTGGATTTTTTTTTTTTTCTATTTTTTGTAGAGAGGGGGTCTCATTTTGTTGCCCAGGCTGGTCTCAAACTCTTGGGCTCAAGCAATCCTCCCATTTTAGCCTCCCAACGTACTGGGTTTACAGGTGTGAGCCATCACGCCCAGCCTAAAAAGTAACTCTTTAGGCAAATATGACTTACATGTCTAAGCATATTTCCTGAACTATAAGATACACATTTATTCACCTTTAACATTTAAGAAACTGAATGCATTTACAAATCTCAACATCTTAAAATTGGGGGATCAGGGTAAGTCCAACCTCCCTAAAAGCAGGCCAACTATACTGTTCTTATGCCACTGGACTCTGTTGGAGGAAGGAAACTACAGGTTGCCTCTGCCCATAGATACACTCTTAAGGCATCTGCTGTCAAATGTAAATGAACTACCCACCAGTTCCTTCTACACCTCCAGCCAGTATGACCCTGCTGAGGTCAGAATGACCTGTGTTTTTTGTATAGATAGCACATTAGAAAAACCAAGGTTCTATTATCCTATTTCTAACTCACTACCTACAAACTATAGAGAGGTTCTTAGCCAAACTCTTCCACATTAACGAAAAAATACTGAACTCCTGTTAAGAATGGAGAGAGCGCTAAACAAAATTAAAGTTCCCTTTAGCCATATCTGGCAGGAATGGTCCAGGATTTGCAAGAAAAATGACATTAATCTCATCCAGATAATCTTATAGGCTGATTTTACTTTCCCATAGAATCTGAAAGCTTATGTTTACTTTCACTGAGTTTTTATTTATTTTTGTTTCCCTTATCCCAAGGCCCCAATCTATGGCTTTGTCTATGAACTTTAGAAGACTGGAGAAATACTTAAATCCTTGTACCCACATATTTTCATTTTCAACCTAGTTGGGTCTATGGTCCGTTTTTGTTTTTAACAACTGGTCTGTGAAAAAAACCACTGCTGATGCTTTTTAAATGAACTGAATCCTCATATCCCTTTATTGCTATAGGTATCAGAAATCATAGCATGTATTGAAACAAAAAGCCTCAGAACATACCTATTACTATCCCTTAATAAAAAAAAAATCCCGGATATCATCTTGTGCTGAATCATATACAGCAGCTAAATCAAGTATTTTAAAGCTAAATCATCACCACACAACTGGTTTTCCCCTTTCCACTGACAGGTATAAGCCCCAAACTTTAGTGAGGAAGTTATTATTAGTACCCACCCCCTTTTAATCAATGAAAAAAGAAAAAAAGATTAAAGTAAAAACACATAACTTGCTCAGAGTCACAGAGCAATGAGGCAGAAGTGCCAGAAATAGAACCCAAGACAGCTTGATTTTAATGCTCAAGCTCTTAAATTCTATGCTATTCTACCCAATACACTATACTTGCTAAACTGTTCTATCATATCATGTCCCATGTCCTCTTTTATCAGCTGCAGACCCTCTTCTATTTTCACCTTTCTCCTCTCTCTTTTCCCATTCCTTCAGTATATGGCAGAAAACGTAAAGTTCTTTGAGTTGGGAAGTACTAAAGTCAAGGGGTTAAAAAGCACTAGCATAAGATTCAGAATATCTGAGTTCTGTCATGCCAGAGGCTGTCATTAACTAGTCACATAGCCTAGCCAAATCTCTACATACAGCACAAATCTACACCTGGTCAAATCTCAAACATGTCGTTTCAGTTTCCTCATGTAGGAAATAAAGAGACAGAACATATATAACCAATGCATCTTTCAGTTTTGAAAATTCTATGATACTGTAAAACACAGAGGGAAGAAAGAGCAAAAAGATAAATGACTGTTTCATTCTGCAAGCCATAATACAGACAGAAGAGAAAACCATGGTGGACATTTAGCAATTCATTTTTTTAAAAAGCACTCAAACTCTACTCAACTTAATATTGCTTCTTTTTTAAAAAAATAACTACCATAATAGATTACATATAAACTGAAAAATGTTCATGATTAAAATGCCAACTCTTGATCACTGATGATGCCTATAAATGTAATTCCTATCAGTGGTTTCCTATCAGTGAACTCAATTCTATCTTTTAAACTAAGGAATGACCAACTCTGTATCTTAGAAAAGAGTATCAATATACTCCTCTCTCCTACTCCCACCCCAGGATGCAAACCTCAATGGTACTTTAATACTCTACTCCAGAGCTTGGCGTAGGTTGGCTAACACAGTTAAAAAGGCAGAGAAACCAAGATGACCTGGCCTCTTGACATTTCCACAAACTCATATAACTCGACATTCTAGAAACAGAATTTGTACATCAAGAAATATAACCATGAAAATGTACTTCAAATTATTATAAATAACAATATAATAGCAGTTCTCACTTATTATATCAATAAATGAAATACTTCATACCTATTATCACATTTCATCTTCACCAAAACCCTACAAAATACATGTAAAATTATCATAATTTTAGAGACCAGAAAACTAAGACACATAGAAGTAACTTTCCCATGGTCACACAGTACAAGTTTCCAAATCACTTATTATTACCATTAATACCACCACCACCTACTTCAAGCTTCACCTTAAATCAACTTTGATTCTTTCCTTCCTCAACCTCCCAGCCTAGTTAATCTAGTAAATCTGATGATTGTTCCCGAATTTGATTATATTCAGCAAACATGTATAGAGCACTCATCATGTATAAGGTGTTATACTAGAGAGACTGATAACTTTTATATCCAAGTTTGGCAGGAAGAGACTGTTGCTTTCCCAAGAAAGAAATAAACAGTTGAAGAGGGGAAATTGATTTTATTTATGTCCTTCATACATTTAAAATAAATAAAAGTAGTTAAATTAAGCATGACTGAGTCGGCAAATAATTCTCATTTATTACACTTAGAATACAGCATATTTGCAAATGTATCCATGTGTTTAAATTTGTGTAATTGTTAAATATAGATCTAATGGGTGAATTTTGAGATACACAGGTTTAAAGCCAACACTTATATAGCACTCACCACATATCAGACATTGATCTATGCAATTTCCATATATTGCCTCATTTAATCCTCAACAACTTCATGAAACAGATATCATTATCCCCATTTCACAGATGACTAAACCGAAGTACACTAGATTTAAATAACTTGTCCAGAATCACACAGGTAGTAAGTGGCAGAGTTACGATTTATACCCAAGCAGTATGATTTCACAGTCTGCCCTCTTAAGCACAGCCTTCTGAAGAGAAAAAAAAAATCTGAAACTAGAGTAAGTCATTAACACCTTAGTGAACAAGAACAACCACAATATTCTCTGGCCTTTATGCCTGGTACACCAACATTTCTATGCAATAAAGAATAAAAAGCAAGGGAGAGAGGGAACAAACTCATTAACTAGATCTCTTGCCCATGTCTAAACTACCTGAGATTTTAATCACTCCTTTCAGTCTCAGGTGCTTTACCTTTATCACCACATTCACAAATTTCTAAAACTGGAAGTGCTATTCACAACATGATTCTATCTATATGTTCATGTGTGTGTCTATGCTCTCTGCACAGGTAGACAGCAGATGAAGAGTGCAGAAACCAGGACTCTAACAAAAGTAGAGAGGAAGGAACAAATGTTTGTTCCTTCCCTCTGGGTGTCTCAAACATGCTGAGACATGCTTAGGAAATGTGAAATCCACATTGCCTAAGAATGCTGACCATGCCTACCATTTCTTCTATAACCACTCTTTTTTTTTTTTTTTTTTTTTTTTTGAGACGGAGTCTCGCTCTGTCGCCCAGGCTGGAGTGCAGTGGCGGGATCTGGCTCACTGCGAGTTCCGCCTCCCGGGTTCACGCCATTCTCCTGCCTCAGCCTCCCAAGTAGCTGGGACTACAGGCGCCCACCACTACGCCCGGCTAATTTTTTGTATTTTTAGTAGAGACGGGGTTTCACCGTTTTAGCCGGGATGGTCTCGATCTCCTGACCTCGTGATCCGCCCGCCTCGGCCTCCCAAAGTGCTGGGATTACAGGCGTGAGCCACCGCGCCCGGCCTATAACCACTCTTAGGTACAATGTCTATTTTTATGTCAACCTAGCGAAACCTCTTCACTGAATGGATTGCTGTAGGTACTTCTGATAACCAGAAACTTAATCACCTCTAAACTGCGAGGCTACTTTTCTGGTGGATTTGGTAAAAGCAAGGGCAGACACACAGACTGGAACCATGCTAGAGTGACTTTTCCTAATTCTGAAAGAATGGGGATAAGCCTAACACAGAGATAAGAAGTTTGTGACCGCTTAATACATAACTCAGGTGGAGCTCATTTATGCATCAAGGCTACTATAGTAGAATGGTATCTTACAATTAAAGTCAGGACCCTGTAAGGCAAATAGTGTACATAGCAAAAATTTCCCTTGAAAAGCTATTAAATAAAGAATAAGTTCAATCAATATGACTTTGTGTAACTATTCCCATACAGTAACATATAACATACAATATTAATAGGGTTCATCTGCCAAATATGGTTTCATATTATTGTAAAGAAAGTATTGTTTCTCCCTTATAGTTTGGCATGGGAATGGGAGAGGGATAGAATGGCAGGCAGCTCAGATAGTTCAATTCATGTTAAGTTTAAAGCAGGTATATTGTATCTCCAACAAATTACTCATTTTGCAGTTTCTAATACCCTTTTTTTGGCCTACTAAGCATTTTCAAATGTTATAAAAAGTATAATAAAAAATTTCTATTTAGTGATGTTACTGAAAATCAAATTATTTTTAAATAATGGAATCTGCTGATAGAAATGTAATATTTATATAATATGATAAAGTCTAAATAAATTTCATTTACTTGATTTCTACTGAAGTATCTGCAACTACATTGTTTAAGTTGACAAATTTTTAACTAACAAGTCAAAACTAGTCTTTAGCCAACATTAATATTTATTTTTGAATTTAAGAACCTCAATGTACTTAAATAAGAATTTAAGAAATTCAATATACTAAAATAGGAGAATGAAGTACTTTAGTTGAGATTCTTATCAACACAATTATACCCATTTATGCTTATGATTATGAAAGAAATGGTCAAGATGGTGAATACTGTTAAAAGATGAAACCCCAAAAGCTGATAATTTCCCTATAAAGTAGTACTGAGGGAGGCTTCAAAGACAACCATAAAGTTCTCCTTGGCAAGAAGAGTTGCCAAGGAGAAACTGGATCCAGATTTTTGTTTGAAAATGATACGAAAAACTTCTTAACTATCTCACCAAACCTTTTAGGTTTAGACGATGACTAGGATAGAAGGAGAAAAATTAGTGAAAGAGTGGATTTCAATGGGAACAAAAATAAAGAAGGGTAGCATTAAATCTTCACTCTATCTGATCTCTCAATAGACAGGTAGAAATACATATGTGGTTCTATGGTTCTATGAAAACTAGCTTACTATATAATCAATTTAACTTTTCACTGTACATAATACATACTAAAAATAAATAAACTAAGTAAAATACAGCATTTCACATTTGACCTATAAATAGCAAAAAGAAAAGCAAGATTTGCTTTGGATTTCATGTCTGAAGGTAAACTTAATTTCAAGATCATAAATTACATAAGTGTTTGGATACATTAGTACTTTTCTTCTCCTAAAATCCTATGCAGCACTCAAGGGGGGTGGTGGGGGGGCGGGGCGGTGAAGAAAGCCTGAAAGAGAGAGAAATATAAGGCACCCAGGCACCATTTAATGCATTCTAAGAGATAACAAGTTATTACAAAGTAACTCAAGCCTCTGAAAAAAATAATCCAATATTAATAAGTAGTACTGTGAGTTTCCCACTACATAAAACTCCTACCTTCAAAATCTAAACTAGATCCTATCTCACATATTCACAATATTACTCAAAGAATCAGAAACGTTTAAGAGTGGAAGGAAATTTGGGTATCAACCAGTTTAAGTAGCCTCAAGACAAAAACAATGCGTCCAAGATTAAATAGCTAAGACAAAAATAGTGTGTCCAAGATTAAATGGCTGGTTCACAATACAGTTGATAGTAAAATCCAAGTCCTGACATACTCAGCATAGGGTTCTTTACACTACAATGTAGCTTTCTCAGCCTCTGATTCTCAAAAGTGAAACACAAAAACCCACCTTTAACAGCCTCTTTATATATCTTTTTGGATTCCATACGACTATCCCAGTTCTTTCCAAAGGATTTAAAATAAATTAAACATGGGCTACAGCCAGATATAACAGTAAAACCCCGTATTTTAAAAGGTATTTTAACTCAGCATTTTTCAATGCAAACTTGTGTAAACCATACTGAGACTATGCATTTCAGTCACTTACTCAGTTTTCCTCCCATTAAGGCAATTTGCTTCTAGGATTAACTACCCATAAATCTTATGCTTGTCTCTTTCTTCTCTTGGTTAATTCTGAGAGAAATGAGAAATTTATTCACTTAAAGTATGGCCTTTTGGAAAAGTCTTTCTCTCTCTCTCTTTTTTTTTTTTTTTTTTGAGATGGAGTCTCACTCTGTGGCCCAGGCTTGAGTCCAGTGGCATGATCTTGGCTCACTGCAACCTCTGCCTCCCAGGTTCAAGCGATTCTCCTGCCTCAGCCTCCCGAGTAGCTGGGACTACAGATGCCCACCCCCACGCCTTGGCTAATTTTTGTATTTTTAGTAGAGATGGGGTTTCACTATGTTGGCTAGGCTGGACTCGAACTTCTGACTTGTAGTGATCCACCTGCCTCAACCTCCCAAAGTGCTGGGATTACAGGCATGAGCCACCATGCCCAGCCTGGAAAAGTATCTCTTAACCTCGTCAGTTTACTAGAGAAAGTCTGGGAGCAGAGTGCTTACTTTTATTCCAATTCTTTGATCTAATTTTCCACCTCCTGGTCTCATTTTATAAAGCTTTGGGGGTTTTTTGTTTTTGTTTTTGTTTTTTGCTGGAAAGGGCTCTAACCTTGTGACCTCAGTGTGTAGAAAGTTGACTTGGTCCTATTTTCTCTTAACTGTTAACTAAGAAATGTCATCTGTTATGTCTGTTTTGATATGCTTCCAAGAGGCAGGGCTGTTGAGTTCCTGATGCAAAGGGCTGATGACTGTTGAAGCAAGGATGAGGGAGAGAGGCTAGAAGTTAGTATGTTGAAAGCCAATGCCATCTCTCAAAGCAAATAAACAACACATAAAGAAAAATGGCTAAATACATATGGAGAGCACTTATGCATTCTAAGCTCTTTAGTAGAGTACTGTAGGCAGTTCATGTGTACAAGTAACACCAAGAATATTTAACTGTAGGAAATTAAATTTCCAAAGTTTGACAGCTTATAAAAAGAACTAAATGTAACAAAAAGGTACTAGGTATTCTACTGCATTTCCATGAAAAGAAATTAATTTTCATTTCTCATAAGAAACAGCATATATGAAAGAAATTACGTAGTCTGCCAAATTACAGCTTTAATCAAGGGTTGATCAGCAAACTTACTCTAGATGAATCATAGGAAGGACTTGGTTGACCACTTGTTCCCCAAGATGTTGTACCTCCTCTTTCATCAATACCTAAAAAGAGAAGAAAATAAAAGATATATCTAAAAACATACTTTTGTGGATTTTTTTGGTACGGGACAGCAGAGTACAATTTAGCAAGTGGTATTTGCGCTTTCGTGGAAGAGCTAAGTATCAATCCTTGCTTCAGAAACCTGTAAAATATAAGTTACTGCAAAGTATCTTCATCATTGCTCCATCAATCCTCATGCAATACCCTATGTAAATTATAGTAATTCAGAATCAAAATATTTCTTTGCAGACTTTAGAATGGGGCATAGTCTCTCCATCCAGCACCACGCCCTGCACTGCTACTTCTAGGAGTAGATGAACCCCCAAACTTTGTCTGGTTTAGTACTGCCTACATGAAAACATGAATAATTCATTTTTCATAGTTAAGCCCTAGAAAATGAAGCAAGACAAACAATCATTCAATTTAATAAAGTTGGTTTCTTTCTGATCAGTGATCAGATATTCTTAACTGATGACATCAAACTAAATCTAACTATATCAACCATATCAAATCAACATTAGTTATATAAAATCAAAATGACATGAAAACTCACCCTTAGTAATTTTGTGGGTGACACTTCCATCTCTTCTAAAATTATACACAATTTGATTTCAAATAAGCAGTTCCACTCTTATGAAGGTGGCAAAAGAAAATTCACAGTGAGAAAGAATTAGGTGCCATAACCAACAAAACAATTTATTGTGCATCCTTAATGCATCTTCTGACACTTGGGCTCCATTATTTTCACCTCCGAATCAGTCCCCAGAAAAAGCTGGAAGACTTGGAGATCTCTTAATCCAGCCATTTCTACCTCTTCTGTTTTGAAGACTCCAGTCTTTTTCATCCTTGACTGCAAGGAGGGTACACTTCTCTAACCCCTTCTGAGTTTCATTCTATGATGAAATTCATCAACACAGAAATAGTTGACTTCTTTCTTTCATTCTTTCATGAGAACAGCCTAGATACTACAATGATAACATTCTGCTAAGTTTAGAAATTATCTTTCTTTCAAGATATTCCTGGAAGTCCCTCTGTAATTTCCCTGTAATTTAGGTGAGAATGTGGTATGTAATAAATTAAATGCCACAAATTCTCCATTAATTTGCAATGATTACTAAGGCTCTTTTATAGTGACACAATTGCCAAATTGAAAGGATGGGTAACAAAAAGCAGGGAAGGGGGAGGGGTCAGTTTCCAAAGTAGAATGTACTAATTACTAACTTAGTTATTAGGACTCTATTATTTTTATGAATCTGTACTTCCTGTATCAAGTGACTAAAGTATATTTTAATAACTTTTTTTAAAAAGTTGATACAAAAGATGAGTATCTAGTATAGACAACATTCCAGGCACAATTTCAAGTGAACCAGAGGCTTTGAAAACACAGAGATTACGTGAACAGTGTTTTGTTCATTCCTGTGGAGCTAGTATTAAAGTTCCAAATTTAAGAGATATTCTATGAGTTTGGGGAATGTCATGTAAAAAACACTGTTACCGGCCGGGCACCGTGGCTCACGCCTGTAATCCTAGCACTTTGGGAGGCCGAGGCGGGCAGATCACAAGGTCAGGAGATCGAGACCATCCTGGCTAATACGGAGAAACCCCGTCTCTACTAAAAATACAAAAAATTAGCCAGGTGTGGTGGCGGGCGCCTGTAGTCCCAGCTACTCAGGAGGCTGAGGCAGGAGAATAGCTTGAACCTAGAAGGTGGAGGTTGCAGTGAGCCGAGATTGTGCCACTGCACTCCAGCCTGGGTGACAGAGCAAGACTCCATCTCAAAAAAACAAAAAAAAAACACTGTTACCATCTCTCCAGTATCATTAGACACCAGTGAGCTATCTTCCAAGCATTTTCTCTGCAACCAACACTGTAGAATAGCAGCAAGTATTCCTCTGAGACTCAATCCAAGAAAAAGATGACCATTAACCTACAAAATCCACTAATATATGGAACTGCATATAATTTTATGAAAAGTTGTATTTTAAAAAATCACTTTTATTGAACATATAATGGTAAGTGATTTCGATGAATCTTGTCCTGATGAAAATAATCAAACCATAACTTAGTCTTTTTATGACTTCATATTTTCTTATATCAAATGACTAATAAATATGAGGCTTATGTGTATTTTAATTTTTATCTCATTTAGAGGCAGCGTTCATGTTCTGTCATCCAGGCTGCAGTACAGTGGCATGATGATAGCTCACTGCAACCACAAAATCCTGGGCTCAAGTGATCCTCCTGCCTCAGCTTCCTCAGTGCTAGGACTATAGGAACATGCCACAATGCTCAGCTAATCATTAATTTTTTTTTTTATTTTGTAGAGACAGAGTCTTACACTATGTTGCCTAGGTTGGTCTTGAACTCCTGGCCTCCAGCGATTCTCCCTCCATGGCCTCCTAAAGTGCTGGGATCACAGGTGTGAACCACTATGCCCAGCTTTGCATGTATTTTAAATACATTTGTAAAAACAGAGAGAGAGGAAAGATGGGTGCCAGTTACAGAGAACATCTCAAGCAAAATTCAAGAGACACACAAAATTATGTGAAACTACATATTCAATTTTCATCAAGTGACTCTACTTCTATAAAATAAAGAAAAAGCAAAGACTAATGAAATAAAATGGTAATTAATTGGGTGATGGCATCACCAGCTAAAGAGTAGTACATACCACTGATACTGGAAATGACAAGGGGCTCAAAGAATGCTATAGAATAACAAGAATCTGGCTAGGTTTTAAACTCAAGCTCTGTAGTTTTATTGTTAACATATCCAGACTCTGAGTAAAAGGTCGTGGCTGGCACTGACAAAGGCAAGAGTCATCTTTTAGAATCAATGACTCCTTTCTGCTAAAGACAATGGCTGTACAAACACAGAAATATGACAGGAATAATAAACTTTCCAAAGCTTCAGCCGTAAGACCAAGGTAAGCAGAAAAAGGAAATTACACACAGAAGATAAAACTTAACACAGATATTATACAAATTGACCAAAATCTGAAAAAAATACCTATTGACAAGAAAATACACCACAGTTGCAATACAGTGATGAGAAGTAACATTTTTCCTGTTATTTCTGAATTATCATTCCCATATTATTTTCATCATTCCCATTTCTAGTATATGCATGCGAATTCAACAATTTCAGAGAAGTTAGTTCCTTGACTCATAAACCAAAATGGCAGATGTAAGAGAAAGTTCAGCAATAATTAATGATAGAAACACTTTTGAGCCTTATTTGACTTTCTAATAAATTTTTTCCATTTCTATTCAACAGGATTAAAAGGGGTGATCAATAACAGAAAGACGTAAATTATTTTTTTCCTTGTTAACCTTTTATATAGATAATCTCTTAGTACCTGGTTTTCTGAATGGAATCAATTAAGTCAAATGTAATATATTCTGATTCTATGAGCTCCATTTTTAAAAGCATGCTGTTTTAACTTAGTATTTTCCAGTAAGGAACATTAAATTCTAGACCTCGTATCTAAAAACAACAGTTTGTGAACTTAACAAAAGCAATCCGCCTCTTTCTTTTGTGAAAACATTTAACAAGAAAAGTAACTAAGAGCAATCATAAATTACTATATATACAGGCAGTTCCCTAAAAGGCTGATACCTTAAAGAAGGAATAGAAAGGTAAAATTCAAGTTTTTAAGGTTTCAGAGTATAAGACTCTTAGAGGAACAGGTAAACTTCTTGCCCAAGTCCAACATCTGCCATTACTCCCTTTTCTAGGAAGAACACAGATTTAGACTACCTTCTTATGCTCTACTCCCATCTTAGTATTTGAATAACAGTATTTTCTTTCTAGTGTCAATCAAAAACTATCCCACAGCCTCTCTCCTACTTCTTCCCTTTCATCAAGCCACCAGAGTCCTATGGGCATCTCTAGGTTTTGATCCACTAGCAAAAACTGGAAACTGGAATTTTTTTTTTTTTTTTTTTTGGTGGGAGGAGATGCTTTTCTATGCCCTAAGCACCTATTGTGTTTCCCTCCACCCTCCCCCCAGCCCCCCACCACATATGAGCCCTGTAAACAAATTATTGTTAACACTGCAGAGTTTGAGTAAGTAAACCATCATTAAAGAATTGGTGAGACTTAGGCAAGACCTGCCTGAAAGTAAAAGGGAAGAATTAGGAACAAACCTGCTGACATGAACACCAGTTCCTTCTCTGCCCATTTGCCACTACCAGACCTATCACTAAAGACTCCGCCACCCTGAACCAAGACTAGGGTAAAGTGAGAAATAAGACAGGAAATGGGAAAATATTTTCAGTTAGTAGTGGTGAGTCTGATGACCCAAGAAAGAATGAAAGGATGAAACAGGGAGACAGCATACAAGAATGAGAGAAATGGTTAGGATGTCCCTGCAGCAAAAGCAGTAAGAAAAGCAATTCAATCTGGCCATACTGCTAGGGTATCATAAATGAGAGCCCATCCCTGTGGGAAAGAGACACACATACAGTTGGGAGCAAGGGCACAGGGAAAATCACATACACATTTCTCTCTTTTTCTCCCCCCACCCGCTGGTGCACATGTGCACTCTGCCTTTAGTAGCACTGAAATCAAATTTTTATTCTAGAAAGTAAAATGTACTCCAAAAATATCAAATCTCAGCACTGTCATAAATAAGGGAAACATAACATATTTTGCAGGATTGCCATCTGCTGTAGGGGGATCCAATAAATGATTTGATGAAAGAATTCTGACTAGAGATAGCTATATCAGATAATCAAAGCTATGAATGTGTCTATTTTTAATAGTGTCTTTATTCAATTCTATTTGTAGAGTAAGGATATTCCTTTAGATAAGACTCAAAGGCTGCAATCAATTGTAAACTAATATACACCTAAAAAACCAACACCAAGATTTTTTATTGTATTTTTCACATTTTAGACACTCATGAAATAAATCTATGAATGTATTTTCCCAGACATTCATTGTGAAATAGGATCAGTTAGAATATAATAACAAGTGCTTTGTTATGCTACACATTAGTAAAAAAGGGAAAAGCTAGGAAAATATTAAAATTGCAAGGGAATTTAATAGAAGTTAAAACATGCTACCTCATCTAAAGTATATAACATTAGTTATAGACTTTTTTACTTATAAAAAATTTAGGTTCTGTGCAGTGAATTGTCAAATAAAACAGTCTAAAAAACACATATGTAAGAAAGTAAGTCCGGTGGAAAGATTAGAAGGAATCACCCTTTCCGGTCATCTTTAATAATCCAATCAGAATTTTTGTTTGGCACTGTTGAAACCAAAGATTTACAAGTACAGATGTTCCATTAAAGTTTTTAGTGCCACAGTACAGTACAATAAGGTAATGAACACATGGCAAATTTCATTCAAAAAAATGACTAATTTTGAAAATGACTTTCATACATAGATTTTGCTATATTATTGTTACTAGCTATATCACCCTGATACAAATGCCCTGTAAAGATACAAAAGGAAAACCCAATGACTGATTTAATCAAAGAAGTAAGAGTACAGGGCCAAAAGGAAATGCCAAGTCTATCTCTTTAAGAAAAACAGAAACTGCCTGATGGCCAGGAATTGAAAGTAATACGTTCCCAGGGGTCGACTTGGGAATTGTTTAATGGGAACTATATAGTGATATGGTGGTCACTGTATTTTGAGGACTTGTTCTGACTGTCTGAACAGACATTCCAAGACTGACAAAGGCTCTTGAGCTACCTTTAAAACTCCCCTAAATTAGCTGTCAAGTTTCTAGAAAGAAGGAAGGGCCCTCCCAACGTACCTGAGAACCAAGTATTCTCCCAATCTAATATACCAAAGCCCTGTATCTGAAGACCAATGCCAGTGTTTTCTTCCATAGAAGCACTACAAACGTAGTTTTAAGAAAGGAAAAACAAAAAACAAAACGTTGATGCTATTTTTAACACAATCAAATCATCTCTGACCTGCATTACTGTAATAGTCTCCTAAATGTTTTCCCTTCTTCTTGCCCCTCCTACTAGAGCAACCTTTTAAAAACAAGCCAAATCATGTCCATCCTGTGCTCAAAACCTACCAATGGCTTCCCAACTCATTCAGAATTACTAATAAACCCAATGGTCTACAATGTTTTACAGGTTCTGCCTCCCACCTCTCTGAACTCATCTCCTACTGTTCTTTCTCTTCTAATAGTTACTATAAATCCTAGGGCTGGCGGAAAGAAAATATCTAGCTAGCTTGCTATCAACTACATAAAGGCTCTGGGGAGTAAACAAAAACAGGCTGATTGGGATGAAAATATAAACTTGAAAGAAGAGACCAGAATGGGTGAGTTTCTCTTTTAATCAGCTTTCAGGGACCAGCACAGGTGAGTTTCCCATTCTGAAAGCTTTCTCCTGCAGGCAAGCAGCAATAACCTCTAGTAACTAAAATTCCAACAGAAACCCCATTGTCTTTTTGGCCTGAAGGAAAAGAGGACAGAGACAGGACAACCACAGTCACTAGAAAGTGAGGATAGAATCCCAAAAGGGAGAAGGCCAGAAAAGAGAGGTCCCAAATTTTTGGTTTATCTCTGCCCACATCTTTGGCTGAGTCCTGGAACACCATTCACAGGGCAGGCACAAGGCAGTTTGTAGCAGAGACTAAAAGAACCGAATTGAGATCTGAGCAGCTACCAACTTCAGGCAAGAGATAATTTTTGCTATGAGTCTAACCAAAAGCAAATGGCTCACTAAAACAAATAAATCAAAACTCTTTGGAAGAACATGAAAATAAGCCACAATTTCCACAAATAACACTCATAATATCCAAAATTCTTTGACAGTAATATGTAACCCAATCTCAAGGGAAAAGATAATCACCAGAGGCCAACAGCAAGATGACCCAAAGTAAAATTTTCAGACAAGGACATTAAAGCAGATGCTGTAACTATGCTCAATAAAGTGAAAGATACATGCTTTTAATGAAAAAAAAAAAAAAGTGAAAATCTCACGAAGAAAAAGAAAACATTAAAAAAAACTAAAATTAAGCCAGGTGTGGTGTCTCTTTCCCGTAATCCCAGCACTTTGGGAGGCCAAGGCAGGTGGATTGCTTGAGTCCAGGAGTTTGAGACCAGCCTGAGCAACATGGCAAAACTCTATGTCTACAAAAAAATTAAAATTAGCCAGGCACGGCAGTGTGCTCCTGTAGTCCCAGCTACGTGGGAGGTTAACATTGGAGGATTGATTGGAGCCCGGGAAGCAGTGGGTGCAGTGAACTGAGATTGCATCACTGCACTCCAGCTTTGGTGACAGAACGAGATTCTCTCTCATAAATAAATAAATTAATTAAAAATAACTAAAATTGGCTGGGTGCAGTGGCTCAAGCCTGTAATCCCAGCACTACGGGAGGCTGAGGCAGGTGGATCACCTGAGGTCAGGAGTTCGAGACCAGATTGACCAACATGCTGACACCCCATCTCGACTGAAAATACAGAAAAGTAGCTGGGAATGGTGGTGGGCGCCTGTAATCCCAGCTACTCAGGAGGCTGAGGCAGGAAAATCGCTTGAACCCAGGAGGCAGAGGTTACAGTGAGCTGAGATTGTACCATTGCACTCCAGCCTGGGCAACAAGAGAGAAACTCTGTCTCAAAACACACACACACACACACACACACACACACACACACACCCCTAAAACTAAGTATCTGAAATTTAGAAAGAAATTTCCTGGATGGTCTTAAGAGTAAATGGAGATAACAGGGGTAACAGTAAGTGAACGTGATGAGAGATCATCAGAAATTATCCAATTGATAAAAAGAGAAAAAGGATTAAAAGAAAACAAACAGGGCCTCAGAGACCTAAGGGAAGATATTTAAAAGACTAACATAGGTATAATGAGAGAACAAAGAAAATATGGTAGAAAAAAGTGTTTGAAGAAATAAGGCCAAAAAATTCACAAATGCAGTGACAGACACAAACTTACTGATTAAAGACTGTACTCAGTGAAACCCAGAGAGTATAAATAAGAAGAAAACCATACATAGACACAACATAGTCAAGCTGCTGACAACCCAAAAATACAGAAAAGCTTGAAAATGGCCAGAAAGTGACATACTACATTGAAAGTAACAACATTTCAAATAACTAAGAACTTGTCTTCAGAAACTATGAATGCCAGCAGATGTGAAAAAAAAAATCTTTAAAGTGCTTGGGGTTGGGGGATGTGGGAGAATAATTATCAACCAATTCTATACTCAGCAAAAATATCCTTCAAGAATGGAGTTGAAATAAAGACCTTTACAAATAACAGAAAATTAAGAACTCATTACCAGTATAACTTTGGTATAAGAAATATTAAAAGAAGTTCTTCAGGCTGAAGGATAATCATTATTATTATTATTTTTTGAGACAGAGTTTTTGCTCGTCACCCAGGCCAGAGTGCAGTGGCGCGATCTGAGCTCACTGCAACCGCCGCCTCCAGGTTCAAGCGATTCTCCTGCCTCAGCCTCCCAAGTAGCTGGGATTACCGGCGTGCGCCACCACACTCGGCTAATTTTTGTGTTTTCAGTAGAGATAGGGTTTCACTATGTTGGCCAGGCTGGTCTCGAACTCCTGACCCCGGCTTGATTCGCCTGCTTCGGCCTCCCAAAGTGCTGGGATTACAGGTGTGATCCAACGCACCTGGCCCAGGTTGAAGGATAATGTTATCAGAGGAAGACCTGCATCCTAGGGAATAGTATCATATATAATAAATAAAAAGACTAATTTTTCCTTTAATGTCTTCAAAACACATAGAGCTTAGGAAAGAAAAAATAATTTTCTCTCCTAAGAGTTACAATGCATTCAGATGTAATACACATGATAACTATAGCATAAAGGAAGGCAGTAAATAGACCTATAATAAGGTCAAGAGTTCTGCCTTTTATGTGAAGTGGCACAATATTAACTCTAAATAGCCTTTGAGAAGTTAATGATGTATGTTAACATCCCTAGAGACGCTACCAAAAAAAAAAAAAAAAAAAAAAAAAAAAAGCAGAGGCATTGCAAAAAAGCCAGCTAATAAAAGGAGTCCTAAGAAAATCCCACCCCAAAAGAATGGAGATACAGTAAAACAAAATACTGTTGGAATACACAGAAAACAAACAAATTAGTAGACCTAAATCCAACCATACAATAAAATATTCCACTTCTGTCTGGGAAAGAAGACAGGGAAGCAATCAAACAGATACTCCTCTTTTCAGTGCGAACACACCCCATTGCTCTGTGAGCTCATAAAGTTCATGTTGCTGCCCTTCTTGAACAAGACAATTATATTTGGGTTTGGTGGTTAGAAAAGGAAGATGAAAACATTACAAATGGACTTACACATTAAACAAAAAACATACAACACTATACCAATGTGAAAGTGCAAAGGTTTTTTGTTTTTATGGTACCCATTAGGATCATAAGTCAGTACCAATAAAGCAGTTTCTGCATAACTATCAAGTACATTTTAATGAATTTTTGCTGATTACCTAACACAATTTGCTATTTAAAAACAGCTGTGTGAGCAATTACTATTATTAACTTAATTCCACAAACAATTCTATTCATTTCCTGTAATGAGGCCCATGTACTCCCTGGTTCAAGTCTTAGACCATTAATTCCTATAATGACAACACACTCTGCCTCTCTCAGAGGAACTCTAAAAATTTTCCTTTCATATTTTCCTTATATTTAAAAATCTCCCTCATAGTACAAAACTGCCACTCAATTCTTTCCATACTCACAAAAGAAAAATTTATATTCATCACCTTCACTTCTTACCATTTACTCACTCATTAATTAATCTCCTGCTATCTATCATCTTCTGGATCACACCAGCAAAACCAAATGCCACACACCCAGCAGGCTCTCAGCAAACATTTGTTTACAGGATAAAACTAAACTCTTTCAGGTCATCAAAGCCGTCCTCGTCATAAAATATAACTCTTACTCTTATTCTTCATTTCTTTGATCTCTATAGCACAGGTCAGCAAACTTTTGCAATAAAGGGCCAAATGATAGATACTTCAGGCAACTGGGGGCTGATCACTTCCATACCAACTACTCAACTCTACTACTCTAGCAACAAAGCAGCTACAGGCGTTATGCAAACAACTGGGAGTTGCTGTGTTCAAATAAAATTTATCTACAAAAAAAAAAAAAAGGTGATGGGCTACAGGTTATATTTACCTCTGTTCTGCGGTGCCTGATCCTGTTAAGCACCTCACCTTCATGACACTGGTCTTGTCAATGTCTTGGATGTGACAAAATAAAAACAGACAAAAAAGCAAAAACAGACAAGTGGGACTACATTAATCTAAAAAGCTACTCAAAACAAAGTCAACAACAGAGTGAAAAGGCAATCTACAGAATGGGAGAAAATATTTGCAAACCATAACTTTGATAAGGGGTTAACGTCCAACATACATAAGAAACCCCTACAATTCAACAGCAGAAAAACCCAAATAAGCCAATTTAAAAACAGACAACAAATTTGAATAGACATTTCTCCAAAGAAGGCATACAAATGGCTAACAGGTATATGAAAAGCTGCTCGGCATCATACATATCAGGAAAATATGAATCAAAATCACAGTAAGATATAATCTCATACCTGTTAGAATGGCAATTATTAAAAACACACATACACAAGAAAACAAGTGTTGATGAGGATGTAGAGAAACTAGAGCCCCCGTACATTGTTGGTGAGAATGTAAAATGGTATAGCTGCTATTAAGAAGATGGTATGGAGGTTGCTTTAAAAATTAAAAACAGAACTATCATAATGACCCAGCAATCCCACTACTAGATAGTTATCCAAAACAATTACAATCAGGATCTAAAAGAGATATCTGTATTCCCATGTCAACTGCAGCATTATTCACAATAGTAAAAATGTGGAAACAACCTAAATGTTCATCAATGGATGAAGTTATACTGTTTACATGAGCACTATCTAACATGTCTCAAATTAACAGCAAAGGCCACATTCAGCTCTTACTCTGTATCACCTTCAATGCTGAATACACAGAAGAAGCTCACTAAAGAAGTATTTATAAATAACATGACACTGTTACTTAACATAAGGACAAGTTTTCTAGTAGCAGATATAGTTTTGTTTTATTTTGGTTTTTTTTTTTTTTTTGAGATGGAGTCTCGCTCTGTCACCCAGGCTGGAGTGCAATGGTGCAATCTCGGCTCACTGCAACCTCTGCCTCCCAGGTTCAAGTGAATCTCTTGCCTCAGCCTCCCGAGTAGCTGGGATTACAGGCACCCACTACCAGGCCCGGGTAATTTTTATATTTTTAGTAGAGAAGGGGTTTCACCATGTTAGCCAGGCTGTCTTTAACTCCTGACCTCAGGTTATCCACCTGCCTCTGCCTCCCAAAGTGCTGAGACTGCCACCACGCCCGGCCTAGCTATAGTTTTTTACTTATCCACTTATGTTCACTCTCCCAATCTCCCTGGTAAAGGGCATGACATTGCAAGGCAACCTTCATAAAAGATACAACTGATGACCAAGGCACAGAACAAAGGCAATCACACCAAGAATGTACTCAACTGAAACCCCTGATATTAGCACACTGTTCTCATGAAATGGACTAAAAAATTCATACAAATTTGTTATATGTATGAGTGTACATATGTAAGCAAAAATTAATGTCATGTAGATTTCTAAATTCTGAACTCTCATAATTAACGTCTAAACCTTTCTGATTTCAAAATATTATTACAAAGCTCTAGTAATTAAAACAGTATGGTCCAGACATAAAGTCATGCCATTAAAAACAGACACATAGACCAATGGAACAGAATAGAGAACCCAGAAATCCATGTGTGTATGGTCAACTGCTCTTTGACAAGGAATACATAATAGGGAAAGGATAGTCTCTAAAAATGGCAATGGGAAAACTGGACGTCCACATGCAAAAGAATGAAATTGGATGCTGATCTCACATCATATGAAAAATTCAACTGAAAATGGATTAAAGACTTAAACATAAGACCTGAAACTAGAAAGCAAAGAACAAAACCAGACTCTCTGGGTAAGATCCAAATCTATATGGTTAAATGAAGGCACTCCCCAGTCAACATGGCAATGTGGTGGCTGGACAAGCAGAAAGCCAGTGTCTTCTCTGCTTAAGAAGTCAGAAAATAGGCTGGGCGTGGTGCCTCATGCCTGTAATCCCAGCACTTTGGGAAGCAGAGGCAGGAGGATCACTTCAAGTCTAGGAATTCGAGACAGCCTGGGCAACATAGCAAGAACTCATCTCTACTTAAAAAAAAAAGAAGGAGAGGAGGCAGAAAAGGCAGCATCCAGAAAACAGAATTTGAGAATGCCAATGTGACTGGAAATTACGGATGGGAAACACAAGGGAGCAGAAAGCCACAGCTGAGGAAGGTTCAAAAATTTACATTTAATTTCCCCTCCAATCTTTATGACCTCTCAACATAAACGTGAGGAAGAATACAAGAATCCCAACTAAAAGCAACAGGTGGAACGCTAAAATAACTGATCACAGATTTCAGATGCTGGGCACCACAGCAGAGACTAACTAGAAAGGCTTGGTAAATAATTTGGGCTTTCTACAGACCTGCCTTAACAAAGCATAAAACCATGCCTCAAGATAATCAACCAATAATTTAACTACCTACCAGAGCAAAAACAAAACTCTGCAAAAATTAACAAAAGCCAAAACTTCTACAACATATCACCTACATTTTCCAATATGAAATTAAAAATTACTACATGTGTGGTGAAATAAAAATGTGACCATTAGTCAACATATCCGAGGATGACAAAGATGGTGGAATAAGAAAAGGATTTTAAAGCAGCTATTATAAATATTCAAACACTTTAAGAAAAAGACAGTCAAAATGAATGAACAAATGGAGGCTCTTAAGACAGAAAACCATTTAAAAAAAGAAAATTCTAGCACTGACAAGCACAATATCTGAAATGAAAATTTCACTGGATAAGCTTAACAATGGACTGGAGCAGCAGAAGAAATGGTAAGTAAAACTGAACACACATCAATATAAAATTATTCAATATTAAAGCACAAAAAATAATGAAAAAATTAATAGTTTCAGCTACCTGTTAGATAGCATTAAATGGTCTAAATGCATGTAATGAGAGTACCAAAAGTATTTAAGAGAAAAAAACTGGCAAAAATTTCCCCAAATCAGTGAAAAAACTGTAGATCCAATGAACTCGGCAGTCTCTAAGTAGGAGAGAACTACAAAGCAAACCTCATCAATGCACCAATAGTAAAAATGTTAAAGTGCAAACGCAAAGAAAGAAATCTTCAATTCACCAGAGAGAAAAAAGATAAATTACATAAGAGCAAAATGATACGAAGACTTATCAGAAACAATAAAGGAATGACATCCTTTAAGCATGAAGGATGCTCATGTCACCTCAGAATCACTGACTAGAAACCCAAACTACAAGAAATACTAAATAGAGTTTTTAGGCTGAAGGAAAATAATACCAGATAAAATTCACAACTATAAAAAAAAAGAAAGCATACAGATGGCAAATATGTGAGTACGAATAAAGATGATTTATCCTCTATTTTCTTTAAAATGCACGTGATTGTTCAAAGCAGAAACTACAGTTGTTTTGAAAACCTTGCAACATTTGTATGACAAAGAATAGGAAGAGGTATACAGAATAATACTTTTCAAGATCCTTAATTTTACATTGACATAGTAAACTATAAGCTCCGAGTAAACTGTGATAAGACTGTATACTGTAATTCCTAGAGGAACCCCTAAAAATAACTGAAGGAGGTCCAGCTAAAAAGCCACGTTGAGGAATTAAAACTGAATACAAAAAATATTTGATTAATAAGTCAGAAAGGGCAAAACAAAGGCACAAAATAATTAATGGCGCAAAAGAAAACAAATAGTAATGTTACAAAACTAAATATATCAATTAGAACAAGAATTAGAGAGAATGCAGAGCAACTACAACTGTCGCAGTAAAATCAGTCTGGGAAACAAGCAATTTTTCAGAATATTAAAATACTTCTCAACTCTGACCTAGAAATTCCAGTTCACGGTAAATGAAAATATGTATCTACAAACAGAATTACACAAAACTGTTTATAGCAGCTTTATTTGTAATAGCCAAAAACTTGAAACAGCCCTAATGTCTATAGATACCCAAGGGGATAAATGTATGATGGTTTATTGATACAATGAAATACTACTATTCAGCAACAGAAAGAACAAACTGCTAATACACACAACAACGTGGATAAATCTTGTGAGCAAAAGCAGCCAGACACAAAAGAGGACATACTATTTCATTCCATCAATGTGCAAATTCCAGAAGTAACGAAACTAATCTATGGTGACAGAAATCAAAACAATGGTTGTTTGGAGTAGGTAAGGGTTGACTGGAAGCAGACATGAGACATCTTTCTGGAGTGCTGCTGGGTAGTTCCTGGGAAGCAGACGGAAGTATCTATAAAATAAATCCACTGAAAAATGCTCTCTCATGCTCAACCTATGAGTTGAAGGAAGCACAAAGGGGTAGAGGGAGAAGATGAATTGAACTACATAGCAACAAATGCCTCAACTGATCACATGGGAAGTTCTGGAGCTGGGATGACATTTGAGAACTGTCCCAAATTGCTGCAAGTGGGCCAAGACCTTTATACCTCTCCCTCCATCCCACGGCCCCCAGAAAGTGGATATAGGCAGCCCCCAGAAAGTGGACGTGACCACGGTCAACATGGCTCTCTTTAGCAGAGGGTAACTCTTGAAAAGCAACTTTGGTGAGTCATTCACCAACACTTCCAGCAGCTGGAGAAGTAAGTGTTCAATGCTGGAAGCCCTCCATTGTATCTTCTACATGTTATAAGGGAAACGTTTTATATCTTGATGATATAAACATCTTGATATTGATGATGGGTGTATGCATTTATCAAGCTTACTGAGTTATACATTTAAGATACACTTATTTCACCATATATAAATTTTTCCCAATATTCATGTTTTACTCACATTCTTGTGGGTTTCCAGAGGATAATGGGTACATACAGAAATCAAACAAACAGCAGCAAATTATGTTCATTAAAATTGTAACTCGATACAAACCAAAATGATAGGTTGAAAAAAAATCTACCTAAATGATAGAGAGTGCCATGTCTTTTGCAAGATACAAAGTAAGACTTAGTCCTCCACCACAATTAAAACTTCAGTGGAGGAGGCTGGGTGCAGCGGCTCACACCTGTAATCCCAGCACTTTGGGAGGCCGAGGAGGGCAGATCATGAGGTCAGGAGATGGAGACCATCCTGGGAAACATGGTGAAACCCCGCCCCTACTAAAAATACAAAAAATTAGCCGGGCGTGGTGGCGGGTGCCTGTAGTCCCAGCTACTTGTGAGGCTGAGGCAGGAGAATGGCGTGAACCTGGGAGGCGGAGCTTACAGTGAGCCGAGATCGCGCCACTGCACTACAGCCTGGGCGACACAGCGAGACTCTGTCTCAAAAACAAAACAAAACAAAACAAAACAAACAAACAAACAAAAAAACTTCAGGGGAGGAATATGAGTGCTGGCTTATGATTGGTAAGCCCATCCAATTACATCCAGGAAATTAATTAAATTTATAGATTGAGAAGGTAAATGCAATGTTATTTTTAGAAATTTAATGCAGATGAAAGGTAGAAAATTCATATGTAAATAAAGTCATGCACCACATAACAACTATGGAAGGCATATATGACAGTGGTCCCAGAAGATTATAATACTGTATTTTTATTGTACCTTTTCTATGTTTAGATACACAAATACTCATCACTGTGTTACAACTGCCCACTGTATTCAGTACAGTCATAGGGTACTGGTTTGTAGTCTAAGAACAAAAGGCTATGCCATACAACCTTAGGTGTGTAGTAAGCTATACCATCTAAGTTTGTGTAGGCACTGTACTCTTTATGATGTTAGCAATAGAATGAAATCGCCTAACAAGGCATTTCTCAAAACATATGGCCGTTATTAAGTGACACACAACAATGGGGGTATGTTTTGAGATATTGTATATTTATACTGATATTCAAGAGGAAAAAAGGTTTTTTCAGTTGAGGCTAATATTTTCTTTATAAAATTTTCAAAAATATTTTCTCTCACAATCCAAATAGAGAAGAAGGGTGAAAAATCAAGAATTATTTTCTGGCATTTTTGTAATATTGCAAGATAATCAATTGCTGCTCAAGGCAGAGATCTCCATAAGTCAACCAATTTTTGCTCATCTACCCCCATTACAATTTCTTATATTAAGAATCCTTATTAAACCACTCAAATTATTATTGTTGAATAGTTTTAGGTATACAAAAATCACTTATCTTGTTCAATCTTTCTCAAAGTAAGCTGGTAATCAAGATAGCAATAGAAGACAGTAACTTAACAGAACTATTTATAGAACACACTTCCCTTTGCTAACCTTGAATTACAAGTGAAGGGCTAAAATCTCTCCATTTATTCTACAAACATCTATGATAAAGTAACTTGTTTGTACTACTAAGCACCATTTTAAATATTCTAAGTATTATATAGAATACCTATCAAGTATGTAAAACCCGTTAGAAAAAGCAATGTCAACAGCAAAACGCTGGCAAAATACTTATAGGTGACAGTATTTCCTTAAGTATGAATTTATTCTGAGTTTGCTCTGTGTCCTTTAGCTGAATTAGCCATGTTCCTCCCTTTAAAACTTTCAAACTAAAGAACTTGTAAAGACGAAAGGCGTAGTTTAGATTCATCTCTGCCTATGAGCAAGGAACCAGACAGGGCTTCTTAATTTCCTCAATTACATCATCAACAAGATTGGGGAAAAGATGGGTAAAATATGAGTTTATGTATTGTTCAGAGCTGCCTCAGGAGGGAAGAAGGGGAAATACTGTTTCTCCCTTGGTGTGCCTTTAGTCAGAGGAAGATATTTATCGATAGTGTGAAGGAAACTTGAGAGATTAAGAACATTTAATATATGTATTCCAATAGTTTTAGAATATCAGCCAGGTATGGTGGCTCACGCCTGTAATCCCAGCACTTGGGGAGGCCAAGGCAGGTGGATCACTTGAGGTCAGGAGTTCGAGAACAGCCTGGCCAACATGGTGAAACCCATCTCTGCTAAAAAAAAATCAAAAAACATACAAAAATTAAGTGGGTGTGATGGCACTGGCCTGTAGTCCCAGCTACTCAGGAAGCTGAGGCAGGAGAACAGCTTGAACCTGGGAGGCAGAGGTTGCAGTGAGCGGAGATCATACCACTGCACTCCAGCCTGGGCAACAGAGTGAGACTCCATCTCAAAAACAAACAAACAAACAAACAAAAACAATGTCAGAAAAAAATGAATCTAACTGATGTCCTTCCATACCCAATTTCTCAAACTAGTGTCTGAGTTTCTCTTCAAGTCAACAAAGAAAGTAGAATATAGTGAACTCTGTAGTAACTATGTAAGGTGACAAACTCAAGAAAACATGCTTTAGAATTAGCTAGATCCAGGTATGATGCCAAGTTTTGATATTTGCTAGCTATGTGATGACCCTATCTAAGTCTGCTTCTTCCTCTGTTAAATGTGGGTTGATAATAGTACATAACTCAAGAGTGAGGCTGAGAATTAAATGAGATGATGTTGGTAAGGCGTTTAAGTACAGTCTCTGTCACACAGTTAAATTCTCAACAAATGTAAACGATCTGAAACTGTAAGGAAAGGTTTTTCATTCCTATTGTTAGAGAACTCATTTGGCAATTTTTCAGTGAAGAAAATCGTGGAAGGCAGTCATCTGCTGCTTATGAAGTTGCTGGGTCTAAGTTGGATTTCCCATTTGTGGTATTGCCTCTTAAAGTATCAGTTTCTCTCTGACTGGAGTACTGACAGCCTGCCGGAGCTAATAGCCTCTGTACTAAAACTTCTCCACATGGCTAGGCACAGTGGCTCAGGTCTGTAATCCCAGCACTTTGGGAGGGCAAGGAGGGCACATCGCTTGGGTCCAGCAGTTTGAGAACAGCCTGGGAAACACAGTGAAACCCCATCTCTACAAAAAATACAAAAATTATCCAGGCATGATGGTATGTGCCTGTAGTCCTACATACTTGGGAGGTTGAGGTGGGAGGATCGCTTGAGCCCAGGAGGTAGAAGCTGCAGTGAGCCATGATTATGCCATTGTACTGCAGCCTGGGTTACAGAGGGAGATCCTATCTCAAAACACAAAAACTAAAACAATAACGCAAACAAATAAAAAAAAATCCTCAACATGAATGACTTATTATAGCAAGTGATACAGAAGATATTACCACAGAGTGTAATACTGACACAATCCTGATCCCACTGCTCTTTAAAGTCAGTCAGGCTGCACAAAGATACTCATGTTTATCACAAATCAACTCTTTTCCTACTTTCATGAGAATAAAAACCTAGACAATAAAAAAGAAACAGTATTCATCTTATGGGGAAAAAAAGAATTTGACGTATTAATCCAGACACAGTTCAAATCGTTTGTCTTGAATGCCACACACTTTTTTGCCCCAGTTCCTTTTGTGAAAAGGAAACATAGGTTCTGCCTACTTAAATGGGACAGCATGTAATGTGTCTGGAACACATCTCACATGGAGTCATTTCTAAGTGTCTATAATCACCATCACAAAACGGTCTCCCTGCACTGTTTCACTGAGTTGTTTTAAAAGATTAACACGTGACAGAAAATGTTACTGTTTTCTACAATGATCAATTATATCTGCTTTCCACTACTGAATAATTTCTACTCAATAAGCATTTAGTGAAAATCTACTATGATTCTGGATGCTTTGTCATTTACACCCCCAAGTTTATCTTCACTGCTTTTTGTATGGTAGGTTCATCAGTACCACAAACGATCAAGCAAGTTAAACTCAATAAAACAGAGGTTTTCTCCCAAAATGTCCCATTCCACTTTATGTCCACTAACCTCAAAACATGTATTTGTATGGAAAACATAACAAATCCGTGAACATTTGAAAATAATGAATTCTTACTAAGCAGAATATGTCATCCTAAACACAGTCTTATAAAAAAAAAATTACCTGAAAAATCACATGACTAAAGTCAGCATGAAAAGCTCTACTTCAAAGAAAAGATCCATAAAATTTTGACCAGAAAAACGGGTAAAAGCAAGGCTGAAAAAAAAATTACAATAGTTAGAAAAGAAAAAAAATGGTAAGGCAAATCAGTCACAAATCTGGAACTCTCTCTGAGCATGATGATTCATTCAACAGGTAGAATATATGCCCTGTAAATTTCTCTAACAAACAAAAAGTTCATTTTAAAAACTAGTAATTAAATGACAATATAAGTAACTTCACTTAAAGAATCCACAGGTAAATTTTTTTTTTAAGAGACGGGGTTTCATCATGTTGGCCAGTCTTATCTCAAACTCCTGACCTCAAGTGATCCGCCTGTCTCGGCCTCCCAAAGTGCTGGGATTACAGGTGTGACCCACTGTGCCCGGCTGGTAAATTCTTAAACAGTGAAACATTTAAAACTCAAATAGCAGAGCTTATATTAGAGTCATGTGGCTCATTATCATATAAATTTACTATGTGTTCTGACTCTGTCCATGTTTCTAAGAGTATATAAATTCAGTAATACAGTATTAGCTCCTATTTATCCTTGTTTATTTCACTTTCCCATTTAATTCAAAAACTGTTTCTTCTTGTTTCCAATTTGAAAGTGTCCAATCTGAATGTAAAAACTGTACTACTTTTTCTCTTTTATCTGTTAAGCTTTTTTTAATTAAAACTTTCTTTCCATCATAGTTTTCGGTAAAAAAGCAAGATAAAAAAAAAAGTTTAATATGGTAACTTTAAAAACAATGCATGACGGGGAAAACTGAAGGGAACTAGAAAACTAATAATAATTTCATTTGCAAAGTTGAATTTTTTCTTCCTTTCACTATCTTCCAAAATTTCTGAAGTTTATAAGTTAAAAATGAGTTTTCTTGAAGAAATAACTTAAACCAAAAACAATCAATGGACAAATACAAAACTACTAGCCTAACACTTCATAGAATTCAAACACAATCACAAAGACTTCCAGAAATTCAGTATCTTTTACTTTGCTAAAATTCTACTGACTTAAATATTGTTTTAAATCAATTAAGAATACCCAATTTCTCCGAAGAAGACATACAGGTGTCTTCTTTGTATATTTTTATAGGTACATAAAAATGTGCTCAACATATCTGATCATCAGGGAAATGCAAATCAAAACCACAGTGAGACTGATACATATCCTCACACCCATTAGGATGACTATTATTAAAAAACACACACACACAACATAAGAACATAAGTGATAGTGAGGACGTGGAGAGACTGGAAGCACTGTTAGAGGGAATATAAAATGATACGGTTGCCATGGAAAATAGTATGGCAGGTCCTTAAAAAATTAAAAATAGAACTACCATAATGATCCAGCAATCCCACTTCTGGATACTTATCCAAAAGAGTTAAAATCAGGATCTCAAAAAGGTATCTGTATTCCCATGTTTATTGAAATATGAATAGCCAAAATGTAGAAATAACCTAAATGTCTACCGATGGATTAATGTAGTTAATCCATGTAGTTTTAGTGGGTCTTTAGATGAAAAAAATAAAGAAAATGTGGTACACACGTGCAATAAAATATTATTTAGCCTTAAAAGAAAGAAAAAATTCTATCACTTGTGATAACATGAATGAACCTGCAGGATGACATGTTAATAAAGTAAGCCAGTCACAAAAGGACAAATACTGCATAATTCCACTTATATGAAGTATCTAAAGTAGCGAAACTCAGAAGCAGAAGGTAGAATGGTGATTACTGTAGAGTGGGGAACTGTTATTCAATAGGGACAGAGTTTCAGTCATGCAAGATGAAAAAGTACTAAAGATCTGCTGTAAAACAATGTGCACATAGTTAACAATACCATACTAAATACTTAAGAATTTGTTAAGAAGACAGATCTCATTTTTTTAACCACAATAAAAAACAAAAAAGTAGACCTAAAAATTCATAAGAAAAAATATTTATATGTAAGGCTGGGCACAGTGGCTCACATTTGTAATCCCAGCACTTTGGGAGACAGAGGCAGGAGGGTCACTTGAAGCCAAGACTTCGAGACCAGCTTGGGCAACACAGTGCGATCCCGTCTCCACAAAAAAATTAAAAATTAGCCAGGAATGGTGGTGCGTGCCTGTAGTACTGGCTCCTCGGGAGGCAGAGGCAGGATGATCAATTCAGCCCCGGAATTTGAGGTCACAGTGAGCAATGACTGTGGCACACATTTCAGCCTGGGCAACAGAGTTAAGACTTTGTCTATATATATTAGAGCAGGAAAATCACGTTTTTTTGCATATACCAAAAAGTGATGCCCATTTCTTTAGCCATTATCTTTTTATTTCCATAAGAACACTCTGTTTTCGATCCTTTATCTTCAAAGAAACATTACTACTTTTGTTTCCCTTCGTCCACGTCCATCTGATGAACCACAAATGAGCCAGACCCACACTTGCTAAGGATTCACTTTATGCCCTCCCATATGAGGCAGAGGTTGCAGTGAGCTGAGATCGTGCCACTGCACTCCAGCCTGGGCAACAAGGCAAAACTCCATCTCAAAAAAAACAATAAAAATTGAAAAATAAAATAAGGTAAAAGGTACTTTTGTAGTTAAATTGAGTAAATGGGCATGCAGGCAATGGCTAGAAAATGGCAATTATATTAATATAAAATATGTTGCCAACATACCAAGAAAGGATTGTAATTACAGGTCCCAATCCAAGGCTTAGGGAAAAAACGTGTTCAGTAAACTTTTGATGTAATGATCATGTCTTCTTCTGTCATCCAAAATGACTTTCATAAATATGAAGAGCCACAGTACACTAGTAATGCGATCAAGTAAACAAATGGATTTTAACAAAAGTGAAAGGCAGCATTCTTCATACAAACTAAGTGGCTACTATAAATTTCCAAAGACCATTTTCCTATTTTTTTTTAAATCTCAATTATTTTTGCTTTTGTATAAGTGATGTCTTTTGTATTTTTAACTCCAAGAGTTGCCAAAATAAGCCCATTTACATGAGATGCCTGCAAACTAGCAAATTTACATTTGGATTTTGTTGGCTTTGGACCCTGCATTCTGTTCTCTTCTTTGTGCCATTGTTGTTTTCAGGTTTGGCAGTGGCTCTAGATCTTTGTTTAACTTAGTTTCTTTGTCTAACTTCTGCAGTATATACACATTATAAAATTAGCATGAAAGAACACTTTAGCTTTCATCACCACAATGAATTCCCACTGTGGCAAAGGCTTTTTTGCAAATTATACTTATGTGAATACAAAGGGAAAAACATAGACATAACACCTAATTTATCCACCTGAAGACAACATAAAAAATAAATAAGAGAAAGAACTATTTGGTTCAATAGTATAAAGAAAAGATTCATCATGAGATTAACATCCAATTTTAACGTACTAAAAGCTGAGTAATTAGAAAAGAGACCCCAGCACTCAGAGCTAAATTTGTTTGACTGCCAAATTGCCCATCTTTCTTTTAATCTTTATTGTACTTTTCTGTCTGTCTTCCAAAGTACTGCATCTGTCTTCCAATGCATTTTTCGTTTTATCAAATGTAGAAGAAGTACCTGATGTCAGGTAGGACATCCTGCCTCAAATTCTTCATGTGATTATAAACATGATAGCTTAATTTGTTAAAGTTAATACCTGAGAGCCTCATCATAGATTCACATAAGTTAATCAGGTAATGAAAATCAGTAATTTAAAAGGGATTTTTTTCAGTGTGGTCTTCAGAACACTATGAGGAAATGTTAAAATGTACAAAAATAGCCTATATGCACTTAAGCAGAAATTTTGACTATAATAACATTCACAACACCCAACTATATAATCACAAATAAAGTCAGTTGCCTTCACATCCATATTATGAGTAAGTTAATTACCCTAAATGCAATTTTTCACCCTAATCAAGGCAGTAGTATAATTAGGAAAATTCAAAAGAACTATTTATATTGGCTCGAAACTGTTTTTTGTGTTTACATCTGATCATGAGATATTCTCGATATTCTGAGAGCTCATGTCTCTTCAAAAATAAATAAACCATAGGGTAAAGACCTATTTGAAACTGCTTTTATCTTCTCCTACTGAATACCAGCCTAAAAACAGCTGTCTCTTCGTTTGAAGGTTGAGCTCTTCCTCCCATCACTTCTGGAGGAAAGGAAAGGCAGTAAACTTTTCAGAAAGTCAAACTCCTACTATTCAGCCAATTCTTACGGAACTCCTTTCCATCTGTTCCCTGACATTTCAGTCAGGTTATGCACTTGCCAAAGAGCTTTCTTCCGATACTGAATCCACTGGTGAAGACAAATGGAATAAGATCAATTTACTTTTTACCAAATATAATTAAAGGATAAAAAGCCATCATGATGTCAAGATAGGCTCCACAAATATACAGCCCACGTTATAAACAAAATCAGGAATCTAGATTGAACGATAAATTAATGGTTCAGAATCTTTGCTCTTTTGTTGCATTAAGAATGTACTCTACAATGGGGAGATAAAAAAGAATCCATATAATCATGTTTTCACAGACAGAAGATACTTTTTCAAAAGAAAGAAATAAAAATCCTGAAGAGGAGTTTGAATATTATTTACAAGTTACTCAAAAAGCCAATAATAAAAGTTCTTATTCAGGAAAGAAAGTGAGATAAAAGAGAGACTCATGAAGTCTGGAAAAGCTAATCAAGAGAGGCCTGAAATAATTTTTGAAGCAGAAGTTAGAATATTAGATCAAAGAGTAATACAGTTATATTAATATAAAGAAATTACTAGGTCTGGATGACAGGCAATCATGACTTCTGACAATCTCAAAGAGCTGTGGCACCTAAGTGGTAGTTACTGTGTCAGAGGGCAGGAATATTACTAGTAACTCTTCTTGTCCTTTAGGAGGTCCAGAAGAAACCCAAAACTGTACAAATAAATGGGTCTCATGATTCCTGAAAAGCCAGTCTGCAACAAGAAGGTCTACGGACTTAATAAGTAAGCATAACCCACAGAGAGACAGGAAACAAAGTTTATTTTGGGGGCTGAGGGTAAAAAATTCTACCACATGGACTACTCAAAGCAACAATAAAAACAAAAGCTGAAGCTATGATAAAATTAAGGATTTTTTTTGGTCATGGGTAAGGAAGGGTCTGACAGAGAAACAAAACCAGTGACCAGAAAACATTTGCTGAAGTAGATGGAGAGGTATGAATTGAATTCCACAAATGGTCAGAAAATATAAATAGCCTGAATGGGAAACCAAGTTAAATACCTGGGTATACAAATGACAATGAAGTAACTGGCTAACAAAATGCGAAGACTGAGGTTGAAATATTTCACGGAGCCTCAGAAATAGGGTAAAGCAGGAGATGAGTTTCAATATGAACAGATATGTAAGAAAAAACAACCCATGTCTATTTATTTAGACATCAGGTAATGACCTCTCAATTACGGCATCAATTACACAGAAAAGTGAACATGGATGTGTTCACTCAACCCTTATACAACAGAAGACAGCCTTCAATGTACCTTTAAACAAATTAATCAAATCAAAAAGGTAACAAGTGGAAGAATACTTTCTAAGTTTTTGTGAATTAATGGTACGGAATGGAGATACACCAAGCAGTCTGGCCTATACAGTTAAGGGGAAAGTATCATTTGACAATTAAGAGCTAGGCACATACCACAAAAATCACAGCATTTGGAGTACCTTTTCATTTTTCCTCATTCACACAAGGAAAAAAACATCAAAGGCCTAGTCATCTATCTATCCCGTGTCCCCTCAGCTAACTACAGTACAAATAATGTACATATATTTGCATATACCCAAAGAACCACTGCACTTCAATACAACGCTAATGTTTACCTCTATGTCTACAATATACTTGGAACAAGGACTAGCTAAAGAAAAATGCAGATCTCCCCAATATTCCCTTCTCCTGTTCCCAAAGTAGCAGTTTCCTACTAAATATAACAAAAATGCTTAGGACAAAAAATTTTTAGATAAACTCTATGGCTTGTCGCTTCTTTTTTTTTCACCTTACAAGTTACATTTTATTATCCTCTCCTAATTAAATGAAGGACATGCTTTGGCAAGAATGCGAAGGTATGAAAAGCGTATTTTCAGGCTGGTGAATCACCTCTAGAACTCTGAAGCCAAAGACTCAATCTGTGATATCACGAAATAGTACCCAGATATTTTTTTCTTTTCTTTCCCTCCCTCCCTCCCTCCCTCTCTTCCTTCTCTCCACCACCCCCACCTTCTTTCTTTTTGAGATGGGCTCTCTGTCACCCAGCTGGAGTGCAAGTGGTATGGTCATGGCTCACTGCAACCTCCAACTCCTGGGCTCAAGCAATCCCCCTGTCTCAGCCCCCTGAGTAGCTTGGACCACAGGCAGGCACCCTCATGTCCAGCAATTTTTTTTTTAACAGAGATGGGATCTCACTATGTTGCCCAGGTTGGTCTCAAACTCCTGGCCTCAAGTAATCCTCCTACCTCAGCCTCCCAATGTGCTAGGCATGAGCCGCCACGCCTGCCCCACACTTTTCTATTATTGAGAGCTTGCCCTATCCCAGCTTCCTAATCAGATGTTGTGAATAAATAGCTATTAATTCCTTTCTAATAAAATTAGAACAGGAATTTTTCCACTTAATTTTGTTTTTCCTTGAACTCTTATGAATATTAGTTTAAAACCTATTTCATTTTGTAATTAAAACTCCTTACCCCTAGAAATCCATCAAGCTGTTTTTAAGATAGCTTATTTCACTTTACAGTGCTGAACGTGATAATATCCTATGATTTGGTTCAATAAACGTATGTGTTTTAGCACTAGCAATAGAAATAAAGTCCTTCCTGAAAAAGGAACACTGGTTTTTTGCCACATCTAATTAAACCACATGTGTAAGTACATGTGTGTGAGAAAGATCAACTACATATTCATAAGAATGAAAAAGGAAACGGAAATCAGTACTAAAATTGATACTACCCTTCAGTTAATTTGTCCATTAAAAAGCAAGGGTACTTGTTACAGCATCAGAGAATCAAAGAAACGGAACATATGCTCATAAGAAACCGAACAATTTTCCAAAGCAGTCAAAATTGCTACCAAGACCCAAGACAATACAAGAGGACAACCCAGAATGGCTTCTTTATCTCCTTATCCTCTATTCTCACTAGAGCTCTTGATCTTCTACTGTGCACTTACTTCATCCTACAGTTAGGTAGCTTATACTACCTTGTTTGTTTGTTTGTTTGTTTGTTTTTTTGAGCTCTTGTCACCCAGGCTGGAAGGCAATGGCACGATCTCGGCTCACTGTAACCTCTGCCTCCTGGGTTCAAGCGATTCTCCTGCCTCAGCCTCCCAAGTTGCTGGGATTACAGGCGTGAGGAACCACACCCAGCTAATTTTTAGTAAAGATGGGGTTTCACCATGTTGTCCAGGCTAATCTCGAACTCCTGACCTCAGGTGATCCGCTCGCCTTGGCCTCCCAAAGTGCTGGGATTACAGGTATGAGCCACCGTGCTCGAGCCCCTTATACTACTTTTTAAATCTGCACAGGATGTCATTTTTCAAACCACCTTAATTTTCTTACCAGATTTTATCACCTCACAACAATCAACATAAGAAAATGATTACACTTTAAATCACTTACCTGCTTGTCCAGTTAAAAACAACTGACTTCTTCACTTAATTGAAATAACCACATCATCCCAACATGCTAGTTATGTGCAGCTGTCCCAATCCTTTGACTTACTATAAGGAAATGTTCAAAAACTTCTACACAGAGGAAAACAATATAGGATTTGCTTCTCTCTTTTCTCTGCTTCCCTTAAAAGTCCTTCTGAGAGATGATACCAAAAACACAAGCAATAATTTTTTTAAAAAGGGAAAACAGGACATCATGAAAATGAAAAGAAACCTAAAAGAATCTACAGAATTACATAAGGAATTTGTATTTAGAATATTTTATAAAGAAATATAACTCAGTAATTTTTTTAAATTTTCAATTAAAAAATGGGCAAATAAACAAAATAGTTCTCCAAAGAAAATAAGCAAACAGCCAATAAGCACATAAAATAGACGTTCAACACCATTAGCAGCCACTAAGGAAATGCAAATCAAAACCACAATGAGATACCATTTCACAACTACTAGGCAGGCTATAATTAAAGAGATAAAAACAAGTGCTGCCAAGGATTTGGAAAATTAGAACCCTCATATGCTACTGCTGGGAATGTAAAATGGTGCAGCTACTCTGGAAAACAGTCTGGCAGTTTCTCAAAATCTTAGAGTTATTACATGACCTGGCAATTTTACTTCTAGGTACCTACCAAAGAGAAATGCCAGATTACAAACGCAGTCAACCTCCCCTTTAAAATATCTCTTCTCCAACTCTTTTATTCCATTCCTATGACTTCTTCAGTGAAAAAAAAACAAAAAACCTTTATCTATATCAAGATGCCTTCATTACCGTCTTCACTGGTGTGCTGTTCAACTAATTCCACACCACATTTAGGGAAAACCAAAATGCTTTGAACAGCCACCGTTCAAAATCTTTCAAGAACCTCTCAAAGCCCAAAACTATTCAATGTGTCAGTCAAGGCAGCAGTCTCCAACCCTTCTGGCACCAGGAGCTGGGGGTGGGGGGTGGGATGGTTTTGGGATAAAACTGTTCCACTTCGGATCATCAGGCATTAGTTAGATTTTCATAAGGAGTGAGCAATCTAGATCCCCCCACACGTACAGTTCACAATAGGGTTTGGTTCCTATGAGAATCTAATGCCGCTGCTGATCTGGGAGGTGGAGCTCAGGAGATAATGTTTGTTTGCTTGCCACTCACCTCCTGCGGTGCAACGGGGTTTCCCAGTCTGTGCCCAGGGGTTTGGGGACCCCTGAGTCAAGGCTTCTCACAATCTGATCCTGATCCACTTTTCTAATTCCATAAGACCTCAGTTAAGAGTCTTCTAATCCTGACAGGCCAGGCTTTTGGTGTTTTTTTCCCCAAAAATATAAACAAAGAAAAAATTTTAACTTGCCTAAACCACCCTTCAAAGTCCATTAAAAGCACCTTGTGACAAGACTACAAACACTTTTCATGCTCTTATTTGAATAAAATTATTGTTTCAGAGGCTGGGCACTAGTGGCTCACACCTACAATCCCAATACTTTGGGAGGCCGAGGTGGGAGGATCACTTGAGGCCTGGAGTTGGCAATCAGCCTACACAACATAGTGAGATCCCGTCTCTACAAAAAAATTTTAAAAAATTAGCCAGGCATGGTGGTGCATACCTGTAGTTCTAGCTTCTTGAGAGGCTGATGCAAAAGAATTGCTTGAGCCCAGGAGTTCAAGGCTGCAGTGAGCTATGATCGTGCCACTGCACTCCAGAATGGGTGACAGAGCAAGACACTATCTCTAAAATAAAATAAGATAACATTACTCTTTCAGGAAACAATATCATTTAATCACTTTGGAAGTTTAAACCCCGAAGTCATTCACTGTGTGTAACTTTGTACAAATTACTGATTCCCAAGACTGTTTCTTCATCTGGTAATTAAGGTAACTGTACCAATCTCATTGGGGGGTTGTAAGAATAAAAGAATTCATGTTAAATACACATAAAAGTATTAAGAAAATGTTAATATTATTAACATTAGTTTCTAATATATGCGCAGTGATCTGGAAACTTACATGTTGAGGAAAATATTTTATGTTGATATTATTTCCTATGGCACCCAGAAAATGGGAAATTATATGTTCCTAAAAAAATTGGAGAATCACAGCAAACAGAATTTTAAATGACAACACTGCCTGTTCAAATAGTAAAGCTTACAGATTATTTCTCACTGTTTTGCTAAAGGCAGTATTGTGAAATGGAAATAACACTGACCAGGGAGACAGTGTCCTAGTTCTGGGTTTAAATCACTATTATACTGCTTATTAACTATACGGTTTTGGGAAGTCATTATAATTAGGTACTGGTCCTTCATATGTAAAATAGAGACAATACCACTATTAAATTCACTGTATCATGAGTATGAAATGAAAAGTATACAGATATGAGAGTACTTTTAAAACTACATACATATCTTTATACATCTACATATATGTGTGTATCATTAAAAAATATATTCTATTAAATGTTAAATTCATTGTCATAATTTATGAACCTGTTCACAACCATAAGACACAAGGCTGAACATATGAAACCATAAATGATCTTAAAATCAAACATTATTAATTTCCTTTGTTTCTCCAACACTGCAATCCCTTTCACAGGTGGCAAATTTTATTGAGTACAGCTACAAACTCGACTAAATAAAGGGCAAGCTCTTCTTGCCCACCCAGAAGTGGTCAAGCGTAGTGAAAAAACATAGGGCAAAAGGAAGAAAAAAAAGTCATCAACAAGAAAAGCAAGAACCTAAAGATTCTTCCATTCACAATATAATAGTTTATTTAACCCAAAAACAACAACAAAAATAATCTCAGTGACTCAAGTAAAATCTGAAAATGTGATCAGTCCTATATACATCAATTAGGTTATCCAAGCACACCTAAGGAAAGAGAAGCCATTTGCTTAATGAAGTGTTAAACTGTATCCAAATCCAAACAGGTACTATAAAAACCAATGTGGTGATCAAAGATTTAAAGTAGCTCACTAACAAAACTAAACTGAACTGTATATTACTTATGTCTCAATTTCATCACCAGGATACCATTAAACAAGTCTGCAGGATGAATAGCTTTAGGTAAACATTCTTTTAGAGAGCAAACAGCATTTACATGGACCCTTACATGTCAATTCATCATATCCATTTCTAAACCATTCTTATTTGTGTTCCCTTGTAATAGCTACTCTGGTGTTTACTTTCCTTTTGGACCTGTATAATCCCTACCAAATGTCTACGGAGCTGTGAAATTGAAGGGTTTTAGTTAATGGTACATCTTTAGAATTAAATAAGCAAGAAAGCTAATAATTTTTACTAATATATCATAAAATTCTATACGTAGAAAAATAAGTAAGAACCTACTTTCTTTCTCAGGGCTGTTCATGTCCCTGCAGTACCTCACAAGTAGAACATTTCTACAGCTTAGAAAATAAGAGCCATAATAAGCCAAACTGTTGTACATACCAAGAATTGCTCTAAAAAAAAAGTCAGTATCTTGCCACCACTACTCACACCAAGTTTCGATTCAGTTCAGACAATAATGTGGGGAAAACATTTGCCATTACTAACTGTGAAATCAATAATTCCCAAAGTCACAAGATCAGGATTTAACTACTGTAAAATAAAAATTCCATGTTACTGTCTGAATATAATAGCAGCTCCTCTTTAAAATTATTTTTTAAATTCTCATGTGGTAAAATTGACTTTTTTCACTTTAATGTATACATCTATGACTTTTAACACAATCATAGTTTTCAGCAATTATTTCTTCAAATATATATATATTTTTTGCATCACACTATTTTTCCTTCTGGAAATTCAATGACATAAGTTTTAGTCCTAATGTTACCAGTCCACAGTTCTCTGAAGCTCTAAAGTTTTTTTCATTTTTCTCTTTATTGTTCAGATTGAAAAATTTCTATTGACCTATCTTTATTCACTCTTTCCTCTTTCATCTCCATTCTGTTATTGAGTCCATCCGCAGCTTTTTAAGTTATAGTTATTGCTCTTTTAGTTCTAAAATTTTGTTTCCTCTTTACCTTTTACTTCTTTGTTGATACTTTAGTGTAACATTTGTTGCAGAAATGTTCACAGTTGCTTATGCAAGCATTTTCATAATGGAGGGTTTAATGTCTTTGTCAAATAATTCCAACATTAATATTATCTTGTCACTGGTGTCTGTTATTGCCTTTACCAGTGTGAATTACTTATGGCCTTTTGTATATCAAGTAACTTTGGATTATATCCTTGACATTCTGAATAATGTGCTATAAAACTAAGGATCAGCCAGAGGCAGTGGCTCATGCCTGTAATCACGGCACTCTTGGAGGCCTAGGTGGGAGAATCACTTGAGCCCAGGATTTCAAGACCAGCCTGGGCAACATAGTGAGACCTCCTCTCTACAAAAAATTTTAAAATTAGCCAGGCATGGTGGCATATGCCTGTAGTCCCATATGCCTGTAGTCCCAGCTACTCTGGAGGCTGAGGCAGGAGGATCACTTGAGCATGGGAGGTCCAGGCTGCTGCGAGCCCTGATTGTGCCAGCGCACTCCAGCCTGTATGAAAGAGTTAAGACCCTGCCTCAAAAAGCCGAAACGACACAAAAAACTCAGAATATTCTTAAATCCTATAAGGTATATTTATATTTTTGTTTTAGCAGACAATCAACCTGTTTAAGGTCAGTCTGCAAGTTCCAATATGCCCTCTGTAGATTGCAGTTCCAATGTCAGTTCAGTTTTCAAAGCCTTTGCAGCACTATTTGGATTATTCCTGTGGGTGTGCCATCCAATGGTAAGTCTACAACCTGGTGGAGTTCTATCTCATACCTGTTTTTAAAGTCTTTTTAAAATATGCTAATTAAGATCAGATTCATGAGCCCAAGGTGTCTGTATACGACTTCACGAGGTCTCTTTCCCAAGCTCTTTCCTCTCTTTTCCAATTTCCTGAGGATATCTTTTTCTGTCCTCCTGCCCGAAAGAGGTCACTTTTACAACTGCCTTGGTTTGGTGAAAAACATTGAGAGGATAGAGTAAAAAATGCAATGGGCTTTGGCTCTGCCTCTTGGAACTACAGTTCCATCAAACAGAGCTGAAGGTACCCTCCCCCTCAGAGTTTTGGTTCCTGCATGCAACGGCTGTCAGCTGATGTCATTACCATGTGATTGCCTGGGACTAAGTTGTAAGAAAATAGGGGAAAAGGAAAAAGAAAAAATAACAAGGGATGACCTCAACTCTCTCTAAGCTTTTCATCCTTTCTCACAGCTCAAGCCAGAGTTAGAGAGCTTCTGGATCTGGCTGTTTTTCTGCAGTGTTCACTTCTAGGTTTCTGGCTGTACTGAAATGGATCATGGAGGTTTGCTGGTATTTTGAAATCTGATGTTCTTTCTCTATCTGCCTGCAGCTGGTGACCATGTATTCTGTCCAGATTTTATAATTAAATTCAATTCTAAAGAAAGAGTGCTGTGTGTTCACTCCATATTACCCAGAACCGGAGAATATTATCCTCTTTTAAATAAGTAAAAGAAGCTGAATTTCTTCATGTCTAAATTCTGAGTTATAGGGTCTGATTATTAGCTTAATGATACTGTCTAATATCCAACCACAGCGATAAGCCAGGTCAGAAAGCCTCAGAAGATTGATCTGACCCCCCAAACCTCAAGCTAAACAATCCTTTTAGCCAAGCTCCTGGCCACAAAGAAGACAGGGAGATCACTGATAAACACTTCAACCAAATGCAGAGAAGAAAATGTTTATCCAAGTTCCACAAGGCCACATCTAGCCCTTAGCAATCACTTGACAGGAGCCAACATTCTGAAAACAGGAGTAGCCCACAACACTTAAAAATAAAGGTAAGAGGCAGAAAAATATAGAGAGAGCAGCATCTGATTTCTAAAACTATGTGGAAATATTTGCACCCTATTCCTTTTGAGAATACAAACATTATTCTTAATTTAGAAGACAAGTTACTACAGAAATAATAATTCACACAATAAAAAATGACAAGTATGTAGGCTTTATTCAGTCTGAATGGCAAGTCAAGTGGTTGGCATCAACTATATAATCCTTGAGATAGGCAATTGGTTGGATTTGATGAATAAATAAAGCTTGGTCAGTCAAAACTATCTCATATGAGCCAGTTACACTGTCTAAAATCCCACTACAGTAACTCACTTCTACAAATGTGAATTGTGGTTATACACATGGAAGATAATGTGTCACATACTAATCAGCAAGTTACTAAGAACTGAATCTTATATATGAATATGCAATTAAGATAAAGATGGAAATTAAATTATATTTTCAAAATGATTGAAAACAGAAAAAGAAGAGAAGAGGAAGAAACGGAAACAAACTGAAATTTCTATAGTGTTTGAGTTTCAGCAGAAAGACAATGGGCGATAGTTTTCCTATTTTTCAATTATGTCCACATATCCAAAATCTTTCTAATGAACGTGATTACTTTCAAAATAAGAAACAAATATTTATTAAAAATAAAAAAGGCCAGGTACAGTGGCTCTTTCCTATAATCCCAGCATTTTGAGAGGCTGAGGCAGGAATTTGAGAACAGCCTGGGCAACACAGCAAGATCCCATTTTCTACAAAAAAATAAATAAAGTTAGCCAGGTTAGCCAGGTGTGCTGGCTTGCACCTGTGGTCCCAGCTACTCAGGAGGCTGGGGTGGGAGAATCAGTTGAGCTCAGGAGTTTCAGGCTGCAGTGAGCTATCATCATGCCACTGCACTCCTGCCTCAGTGACAGCGCAAGACCATGATTCAATTAATCAATTGATTAATCAATTAATCAATCAATAAAGCAAACTCCTGCCTCAGTGACAGAGCAAGACCACGACTCAATTAATCAACTGATTAATCAATTAATTAATCAATAAAGCAAACTCTACAAATTATCACATGACCCAGTAATCTTATTCCCAGGTGAGATTTGAAATGAAAACTAGAAATGAAAACTTATGTTCATACAAAAACATGCACAAAAATGTTCATAGCGACTCTACTCTTATCTCCAAAAACTATAAAAAACACAAATGTCCTTTAACATGAAAAAACAAACTATGGTACATCCATATAACGTAACACCACTCAGCAATAAAAGAAAAGAAACTACTGATACCTACAACATAGTTGAATCTCACATGTAATTATGCTTAGTGAAAGAAGCCAGTGTCAAAACATTACATACTGCATTGTATTATTACATTTATACGCAGTCTCCAACAAGATAAAACTACAGTAACAGAGAACAGATCAATGGCTGCCAGGGATTAAGAGGTGAGAAAAGGGGAAAGTAACAGCTTGAACATGGTTTATAGGGTAACAGAACTATATATATCTTGACCGTGGTATGCGTTACACAGAGCTACACATGTCAAAGTTTATTGACTTATACACCAAAAAAGTCCATTTTACTCCATGTTAATTTTTAAATATAAAACTTAAAAACAACACAACTGAACAACCCATATAGCGTAGTACAAAGTATACTTTTCTCCAAGTAATAAGGTGGAGGAATAGTAAAAAATAAAACAAATAATCGATGTAATTCCAATCAAAATTCTAGCAAGCCTTTCTAAAATGAAACTGCAAGCTGATTCTAAAGTGCATATGGAAGTACGAAGGCTCAGAATAGGCAACATAATTTTTAAAAAGAAAAACAAAGTCAGGTAGGCATAAATTACAATAGACATAATGATTAATACAAGAATAGAGAGTACAGAAATAGAATCAAATACATGTGGTCAAATGATTTTCAACTAAGGCACCAAAAAAAAAAATTCAATGAAGACATGATAGTCTCAAACAAGTGGTGCTGGAACAACCAATTATGTAGTGGAAGAACCACTCTTTCACACTGGAAGAACCACTCTTTCACAATGTAAACGAAAATTAATTTGAAATGCTTATGATACATGTAAAGACAGGTGGGGTGGTTCATGCCTGTATCCTAGCACTATGGGAGGCCAGGTCGTTCGAGAGCACTTGAGGCCAGGAGTTCAAGACCAGCCTGGCCAACATGGTAAAACCCCGTCTCTACTAAAAATATAAAAAATTAGCTGGGCATGGTGGCGCACACCTGTAATTCCAGCTACTCAGGAAGCTGATGCAGGAGAATCGCTTGAACCGGGAGGGAGAAGGTGCAGTGAGCCAAGATCGCATTACTGCACCTCAGCCTGGGCGACACAGTGAGACTGCCTCCAAAAAGAAAAAAAAAAGGACTACATATAAAATCTAAAACCACAAAACTTCTGAAGAAAACAAGAAAAATTCTTCACAATTTTGCAGTAAGCAAAGATGTTTTTTAGACAAGACAATGAAAGCTTTGGTAAATGATCCTATCAAAATAAAATCCTAATGCCCCTCAAAAGACTATTCAGACAATGAAAAGGCTAGGAGAAAATATTCATATTACGTATAACTGACAAAAGATTTTATATCCAAAATTATGAGGTGCCCTTTAAATTTAACAAAAAGCTGGCAACTTGATTTAAAAACGGGCAAAAGAAGATACATACATGAACAATAAGCACATGAAAAAATGTCCAACATCGTCAAACATCAGGGAAATGCAAACTAAAACCATAATGAGATACTACCACATGAATAACAAAACTTAAAATGACTGACAATACCAAGTGTGATAGAGAATGTTGAGCAACTGCAACAATAATGTGTTACATGTGTTTATTAGTACATTTTCATAAGGCTATGAAGAAATACCCGAGACTGGGTAATTTATAAAGAAAAAGAGGTTTCAGTCGGGCGCGGTGGCTCACACCTATAATCTTTGAGAGGCCAAAGCGGGCAGATCACCTGAGGTCAGGAGTTCAAGACCAGCCTGCCCAACATGGCGAAACCCCGTCTCTACTTACTAAAAATACAAAAACTAGCTGGGTGTGGTGATGCGTGCCTGTGTTCCCAGCTACTCAGGAGGCTGAGGCAGAAGAATAACTTGAACCCAGGAGACAGAGGTTGCAGTGAGCCAAGACCACACCACCACACTCCAGCCTGGGCAACAGAGTGAGACTCCATCTCAAAAGAAAAAAAAAAGAAACATAGGTTTAATGGACTCACAGTTCCACATGCCTAGGGAGGTGTCACAATCATGGCAGAAGGTGAAGAAGAGACAAAGGCAAAGTCTTGCATGGCGGCAGGCAAGAGAGCGTGTGCAGGGGAACTGCCCTTTATAAAACCATCAGATCTCATGAGACATTTACTATCATGAGAACAGTAAGGGAAAATTCACTCCCATGATTCACGTGGGGAATCCTGAGACACATGGGGATTATGGGAGCTACAGTTCAAGATGAGATTTGGGTGGGGACACGGCCAAACCATATCAATGTGGGACTGTAAAGTGGTACGATCACTTTAAAAAAGCACTTTTCCACTCTCTCAGAGTATTAACCATACAGTTAACAATGTGACCTGGCAATTCCTCTACTCAGTATGTATCCAAGAAAAAAAAATGACCATAAAAAACCTTATAGAGAATTTCACAACAGATTTATTCATAATAGCTTAAAAACTCTAAAAGGTCCAAATATACATCAACGAACGAATGGCCAAATCAGCACTGGCACGTGGAAAACTATTATTCACTAAGATAACTAATTTCTGATGCATGCAACAACTTGGATAAATCTTGAAAACATTCTGAGTCAAAGAAGCCAGATACAAGAGTTTATCCTGTACAATTTCATTATTATGTAGTTATTTCTACAACAGGCCAAAGGTAATTTACAGTGACAGAAATCTGATGACCCGTTCCAAGACATAGGTGTTGAAGAAAACTAACTGAAAGGGGGTACTTTCTGGAGTGATGGACATGGTCCCTATCTTGATTAGAGTATATACATCTATCAAAACAGATCTCAAAACTAATCTTATCATACATTAAAATGTGTATGTTTTATTGTATATACAGTCAGCCCTAGGTATCTTCAGTTTCTGTATCTGCAGATTCATTCAACCTCAGTTCGAAAACATTTGGGAAAAAAAAATACAACAAAATAAAAACCAATACAAATAAAATAAAAAATAATACAAATTTAAAAATACAGTATAACAACTATTTACATAGCATCTACATGGTATTAGGTATTATATGTAATCTAGAAATGATTTAAATTGTATAGGAGG